>NC_000008.11:95714222-96339222 GCF_000001405.40 Homo sapiens | reverse complement strand
AAACATTGGGAAAAGAATCCACGTGGAGTATGGGGACCCTGTTCAAGAGCTGGCATCTCGACTGATTTCAGGCCACAGAAACACAGGGATGTCAAGGCCGGAGTCTGCCTACTCACAGGACACAAAAGACAACGAAGGCCAACACCAGTTATTCTGTCCACAGAGCACGCAACCAGCCAACCACCCCTGGAGCCACCTGAAGAGTGGCTTGGAGGTGTGGCCATCTCTAATCAAGCAAGCACCTGAGATCTGAGTCTCCTTCCAAGGAGGAGGAGGAGGAGCAAAGGTGTGGCGGTCACCAGGGAACCAGCTCCTTGCCATCCATTTGCCAGCTCTGAGGCCAGTGAGGATCTATGGGGCTGTGGTCTGCTGATAGGAGTAAGACATGTGCACAAGAATCCAGGGGAGGAGCCTGGCACAGAGTCTCAGGCTGTGTTGCTCCGGTGGCCCCCGGGCACCTCCTGGCCGTGTGCTCTATGTGCAAGCTTGTGTTACTGTGGCTGCTGGGAGGATTCAGGGACGAGAGGGAAGGGGTGCGGAGAGCCCCACACGGGGGTGTTTTGAAGGCTCCAATCCTCTGAATGCCACTGTCTGGAAGTCATGTTAGCAGTGGCCCTAGTGAACTCTTATTCCCCTGCTCCTGGTCTGGATTTCATCCACTCTAAGAGAGGTGGAGGATCCCTAACATTTTGAAAGCTGAAGATCTTTCTTAAGCCTTTCCCACGCTGCACTCATAAAATACCTAATCAGTCCATGACGTATGCAGTTGGAGAGATGAGATTGAGCCCAAACAGCCCTTTGTCGGGCGGGTGGGAACAGTCAGGCTTACAGCCCGGATTTCCAGTATGGATTGTTACATAAACCTTGCCTGCAATTTGACTCTGTAATGAAAGCTATTGTGTGTATACTTCAGACACGATAATGAAATATTTTGGTTTTTTTAGTCTCAAATGTTAGAAAACCAATTTTCTTTTAAAGGCAGACAAACTTCATTTCCTGTGGTTTGTAAAACCACAAGAGTCTCCTTTACTCAGCATCCAGAAAGGGGCCACACCCTACAATGGAACACCAGGCTCTGACGCCCTGGGATGACTGCTCCGAGGGGCAGGAGGTCACAGCTCTGAGCAAATCTTCCTGCCACCGCAGGGCACTGTCGGTGCCCACAGTTTGCAGACCCTGGCCAGGGTGATGTCTTGAGCATTCCAGTAACAAAGAAAAACCAGCAATTAACTCCCAGGCACAAGTACGAGCGTGAGCCCAGATCACTTAAAGAGGCTGGGTGGTTGGTTGCATCAGCTGTGAAAGCAAAACCCTTGGGTAAATTCTATGTTCTGAATGATGTTACTGTCCTCACTGGGGTTACGAGAGGGGAAGGGATCTGCCAACACCCTTCTCTCTGCTCCAAGAGGACAACAATGCTGGGGCTTAGGAGTCCCTTTTGCTAGAAATGCAGGCAGGAAGCTTGCTGTCACCCGCCTCCCCAGCTGGGTGTACTGAATATGGAGGTAGAGACCAGGCTTCAACCAGAGTATTATGAGTATCAGAGTATCATGAGGGATAAATTCAGCTTAGCCCTGTGAGGCCTTGGAGGTACTTGGACATGTTGCAAACCCTTGAACACTGTTAGACTGTGACAACAAATATCTCTTTGCAGGACAAGCAACTTCAAAATTCCACCTAACAAGCTGCAAGAAAGGGAATATCAGAGTAGACCAAGTCACAGATGAACTTTCTGAAATGGACTAAAGGCATTTTTTAGTGAACATGGAAGAAAAGGAAGATTTTTACAACGTAGCATTCCCACAACCTAAAAAAATTTCACATCCAACTGTTTTTTTATCTTCTTTGGTAGACATCAATGAAATAATTCCTTTAAATTCACAGAAGATAGCAAAATTAAAAAGCCATATTTATTTAATGCATCAAATACCAAAGTTCAATTAAGGAAACTATTGCAATCTTCACCTGAGATAGGCCCATCATCAGGTTAGAATAAAGTGTGATAAGGGGAAATGTTGTAAAAACCTCTTACGGCATAGCAACATGACTGCAGCCCACCAGTCTCAGCCATTACTGATACTGACCCTTGCAAAGAATCAAATCTCTAATATAATCCTGAGAATGTGCACACACATGTGAAGGAAAGAGGTGTATTATGTAATGGAACACTGATAGACAGACGTCTTAGCTCGCCTTACAGTTTTTTTTTTTTTTTTTTTTTTTTTTTGAGATAGTCTCGCTCTGTCGCCCAGGTTAGAGAGTGCGGTGGCGTGATCTCGGCTCACTGGAACCTCCACCTCCTGGGTTCAAGCATTTCTTCTGTCTCTGTCTCCCGAGTAGCTGGGACTACAGGTGCCTGCCACCATGCCCGGCTAATTTAAGTATTTTCAGCAGAGACAGGGTTTCACCATATTGGTCAGGCTGGTCTCAAACTCCTGACCTCAGGCGATCCACCCACCTCAGCCTCCCAAAGTGCTGGGATTACAGGCGTGAGCCCTGCGCCCGGCCAGCTCTCCTTACATCTTGATTTCAATCCTATAAATGGGAAATGGTAGGGAGCACTGTCTAGTCTACTGTGGGATTTCTAGTTGTCATAACAATAAGAACCATATAAACAACGCCCACCTGGTAAACATTAGGGTGGCCCAGGAACTCTGCAGCAGTCACTGAGCACATTCCAAAGAGCGGATGTTAACCCCCCAACCCCGTATTTTAAAGGGCTAGCTTCAGTCTGGCTGCCAATGGTTACATTTTTTCTTCCCCACCTTGTGTTTAGCCTCCCCTTCTGTGTCCAACCTCCTCCACTTCTCAATGACCCCAAGGGCCTCTGTAAGTGCAGGATTCTACCCAAAACCCTCCCAATTCCAAAGGGTGGGCCTTGGCATAAAGAGGCATCATTCCAGGGTGCTACACGGTGGCTTCTGAGGGAAGACCAAGAAGGCTGAACCTGTTGTATTTGGTAATGAATTTTGTTTTCTCCTGGGTTGGGTGAGCACCTTAGGAGCTTACTGTGGAAGCAGAGTCCTAGCGAAAATAAGACTGGCATTGATAGGATGTCTTGTATCATCAAAATGCTTAACAGGTCCATGAAACATCCTAGCATTGCTGTGAGAGTGGTTCCAAGGTTTCTATGAATGGTGGAAACAGACACAAACGAAATGTGGGAAGAAGCTTTGGGAAGACCAAGAATGAAAAAAAGGGAAAAGAACCTAACACTCAATGCAATGCTACTTAAGGAGAAAAATACATAAACCGTTCTTCAAGCTTTAGGTCCAAAACAATGTTCTCTCTTAAGAGGGTGGTTTGCAAACAGGGACCATGAGATAATTTACAATCAAATCATTTCAGATATTGAATGATGATTCTGAAACACGCATTCTATTTCCATCAATGTGAGGTTTATTTCCATAGAAACGGTGAAAAAAGTAGGCCAAACCCAGCAGTATGGCTTCTAAAAGGAATAGCAGCTGTGGTTCTGGCCAGCCATGGAAAGCACTGGTTTTGTAACTACTATAGTAAAGAGCTCTGACTGAAGGGAAATAGAAAGTTTCAACTCAAAGAAAGGGCATGGAAAGTATCTGAGAACTTTCCTGGCTGTTTCTTACAAAGCCATGGAGAAAAAATCATCTCCTGTGCACCCTGCTCTTCACAATGCCACAGTAAAGTCGAATTCACCACCTGCGAAACAGCTGCCTCCTGTAGGCTGGCCTCAGAGGAAGCACACATGCTCCATCAGTTGCAACAAGGCGAAAGTCAGAAGAGTGTGAAAGTGTCAGGCCCAGTGCTCCCGGAAAATGAACCCGGAAACACTCAGTGAGGCACCACCGGTGTGAGAAAGAAGAGACAGGTGTCTTCTCCAATGGGCACAAGTATGTCATGCTTAGAAAAGCAGAACACAGGATGAAACAAAACATATTTATTTGCAAAGAAAGATCATGTTTAAATTGTACCTGTGTTTAAAAATGGCCTCTTTGATGGGTTATAAAAGTGCAGGCAGGTTTTATGAAACACGCACTTTGCCTCTCTTCTATCCTTTTGTGGGAAGCAGGCAGATGCTGGCTGGAGGACATTTGAGAGCTCGGAGCTGAGGCTCATCACAGCCAAATCCCTCACTCACCAAGTGAGCGGAGCTGCCACTGACGCTTCTCCACTCCCGCAGAATCTACTATTGAGCACTGGGCCCCCTGAGGACAGGATGTGACCCTGGCTGGCATGATTCATTCAACCCGTTCATCTTGGAATTCTTTTGCAGAAAAAAAAAAAGTGACACTTCTATGGCTAAAGATTTCCTTAAAGAAGAAGAAACATCAGAACGAACCTTTGTGCTGTGTGAAATGAGGGAACAAAAGATTACTTTCAGTGAGTTGATATCTGTAAGCTAATCAACTGGGTACTGGCCTCTTGTTAGAGGAAAAAAAAGTCCAACTTGGAAACCATTACCACAGGAAAAAACAATGACTATGTTGTTCATTCCTGTTGGTCACTTGGGTAGTCTAAGAAGTAGGACATATATGTCTGTAAGCCCTTTAAAATACACATCTTTTCTTTTTTCTTCTCACTATGTAAAACACATATATATTATCCTAAAGTCACTTGAAAAACACAGACTGCTTACAATCAATAGAAGATACCAGTAAGATGCAAGAAAATGAGCATTTTACAGACAGACCTTTGATAGGCTTTAAAGTGAATCGTTTTTATTTAAAACAGGGATCCATCAGAGGTGGTGAACTATCAAGGTCAAGGTTCTAGAGCATGGCACAGATGAAAGGTAATACTCACCAGCACCTCACATGGGACTCAGTGACAATGTCAGCAACACACCATGGAAGGAGAACAAACCCGATGTAAAAGGCACCTAGCTGGGGAGAAGCTGTGGTGTTCACTGCCTCTCTAGCAGGTTTGCTTTTGTGCACTGTGGCTAAGTCTGGATGAATAATATTGGGAAGGGAATAATCGGAAGCGAGGCTCCTATGCAGGCAGCTACCCTCTCCTGATTGGTGTATACTCGCCATGTGGTAGGAGGTCTTACAGGAGACTGAGGTTACCAAACAGGAATACAACACCTCTCTCCCTTTTCTGCTCTAGAAGGAAGGGGAACCCTTCCCCCAGTATCAATTTCAGCAGCGGCTTCTAAAGGCTGTTAAAAAGCATCCTAACTTAAAAACAAATAACAACAGTAACCAAATAAAAGACAGAAAAGTGGCCTGAACTTAAATCAATCAATGGAAAGGTAGATTCATAAAAATAAAATAAAAACTGGTGACCAGTCCATTAACCATGGGGTTAATGCCTCGTCTGAAGGAAGATGTTTACGCTGCATCCACGATCCAGCAGGCGCGGAGCTGCTCTTGGCAACTGTGAATGAATAGCTACCGTTTCCCTTCAACACACCGCGCTGCCACCGGTGACCGCATGTCAAGTGCTGAAGTTAGAAGAGACCCCACGTTGGCAAAGGCCCCCCAGGCGATGATCTGCCTGACGCGGCCAGGTCTGTGGGAAACAAGACTTACGATCTCAAATAATGACCCCCAAGTGCCCTCGCCTCTTCCTGCTTGCCCTGTGCGCCTCGACCTCCTCACGGGGAGTTCCAAATGAGTTCCATTTCCCTCTCAGTTCTAGGCACTCTGGAACATCTTTGATTAACCAGGGTTTTTCATTTCTTTCCAACGCCATTGGTGACTTTTGACTTGGAATGCCGATTCCTTCTCCTGGAAGAATGGCTTTCGTTGTTGCCTGCATGCTTGGGTGGGCTGTCTTCAGAACCTGGCCAAAGGAATCAGAGCACACCGTCACCCTGGGCTCTGGAGATTGGTGACTGTCCCTTTCCAGACCGCCCTAGGCTTGCCGGGGAACAGGTTCTTCCCTGATACGTGCACTCCCCCTAGTGGCCTCATTCATAAATGAAGGCGAGGCTCTCAAACACAGAACTAGTACTGAAGGAGCACACGCGGTGGCGCGGGGTTCAACGCAATAGCGCCCCAAAGTCTGGGTGGTTCCTGAAGCGTGTGTACATCTGTCCTGTGTATGATGGACATGGTCATGATGGTGAGGACCAGAAGTGAGAGCACAAGTGAAACGGAAGCCCAAACGAGGGGCAATTAAAACACACACCACGCGGTGCCCATCCTGCCCTGCAACCAAGGGTTTCCATCCCTTCACCTGCTCCACACCACCTTCTAAACCCGACATCAGGAAAGACTCTTGACACTATAAAATCAGAGCTATTTCACACCCTCTACATTTGATCTGGAGAACATCTTTACAATTCAGGCCCCTGCTGCCCACGATGGAGGGCACTGGGCAGCCTCTGCCCTCCAGCTGAGCCTTTGTTCAGCCCCTGCCTGGCCTAGCGGCCAAGCCAAAGGGTTCTCTGCCCCAGGGCTCTGATCCAGCCCCATAGGAAATCTCCACCTGAGGCTGCCAACAAAAAAAAAGTTACCAGAGTTACAGTCTCCACTGTAAGGAGCATTTGACTTAGACTAAGAGATTCTTTCCCCACTCAGAAGACTTCTGTTTTTGTTATTTTTCTTTTTTTATTATTCCATCAAGTAAATACATCTCTACTACTGCTTAATTCTCTTCAGTGGAGAACCTGTAAGTGCCAAGGTTGTTTGTAAGGGCATGGTTCTAAATAAGATAGCTGGGGAGCCCCTCTGTCCATCTCTATCAGATTTCACAACGGGCCGCTCACTGATCAATTCCGTGGTTCAGGAGAAACTTTCCCCAAAAGGGCGGCCAGCAGCTCAGCAGAGTGTATGTTAGTGTCTCCCCTGGGAGATCTTTAATGAGCCTGATGCCAAAAGAACTTAGGAGAATGACTGCAACAGGGCGCTTTCTTCTCCATTGGCCCACCGTTTCTCTGAGCAATTTTGTGAGCTAAAATTCAGTCTTTAGTATTTCTAATTTTCTTTCTTCAGCCAAGCTTCCCAAGTAGCTTATAAGGATTGACGAGGAATTACTGTCCAATGAAATCACCTCAATGTCATTATTCTACAAGTCTAATTCTTTGAAATAACCAGGTGGCCCCAAATATTCCCAAAGTGATCCTTAGAGGCCAGTGGAGGTTCCCTAACTACACGACCAAAATCTCTTACACTGCCCTGCCTCTTGAATAAATGCCATTAAAATGATCCCCCTCTTTTGAAAGGCTTTTCCTCCTGATACACAGTACCTTTTTTTTTTTTTTTTTTTTTTTTTTTTTTAAGAGGCAGGGACTTGTTCTGTCTTCCACATGGGAGTGATCCTGGGCTCAAGTGACCCTCCTATCTCTGACTCCTGACTAGCTGTAACTACAGGCATGTGCCACCACATCTGGCTAATTTTTTAAGATTTTTGTAGAGACAGGGTCTTGCTCTGTTGCCCATGCTGGTCTCAAATACCTGGCCTCAAATGATCCTGCCATGGCATCCCAAAGCGCTGGGGTTACAGGCGTGAGCCACTGTGCCTGGCCGGATATACAGTTCTTCCTGTTCACTCATGATGGAAGCCAAGAGGAAGAACGTTCCCATCAGGGTGCTTGAAATGGTGTGGGGCCCTCACGAAGGGCAGAGCTACATGGAGCCTCTTCTTACAAACCAAGTCTTTCACTCAGATCCTGTGAGCATTTTGCATGTTTCTTTTTCTTTTCTTTTCTTTTTTTTTTTTTGAGACAGAGTCTTACTCTGCTGCCGAGACTGGAGTGCCGTGGTTTTGAGACAGAGTCTTACTCTGCTGCCCAGGCTGGAGTGCAGTGGTACGATCTTGGCTCATGGCAACCTCCGCCTTCCAGGTTCATGCGATTCTCCTGGCTCAGCGTCCTGAGTAGCTGGGACTACAGGCGCCCGCCACCACACCTGGCTAATTTCTGTATTTTTTGTAGAGACGGGGGTGTCACCATGTTGGCCAGGCTGGTCTCGAACTCCTGATCTCAAGTGATCTGCCCACCTCAGCCTCCCAAAGTGTTAGGATTACAGGCGTGAGCCACCGTGCCCAGCCATTGCATGTTTCTTAATAAGTGACAGGAGACATTCAATGGGTAGGCCTGAGACCCTTCAAGGCTTATATCATCTCCACTCAAAGAATAGGTAATAATTCCACATCTCAAGGACCCAGTAAAATTTTAAACAACGAACAAGAACAAGATACCTTTTGTCCCTTTCCTGTGATGCCAGGAGATCTCTGGACTGTAGGTGCCATCTTCACACTCCGAGTAGGTCTAGGGAGAGAGACAGGCTTAGTGCAGGAATTTTAGGAACTCCCTGGGAGAAGTGGCAGGGCAAAAAGGCGAGCATGCTGCATCCCTGCCTCTCCCAGGCTGGGATCATCACTGGCAAGTGACAGAACCTCCCTGTGCTTATATTTCTCTGCTATAAAAACAAGGTTCTTTCCTCTCACAGGTGATGCAGAATCAATCTTCCACAACATGCCTTAAGTTCTTTAGACTGAAGGTGTAAATAAAGGATGAAAGTGTTATTTTTACCGAAAAAAATATTACCGTCTACCAGACGGCCATCGTGTCTTAAAGCCATTCATGTCTATTTTCTATGGTATCCTCATATCTACTAAATGAAGGTCAGGGCAAGCGTTTGCCCAGAAGAGCCACAGGCCGGAACACAGGAAGAGGCCTCCACACAGTTCAAGAGCTGGGGAGAAAACCCAGCTTCCAAAAGCCAGTCCACAGCTTTCCCATCACTTTTCTTTTTTTCTCCAAACAAACATAACTTTTTTTATCTAACAAAAGTTAGACAAAAATATTGGTCTACTGAACAGAGCCGTCACAAGCAGGGCCAGCAATGGCTAGGGAATGAGTTGTGACATGCGGTTTCTGCAGTGGCAGGACTGGAGGCCCCAACCTCAGTGTTTACCTCGCCATATCCTTACAGGCACGTGCTCTGAGCGAATTTGCCGAGCCCGGGGTGATTATTTTAAACAATGGCCATGCCTGCCTCTCCTTCCATACCTTTTCTCGGTGACCATAGTGTTCTGCATACCAAATCATGCCGTACAGACAGAGGAAAGTGGTGAAAGCCTGGAAGAGAAAAACAAATGATGCTGCACAAAAAAGTTCAATTTCCCAGAACTTCAGGGTTTCAGTGGGAATCAATGCAGGACCGTTCAATGCATTTCTGCCGTCTGGACGCCGGTTACAAAACGGCTGGACGTGGCAGAGATCAGACCTCAAGGGGAGGGTGCACACCCAAAGCTTCTGACAACAAAGGTTATGATGAGACCACAGTTACTACCTGTGACTCTACTATCAGAAAGCAAGAAAGACAATTTTCAGATGTGCAATATGGTGGGATGCATTTTCTTGATAGCTTTGCGGGTTCTGTTGAAGAAGATAGAGAGGATTCTATGTTCTAGTTCTGATTTTCAGGGTCCATTCTCTCCCGGCTTCCCCATCACAGGAGAGCGCTAAGAGGACTCAGTGTGTCAGCTTCTAGGGGGAAGAGGTCACAGCGGCACCTGAGGGCCCACGGACAAACACTCCCAGGGTAGAGGGTGGGGAGCTTAGCTGGACAGGGCTGCCCTTGCTTTTCCAGGCTTTTGAGTGGACCCCAGTTTTTATTGCTTTGTTTTTCTTGGTTATATGGATAGGAAAACAAAGAGAAAATAAAGATGCTCTTAAGGCCCTGAGTGGAATGAGGAGGGTGTGGCCTGTGGGTGCCCAGAGGCAGGGACAACCTCTACTCCACACTTGCCCCACTCACTGGGCCTGCCCCCACACCCTAAATTATACCCTAATTTAAGGAAAGAAAAGCACAGACAAGAATCCAAAGTTTCAAAACATGTCAAAAAATCAAAGCTTAGGAAAAGTCTCCAGCTGCCTGGACTGCATACCAAAGGCAGGAGGGAGGGAGGGTGAGCGGTAGAGCAGGGCCATGAATCTCCCCGGCCACACCTTCCCCACTGCAAGCAAAGCAACCAGAACAAAACAAGGCAACTGCCAGCTCCTTCCAAATTCCTCACTCTAGAAACCCATTCACATCAAGCCATCCTGGCTGTTGAGCCTCCATCTCTCCCCCTGCATTTCCTGTGGACACCTGGGCACCTGTCATTTTCCTGGACCCCTCTCATCTTGCACCAACTGTGGGGACAGCTGTGAGAGCATGGAGGGACCTTCTCAAGGAAATAATTTTAGTTCTAAGAATCATAACTTTAGATCCAAAAGGTCACCTCAGAGACCATTAATTTCATTGCCCCTCATTTTCCAGAAGAAGAATGAAAGCTCAGAGAGGTGAACATTGGAGCCGGAACTCAGATCTCTTGAAACCCCCGGATCTGGGTTTAAGGGATGGCTACTGATACAAATATTGGCTTTATGTCTATATAGCTTTATTTCTCCATCCATGTATCCATCCCTGAGAACGAAAAGCATCATGGGAACAGTGAACAGCAGCAGCTTCTCCTCTGCACAGCCACAGTCTGGTGGTAGGGCGGGAAGGCAGGGGCTGTGAATTCTCATCATGGCAGCTTGCAGTCGAGCTTTGGCCCAGTTCCTTTATCAGCGACATTTCCTGGCAGCTGCTGGATACACAGTGCCTTCTTAGTTCCAAAAAAGAAAGGAGAGCAACACTCTGGCTAGCTGTCCTCTTCCGTGCCAGTTACGTGGAAGCAGGAACAGTGGCAGCGTGGAGAGAGAGTGAGAAGCACAAGCAGCGCCACTGGTTCATTTCCTACTAAACCCACGTGCAAACTGGCATATACCTACAGGTTAGGGATTTATTAAAAAGCTCATATCCATCAAAAAATTAGGCCACGAATGAATACATTAAAACTACAAAGTGAAAATGACTTCCAACCTTTAACATACTCTAATGCTTGCCCAGATTTCTTAGATATACCAACGTTAAGTGTGCCATTTTCATGGCATGGAAAGAGTGGGAAGGACTAGAAATGATTTGCAGAGTGTAAGCCTGTGTATGCGTTAGGCCCCTTACAAAGAGCAAAACAGAACATTCTGGGTTTCACACAGCGGACTGGGGGGGTTAGGTTCCACCTCCCCAAACGAGAGGGCTGTGGGGAGGCGGGTCCCTCAACTAGACTGTCATTGCAAACTCTGACCACCAGAGGGCAGGCACGCGGGGCTCTTCCCTTCCCCAGCCCCAGGCCCAATATGACAGGCAGTGGCAGCTGCCGCTCCCTCCAGCGGCAAACAGCAGGCAAGTGGAGAACGACAGGTGCTTATCATCACAATCGTCACACAAAGGGTCTGTTGTGATTGCCAAATCTACTTCACCTGCGTACAAAGAGGCCCATTTTACACTTGTCCCAGCAAACGGAAGCCGGTAATTTACAGGTTTGCAATCACACCTGTGGAAATCTAGGCACGTACCCACTGAAAATGTCAAGGCTCAGATTTAAAATAGCAATTGCACACTTCGTTTAAAGAAAGGGCGGGGGGGCGAGAAGAAACTACGTGGGATGAGAGCCAGGCTGTCCAGGACCACGGGGCTGGCGGCAAGGAGGGCGCAGGACCCCAGCTTGGCTTCTACATTATGGTAATGAGCATTCAAATTAATGACGGCCGAGCAGACAACCACGCTCCTGGAAAAGCTTATTAACCAGCACCCGGGATCTTTGCTTCTGCATTAATCTCAAGCTCCGTGTGCGCTCTCTTACCAGGCCAGGGGAGTAATTAGGGGCTTTGCTTTTCTGAGTGGGGCAGAAGGCATGGTGTAACTTGAAGCTCTCTTATTGAATAATGTTCGCCTCTACTCCTGAGTCTGCGATCAATCTTGCTCTTTATAATAAAGGTCAGGAATATTTTAAAAAGTGCCAGGACCTTGTTTCTGTTCTTCTTTAAAGGGAGGCAGTGGAGACCCCTAATCATCCTGTCTCAGGGCCTCTTTTCGGGCGACGTCCCTCTCTCATGTCTCATCCTGTAAGTCTAATCAGAGATTCTGCCTGTCTTCAAAATCCTGCTCATCGTCCCCGGCCTGACCTCTTATTAAGGTATCCCAGCCTCAGTCAGCTCCTCTCCCAGAGGCATGTTCCCTGAGCTCTTAACCTAATCCCAGGACTCCAACTGCACCCTCCACATGGGCTCCTCCCAAGTATTTTATTTCCACCAACGACCAAATCCTTCCAGTGTTATTGACAGATTAGAATTTCCCATAAAACAGGACACTTCCACCTGTAAATTCTAAAGGTTCCTCAAACCCAAATCCCCTGAACCAAATTCACCTCCTCCTTTCAATGGGCTTCTCCTATATCCTCCAATCTGTCGCTAGCACTGGTGGCCACCCAGTGGCACCAGTTAGAACCTTTGGAGTGGCACTCAAGTCCCCTCCCAGCTACCACAAGAGGAATGGCATCCTGTTGAGCACATTCCTTAAACAACTCTCAGATCCAGCCCTTCCTCTGCATCTTCAATGCCTCTGCCTTGGTTCAGCTTCAGTTACTTGTCAACTAGGCCTGGCAGCACCTCTGACTGTACTTCTTCCCCCCAACCCATCTTCCCTCTAGACTCTCCCAGCCTCCATGGTGTTTCCCCATGAGACACAGATCAGACCACATTGTTTCCCCGCTTGAAAATTGCTGGGGCTGCAACTACAGCCGCACAAAGCCCTTCCTAAGCAGGGGACCCTGTCCTACTCTTCATCCAACTCTTCACTGTCACTCCTCAAACAGGTCACCACCTTCCTGAGCCACTGGGCACTCTCACAGCTTCCTGTCTTTGTATGTTTGCCCCCCAGCCACCTGCATGTCGCAAGTTTTTGTCTCTTGAACTCACTCCTTTATTCTCCACGAAGCTGCCGAGTGCTTCCTATGCACCAGGCACGGTGCTTGAGACAGTGGGGCCAAAAGATGACTTCAACTTATTCTCTCTGAGCAAGGAGTGCAGTGTGGAGGAGACAGATAGAAAAAAAACAAATTCCACTGCACTGGGGTTAGAACTGAGAGTTACGTACAAAGCACTACTGGTCCCAAGGAGGGAGCTATCTACTTGCCTTGGAGGTCAGAGCATATTTCATGGGGGTCATATGTTTAAGTTGGTTTTGGGGTATCAGTTTCATCATGTAGATAAGGCAGGGAAAGTCTTTCAGATCAGGCAGAGAAAACAGCGTGGGAAGGGCAAAAGAAGTCTGGAAGGATGACTTGTTTAGGTAACTACCAGCAGACAAGTGCAGCCTGAGAATAGAGTACACGTGGGCAGATGTGATGGAATGCTCCCACTATGAAGGTCCTGAACACACAAGCAGATTTCATAATTCATCTGGGAGGTTTCGTGGTGGGGAGCCTTCTTCCTTCTTGAAGTTTCTTCTTGTGTGGAGGAAGCTTCACTGCTTCCCTCCACCCCTCACTCCTTCCCTGGGGAGAAGTCACACCTTGAATGGTGACTAAGGAAGCCGGCATTTCCTGAAAAAGGTGAATTCTCACTAATGAAGATGCTACTCTGATCCCCATAACTTTCCTCTATCTTGCTTATCTCTTACTTATTTTTTAACTCAGGTGGGGAAAAAGATTGTGTTATTGTGCCCTCTCAAGCCCCCAGCCAGAGAGAATGATTCTTAGCAGGGGAAAGAGATTGAGTTCTGAATTTTGGAAGATCATTTTGACAGCAGCATGGAGAATGGATTTGGAGGGCAGAATGGCAAGAAAATGGGTGTCCTGACAGCCGCAGAGGCAGTGGGAATGGAGAGGAGATGGAGTTGAGCTGCATTGTCAAATTAACAGATCTTAGTGACTGGCTGATTCGAAGAGTGATGGAGGACAGGAAGCAGCCTCCAGGTTTTTAGCTGGGGCCTGGGGGGCTGGGGGAAAGCCAGCGGTTCACTGCAACCCTTAAAAATCCTGCTCACATATCACTAAGGAGCCTTCACCAACCCCCAGCATGTCTGTTGCTCTAAGTATCCTTTAGCCTTATGCACACAATCTTTTACAGTATTTATCACATATTAACATAATTAGTTTGCATGTCTAATTGCCATCTGAACTCAGAGATCCTTGGAGGGCAGTGATGAAGAGCAGTTCCCTAGAGAGAATGTCTGGGTTTGAGTCCTGGTTCTGCCACTTAACTACCTATGTGACCTTGGGCAAGTTAGTGAACTTCTTTGTGCCTTTGTTTCCTCATCTGTAAAAGAGGGATAATAAAATACCTTCCCTCAAAGTGTGAAGATCAAATGTGGAATTCATGACAGTGCTTAGAATGGTCTCTGGCACATAGTAGGCACCAGTAAATCTTATCACCGTCATCTATCTGTGTGGCTAGAGCCCCAGGCACAGCACGGAAGAGCACTCAGCAACTGTCTGTGAATGAAGCCCGGACTAAGAGGTCTGTACCAAGTGAAGCAGAGGTCAATGGGAGCATAAGAAATGGTGCATGTCCTCAATAAGTTACAATCACATAGATACAAAGGCTAACCCACAAAAGGAGATATATTCTAAGTGTCAAATAAGTAACAGAAAGTCTCTCTAAAACTTAAAGAGAAATTAGAGGGGTCCCTACAGTCTGAGTGACTGCTATGGTTTGAATGTCCTTGCCAAAACTCTCCTCGAAACTTAACTGCCAACTTAACAGTATTAGGAGGTGGGGCCTTTAAGAGGTGATAGGTCATGAGGGCAAAGCCCTCATGAATGGATTCAGGCTGTTATCTTGGGAGTGGGTTCCTGATAAAAAGGATGAGTTTGGCACTTCCCTCTCTGTCTGGTGCACTTGTTTCTGCCTTCTGCCCTTCCACCATGGGATGACCTCACTGGATGCCATTGCCATACTTTTGGACTTCCCAACCTCCAAAACTGTGAGCAGAATAAACTTATTTTCTTTTGAAATTACCCAGTCTGCAGTATTCTGTTATAGCAACAGAAAATGGACTAAGACAGAAAATCGGTACCAAAAAGTGGGGTGGTTACTATAACAAATACTTGAAAATATGGAAGCAGCTTTTGAACTGGCTAATGGGTAGAGGCTGAAAGAATTTGGAGGAGCAGGCTAGAAAAAGCCTGTATTGCTGTAAAGGGAGCATTACGGGTGATCCTGGTGAGGGCTCAGAAGAAAAGAGGGAAAGCCTCAGTCTTCTTAGAGATTACTTAAGCGTTCCCGACCAGAATGCTGGTAGCAATATGAACAGTCAAGGCCACTCTGATGAGGTCTCAAATGGAAATGAGGAGCAAGGATTGGAAAGTGGAGTAAAGGGCATCCTTGTCACACAGTAGCAAAGACCTTGGCTGAATTGTGTCCATGCCTGAAGGCTTTCTAGAGTGTGCAGCCTGAGGGCAATGAACTAGGATATCTGGTGGAAGACAGCCAAGCAGCAAAGCATTCGGGCTACTGTGTGGCTACTTCTGACTGCATACAATGAGATTCCAGAGGAAGGAAATGACTTAAAGACAATTTAAAATTAAAAGGGAAGCAGAATGGAATAATCTGGAAAATTCAAAGCCTGGCCATGTAAACAGTGAAAAAGCATATTCCAAACACTAAGGGTGGGGCCACGTGGCTGTTAAAGAGATTACCATGGAAAGAAAGAAACCAGGTGCTATTCATCAAGAAAATGTGAGGAAGATCCCTGAAAGCAAAAGCGTTTCAGAGATCTTCAAGGCTGCCCCTCCCATCACAGACCCAGAGCTCTAAGAGGGCAGAATGGTTTTCGGTTACAGGCCTGGGGAGCCCTCCACGGGCTCACTGACCAGGGCTACCTAGGGACTCTACTCCCACATTCTAGCAGAGTGCTCCTTGGCTGCCTTAGCTGTGGCTCAAGTGGGCCTTGGTGTGGCTTGGGCTACCACTCTGGGAGGGATAAGCTATAACCCATGGTGGTGTCCATGTGGTGTTAATTCTGCAGGTATGCAAAACGCAAGAGCTGTGGAGGCCATGGCTTCCTCCACCTAGATTTCAAAGGATGCGGCGAACTGCCTAGAAGTCTAGGCAAAAACCTGCCACAGGGGCAGTGCCACTGCAGAGAGCCAATACTAGGGCAATGCCAAGGAGAAATGTGGGGTTGGAGCCACCAGAGAGGAGCAGTGGCAGCAGGGTCATCCCCAACACCACAGAACTGTAGGGTTGCCAGTGTGCAACTCCCGCCTGGAAGAACTGAAGCACTGGCTGAACCCGGCACAGCCACAGGGGTGGAGCTGCCAGGCCTGGGGGCCCAACTCCTGCCCCAGGCCAGGACACAGAACATAAAGTCAAAGGAGATTATTCTCCAGCTTTAAGATGTAATGTTTCCCTGTTGGGTTCTGTACTTACTTGGGACTGCTTATCCCTTTTTTCTTGCCCATTTCTCCCTTTCAGATTTGCAATGTCTATCCTATGCCTGTCCCATTATTGTATTGTGGAAGTAGACGACCTGTGTGATTTCACAGGCTCACAGCTGGCATAGTTCTTCTTGGCTGTGGCTCAAGTGGACCTTGGTGTGGCTTGAGCTACCACTCTGGAAGGTATAGGCCAGAAACTGCGGTGGTGTCCAAGTGGGGTTAATTCACCTCAGGACGAATTGTGCCTTGACTGTCACTCATATCTGATTTAGATGAGACTCTGAACTTTGGAGTTGATGCTGGGCCAAGTGAAGACTTTTGGGACTACTGGCATGAAATGAATGTATTTCGTATGTGAGAAGCGGGGGTCAGGGGTGGAATGCTATGGCTTGAATGTCCCTGCCAAAACTCATGTTGATACTTAGCTGTCAATGTAATGATATTGGGAGGTGGGGCCTTTAAGACATGATTAGGTCATGAGGAGTGCACCCCATAAATGGACTGATGCTATTATTGCAGGAGTGGGATTGTTATCACAGGAGCGTGTTAGTGATTTAGTGATCGTGGGAGTGGGTTCCTGATAAGAAGGGTAAGTCCGGCCCACCTCCTGCTGTCTTACATGCTCACTTCCCCCTTCTGCCCTTCCATCATGGGGTGACCCTTGCCAGATACTGGTACCACGCTCTTGGACTTCCCAGCTGTCAGAACCGTGAGCCAAATAAAGTACTGTGATTTAATTTCTCTGTAAATTACCAAGCCCATGGTATTCTGTTATAGCAACAGAAAATGGACTAAGACAGGGACCAGAGAGGGCTGCCTGGGTAGGTGGCCTGAGAAGACCTTTCTGGTCACTGCTGCCCAGGGGGCAGTGGTGGGGAGGCAGCTGGGAGGCCTGTGATTTGCTGTGGTGAGGAGGGCTGTCTGTCTTGTCCTGGGAGTCCTGCCTGTCTCACCCTCCCTGTGGGCGGGTGGTTCTCTGGTACCCGGTGAAGAGGGCACCCACCTCTGCCCCCTGCAGTCAGGTCCTATTACAATTCAGACTTGAGGTGCACAGGCCAGAGACATATCTGAGAAGAGCATAGTGAAAATCTCTGGGCATGTCTGACACATTTCCCTAACCGATTCCTTACATCTGGTCTCACTGACATGAAAAAATATACTTGGGCATTAATTCTGTAGTTTAAATACAAAGGAGATCATTATTCCCTTTTATTGTTCAAGATGAAACAGGACAGAACAGGCTCACTGTGCCTTGGTACAGTTAGGATTTCTAACAAGTAACCCTAAAAATAGATCCCGTTAAAGGCGATAAAAGACACGTTAAAAATACAAAGGTTAGTCTTGCCAAAAAAGAGAAAAGAAAAGAAAAAAACTAGACCCAAATGTGATTAAGCCTCTAGATCCAATTACCGACTTACAGAAAATACAGAGGACAAAGAAATATGTTAAATTACAAGATACGATAAAATCAGTAAAATCCAGACTGTGGGAAAATCTATAGGACAAAAGGGCTGCTTTCTTCAACCGATAAATTACGAGGGAAAGAGGGTTAGCGATAGAGGAAAACCTATGGATTCAGAGACTTAAAAGGCATGCCAACCAATCACGATGGGTGAATGTGGATTCAAATATATTGTTAAACAAATACAACCTTTAAGAAAAGGTTAGTAATTTGAACACTGATTAGGTATTTGATGATATTAAGGAATTACTGTTAATTCTTTTTTAGATATGATAATGGTAGGGTGGTTGCATTAAACCGAAAAAGTATCCTGAGCTTCTTTTAGTGATCCATCCTGAAATATTAAAGGTGGATCTGTTTCAAAATAAGTTAGGGTTGGGGCAGTGAGTACAACATAAGAGGAAACACAATTGGCCCTGAGTTGATAACCGATGATGGGTTCATGAGGGGCCATCTATCCTCTCTATTTGCACATGTCTGAAATTTTCTATGATTATTTAAAAAGCCCAATACATTTTCTAGACTAAGTGAAAAATCTTAAGCTTAAATATAAAATAAGAACTTTTCTTCAAAATAATAACTTCAAATATTTAAATGAAGAATGGCAGTTACAAAATGTGTAAGTGGGTACTATCTTACTTCATTTGAAAGGTGAGGGAAGAGCCCCAGGGCAAAAGAACCAAGGCTTAGGCTGGTGTCCCTACAGGCTCTTCCCTTCAGAGCGGAAGGTGATATCCAGGCTTGGGTTATAACGTGGACCTGGAGGGCAGAAATTGCAGGATCGAATTATCTTCCAAAACATATTTTATTGCCTATGAATGACCATATGTCCTTTTATATATAAATCCATGTGCAATGATATGTAGGTTAAGATGTATGCGGCATGATGATGAGAAAGCAAAGTGCACTGTGATCTTTCTTGTCCTTTCATGGTGGTCCCTAAATGCATAGCACATGCAGACAAATTCTCGTGAGTCAAGGAAATGCACGTGGGGTGTACCTGTCGAAGGCGTTTGACTGGAATCTGCTGAGGTGACCTATTTCAGATACTGTGTAGCTGTGTCTTACTCTTGAAATTAGGCTGGTGGCCAGTCTCAGACAATTACAAGTAGAACATCTTTTTATGAATTTCTAAGGAACTTTGATACACAAGAGGGTTTCTTTGCCCCCCTCCGTTTAAAGTGATACTATGAGAGTTTAGCTAATGCCTTTGGGTAAAATGCAGTGACTTACCACGCAAAGAAGCCAAAGCACAACATAGAGTATTTGGGTCTTAGAGAAGAGATCTTGTCCAAATTTTATGCAAACAATGGCCTCCAGGAAACCAATGACCCTAATTAGACAGAGAACAGAGGTTAAGTATTAATCCATCTTACCAGAGCATACACTTTATCCAAAATATGCATGATTGAATGAAAAAGTTCAACTCATCATGCGATTTCTGCCTCAAACACTGGTAGCAGGTACCCCACAAAATAACACTGTTCAAGCCAACTGCATTTACTTCGGAAATAATAAAGTATTTTTCACCTCTTCCTTCTTCCCAGACCGAAATTGTGACTCATAAATTTTAATAGCTAGGGGCACTGGCATCACCTAACTCAGCACCTCCACTGCCATAAGGGTGGGTGATCACGCCGCCTCTGCTGGAACCCTCTCAGGCACAGGGAAACTACTACCTTTGCAAGGTGGCTTATTTTTCTGGTCAAACTCTTCAGCAGTTAGGAAGTTTTTCCTTGTCACAGGCTGGTATCTGCCTCCTATACCTCCTACCCTGGGTCCTAACATTACCCTAGCATGTCGCAGGTGAGAAAGCATCATTTCAGTGGAGGAACCTAGAAGGCTTTTTCACTGTAGTTCTGAAGTCTAGACTGTGATTAAGAGGCTAGGTGGCTGCCACACAGGGTGAGTTTGACCCTTCCAAGAGAGTCTTTCAATAATTTGAAGGCATTAATCACATTCCTTCCCAGCCTTCTAAGAATTTCCAGATGAAATAGCCCCCGTTTTTGGTGAAAATATAAA
Source organism: Homo sapiens (assembly GCF_000001405.40). Lineage (NCBI taxonomy): Eukaryota > Metazoa > Chordata > Mammalia > Primates > Hominidae > Homo > Homo sapiens. The sequence continues at coordinate 96,319,556 of NC_000008.11, read as the reverse complement.
CCCTTTACCTTCTCTTGATCTGTAAAAGATTGTGCTAAATACAAATTTTTTGTTTTTTTTTAAGAAACGCCACACACTTATTTCCCCTTTAAAACATTAAAAAAAGTCACTCTTGTGTTCTGTATCTTCATTTATGACTATAAAAATCAGGCCTTTCTAAAGGTTCAGGACTTGGAGGTAAGAATGGATGAGGTGAGGTTGACATAGTTGGCCATGAGATCCCAGGCAGCATATGAATACTGATTTTAGACAAGTCCATTTTATGCATTCCTTGCTCAAGATGAGATCTGTACACTCCATGAATGGTGTACTCACACAGATGTTTTCTAAAAAGGCAAGAAGGGGCAGGGCATGGTGGCTCATGTCTGTGATCTCGGCACTTTGGGAGGCTGAGGCGAGCGGATCACTTGAACTCAGGAGTTCAAGACCAGCCTGACCAAGATGGTAAAACCCCATCTCTGCCAATAATACAAAAATTAGCCAGGCGTGGTGGCACACACCTGTAGTCCCAGCTACTCGGGAGGCTGAGGCAGGAGAATCACTTGAGCCTGAGAAGTGGAGGAGGTTGTGGTAAGCCAAGATGGCACCACTGCACTCCAGCCTGGGCGACAGAGTGAGGCTCTGCCTCAAAAAAAAAAAAAAAAAAAAAAAAAAGGCAAGAAGGGGCCAAGAAGGCCCTTGGTACCCCTGCTTACTGGCAGACATAGTGGTCACTGCCATCATCAAAAGTGTAGATGGCTCTAAACAACTGAAGGTCTAAATGCCTGGAGTTAGAACCACTTCAGCAAAGCAGAAAAATCAACAGAAATTCTCCTCAATTTGTCTTTAGAGAGTCTGGGGCTGTCTTTTCCCCTAGCCCGAACCAAAACAAGGTTTAAGAGTGGTTGGCTTGAATCTTTAAAGCACTGCTCCACAAAGCATGTCACATGTGAGAAAGTATCATTTCAGTGGAGGAACCCAGAAGGTTTTCTCACTGTACTTCTAAAGTCTAGACTGTGATTAAGACGCTAGGTGGCAGTTACATGTTTGGTATTCCAGCCTGTGCAGTGAGGAGACATAAAAAGGATGATTTCATCTTTGGCTCGGACTTCGTGAATAACTCCTATGATGGGAGTGTTGAGCCCAGGACATAAGTGTGATTATCTACCCATAAGCCGGACAGAACACCCTGAGTTTATTATGAAAGATTTCTGAATATTCAACTAGACTTGAGGCCCTCTATCTTTTTTTTTTTAAATAGAGTCTAGCTCTGTCACCCAGGCTGGAGTGCAGTGGTGCAATCGCGGCTCACTGCAACCTCCGCCTCCCGGTTCAAGCAATTCTACTGCCTCAACCTCCCGAGTAGCTGGGACTACAGGCGCCTGCCACCACACCCAGCTAATTTTTGTATTTTTAGTAGAGGCGGGGTTTCACCATGTTGGCCAGGCTGGTCACCAACTCCTCATCTCAAATGATCCACCCACCTCAGCCTCCCAAAGTGCTGGGATTACAGGCATGAGCCAGCCTGAGGGCCCTTTTAAAAGCATGCTGATTGGCCGACTAAAGCTGTGTTTCTCAAACTTTTGTGATCTAAGACCCATTAAGAACCATAGCAAGAAACACAATTTTCACTGTGATCCAGTATACGCATGCGTGTACACACACACACACACACACACACACACACACACACACACACTGAAACAAAAGCTTCATAAGACAATTTGCATCTTTATTCTGATATTTTTCTATTCTGTTTCATTTTAAGAAAATACTGGCCAGAACCCAATCACTGGCTTCATAATGACCTAAAGTTTTTTCTGTTTTTTTGTTTTAATTTTTTGAGACCGGCCCTGACTCCATTGCCCAGGCTGGAATGCAGTGGCACAATCTTGGCTCATGGCAACCTCCACTTCCCAGGCTCAAGCAATTCTTCTACCTCAGCCTCCCGAGTAGCCGGGACTACAGGCTCACGGCACTACGCCCAGCTAATTTTTGTATTTTTTGTAGAGACGGGGTTTTACCGTGTTACCCTGATTGGTCTCGAACTCCTGAGCTCAAGTGATCCACCCACCTCAGCTTCCCAAAGTGCTAGGATTACAGGTATGAGCCACTGCACCTGGTCAACCTGAAGTTTTTCTGAAGACCGTGCTTTTGAGTTAGCAACTTAAGGATATGATTTGTGCCAATGTGCTGAGGAGTCTTAGCTAAGCCATTGTCCGTGTGTGTGGGCACATCTCATGAGAAGGTGGCTAGGAGGAGGTGAGGGGGCCGGCTATGGGATTACATAAGTGTGGAGAGTCCCAGACTGAGGCCTGGGCATGGGAAAGGCACAAGGAAGGGCCAGGAATCAGGGGAAAGGGCTGAGTTGAGGTCAGGGTAACATGGACCTGGAAGGCCACCCGTAGGCTTGGCTTTTAGTCTGAGGGGATCCTAGAGGGTCTAGAGCAGAGGGTTTAATACAGTCTTCTCTCTCTCTGTCTCTCTCTCTCTCCATATATATATACACACACACACACATATATATATACACACATATATATAGACACATATATATATACACATACATATATATATATATATTTAGACGGAGTCTCACTCTGTCACCCAGGCTAGAGTGCAGTGGTGCAATCTCAGCTCACTGCAACCTCTACCTCCTGGGTTCAAGTGATTCTCCTGCCTCAGCCTACTGAGTAGCTGGGACTACAGGCGTGTGCCACCACACCTGGCTAATTTTTTGTATTTTTAGTAGAGATGGAGTTTCACCATGTTGGCCAGGATGGTCTTGACCTCCTGACCTCGTGATCCGCCCACCTTGGCCTCCCAAAGTGCTTGGGATTACAGGAGTGAGCCACTTCGCCTGGCCAGTTTGCTTAATGTTTTTTTAAAATTTTTTTCAGCTTTTATTTTACATACAGGGGGTACATGTGTAGGAATGCTACATGGGTATATTGGACCCAGGTAGTGAGCGTAGCACCCAGCAAGTAGTTTTCCCACCCATGCCCCGCTTCCTCCCTCCCTAGTAGTCAGCAGTGTCTATTACTCTGATGTTTATGTCCATGTGTACTCAATGTTTAGCTCCCACTTTTAAGTGAGCATATGCGGTTTTTGGTTTTCTTTTCCTGCTTAGGATTATGGCCTCCAGCTGCACCCATGTTGCTACAAAGGACATGATCCCATTCTTTTTTATGGCTGTGTATTATTCCATGGTGTCTATGTACCACATTTGCTTTATCCAGTCCACCACTGATGGGCACTAGGTGGATTCCATGTCTTTGCTATTGTGAACAGCATGGTGATGAACATTCGAGAACCTTCTGCTGGCTGAACAGAACTCTGTGAGAAGACAAGAGCAGAAGCAGGGAGGCTACTGTACTCATCCAGACATGGGGACCCGGGTCAGGGCTGTGGAGATGGTGAGAAGTGGTAGGAACCCAACGATCACATGGGCTCCTTTAACCACCAGCCATCGCCCCCACCATTACCTCTGGCCCACTGGAGGGAGTTCCAATCAACAGCACCCTTCCAGAAGGCTGACATTACTTTTCTACCAAGACTCAAAGAGTGGCTAGTTTAGGGCTGAGGCTGGAGGCTTCAGCACAGCGGGAGCCTGTATTAAGCCTGCCAGTGTGAGAACACATACCTCCTCCTACTTCCTCACCCCCAGGGGTGCTGGGGTTTCCTCCGCACAGCTCAGCAATAGGTCCCTTTACTCAGTTCAATTTAAATCTCTCTGATCTTTCCCAGGCTAAGCTAGGTGGACAAATTGTGGCTTAATGGAATTCAGTCAGGGCCTCCACTCCCTTTGATGCCATCCACCATCCTGTATCTTGGTTTAGCAGGGTTAAAAGGCAAATAAACATTTGGGCAGCCTGAGGTGCTTCTGCTGGGAGCAGGCACTAGAGATTCCTGACCTAGGGCTGGTTACTGGTGCACATACTCCCAGCACCCCCGACTTGTGGAGCCAGTTCCACAATGTGGGAAAAAAGATGATGTTAATGTAGAGCCCAGAGTCAGGAGCTCTTCGGTGAGTTGAGTGGAACAGGCATGGTGGCAGGGTTGTTGTAGGAATCTGGGGCATGAAAGCTCTAGGCTCGTGTGTGTGAGCTGGGTGTATGAGCCAAACTTGAGAAGCAGAAGAAGAGATTTTGGCTTGCCAACAAGCCTGCACGTGGATTCTGAGGATGCCACAGGAATGCCATGGACATGGAGGCCGGGTACCTGGCTGCTGCATCCCACACGCACTGCTCCATGGCTGCACAAGCAATCCCTGGATGGCTGAGAGTGTGGGAGACCCCCTCTCCTGGCAGCCAGGGCCCAGCCTCCAATAGTGGAAATGAGATGTGTATCCATGTTAACTCAATGACCACACAATCACACAGGATGCCAGGAAGGGTCCTCCAAGTTCAGGAGTGAGCTTCTAGTTCTGATTAGGGTGGGCAAAGACACCTTTTTGGAGGAAGCAAGAGCTAAGTGTGGCATAAACAATAGATACAATTCCTATTGTGCTCCTGTCAACTTTCTAACTTCCAAAGAATCCCCGGCACAAGGAGGGAAGGGGAGAAGCGGGTCTTGGATGGCAAACTCAGAACTGTTCTGCTTACTCGTTTAGATACTTAGTAGGATTTGGGGCAAGATGCCATTTGAAGAAAGGGGATCGGCTGCTAAAAAAAAGCTTTGTAGGCCAGGCGTGGTGGCTCACGCCTGTAATCCCAGCACTTTGGGAGGCTGAGGTGGGCGGATCACGAGGTCAGGAGATCGAGACCATCCTGGCTAACATGGTGAAACCCCGTCTCTACTAAAAATACAAAAAATTAGCCAGGCGAGGTGACGGGCACCTGTAGTCCCAGCTACTCAGGACGCTGAGGCAGGAGAACGGCATGAACCCGGGAGGCGGAGCTTGCAGTGAGCCGAGATGGCACCACTGCACTCCAGCCTGGGCGACAGAGTGAGACTCCATCTCAAATGTAACTACTGTCAGAGCTTCTGAGATGTCAGTGGAGGTGCACTTGAGTGCAGGGGGTGGGGTGTGGCAAGATAAAGGGAGGATGAACAGACACAGTCACGAGGAGAAGGGGAACTGGCTATAAAGCTATACCAGCAGGACGGCGGTGACTCCCCTGTGCTGGGAAGGGACCCCCCTCCCAACATCTGTTCCCCTGTGTTTGCACCCTCTCCCTAGAAGGAAGCTCATGCTCATAGTTGCATCTACCCTTAAGACAGACAGTCTAGGCTGCGTGCCGTGGCCAATGCCTGTAATCCCATCACTTTGAGAGGTCAAGGTGGGAGGACTGCTTGAGTCCAGGAGTTCAAGACCAGCCTGGGCAACATGGTGAAACCCTGTCTCTACAAAAACTAAAATATAATTAGCTGGACATTGTGGTGTGTGCCTATAGTCCCAGCTACTTAGGAGGCTGATGTGGGAGGATTGCTTGAGTCTGGGAGGTCAAGGCTGCAGTGAGCTGTGATCACTGCCACTCAACTCCAGCCTGGGCAACACAGCAAGACCCTGTCTCAAAAGAAATAAAATTTAAAAAGAAAGAAAGCCTGAACTATGGGCCTGGAAGAACAAAAGAACAAAACCACAATTATGAGAAATTGTAAGGAGGAGAGAGGGGTAGAATGGGAAGCCAGCAAAGGGAACTGAAAACAGAAAAGTGAGAGGAAATACAGGACAGATATTGCAGAGGAAAGAGGACAGTTTCAAGAAGGCAGATAATGTGCAGAAGATCCAAGAAGAGGATGAGGAAAGGACTGGCTGGTTTGGAGCTGACCTTGGAGAGCAGCAGAGGTGGGAACTTATTGTGATGGACACATTAGCAGAGGTGGGATCACAGGCAGCGAGGAAACTGGTCGGGTGAGGAGCAGCTCTGGCTGCCTCTGGGAGGCAGGATGCAGCCCTGGGCCCTCAGGCAGGGTAGGCTCACTCTCCCATGAGGGCCCACCCCATGCACTCCCAGGAAGAGGAAAAGCAACTGTGCACTGCTGTTCAGCCGACGCTTGGCCACCTTCCTCCCAGGACCAGGCGATAAAACACTGCTTCTATTTAAACTGGGCCAATACTCTCTTTTTGAGGCAGAGAAGCTCAATTCTAATCAGGGTGGAATGGGGAAAAGACAAAGATGACATAAACCCCACACCTGGAGAATTTGTTCACATCAGTCTGGCCCCAAAACTCCCACCGAGCTGAAGGAACATCATGTGACATCTAAATAGAGAAACAGCCGACCTTTCCACACGGCTGCTTTCTCTCTGTTAGGGATCCCATTCCCTTGCTGGATGGCGCCCTCTCTCTGCTGAGTGCAACACCTTTCGTATAAAAGGTTTAAAAGCTCAGTCTATGGCACAACCGTTAGGGATGACATGTATTTAGCTACAATAGCAAGTAATTCATAAAAACATTTTGAGGATACCATCTTTATAGAAGAGAAAGTACCCTCTTCAGGAGAAAAAGGGTGGAGTGCTGGGAAAGAACCCCAGGCGGGTGATCCTATTTGACCTTTGCCTTCCCCTTTCTACCTCCCAAAAGGCAACATTCAGAAAGTCACTATTTAAGGCACTGCTCCCTCTCATTTCTCCACCTTACCAAAGTCTGAGATCATTCCAAAATTAGTGAAAAGAAAGCTATAAAGCAGCTATTAGTGATTAAAGGAAACCACACACTTCAGTGTTTTCTGTTTTGATAGGAGAGGAAATAATGACAAAATGGCAGGGAGGTAGAGCTGGGGCAGAGGAAGGAAGTGGGTGGCCTCCGGGGTCAGGAGAGCAGGAGGCTGTGGCTCCTGTTTCACCTTCCCTGGCTGGCAGTGGACTGTGCAGGGGGCAGCTCTCACGGCTGTTCACGCACACAGGAGGATCCACTGGGTGTGATTTATGAGGAGGGCTTTATTATTTTTCAGCATAGCTCACTGGTTCTCACAAGAGTCTTCAATCTCGGTATCACACTGTTCCGGGAGTTCTCAATTCTCAGTAAAGCACACTAAGCCCAGTGATCTCTCCTTTGCATTTCAGTATATTTTAATCACTTTCAAATAAGGCACAACTTTCTGGGGCAGTGTTTACCACTCTTTGGCATTGTTTACTTTTTTCCTTTTTTTTTTAAAAAAAAAAAAAAAGAGAGAGACAGGGTCTTGCTCTGTCATCCGGGTGGGAGTGCAGAGGCACAATCATAGCTCAATGCAGGCTTGACCTCCTTGACATCCTGGGTTCAAGTGATCCTCCTGCCTCAGCCTCCACAGTAGCAGACTACAGGCATGTGCCATCATGCCTGGTTAACTTAAAAAACTTTTTGTGGAGACAACGTCTCGCTATGTTACCCAGGCTAGTCTCAAACTCCGGGCGTCAAGCGATCCTCCCACCTCAGCCTCCTGGATTGCTGAGATTACAGGCGTGAGCCGCCATAGTGGAGTTTACCTTTGCCGTTTCTCCCACCGTGGGGATGGTGTTTCATGGCTGTCCAATTAGAAAGAAACTTTGTCATGATGCGACCTCTCTCTCTGACCCACTTATTTCCCTCAACACGTAAATCGATACAATTCTGTGGAAAAAAAATCCACTCCACAGCAGAATAATAGGACCTTGCTAAGGACTTTTAAATATGAAAGCAAAATGCACGTGGAAAGAATGTGTGAGTGGGACAGAAGAGCTCAAATGCAGGAAAAGGAAAGACCATTTCCTCCTTGGACAATCCTTTAGAAGGAGGGGCCCACATCCCTTCTTCCAGTACACAGGGCCCTCACACATGAAGCGGGAGCGCCACCTCTGCGCTGTCAGAAATCTGGGAGATGTGTGAATTCTCCCTCCTGCTATATCATGAACAAAGGAAACCAAATCCATCTTATCACCTTTTACAACAAACCACTTTGGGTAAGAAAATCAGCTTACACCATAGAACCTAAGAGAAACAAATGACAATGGCCCTTAGTCTTCTAAGGGTCGGGAGGAACCTGCCTAAATCTAACCTGAGTATCAACATTTTTAGCCTTTAAAACTATGTCACCCTTCAGAATCTAGATGACAGCTGGAAACACACACACACATACACAGAAAAATGGAAAGGAATGACATTAAAATATTAACAATGATTATCTCTAAATGGTTGACTTCTTTGGGTGATCTTTAGTTCCTTCTAGATCCTTTTCTGAATTTTTATCATTGTGCATGTATTACTTTTTAATTGGAAGAATGTCCTGTTTAAAAATCTGTGAAAAGTAATTTCTTCTCTATAATGGGTTTTCCTCAATTTTTCTTTATACTCTCATACTCCATTTAGAACCTCGATTAGGTCTTGAAGCTAAGCCACCTTGGGGATTGAACTTCATGTACAGATTTGCTGGATGTCTCTGGAATTTCAGTCACTAAATGGGATGGTAAATTGTTGCTGATGTTAAGTAGAAAAACAACTTACTTGAGATATTCAAGAGGGTCTCACATTTAACAGCAAGAGGTTAAACTAGATAACCTAAGGTCTCTTTCTCATCAGTTAAATAATAAATTAAAATATAACATTTAAGGCCGGGCGCAGTGGCTCAAGCCTGTAATCCCAGCACTTTGGGAGGCAGAAGGTGGGTGGATCACGAGGTTCAAGAAATCGAGACCATCCTGGCCAACATGGTGAAACCCCATCTCTACTAAAAATACAAAAATTAGCTGGGTGTGGTGGCACGCGCCTGTAGTCCCAGCTACTTGGGGGACTGAGGCAGGAGAATCGCTTGAACCTGGGAGGCGGAGGTTGCAGTGAGCCGAGATCACGCCACTGTACTCCAGCCTGGCGACAGAACACTCCGTCTCAAAAAGAAAAAAAAAAAGATATAACATTTGAATCCATAACAAGACCATTGTGACCATGCTGCTGTATGTTAGTACTCTTTGGAACAATAAAATTATACTTCAGTATATAGCAAGCAGCTGTTCCAAGGGGCCCTTTTGATGTGACAATAATATGGGGTGTGGGTCAGCCCATGACAGGATGGCATTCCAAACTCAAGATACATCCAGAAGGAATGCAACCAATCCATTTTCTCTCTAATGTATTTCATAAAACAAAGTCTCAGAGTTGTTTGTGGGAAATACCATCTGATTTCCTAATTTATTTAAAAAAAAAAAAAGAGAGCCAAGGCCGGGTGCGGTGGCTCATGCCTGTAATCCCAGCACTTTGGGAGGCCAAGGGGGTCAGATCATGAGGTCAGAGTTAGAAACCAGCCTGACCAACACGGTGAAACCCCGTCTCTACTGAAAATACAAAACTTAGTAGGGTGTGGTGGTGCGCACCTGTAATCCCAGCTACTTGGGAGGCTGAGGCAGGAGAATCACTTGAGCCCAGAAGGCAGAGGTTGCAGTGAGCCGAGATCATGCCACTGCCCTCCAGCCTGGGACAGAGTGAGACTCCATCTCAAAAAAAAAAAAAAAGAGAGAGATCCATTTCTTTTTGTCTGTTTGTTTTTTAACATGGAGTCTCACTCTATCGCCCAGGCTGGAGTGCAGTGCAGTGGCGTGACTTTGGCTCACTGAAACCTCAGCCTCCCGGGTTCAAGCGATTCTCCTGCCTCAGCCTCAACCAGCTAATTTTTGTACTTTTAGTAGAGACAGGGTTTCGCCATGTTGACCAGGTTAGTCTCGAATTCCTGGGCTCAAGTGATCCGCCCACCTCGGGCTCCCAAAGTGATAGGATTACAGGCATGAGCCACTGCACCCGGCCAAAATAAGAGAGCCATTTCTATACTCTTGTTTTATAATTTGCCAAGTAACTATTCTTAACTTAAATCAGAAAAGGGAATATTAAAGATGAAAAGATATATCTATGTATATATAGATATAGATATAGATATATAAAATCTAGTCCACCTGTCTTCATAGAAAAATTATACTGAAAGGCTCTTAACACAGGGTCAAGAAATACCCAAATAAAATTAGGGCTTAAGTGGTTTTTAAATCTCCACAATAACAGATTACTCACCCAAACACCCAGCATTGTGTTCCTACGCGCTTGCACTGTGTGTCGGTGAGGTAAGCGTAGTACTGTCTGAAAGAACAAAGTTGGAATTCATTGAGAGCTGCTGGAAGACCAGCAAGTCAGCACATAATTAAATCACTTTGACAAAGTAAAAAACGTCCCTCCTTGTCCCATGTCAGGCTGCCTGGTCTAGTTCTGTTCAAGAGAAGAGAAAGCCAGTGCCTGTTAAAACATTCCTGTAAGAGATTCAGCGTTTGGGTTAGGCTGGAGGCAGGGGAGCATCATTTAAAGAGCCAGATTCTTGTCTGGTCTGAGTGCCGGGGTGTTTACAACTAACTGATCGCAACCATTTACAGATTTCTTTGTTCCTTTTCCACTCCCACTGCTTCACTTGACTAGCCTAAAAAAAAAAAAAAAAAAAAAAAAAAAAAACCACTAAAAAGAGCCAGATTATTGACAAAGTCAGTCTGGATTCAGTGGTAAGACTTCCACAGCGCTGCAAAGGAACCCCAGGTGGGTGTTTCCATGTCTAGCTCCATGGAGGTGACTCCAGAGAGTGAGCAGTACTGTCCATTGGTTGTCTCCTCTGGTTCTCTCCAGGACAAAGGTTGCTGATTGTAACCAGGCAAAAAATATACAGATTTTTGGCTTTCAGAAACTGGAATGGGACCCCAGCTATATCTCACTGCCATTGAATGCCAATGACTTGGAATGTTACTGACAAGTTCAGAAAAAAAACAGGCAATGACATGGTGTTGAAAGGCTCAGAACAGCACCATCCGGTAGAAATATAATGCAAGCCATAAATGCAATTTTAAATTCTCCAGTAGACATGTTAAAAAAGTAAAAAGGAACATACAAAATCCATTTTATTAATATGTTAAACTAATATTTAAACAAATATATTAAAACATTATAATGAGGTATTTTATATTCTGTTTTGGCCCCAACTCTTCAAAGTCTGGTGTGCAGTTTCCATGCACGGCACATTTCATTGTGGAGTGACCACATCCCTAGTGCTCAATAGCCACACGTGGTGAGTGGCCTCTGTGTGGGACAGCATGGCTTGGAGTCTTGTAAGTACCCCTGAAACTCAATCTACCCCTTCAGCAGTAGCACCTGAACCAGGAACTCATCATCTTTTTGGGGTCACTGACTCTTTGAGGATTTGATGAAAGAAAGGCATAACACTTTGCATTAAAGTTCAGAGGATTCACGAATACCTGAAGCTCATCCATAAACTACTGTCGTCTCACCCCAAAGACCAGAGTGAAGAATTCTAATTATAAAGAATGTAGCTTTTCCTCTAACTTCATATTGTCATGACCTAACACGTCTTGATCATTTTAGCTACTTTACACTCTAACTGGACCCATTTCCTTATATTGTACTTTATAGTATCAGATTAAAAGCATGTTCACTCAAATATCTTCTCAAAGCAGATTCGTGTGAAAGTCTAATAAAAAAGGAAGAAGCTGGAGATGTTAGGATTTACACTGAAGCCTCTAAACTCTCTCTCCTCTCGGGACCTAACATTTGCTAAATGGGGTGGCTGTGTTAAAATCCATTAGCAGCACATCCATCTTTCCGAGTAACTTGTCAAAGAAACTCCTTACATGGGAACTGCCTCAAACAGTGTAAGGGCACAGGAAGTGTCTGATTTTTTAAACAAAGAGAGTTGTGGAGAAATCCATAGGGCATTGTAAAATTTTGAGGATCTCTCAAAAGTTCAAAACGTTGGATTTTTAGTGTCTAGTTTTTATTTTGGAATGTTTAGTACTGAAATTTCATGATAAATCATATACGATTTGCTATTTTGTTCTAAGAAGAAAATTCTTTCCATTCTTACTGACTTTATTGATTGCTCTTAATTTTATGAAAGAGCTGCGGTAAATCTTTCCTGAAAAAAATTGTAAAGTCTCAAATTAAATTACATTTTAAATGGGGACTCTAAACCATTAAGAAAAAACAGGATTTATGAGATAATGACTGCAATAGACCACTAATCTACGAAGTTTCAAAGGGCTGCTGGCTTACTCTTCTTTTCCATTTTGGTCATAACAAAAAGAACAGATGGGAATGTTAGGCTTAACTCCTCAGGACTTGGACATGTCTTACTTGATTTGTTGAATCCAGGATCTGGAGGTTTTTTTTTTTTTTTTTTTTTTTTTTTTTTGGTAATATTGAATGATGACAAGAAGAGGTGCTGGCTGGAAGGTCTGTTTGACCAAGGTATAGATCTACTGTCCTTGGCAAGTGAGGCCCGCTGCTTATGGGGTTTGCAAGCACATTAAAAATAATGAAATAAACAATCTTACAGCTTCTGAAAAGCTAACTCTTTTAACTGCTTAAATTATATTTGTACCTTTGGCAGATCTTTGGTGTTGCTACTCATTAATGCCAGTATTCCGTATTAGTTATAAAACTCAAATGCCATTTCTAAATAGGAAAAATGAAACAAATGAAAATGCTTGCTTTGAACTGCACTGGGCCCAGTCTACTTGAGGGATGGTGTCTGAATAAGCCTCACCTCTAGGGCCCCACATTAATCCAGGGGAATAATGGCGGGAACACCCAAGCTTATCTCAGTTGTCCTGGAGGACTACAGGAAGGGCCTTTTTAAAAGGAAATTAAATTAATTGGGTCTGAAAAAGCTAAAAGTCTCATTCAAAAAATAATGTCATTTATGACTTCAGTTCTACCATAAAAACATTTGCATTTTTCCAGTAATCTCATTTTTAAAAAACTCAGCATCACTATGCTGTTATTTTTTTCTAATATGATGTTATAGGAGAAAAAAAGATCGGCAGTCCAAGACTGTAAAGGAATCTGATAATAATGGATAGTACTATTGGTGTGGTGTTCATCAAGTGCTTCTCTTTTTAAATGTCTGGTTAATGTTACTGACATCTGAGAACAAAACATTTTCGTCATATTCTGGATGTACAATTCTTTACGATGGTATTTTCATGGAAAATCTGCTAGTTTATATGACTTTCCTTATGCTAAACAGGACAATCTAAAGCAAGTTAATGTTCTCATATGACAGTCAGGCTTGTGCAGAATTACCTCACTGTGGGAGCTGTGATGCCACCAATAAAGAGAATTCTACCCCAACTTAATGGATGACTGGCTTGGAACACAAAGATATGCTTCAAGAAGAAGGTATTCAACTCAGTCAGCTGAAAAAGACGGAGAAATTAGTCAACCTGGTACCTCATGCTAATTCAAAATCCTCTATTCCTTAAATAGACATTCTACAATTAGAAATAATTGGTATGTTCAAAGCATTTTCAGAGAATAGATGTGGTCTTCCAAGGATTGCTATTCAAACTAGTTAACAGCCAGTACATTATGGGCAGGGAGCAACTGGAGGCCCAGGGAGAGGTGGCAGGGGTGGTGGATGGGCACATAGGGGAACAGGATTATCAGCTATTTGTCATGTTTCCTGGTTTGTATGATTGTTACTCAGCTCACACATGTGATCCACTGGGATAGTCGGGAGAGAAATGCTTTGAGCATACAGAAGTCATGAAAGCAAACCTGTGCCACAGAACACCTATGCTGCCTTACAGAAATCAGGCCAGGTCTAACAGAATTCCAAATGTAGATAAGTAAGCTCTTTAACAATCAAAAGAGGCTTGAGGCCATGCACGGTGGCTCATGCCTGTAACCCCAGCACTTTGGAAGCCCGAGGCGGGCAGATCGCCTGAGGTAAGTTGTTTGAGACCAGCCTGGCCAACATGGTGAAATCTCATCTCTACTAAAAATACAAACAGGCATGGTGGTGGGCGCCTGTAATCCCAGCTACTCAGGAGGCTGAGACAGGAGAATTGCTTGAACCTGGAAGGCAGAGGTTGCAGGTTGCAGTGGGCCGAGATCACGCCATTGCACTCCAACTTGGGTGACAAGAGTAAAACTCCATCTCAAAAAAAAAGCAAAAAAAGAAGCTGGAGACACATCTGAGAGATGACGATGGACTCGTGCAGCACACGCCTGGGACAGAGCAGATCCTCTACCAAAGGCAGTCCTTAAAAGTAGGTATGAAGGGTTGGTCCAAGTTTCAGCTGGGAGCAGTAGTACTTTTCCCTGAGGTTAGCATCCTCATGCAGTTCATCATGATGAGTAGCACAAAATATCTTGTGGCTGGGACGTGGCTGCTCTCTGCCTAGAGCCCAGCTCCAGGTAGCAAACAAGGGGTGGAGATTATGGAACGGTCACTGTGCTAGGAGAACACAGTACATAGACTGGCAGGTTCATTACAATTCCACAAAATGCATGTTGTTTTCCCATAGCACTGACTTCAAGGACACAAAATAAAAAATAGTCTAATTAATATCACATATGGAAAGCTGATCCCAGCGCAGTGCTCACACTCATGGGAACAGTGTGCTCCATCGCATACCACCAGGTGGTTCCATCCTAACGGCACTATACTACTCTCCTTGACACATCCAATCATTCCTCCTTGTAATAAAAGAAAGCTTCTGCTTTCCGTGACATTGGGCCTGATAAGGCAAAGCTTAATCCCAATCCATCTACAGTCCTGTTTTTAAAGATACTGACCTCTCCAAACCACAGTGATTACTTACTTAACTATTCACGTACACTTCTGTATGCATAAACTTCATTTATTGCGATGGGCATTGTCTCTGTGTGAACAAGGAAGATCATCTGTCCTAAAAGTGACATCTGCTAATTTTTTCCTTATGTTGGGAGTATTTTGTGTTTATGTGTCCAAAACATAATTTCTGATGACTCTGAAAGATCCTCTTCAGGCAAAAGCTGGTTTCCCTTGGCTACTTTCCAAAAGTTGTGAAACAACCTGGGGCCAGGAGCATCAGAAAAAATTGCTGTCTCTCAGAAACACAGATGCTTGATAATCTTTTGCCAAGACCCTGGGCTGTCAGAATCACTTCCGTCGTGAAGTGGGCCACTTGGAAATACAGCTTCTCTCCACGGAGGACAACACTCTGGAGGACTCAGCAAAAGGCTCCAATTCCCCAGCACTCATTTAGCACCCTACAGATTAACCAAAGTGGTAACAGCTGAGGAACAATTTTAACCAATAAACACTGAATTAGGAATGTAAGAAAAGCCTTCTCATTTGTTCCTTTGGTCTTGAAAATGATCATTCTAAAAAGCAATCCAATGCCTAACTCATTGGATGATGGATGCTAGACACAAATTATTTCACGGAATCTAATCTGTTTCTAATTTGTAATTCAAAGATCCATATTTTAAAACTGTCTTCAAAATGAGGCAAGACCTTAGGCATAACAACATCACTTTGCTTAATTATTCTACATGCCAGCTGCAGAATATTATATCTTGTAAAGTATGGAGCTGAAAAGCAATGTAAACTAATGTTAACTCTAAATTCCTAAAAAGTTTTTATTTTAGTTTTTGTTTTCCTCCCAACTTCTGGGCATCTGAAAAAATACCTGCCAGATGATCATGAAAAGGTACACTCCAGCTACTCTCTGAAAAGAAGATTTGGGGTCAAACCATCGAACATAGGTCCAGCTAGCAGGAGTGAACTGCAGAACAGCTCTCTTGATCTTCCCGGTGGTGGTATGAATGTCCCTGTAAGAAGAGAATGGCTCCAGTGAAAATCCAGAGATAAGGCAGGGGGAAAACAAAGCACAAGAAAAAAATCCTGTGCACTGATGATTTTTATAATAAATGCTCAGGACAAAGAGACTGCTTTTTATTTGAATTGTGTCTCAAAGGTCTCTCTATACAGGTAAAGCAGGTGACAGAAGCACACTCAATGAGGAATCTCATTGATGACAGGCACAGGGCAGCAAGGAGACTGTTCTCCCACTGCTTGTCTCCCACGTAAAACTGCACACACTCCATATTCTTGCATCACCCACAACACTTCTTTACCCTATTTCTTCCCCAGAGCAGTAAACATTTTGGGTTGATGAACAGTGATATTTAACCTTTCTTCATTTGCATCCTCGAAATCACTCAATTAAAAGTTTCACACACCCATGAAAGAACTAAACAGTCCTACAGTTTACAAATGCAGACATTAAGGCCCAGAGACAGCAAGTGGCTGGCACACTCAGCATGAGGAGTGGGTGCAGATTCCAGCCCTCCCTGTACTAGTCCAGGAGAGCCAAAACCCAAGGTATAATAAATACTATTTAATAACTGGTAAAGAGTCTTTAATTCCACAAATATTTATATCATGAACTTTTACGTCTCCAACATTGTGCTAAGTGGTTGGAGGCACAAGCACCAACCAGTCAGGCCTTCCGTTCTAGTGGGTGGGAGCAGGGAGAGTGATAGGAAACCAGGGCTGTTCCTTCATCCACCCACCTATCCACCAACAAACTCGTATTGAGAAAACATCACAGCAAGAAGATCTGCGGCACACTGGCAGCAAAAAATAGAGACTATCCAAAAATAAACAAGAACTACAAAAGACTTGTACTGTAAAAATAGCAAAGTGCATAGAAAGACTGAGAAGAAAATGGGAATAAAGAGAGATGCAGCGTGATCAAGAATCAGAATATTTAATACAGCAAAGAGGTTAATTCAACTTAATCTGTATTCATTTATACATTTAATATTACTTTAAAAAAACCACCAATAGGATTTTTTGTTGTTGTTTATTAGTTGGGTTTATGTCGTGGGAACTTGACAAAATGATTCTGAAGTCAAATTTCAAGAATAAACATAAGAAAACAAGGAAGTATACTGTAGCAGTGTTCAAGAAAGCAGACATCCTGAGGCCAGGCATGGTGGCTCATGCCTCTAATCCCAGCACTTTGGGAGGCTGAGGCCGGCAGATCACTTGAGGTCAGGAGTTTGAGATCAGCCTGGCCAACATGGTGAAACCCTGTCTCTACTAAAAATACAAAAATTAGCCAGGTGTGGTGGCGGGTGCCTGCAGTCCCAGCTATTTGGGAGGCTGAGGCAGGAGAATCACTTGAACCTGGGAGACAGAGGTTGCAGTGAGCCAAGATTGTGCCACTGCACTCCAGCCTAGGCGACAGAGTGAGACTATGCCTCAAAAACAACAACAACAACAACAAGGAAAGCAGACATCCTGGTGCAAATTCAGACTCAGCTGCTTGCTAGCTGTGTGTCCTTAGGCAAATTACTAAACCTAAGCCTCAGTATCACATCATTCCTAAACTGAAGAGAATAACAGTGTCTACCCTCAGGACTGATTCAAGGCTCAAATGAGATATTGCTTGTGAAGCTTGCTTGGAGCAATACTTGAAGCATGGCTACTATTTTTATTAGGTTAAATGCTGCCTTAAATATATTAAAAAGTGGCTGGGCATGGTGGCTCATACCTGTAATCCCAGCACTTTGGGAGGCCGAGTAAGGCAGATCACCTGAGGTTGGGAGTTCGAGACTAGCCTGGCCAACATGGAGAAACCCTGTCTCTACTAACAATACAAAAATTAGCTGGGTGTGGTGGTGCATGCCTGTAATCCCACCTGGGGATTACAGGCACTGGGGAGGCTGATGCAGGAGAACTGCTTAAACCCGGGAAGTGGAGACTGCAGTGAGTTGAGATTGCACCACTGCACTCCAGCCTGGGTGACAGAGCAAGACTCTGTCTCAAAAAAACAAATACATAAAAATTAGAATTAAAATTAAATATATTAAAAAGTGTCCTTGCAAGTCAGTGACCAAAGAAAGGTTTAGTAATAAAAGGGATGGGGAAAACTGGTTAACCAATGGCAAAAACATTGTGAAATCTCCTCCTCACATCATATACCAAAATAAATTTGAGACAGATTAAATACTTAAAACAAGTAAAACCACTAAAGAACTAGAAGAAAGGCTGGGCACGGTGCTCACGCCTGTAATCCCAGAACTTTGGGAGGCTGAGGCGGGCGGATCACCTGAGGTCAGAAGTTCGAGACCAGCCTGACCAACACAGAGAAACCCCGTTTCTCCTAAAATACAAAAAAAAAAGTTAGCCGGGCGTGGTGGCTAATCCCAGCTACTCGGGAGGCTGAGGCAGGAAAATCGCTTGAACCTGGGAGGCGGAGGTTGCAGTGAGCCGAGATTGTGCCATTGCATTCCAGCCTGGGCAACAAGAGTGAAACTCCATCTCAAAAAAAACAAAAACAAACAAACAAAAAAACAAAAGAACTAGAAGAAAATACTGGTTAATATTTACCTAAACAAAAAGATTAACAGTATTTTTGATGTTTAAATAAAAAATCCACCACAAACTAGTTTAAAAGGGGATGACAGGCTGGGCACAGTGGCTCACGCCTGTAATCCCAACACTTTGAGATGCTGAGGCGGGTGATCACCTGAGGTCAGGAGTTCGAGACCAGCCTGGCCAACATGGTGAAACCCCATCTCTACTAAAAACAAAAACTAGCCAGGCGTGGTGGCACGCGCCTGAAGTCCCAGCTACTTGAGAGGCGGAGGCTGCAGCGAGCCGAGATTGTACCACTGCACTGCAGCCTGGGTGACAGAGCAAGACTCCATCTCAATAAAACAAACAAAAAAAAAGGGGGTGACAAAATGGAAAATAAAGTCACATTTATGGCAAAGTGTTAATTAGCTTAATCTGTAGAAAGCACAAATAAAAGAGGGTAAATCCAATAGAAATTGATAGAAATCCAGTATCACACAATTTTATGTGTGATAAATTTGACAAAGGTTTAAAAATGAAGTTCAAGGAAATAGTGAAATGGATATACATATATATTATAGGTGAGATTACAAATTGGTACACTCTATTTCTAAGAATTTATTTACCAAAAAAAAGGCGATGCACACTAAGATATATGTCCAAGAATGATCACTCCAGTCTTCTTTATGAAAGCAAAAACTTTGAAACAACTAAAGGACCATAAAATGGAACTGGTTAAATACTACATGGTTTATCCATATGTTGAAGTACAAAGAAGCCCTTTAAAATCATGTTTTAGAAGAATATTTAATGATGTGGGAAAATGCTATTTTGTTATATAGAGTAAACAAAGTTTTAAACACAATTGAAGCAACCACAACTTTCATTATCAGTACCATTATTCTTCCTTATCAATGGCATGATTCGTGCTGCAAAATGAGAAGCAAGTTTAACAAAGCAGGATAAAGCAATGCCGGCGGTATGACTGTCCTCTACTGGAAGCATAGTGGGGTATGCAACTTAAAACTATTCAGAGAACTTCCTGGGTGGCAAGTGAGCTAAGTCAGCAAAGAAAAGGATGATCAGGCTGGCCTATGGGTACACAGGCCAAATCTCAGGTGAAGAGAGGGGAGCGTGTGCACAAACAGACTCTCGGTTGCCTGGGAGGGTGTAGAGAAAGGATCTCCCTACTGGGGTAATGGATGTATTGACCATGACCAAAGACCATGAGAAGCCATCACAGGGCAATGACATGATGAATCTGATGTTCTTAAAAAGATCACTCAAGCAATGGTGTGGGAAGGACTGGAGGACTTAACCTGGAAACAGAGATGAATTGATCCAGGGATGGGAGTCTGAATGAAGGCTGAGGCAGTCGGGATAAAAAAGAGTGGGGGTGGATTTCAGAAATCTTTTGAATTAGGAGGATGGTGTTAGGACCCCCTGAATACATAGGGTGAGAGAGAGAAAATCATAAATGATTGAGCATTTTCTGGACAAATGCTTGAAATCAGGTTTATAATCATTTATGAGTTTCAGTTATTAACATGGAATTTATTCCTTATCATCAAAGATCATACTAAAATGGATTCCTACCAAAACAATTAAATATATATCATGAAAAACTGTGACTAATATCCAAAAAGAAGGCAACTCACTTGAAGCTTGCCCAGTGGTAAGTCCTCATCTCTAAAAACCGGCAAACGACCATGCCCAGCCAAATGCCACCGCCATTGCACAACAGGATGTCCAGAATGACTTGATCCCACCAGCACTCGGCAAAATTGGGGAGGAGATGCATGAAGAAGAGCTGAGAAACACAAGAGCCCATGGTTGGAAAAATAAACAAAACTGGGGTACCATGCAGATAGATAGATTTCCTTTTTAACAATACATTATTTTAGAAGAAGTTGTTGACA
The DNA here is from genome assembly GCF_000001405.40 of Homo sapiens. NCBI lineage: Eukaryota > Metazoa > Chordata > Mammalia > Primates > Hominidae > Homo > Homo sapiens. The sequence continues at coordinate 96,299,584 of NC_000008.11, read as the reverse complement.
TTTCATTTTTTCCTAATGTACAGAAAATAACCAACAGTAACAGGTTCTGCAATCTGTTTCTTGTTTTTTATATTGCAGATGGTTTGCAAACAAACAGCACATATCCAAACAGCTCTTCTCTTTTTGACACAGGGCTTTTAAAGAAAGAATGGTCTCTCTTGAAAAATACTACCAATTAATTACCTTGGCTAATGACAACATGACAAGGATCTGGGAGGGGAAAAGGAGAAAAGTTTCCAACCCTGACAACAAAGCATTGTCATAATTCTCAAAATTAGCAGCTTGAGAATTCAAGTTGTGCATTTCAAAAATATCCCCTAGATATTTAGGTAAAACAGTGAGTAAGTTGTAAAAGAACAGTTAGCTCTTGATGACACGATGTAGGAAGCATGACAGCTTAATAGGAAATCTCACACCAACTGATTCACAATAATGACAATCTTTTATTAAGTGCCCATGATGTGCAAGGTGGTGAGAGAAAAGGAAGTCAAGGGTCTTGATTTCAAGGACAGGTGTCAGATGTTGTATTTTTTTTTTTTTTTTCTGAGACAGAGTCTTGCTCTGTTGCCCAGGCTGGAGTGCAGTGGTGCGATCTCGGCTCACTGCAACCTCTGCCTCCCGGGTTCAAGCAATTCTCCTGCCTCAGCCTCCCAAGTAGCTGGGATTATAAGCACACACCACCATGCCCGGCTAATTTTTGTATTTTCAGTTGAGCCAGAGTTTTACCATGTTGGCCAGGCTGGTCTCGAACTCCTGACCTCATGATCCACCTGCCTCAGCCTCCCAAAGTGCTGGGATCAGATGTTTATCCAGATAACCAGAACCATAAAATATGGTAGACTGAGGAAAGTGTTACAATGGTGACATAAATGGAGTATGGTGGAAAAAAACATTCATTCTGACTGAGGCTGAAGGTTCTTTTGGCCTCTGGAACTTTCCTGGAGAGGGCTTCTACAAGAAAGACATATTGGAGGGGGAACGTTAAGGACAAGAATGACTGATTTCATGAGATGGAGATGAAGATGCGGGCATTCCAGGAAGGGGAAACAGTAAGATCAAGGGTGGAACAGAAGTTCTCTAGAAATCAATTTGTTTTGTCCAAAACAAAGGGCATATCCACTGTGTTCAGAACAGCATGCCCACTGAGTGTGAAGGCCCAATGTAAAAAGATGAAATTACTAAGACAATGCCTGGGAGTTCTCTGGAAAGAGACAAGCCTGTAATTACAAACCTTTGAAGTAATATAATAAATACTGCAAAGATAAAACAGTATTCATGAAAGCATTTTGTAAGCTATAAACAAATTATAAATATGAGGAATTTTTTGTTCTTAATGAACCTGCTGTCAAGAAGCTACAGAGTAGCTGCTGCATGTGATGGCTTGTGGCTGCATTCTTAACCCCAGGGGCCTGGTACTACCCTTGAAGTGTATTCCCAGGTTCCAAGCCACGAGATGGAGCCTTAACTCTTGCCCTTAGAGAGGGAAGGGAGAAACTTCAGCAGAAGTCAATGACACATATTTGCTGAAAGAAAACTATGCAAGAGAAAGTGGGATGTGGAGGACATCCTCCAGCCTAAGGAACTTTCCTGGAAGGTACCAGGTTCTGGGGGTGAGATGGGCCCCCGATAGACCCAAGCCCAAGGAGGAGGGGGCTGCATTCTTTCATTCACTACAGATTTGTGGAGCATCTGCCATGTATAAGGCAAAGTCCTTGGGTCTGGGAATACATAGGCATGGGCCCTGCCCTCTTGAGGCACAAGGATTAGCAGAAGAGACACTTATCGAGTGTCTAACACGTGAGGAGCATTTCAAAGGAGAGTGGCGAGGTGTTCTATTTCCAGCTGTATGAAGGTGGAGCACAGTTACTGGAGGGGCAGGGAAAGCCTTCCAGAGCTGAGCTCTGGAGACAGCTTGTTAGCAGGTGAAGGGCAAGAAGAGAGGGAGGAGCAGCAGGTAGGACTCTGTGGTGGGGAAGACAGCAGAGGCGGCTGCAGCACTGAGGGCAAAAATGAGGCATGATGAGGCTGAGGCTGCAGGCAGGGGCCGGTGAACCTGGAGCCTCGTAGGCAGGGTTGGAAGTTTGGATTCTATTTTAAGAGTAATGGAGGCCTGGTACGGTGGTTCACACCTGTAATATCAGCACTTTGGGAGGCTGAGGCAGGTGGATCACCTGAGGTCAGGAGTTAGAGACCAGCCTGGCCAACATGGCGAAACCCCATCTCTACTAAAAATAAAAAGTTAGCTGGGTGTGGTGGCACACGCCTGTAATCTCAGCTACTTGGGAGGCTGAGGCAAGAGAATCGCTTGAGCCCAGGAGGTGGAGGTTGCAGTGAGCCAAGATCGCACCACTGCATTCCAGCCTGGGCAACAAAGCAAGACTCCGTCTCAAAAAAAAACAGAGTAATGGACAAACACTAAAGAGCTCTGAGTAGGAAAGAGCCTTGGTCTGGTGGGGTCTAAAGAGGATCATTTGGCAATAAATAGTGAAGAGACAAGCAATTCTGACAGAGATGACCATGGATTAGAGACAGGTGGGAGCAGAGGTCTGAAGAGACGTCAATGGACGACTGGGTGCTTAGAAGACTCTACAGAACTCTATAGGGCCTGGTGACCACAGGCACTGGGAAGCAGGGAAAGAAGGTACAGCAGATGCCCAGTCTGCAGTGCAAGGGGGAAGCAAGCGAGGCCGACAAGGGCCAGGTGCCTGACACAAGCCTATGCAGCGGCTGGGTTCCAAAGACACTTGGAATTCAGAGGTGGAATGTGGTATAAGGGCAGGAACGTGGGCTTCACATCTGGAATCCAATCCTAACTCACCTAAGGAAGCAAGGCTGTGCACTCCAGATCCCCCACCTGTACAGTGAGAACCTATATGCACCGCCTTTCCCGGTTTGTTGTGAGGACTTAGAAGGCATATGTAAAGTGTTGGGCACTATTATGGATCGGTTGAATTGTGTCCTCTCAAAACTCCTATGTTGAAGCCCTAACCTCCAATATCTCAGAATTTGAGCTTATTTGGAGATAGTCATTGGAGAGGTACTTTGTTAAGATGAGATCATAGGCAGTACAGTGAGCTGCTAATCCAATATGACTTGTGTCCTTATAAAAGGGAATGCTCTTGTGTCCTTATGAAAAAGAACACATGGGGCTGGGCACAGTGGCTCACGCCTGTAATCCCAGCACTTTGGGAGGCTGAGGTGGGCAGATCACAAGGACAGGAGATTGAGACCATCCTGGCTAACATGGTGAGACCCCGTCTCTACTAAAAATACCAAAAATTAGCTGGGCGTGGTGGCACACGCCTGTAGTTCCAGCTACTCGGGAGGCTGAGGCAGGAGAATGGCGTGAACCCAGGAGGCGGAGCTTGCAGTGAGCTGAGATCGTGCCACTGCACTCCAGCCTGGGCGAGAGCAAGACTCTGTCGCAAAAAAAAAAAAAAAAAAAAAAAAAAGAACACCATGAAGGCTCAGACACGCACAGGGAGAATGCCACATGACCAGGAAGGGGTCATGCATCAACAAGCCCAGGGACCACGACTGCCAGCAAACCACAAAGATAGAGAAGGAGCCTGAAAAAAATGCTCCAAAAGGCCCCAGGGGGAACCAGTCCTGCCGACGCTTTGATCTTGGACTTCTGGCCTCCAGAACAGTGAGAGGCACATTAACAGAAGCCACATCTAGTTGGCACACGTCTCTAAGTTAGGGTCAGGACAATGATGAGCATGGAGAAGTATACTGCGCATGTGGACGAATTCTGTTCACTGGGAATGATTCATAATAATAGAACAATAATGAGTTAGTTCCCAAAATTTCATTTTGCTAATGGTTTTTCAAGACTATAACTCTTTTATTAAGTAAATGCAACAAACTTTTGATTACTGACATATTAGAGCTAACATTTGGAATCCATTTTGCAGCTACCAAATACCCTGGATGCTCTTATAGTACTTGAACACACAATTCTATTATCTCAAACTGGAAGCTAGTTAGTAGGTCAACTGATCTATTGAATTCTAAGCAGGTCTCCTCATTCCCATTTATTTGTCTTACTTGGAATTTTAACTTCATTCTTTAGCTTTATTTCATTTGTTTCTCTTTAAGACTTGCAGGACAGAGGTGCACTTTATTAAGTTAACAAGGAGGTATTTTTAATATTTGCTTGTTTTTTAAACAGAAGTATTAAATATTCTTATGGGATGGTTTAAATACTGTTTTGTACCACAGGGGCTGGAGAACGGATTAACTGACTGTTAACTGACATACTTTTTCCTATATATAAACTACACACATGGCACAGTCTGGGGAACCCCCAATGCCCTCCTTCTTACCTCAGTCAGCTCCCAGGTAATACTGATTGTCCAGCAGAGACCGTAACTACGGATCAGCAAGGCCTTCATGGCCCAGCCCCAGAAATGTCCAAATGCAAAAATATCAAAGTGGCTGATAATCCTCTCCCAGGTGATCACATGGCAGTTCACAGCATACTCCTATTTAAAATAAAAAAGAGAATAATTAGTGAAACTCTAGAAATCAACTTGCTTCCAGGATTCTGCCGGTAAATAAAAAGAATAGATATGAACTTGACAACAAATAAGTCCTGCTCAGTAACAAATGAGAAAGTTTTAATAACTTAAGGGCCTTGAGGGAAAATAGACAAGTATTTGAGTTTATAAATCAAAACTGCTTTGCTCTGAATTGCAAAAGCTGCATTAAAATGAGAAGCAAAATAATTTTACAAAGGCTCAACATATCCTAAAGAAGTGGTATCACATAGATCATGTCATCAGACCACAGGGCAACAATATTAAAGCCAGTAACTAAAGCACAAATAAAAGATTCCCAATAGATTTGGAAATTTAAACACACATTTCTAAGTATCATGGATTAAAGAAGAAATCATAATAGGAATTTTTTTTAACGTGTCATAATGATAACGAAAATACACCACGTAAAAATTGAACTTTAGAGGAAAATGTAAAGCCTTAAATAGTTATGCTAGAAAAAAGAAGAAAAGCACCCAACTTCAGTAATTAAAAGAGAACTCCCCTCCCCAAAAATATATCGGATACTACATAATTTAAATATTAAAAATTACAAAGCTTTTCAGAATGTTGGTTCCATTTCTAATATCTTTGTTTTTGATTATACGTATTTCTAAGTAATTTAATATCTTATCATATGACTGCATGACAATATGATAATATAACATTTACTGGGAATCTCTACATTTCACATCCTTTCTTCCCAAAATTAATTTGACAGGCAGTAGTAAGAGTTGGCAAATATTCACCCCCTATTATCAGCCAGCTGAAAAAAATTCCTATAAACTATAATAGTTTTAAATTCCAGAAATGATACTTTCTGAGAGCAAAAGAGCTTCCCTGTCTCTTCTGAAACCCACCACACATCAGATTTCCTTCTCAGATAAAATGCATTTCAACTTGCAAAGCTGAACAAACATTTTTAAGAATTCTATTTTTTGAGAAGCAGTATGATGTGAGATTATGCTGTGTAAATGGGAAATCTGGAGAAAAGAGGATAAAATTCAATAGGGTAAGTCAAGATAAGGCTTTAAAAGAAACAAACTGCCCTGCAATAAGATGAAAAGTTTCTTCCCGGACTCTGGAACAGCACGTTCTTGTCACAGAGAATCACAGGCTGACAGAGGGAAATGCCCTTAGCTGAAGCAGGTTGTATATTAGGTTAAGGAGCAGGGCCACGTCCAGTCAACCTCAAATGTCTCAACCACCCCACCCTCTTCTTTACTCTGGAATACACTGTGTAGGGTTAGATAAGGAAGGGGTAAGATCTGTTTTTAGAAGGCTGCTCTTAAAGTAATCACAGCTTGCAGATAACTCTGGAGGACTTTACACTCTATTAAGTAGCTCTATGCTTTGACATGCGGAAAGGCATTTTAAAAATCATAAAGACCAATCCGTCTATTTGCAGTATAGTTAGTAATGAACAGATTTGCCAATTATCCCCTCATAAGACCTGAGGTCCTTGTCCTGGAAGGGCCACAGGGCATTGCAGTTTAAAGCAGCCAGAGAGCTGCATGCAGGCAGAACCCTGGGAACCAGGAGGAACAGGCTTTAACTGAAGACAGTGTAGAGCTGAAGCCTGGAAAGGGGGTCAAGTGGACAGGTGCATGCCTGTGAGCAAAAGATGGGTAAAGACAGATTCTGCTGACTTCCCAACTGGTCCTAGGCTGATCTTGGCGGCCTTACCCTCTGCCTTGCTTGCTGGACACCTAACCAAATACCAAGTCCTATTCACTTTACCTCCCCAGGTTGTTCTTTTATGCATCTCGCTGCCACTATTATTTCTTGCTTAGACTTCCATAATAATAGCTTTTGAAAACTGTGGAATGTGTCAGGCATATAACAAAGTATAGATGATGCTATAATAAGCACCTAGGTATTCACATCTAGCTTACGACTACAGAGAGATCTTGAAAATCATAATCAGATCACGGAACGTGCATGCATGTGTGTAAGGGTGTCTGGGGCAGGAGGTGGGAAGAAAGGGGTTGGGTAGCATGCCCGTCCCAATGTAGAAGGATCTCCACTACTACACACGCCAGGTCTCCAGCCCAACTATCTCTTCACTCCTCTCTGGGGCAGTTGCTGACTTTGGAAGAAGAAAGAGATCCAACCTCTTTTGGGTCCTCTTTGGAAATTATTTGCTTACAGACAGCACAGGTTCTCATCAGCTCCCCCAGCCATGCAGCAATTTTTGTGGGTCAGGCCCTGCTTTGCAGAAGCAGCTTGTGGTTGTCTAATGGGCTAGGGGAAGACAGGCTTGCTTAATTCAGCCCAGGTCTAAAGCAATCTGCTCCACTGAGCTTTCACAGGAAGAAATCAGCTGAGATTTTGAACTCTTGTTTCTGTTTCCAAACTCAACTAGAAATGGAGGTATTTATTGATTGACCTCCTAAAACATCAACACAGGTCATGTAGCTCCTCTGCTTATAAACCTTCCATGGCCTTTTCATACACTTAGAATAACACCTAAACTCCTCATCCCAGCTGGCTCAGCCCTGGCAGCCTCCTAGCCTCAGGCAGGGCCCTCTGCCTCATGATCTGGTCCCAGCTCAGACTGGTCCCAGCTCCCCACACCCCCAATCAGGACCTCTACACAGACTGTACCATTTTTAACTATCGTGCTTCCTTGAATCTATGACACGTCTTTTTCACACTGTATTGTTTTGAGAATTAGGGTGACTATTTCAATATATTACAATGTATAGCACTTTAAATATAAGGTTTCTTTTCTTTTTTTTTTTTTTTTTTTTTGAGACAGCGTTGCCTAGGCTGGAGCGCAGTGGCACCATCTCGGCTCACTGCAACCTCCGCCTCCCGGGTTCAAATGATTCTCCTGTCTCAGCCTCCCGAGTAGCTGGGATTACAGGTGCGTGCCACCACGCCCAGCTAATTTTCATATTTTTAGTAGAGACAGGGTTTCACCATGTTGGTCTCAAACATGGTCTCAAACACCAGGCTGGTCTCAAACTCCTGACCTTATGATCTGCCCACCATGGCCTCCCAAAATGCTGTGATTACAGGCATGAGCCACCATGCTCAGCCCCAGGTTTCTTTTTTTCTCCTCCAAAAAGTCATACCTATAATTGATGGTGCATCTTAAAACTGATGTTGACCTCACAAAGCCATGACCAATCTTAACATTATAAAAAGCGAGACCACCAGACACTGTGTGCCTCCTAGTGTGATACGCAGCACCAGCTATGAAGCAGTCCCACTATAAAAACTGATCTGGAATCTAGAATCTCATCCAGCCCCTACACCTGAGTTCTACTTTATAGAAGATATAGGGGGACAAAAAGAACATGTTAAATGATGATACTGCAAATGCAGCTGCAAAATCCAGATGTGAAAAACCCTATAGAATAAGCAATGTGGTTTCTTTGACAAATAAATTTTCAGGACATGATGAGGGGAATTACAGATGAAAAGAGATTTAAAAGACATATCATATGCAATGTGTAAACCTTGTCTGGATCCTATTTTGAATAAATCAACTATACAGAACATTTACGAAGCGACTGCAGAAATGTCAACACTCACTGCGTACTGTTCACTGTTCAGTGGTTATGCCAAAAAAAAAAAAAAAAAGAAAAGCCCATCTATTTTAGGTTTAATTCCTGAGAACTGTTTCAAAATATTCCAGGATGTGGGATGAAAAGGTGGAACAAGTTTGGGCCTGTGTCAATAATACTGACACTGGGTGATGGGTACATGAAGTTATAGATTCTCTCTACTCTTGCATAGGTTTAAAATTTTTCATAATAAAATTCTAAAAAGCTGTTGAAATTGTCTTAGGGTTCAATAGCCAACAATTATTTGTTTAATTTGCCTTCTAGTAGACTCTAAGCTCTAAGAGGACAGGGAACATGCCCACCCTCTCCCCCACTCCCACCAGCATGGGATGGTGTCTTATGCAGAAGAAAAGCTGGGTCAGCATTAATTAGCCAAAGACTGCTGCTTCAAGACAACCCAGTATTGAAGCTTAAAGACATATTTTTGAATAGAATCAATATTTTGAAATGCAGCAACTTTTCAATTACACAAAAAACTGCCTCTAACGGGATTTCAGTGATCCAATTTATAATATTTATAATATTATAATATTAATTCTAAGGGATTTATAATATTTTATAAATGTTTATAATATTTATAATATATATTTTATGAATATTTATATTATATAATATTTTATAATATTAATTTATAATATTAATTCTAAGGGAAAATGAAGTCTGAGTTTCAATGTATGATACCAGGCATGGATCATGGTCTATCAAGATTAGGAATGGGTAGCAACATGAAGGAGTGGAGAGAGTAGGGACTCTGGGAAGCCAGGAATTATAGACCTGTCTTGCATAAAGGAACCACTAATGAATAGGTCCTTAGAATTGCAAAAGACAATTTAAAGAAGTATAAAGGGATGGGATTAGAGATGGAGAAGATGAGGCTGTTTTAGCACCAGTTAGAACTCTACAGGCTGAACACAGCCTCGTGCTTTACTTTGGCAAGAAAGATTTAGCCAATACTTGAAAACTAGAGTTTAAAAGCCAGGTTCAGCTACTTGGGGCTGTAACTTTGACATCTGGATGTCCCTGTGATGTCAAATTCTTAAGAAAGCCAGGTGTCAAGAGCATTATCATTCGATTCAATCTCCTCCTACTGGCTGTGAGAACTGGATCAGCAGAGGCACACAAGCACATCCACCTGCAAGTCAGTTTACTTTGCAATGTGACCACTTTTGTTCAAAAATGCAAGAAAGATGTTTGGGAAAATATTACACTTGGGGTATCTTTCTCCCAATTTCTATTTCCTAAGGCTCCTGTGAGCATCAAAGCACTTATTTTTATAACTATATACTGAAAGCACACTCCAAATGAAAAGCACAGGTTTTGACGCCAGAGAGATCCATCGGCTTGTGTTTTCAGTGAGATACTGCATTTTAAGCTTCCATCTCCTCCCCTGTAAAATGGTGATATGAACATCTAGCATGCATGCACGAGGCTTATGTAGAATATAAAGAGCCCTGCACAGTGTCTGACATAGACAATTCATAATAAATAACTGCCCTTATTCTCATAACCGTCATCTGCATTATCATCATCATCATAGGCTAAGAAGTCAACCTCCGTCATTCTCTCCCTTAGAGTAAAAAAATTCCAAAACAGACTTTCTCCCCCAAGACTGATAAATAATTTCTGGCATTCTTATTTTTGCTTTAAGCATATCCCTTAAAAAATTTATAGATAACAATCTTTAAATACCACTCTAAGAAGGATTTGACCAATGTCACCATGGGGGAATGATTATTTCTTGGACCTTTTATGAAGTCCCTTTGTGTTACTTCTTGTTTGTCAAAGCAAACCCATCTATGGCCCAAATTCCCGTTCTCCTTTTCAGAAAAAAATTAACCTGTACCAAATGTTGGGATTAAAAAACATTGGAAAAGAACACATTATAGTATAAAATAGTGTGATATTGTGATTCATAATAAATACATAATTTGGTCCTTGTCCCCAGTTCCTAGCCCAGAGCTCCGGAAACCCTTGCAATTTCCTGACCAATAGGGGTGCCAGGTGCATCTTTTGTTCTAATATCTGTTCTTTGACCCCAGTTACTGACACAGAGCTCCTAATTCCTTGGAGTTTCCTGGGTGATAGGAGCATCTTTTGTTCTAATGAGGTGACTTGGTAAGTTCCTGGGTTGGGGCTGATCATCAGAAAGACCAAACCATGATTAGAAGCCTAGAACTTTCAGTCCCACCTTCCATCCTCCGGAAAGGAGAGCAAGACTGGAGATTGAGTTAAAAATCATGGGGGTCTGGGTGCAGTGGCTCACACCTGTAATCCCAGCACTATGGGAGGGCAAATCACCTGAGGTCAGGAGTTTGAGACTAGCCTGGCCAACATGGTGAAACCCTGTCTCTACTAAAAATAGAAAAATTAGCCAGGCGTAGTGGCAGGCGCCTGTAGTCCCAGCTATTTGGGAGGCTGAGGCAGGAGAATTGCTTGAACCAGGGAGGTGGAGGTTACAGTGAGCCGAGATTGTGCCACTACATTCCAGCCTGGGTGACAGAGCGAGACTCCGTCTTGGAAAGAAAAAAAAATTGATCATGGGCCAGTAGTGGTGGCTCACACCTGTAATTCCAGCACTTTGGAAGGCTGAGATGTGTGGATCAGTCAAGGTCAGGAGTTTGAGACCAGCCTGGCCAACACGTTAAAACCCTGTCTCTACTAAAAATACAAAATTAGCCGAGTGTGATGGTGCATGCCTGTAATCCCAGTTCCTCAGGAGGCTGAGGCAGGAGAATCACTTGATCCTGGGAGGCCAAGGTTGCAGTGAGCTGAGATCACACCACTGTGCTCCAGCCTGGGCGACAGAGTGAGGCACCATCTCAAAAAAAAAAAAAAAAAAAAAAGGCCAAGCGTGGTGGCTCATGCCTGTAATCCCAGCACTCTAGGAGGCCGAAGCAGGCAGATCATTTGAGATCAGGAGTTTGCGACCAGCCTGGCCAACGTGGTGAGACCACCGTCTCTACTAAAAATACAAAAGTTAGCCGGGTGTAGTGGCAGGCGCCTGTAATCCTAGCTATTCGGGAGGCTGAAGCAGGATAATCGCTTGAACCTGGGAGACAGAGGCTGCAGTGAGCCGAGATTGTGCCACTGCACTCCAGCCTAGGCAACAGAGTGAGACTCTGTCTCAAAAAAAAAGATCATGCCTATGCGATAGTCTCCATAAAAATCTCTGAACTCTGGGGTTCAGAGTTTCCAGGTTAGTGAACACATCCACATGCTGGGAGGGTGGTGTACCCCAACACCACAGAGACAGAAGCTTCTGCCCTGAGGACTCTGCTGGACCTCACCCTAGGTACCTCTCCATCTGGCCATTCACCTGTATCCTTTATCATGTCCTTTACAATAAGCCGGCAAACTTAAATATTTCCCTGAGTTCTGTGAGCCATCATAGCAAATGATTGTGCACAAGGAGGATATTGTGGGAACCCCTGATTTGTAGCTGATTGGTCAGAAGCACAGGTGACAGCCTGGACTTGCGAGTGGCATCTGAAATGTGGGCAGTCTTATGGAACTGGGCCCTTAACTAGTGGGATCTGACGCTAACTCCAGGTGTCAGGAAAGTTAGAGAATTGGCTGGTGTGGGAAAAACCTACACATCTGGTCACAGAAGTGTTCACCGTCAGTGAAGAGAAAAATAGTTGGTTTTTCCCACATAATTAGTCTCTTCAGTAAAAGCCAAAATAGAGTCGTTTTAGCCAAGAATAAAATTTTTTTGTATGGTTCGATAAAAATAATAGTAACAAATGAAATAAACTAATTCATGACTACTGGCCTCTCTGTGGCAAGCAGTGGAGCAGGATCAAGGCATCAAGGCCAGAGAGTGCAGGTGCTGAGAGTGACATTGACAGGTGCAGGGGCAGCCACCGTGACCCAGGGCATGGCCCAACAACATGGGGTGTTGGGGGCACCATGGCAGACCTCGCAGTAGGCCCCACAGATAATGCTACTTTGTTCACTTCACAATAACCCCCAAGTAAGTATTACTATGTCAACTTACAAAAAAATGGAATAATCTGACAAGTACTTTGCCCAAAGTCCCACAACTACCAAGTAACAGAGGCAGAATTCACACCCAAGGCTGTCTGACGATAAAGTGTGCATTCTTCCTCACAGACCCCTTTGCGTAATGAGAGGATTTTCTTTCCCTGAACTCTATCACCTGTGGACAACCATGCAACTCAACAACCCTCCCAGAGACCTGGTTTTTAGGTAACTACACAGGAAATACAGAGAAGGAACAATTTAAAATGTCAAGTCTATTACCTCTTACACCCAAGAAAGAGTCTACGAGTTTCTCCAAGAGGCCACTGACAAGTACATACCATGACATCTGCTTCCCTTGTGGCGTATCGAAGATTTGGATCTAGCCAATACATTAGAGATTTAACCTGCTCGAAATTCAGGAAGAGTAGGAATACCAGGAACAGGAAGTAGAGCACACTGAGTCCTGAGAGAAACAAAAACATGCTGAAGTTTAGAAGAGATCCAATAGTCAGACACACACAATACACATTAGACTCGAATGGCATTGCCAAAACCAGACACTAAGATTGCAGCACAGCCTGTCAAGACTCCTCTTATAATCTGGGATTTCCCTTGATGAGGCAGTCTGATACACAGTCCTAATTCAGATTGAGAGTGGTCAAGAAAACCATCTCTGAGAAACTGATGCTAACTTAGACTGAGACTTGAAGGATCATGAGGCAAAGGGTGTGCGGGGTGGGTGTGAGGATTGCACGCAACATTCAGGTAGAGAACAGCATGCAGGTCGGTTTCCGAAAAGAGAAATATCTAGGACCCCGTATGTGGCTAGAGCACTGGCAGAGAGGGGAATGGAGCAAGGCGGCCCTGAAGTGACCATCAGGGCTTAAAGGCCACGGCCAACATTTCAGATATGATTGTAAGTTAAGTGGGGAAATAAGATGATCTAGGTAACATTTTAAAAAGCCAACTAAGTGGACTGGAGGAGGGCAAGGCTGGGTGTGGACAGTACTACCAGTGTAAGGTTCAAGAGGTGGCCCAGGGCCACTTTTTTGAGACTTACACTCCACATTACCCCGTGTAGGCATTATTTTATTGTTCTATCATCTCATAATTGCTATCCTAATAATCACTATGTGTCATTTTAAAAAGAAATGTTAACAATGCACTTTTAGAAGGCAAAACCCTGTCCAATACGTTTTAGAGAGATTTCAGAAACGATCACGAGGGGTTTTGTGGTTTCTCTTTCCCTTGAACTCATTGGAATTAGAATGTTTATGCGGGACATTTAGAGACCGTGATACAAATGACCTTGGATCACAGCATCCATCCAAACTTGGCTCAGCACTAATCTCCAGTGAGCCACTCCAGAGGAGAGCACGTCCGTGGCTGGAATGAAATCCACTGCAAGCGCTATAGTGCCAGACCTTCTAACAGGCACCCCTCTCCTGGCCTCAGGGAGTTCAAGGGAGGCCCGGGTGGTATGTGGCCAGCCCATAATTGTGCATCCTAGGGCCCAGGGAATGCACATTTTTTAGGCAAGTTGATATGAGAATTGCCTTCAGTTTGCACTTATGCACCACCCATTTTTTACCAATTTTCACCACAAACGCCCCCCACTACACTTTTTAATAATTATGATCCTCTTGAATAATTACATTAGGACAGAAAGAATCTGTGGTGCAGGGATTCTCAATCTGGAGTTCTTGGTTGGGCTTCGAGGTCTGTGAAGCCCTGGACACTATATGCAGAGCTGTGCATGGTCAATGTCCATGGATGCACACATAGGGAATGGGTCTATCTATAGGTCTCATCGGATTATCAAAGGGCTCCATGCTCCCAAAGGCTCTCAAGAAGGAAATAAAACTGCTTACTACCTACCATAGATCATTTGAAATAGGAAGAATTCAGATGTGTCCAAATAGCTGAAAATAACTTATAACTTCAAACAGCACTATTGAATCAATGGGAGGTATGCACGTTATAGCCAGGACTATCTTTTTGAAAATGTAAATGGAATCAGGTCACTCTAGGAAAAACCCTCCCATGATTTCCCCCTGCCCTTCATGCCCTGCTCTTTACCCTGGCCCACAGTCCCCATGATTACATCTGTGCCCGATGACTCTCTGACTTCTCTCCTACTCTTCTCCCAGGGTGCACTATACTGGGGCCACACTGGCCTGGAAGTGGTTTCTAGCTGTGGGCCATTTTGGCAGCTTTTCCTCTTGCCTGGGATGCTCCCCTCCCCCAGAATCTTTGCAGGCTTGGATCCTTCTTTGTATGACAGTTTCAGACTTGGCATCACTCCCTCAGGCCTCCCATCACTCCTCAAGCTAAACCAGACACCAGCTCCTGTCACCTCCCTTGGTCTTAACTAGCTTCCTACTAACTCCAGATAGCTGATATTTTTTTGATTACTGATTTGTGTAATAGTTTGTTTACTAGCTGTCCTTTGTCTCCAAGTGGAAGGGCAGCTCCTTGAGGGCAGGCTCCTGTCTGTCTGGCCTTCCCTGGTGGCCTCAGGGCACAGAGCAGCATCTGTCACACAGCTCACTCAGTGAATGGCTGCTGAGTGAAAAGTTCACCAATCAATTCAAAGAGACTAAGAGTTACCTAGAAGCTCTGAAGGCTGAAAGAAAAATAGGCAGCCTATAGCAAAATAGCAATTTCTTAGAGTTCTTGTACATTTTTACATAAGATTACATTTTCCAAACCTAAAATAATTTGGTGACTTATTTAGGTCAGATGAAGCCAATATCCAAAGTTTTGAAGATTCATTTTAAATCCTTTAGGTGATTTCACTATTTAGACTACAAAATTAAGTAAAAATAAGACATCCAATATTTATATGCTTATTTCTAACCCTTAGTTCAAATTAGGGTTCTTTGTCAGAAGTCTTTCTCTTTCCAAGTTCTTTCTCATTCATAAAACTGAAGAAATTGAATTGCTTTGTTTTCATTCCCTTCCAGATGCTCACAAGACAAATGTGCTCATCATAAGTTCTTGGGCTTGCACTAGTAAAAAGCACTATGAAAACACATAAAGGAAAACAAGAGATATTTGCTTAAGTCAAATCCTGTGTACATTAAGAGACAACAACATAAGGAGGCATGTGGAGTTGAAACAGTTCATGTGTAAGAGAATTTAAGTCATCCTCAACACTTTATTTTGTGTCAAATAATTTTAAGAAAACATGTATATTAGGAACATCAAAAAGCAAAAAGCTAGAATAAAGTTTTAACTATTGAGAGTAGCAAGTAAAAGTCTTAAAGTGATAAGCAGAAAAAAGATTAAAAAAATAGAACATCCTTTTACATTGCTAATATAAACTCACCAAAAACCATTCGCCATAAGGCTGGATGAGGTCGAGTGAACGGACCTGCAGATAAATAACATTATAAAGTTAGAAGGAACTGGTTTCAGAGAAGGCTAAAACTTAAGGTGCTGCTGATCTCCATACAGATAACAAGAAGAAAAAGCTCTCTACTGTTAAAAGTTTTTTTTTTTTTTCTACATAAACACTTTGAGGTCAAAGTTTGGTTGAAATGTTTTCTCCACATTATAACGACTGTCACCACAATCATCACAGGCACCACTCTCCACAACAGAGATTTTTTATAAAGCTTTGTCTTGAGAAGTCAGAACATAATTTCCCATGGAAACAATGTTGTAATAGTGAGTGGGTCATCAGGCTAGGCTTAAGTGTGTGTGATGCATATTGTACCTTAACAAGTAAAATGTCCCAGCTGCCCAGGAGCTCCAGGGAAAGAGGCTCTGGACAGCACAGTCATCATCATGTGTGTGCGTTTGCATGTGGGTGCATGCGTGTGTGTACGTGTGTGCACATGTGTGGGTGTGTGTGTGTGTGTGTGAGAGAGAGAGAGAGAGACTGAAAAATAACAGAGGAAACAGAAACATCATGTGGCTTTTCATTATGACCTGTGCTGACAAAACACCTCTGACATGGCAATCCAGTTCAGACACATGCAGATTCCACACAACTGAAACAAAAGTCTCATAGGACAAAACTTTCCCTTAAGACAAGTGATAGGCCAATACTTTCTCTTTTTTCATTAAAAAAGCAGAAGAGGGAGAAGAAAGCAAGCTGAGCCTTGACCTTACACCTCACAGCTATGGAAAAGCACCATTCTGGTGAGTACCTGTTCTATGCAGGTCTACCCACGCCTTTTGAACAGCCTTCCTACACTTGCGGAATTTCCAACTTTATGAATCCCATGTCCCCAGGAGAGACACCAGAGCTTGTTTCCCAGCCTTCTTTACAGGTAGGGCTCATTTTGCAGTGACAATCATGCCAGGCTTGGCCTCAGGAGCTAGTGACAGTAAAGGGAGTAGGTACAGCTCTCCTCTCTCTCTGTTTCTCTAGCCCTGGCCAGTAGGGGCAGTAGGCAGGTGGTGGCCATCCAAAGTGGCACTCCCTTAGAATCCATTGCAGAAGTGACACTGGGGCAGACCATAGCCCATGCTTGCTGGGGTTTCCTCCTTAGAACAGCTCTGTGGGTGGTGCCTGTTTCTGGAAGCTCAGAATATGGTTGGTTTCCTCCTTAGAACAGCTCTGTGGGTGGTGCCTGTTTCTGGAAGCTCAGACTATGGTTGGTTTCCAAGCAAGCCTATGACACTGTGAGCCACTCCTAGTCTTTAACAGGCTCTTTAATAAGCACAGTCAGCTTCTGTTGCTTGCAATCTTGAATCCTATCTGAGGCAAACATTCTGCTGCAATTTTTATTCCTGAATTCATTCTAAAATCATCTATATATTCTTAAAAAGACCACATTGAAATATATTTTAACTACTTTCTTTTGATAAGTCAAGTTCTTATTATGAAAATCAGTTACAAGTACCCCCCACCATTCAAATCTATCAGTGCCTAGGTGGCAGTTCGGATGGTGAGTTTGGTTCATGAGAGACTCTGCTTTATCCAAATGCATTTGCGTTTGGTTCCTGCGTTTTGGATGGCAGGTAGTGAGAACTCAGATGGTTAGGGGTTTATTGAAAATTCATCTAAATCTGTTTGATTTCTGAGTTCTAATAGTGAGGGCTCAGACAGTGAGGACTACCTATATTCCTTTTCAAAATCAGCTGCTTCTTTCTCAGAAAGTCACAGTGAAGGTTATAAACCAGGATCCCCCGCCAGGTAATGTGACACCATCACCTTTTGTCAAGTCATTGGGAAACTCATGGCTAAAATTATCATCTTTTAAGTTATTTTCACTTCCAAATGCTCCTCTTTACTCATGGTAGGCGATAGCTCTTGACTTGTCACCATAAGTGACTTCTGTATTTTGGTGGCTGCCTGGCTTGTAAATATTACTTTATCTATAACACTAAATTAACCTTTTAGATATAAAATGGGACGTCAGTTTTCTGTATAGTTTCCTCTTATAAGGTTCACCTCTAAAACTGTATGACCTATTATTTGGCTTGTGACAAAATCAGCACTTAAAAATTCTATAATGTTATTCTCAAGAGCAATCATAACGACAGGAGTCAGCAGTACCTTCCTGAGCACTTACTATGCACCAGGCTGTGGAATGAGACACCCCCACACAGTGTCATAAGGACTCAGTGACAAAGGTGTCATCATTACTCCCACTTTACAGATAAGGGTACTGAGGCAGAGGAACCTGCCCGGGGTCATGCAGCTCATGGAGTCCTCCTTAGTTCCATCAGAGCCTCCTGTGTCACCAGGCTGAGTCATGAGGAGCACCTGGGGACTTTCCTATGAACTTTCACAGAACTGGGTCAGCTCAGGAAGAGGAAAGGGTTAGAGACGGTATCTGAGGGTTGAGCGCGGACTGGTTTCAGAACCAGGAGAGTGAGGGGAAAGAAACAAGCTAGGAGTGTTTAGAGCCGATGCAACAGGGGGAAAGGCATGGCGCAGGCTTTACCATAATGTGGAACTGATAAGTAGGCTCAGGAAAAGCAAGACCAGGGAAAGGGCAGGGAACTGATAGCTCTAGAGATAAAAGCCAGGGACCACCCTAATCCAGGGAGGTGGGAACCACTGGTAACTTTTGCCTACAAAAGGTGAGATAAGGCCCTGGAATGTAAGGTGACCCTTTCAGTAACTAACTTCAAAACCCAGTCTAGGTTTGATTTCAACCATCAAATCTGCCGCCCTGCGAGTGTGAGCCTTGTCATAACTGCCCATTGCCTCCTGAGAAGAAACTCTGAATTTTTTAAAGTGGTATTTTAAAAAGTACATTTTAGTAGCATTATATACTAACAGTGCAATCTTTACTGTCAGACAGCAGTATTGCTAAAAGTATCATTTTACTTTTTTAAAAAAAATCGAGGATGAGGCTGGCATGTTCTAGATTATAAGTCCTGATACTTACGCTCACTAGGTTACTTGCACCTGGCTACTCCAGTCAAGTCACCTTTGCAGAGCCTAAGGGTGTATGTGCCAGGGGTGGGGATGCAACTGAGGAGGAGCCCCGCATTCCACAGCATCACCTGCCCGGCATGAGCCCCATCTGTAGCATCCTGTGAACATTCATGTCATCTCAATGCCTTCCCCACAGATCTTATTTCCCAACAGACTATTGACTACTTTCTCAGTGGTCTTGTAAAGGCAGGCTTCCTTTTCTTCTCTGACCATTGTTATGGTTCTGAGGTTATTAGAAGGGCTCAGCCTCATGGTTGCTTTCCACAGGAGTTCCTACTCCTTACCTGTGCTTTATATCGGATTTGATAAAAGCTGCCTGGGAGAATTTGGATCTGTGGTTTGGTTACTTACTCTCTTGCTTATGTTGGAGAATTGGGGAAGACTTCTTAGGGCAGTGGTGCAGCAACGAACGCTGGGTTTTGGTTTTCTTATGAGGGACATTTAAAAACTATGTGTTTTATTTACCGTTCCTTCCACCTAGAATACATCATTTTATTTTTCTTTTTTGTTTTTTTGAGACGAGTCTCACCCTGTCACCTAGGCTGGAGTGCACTGGCGCGATCTCAGCTCACTGCAGGCTTCAATCTCAGCTCACTGCAGGCTTCAATCTCAGCTCACTGCAGGCTTTGTATCCCAGATTCAAGTGATTCTCCTGCCTCAGCCACCCTAGTAGCTGGGATTACAGGCATGTGCCACCACGCCCAGCTAATTCTTGTATTTTTAGTAGAGACAGGGTTTCACCATGTTGGCGAGGCTGGTCTCAAACTCCTGACCTCGAGTGATCCGCCCACCTCCGCCTCCCAAAGTGCTGAGATTACAGGTGTCAGCCACCGTGCCTGGCCTAGAATACATCATTTTCAATCTTATATTAAGAGCAAGATTAATTTCAAAAGAACTAGAAACCAATGTCTTCATGAGAAGAGCTAGCATTTTAAAATCTACGTCAGAAATTAGAAAATAAGATCATTGCCTGACTCACCAGAAACTGTTATACCTAGAAAAAATTAAGTTCACAGGACTTCACCTTAGGGAAATAAAAGTATTTTAATAAAAATCAGACATTGCCTGTCCAACAGCTAACATTTGTATCCTCAGGCCAGAGGCTCCCTGGCAGACCCTCTTAGTCAGCTTCTCTTTTTGATTATTATTAGTTAGAGTTCTTCTAGGAAAATTTGAGAAGGTGAAAAAAATGATCTCTAGGCAACTTTCAAACCTAAGGAAAAGAAAATTTATTTATTTATTTATTTATTTATTTATTTATTTGAGATGGAGTATTGCTCTGTTGCCTAAGCTGTAGTGCAGTGGCGCAATCTCGGCTCACTACAACCTCCGCCTCCCGGGTTCATGCAATTCTCCTGCCTCAGCCTCCTGAGTAGCTGGGATTACAGGCATGTGCCACCCCACCTGGCTAATTTTTGTATTTTCAGTAGAGACAAGGTTTCACCATGTTAGCCAAGCTGGTCTTGAACTCCTGACCTCAAGTGATCCACCCACCTTGGCCTCCCAAAGTGCTGGGATTACAGGCGTGAGCCACTACGCTGGGCTGGAAAATTTTTTTTTTTTACAAAAAGTAGTGAAGGAGGGGACACAGGATGGAAGGAGAAAGGAACTTTTTTTTTTTTTTTAAATTTAGAAGATGGTGACCTTTTGGACCACTTCTAAACATCAAGGAGACATGATTATCATTATCTTAGCAAAGAGAAGTCAAATGACACAGAAGAAGAAACAATGATAAACTCAGGAAAAATAAGAAATACTAGTTTTTCACTCTCCTCAAAGACCGTAAAAAAGTGCTGAGTGCAGCCAGGTGTGCTGGCTCATGCCTGTAATCCCAACACTTTGGGAGGCCGAGGCAGGCAGATCACCTGAGGTCAGGAGTTCCAGACCAGCCTGGCCAGCATAGTGAAATCCTGTCTCTACTAAAAATACAAAAAAAAAAAAAAATTAGCTGGGCGTGGTGGCATGCACCTGTAATCCCAGCTACTCAGCAGGCTGAGGCACAAGAATCGCTTGAGCCCGGGAGGTGGAGGGTGCAGTGAGCCAAGATTGTGCTACTGCACTCCAGCCTGGGCAGAGTGAGACTCTGTCTCAAAAAAAAAAAAAAAAAAAGGGGGGCTGAATGGTGTTTCTCTTGCAGACAACAAAAGGGAAAAAAGAGGTCTTGTTCTGTGAACTTTTTTCCAGGTGGATTTATTATTTAATTCAGCATATATTCATGAGAAGTTAATAATGGGCCAGGCACTTGAAGTACAGATAAGGCTGGGCTGGTTTTGGGGGCGTGGTAAGGTGGAAAGGGGATGAACAACAGTTAAAGGGAGTTCTCAGAAGCAGGAAATGTACACCAGAAGGTCGACCGTTGAAAGAAATCTCCAGCCAACTGGAGACTCAAATAGGTTTCTAAATTTCACTCCAGTGATAGGGTGGTATAGTTAAAATTACACATACACTTGAGTGTCAGTTGCTATAATGGGATGAAGGTAGCCATTAAAACATTTTTGTAAGGAAGCCAAAAGAGAATGAAGAGGAGAACTGAAGAGGCGAAGAGGGCAGGAGAGAAGTGTAAATGCAGACATCAGACCCTCTCCTTCCCCTGCTCTCACTGCCAGCCCTCTCCCTCCACATCTGCTTATGGGACTGAATGAAAGAACTCTGGGACCTAATCCTACCACTCACCCTGTTGATTGTCACACAAAATTTTGTTTGAGTGTCCACTCCTCTGCCATATAGCTCAGGGGTGGATTCTAAACCAGCAGAGGTAATCCTAGTCCCCTGTCATTCTTCTAGCCAACAAATATCTGTTGAACACCTACTCCTCTAAACACTATAAATTTCTGTCCTTGGAACTGGTTGAGAAGAGACATGTGGCCCAATCCTAGTCAAAGACATGTAAGTGTGCTGGAGGATTGCTAGAAAAGGGGTCTCTACTCAAGTAAAGACACAAGAGAAGAGATGATCTCTTCATCTGCTGGCCATTGCCTGCCACTACATGGCTGGCACTGCAGGAGCTGTCTCAAGGCCAGCAGGGCAGACTGCAGCCTAGAAGACGGCAGAACAGAAAGGGGTAAAGAAGCTGGGTCTTCACAGGTCACTGAGCCGCTGAATAAGCCAGTCTGCCAACCACCCTATCTCAGAACGTCTTGTTACGTAAGAAAATAACGAATTTCCTTAGTGTTTAAGCCATTTTGAAATGCGTTTTCTATCACTTGCAGTCAAAAGCATCCTGACTATTATAAAATCCTATGGAGAAAGTCAAAGGTCTTTTTTGTTATTTAGACTCTACAAAAAGAATCACAAGGCTCCCTTCCTGTAGAAGTTGACCAAGTCTACTACATAGATAACATACATGAACTCACACATACGTGATGAGACAAATGGACACAATCCACTTTTGGCCTATACACAGCCGTGCAGGGCAGCATTTAACAGGTCAAGGATAAATGCATTTCAAGTTGCCAGAAAATTTTTCCGGACATGCTATCCACTGCAGGCACTTCCCCAAAACTGTCTGTGAAGGAGAGGGCAAGTTTGGGCTCCATTTTTCCTATTCATTTTCACTACTTGACTTGAGAATATGTGCCAAGGGTGGGGAGAATGGAAAATAAGAGGACAAGACTGAGTGTGAAGGGGCATGTACACTCCACTCACAGAGACAGCCGTTCAGCATGGGCTCCTGGGGAGGCCTGTGGCCTGAGAGAGGGCTCTAATAGGGGAGGCCACGCACCTCAGGGGCACCCTGCCCAGGGCCCTCCCAACTCCCCACCATCTCCACTAGCACCTTCCAAAGCCATCCCTAATTTGAAAATATTCAATAACATTCTTTCATGTGGAAAAGTTAGTTTTACTACTCTTAGGTAAGGTATGAATAAACAGATCTTTAGAAAACAAACGACGTAAACACAGTATGTTTGCTATATATACATGGCTTGAAGAGAATCCAAGTCCTCCCTTTGCTGACTAATGTCCCAATCCCTCCTGCACAGGACACTGAACTGCCATCCTCCTTGTTTATACCTTCTATACCTATCTGAAACCTTATTTTTGGCATGGTCTGCCTTTTGGTGAATGGTGGTGTGTGTGTGTGTGTGTGTGTGTGTGTGTGTGCGCGCGCGTGCGCGCGTGTATGTGCCCGGGAGGAGAAGAAAGGATGGTAGGGCAGAAATAGAGTGGAAACAGGAGACAGTAGGAAGGCTCAGATCAATGTGTCAGTTCCTGCCAGTCACAGACAACACATGAGCAACAGAGGAGCATCAACTCAGTCACCACCCACCTCCTTTGTGGGATGCAAAGCACGCTAGGTCCAGGCCAACTAAGATCCCACCATGGGGGAAAAGACAAGCCAGAGACTGACAGAAAAAAAGAGAAACAGCAGGAGACAGAAAACATATTATGGAGAAAGCCAGAGATAAAGCACCTTGCAATGGACCTAATATGAGATATGACCAGAGCAGCACCGCGGAAGGGAAATGCACAGCTGTGGCCCTGCGAACAGGCTGACATCAAAGGCTGGGGGACATGGTGGCACGTTTCAGCCTTCTCACTGGTAAACTGAGCTGGCTGAACTAGATGAGCTCTGTGGCTCCTCCTCCCTTTGTGCGTATCACAAAGTCCATGCAGCCAGGATAAGGAAACCGAGCTTCAGTTTTATCTTTCCAGAATCAAAACAAAAGCACAGTCCCACAATGAGAGATTGAGCAGCTGAAGTCAACTTTGAAGATTAGAGGACTTCATTGGGGAACAGAGGCAAAGCCAGAAGAAATCACACAAAGTGTTACATCAAATAGATTTAATCCCCTAACCTTCAGTGCCTTTGGTACCTCAAGAAAAACATCAGCTAATGAAGCCCCAATACTCAGCTCCCGCTAAAGACTTAGAGAAGGGACGCCTGTACAAATCACAACTATTGAGAGACTAATCTTTTAGAATCCTCACACTTCTAAAACAGCTCTGGGCTCAGAAACAGCAAATTTTTCATAAGGAGCCAAAAAGAAACTTTCAAAGCCACGAAAAAGTAACCCTTGAGAACTAAGCAACAAATAACACAGGTCAAGGAAAGCTGAAGACTTAAAGAACAGACCTGATACCTGTGCACTGATCAGTTTCCTGAGGACATATGCACGTATCATGCTCTGATTGACTGATAAGGGAACAAAAAGGACAGAGGACATAAGAGAAATAAGAGAAAAGTAGGAATAGAGGGCACAGACCAATAATGGTCATGGCATTGAGTGATGACAAAGAAGAAGGCAGCAGATCACGGGATACAGAAGGTAGAATGGCTGAGGGGAATGGGGAATAAACTGTCACTACCATCTGAATAGTCACCTAGTCATGTTTTAGAGGCTCCAAATGTCTGCTTTGGTGGTGGTCAGCCTTGCGTTGGTATGTAACCTGAGATAGAGTTTGCCATTTCCTTGCTTTGAGATGTATTCTTAGGCCACCTTTGTACAGAAAGAGCTCAGGGAACCCACCCTTGGCTGGCCACTTATGCCATATCATATACAATACGGCACTCTTGAAGGAGAGGAGGGTCTACATAAGACCCAAGCACTCCTCTAACGTAAAATTCAATGAGAGGGAAGGGAAAGTTGGCAAATAGCCAAAAAGCTGTTTGACGTCAGGGATTTTTTTCAGTAAATTTGATAGCAGGAATCCCAGCTGCTCAGGCAGCTGAGGATGGAGGATTGCCTGATGCCAAGAGTTTAAGACCAGTCTGGGCAACATAGTGAGACCCCATCTCTATCTACAAAAAATATAAAAAATTAGCTGGGTGTGGTGATGTATCCCTGCAGTCCCAGCTGCTCAGGAGGCTGAGGCGGAAGGATTGCCTGAGCCCAGGAGTTTGAGGATGTAGTGCCCTATAACCACACTTGTGAATAGCTATTGCACTCCAGCCTGGGTAACACAGCAAGACTCCATCTCTAAAATTTTTTTTTTTAATTAAAAATTCAATAGCAGGGTCAACACCCCTTTATTCCATGACTTACCCATATTATGCACAACTTGTCTTCATACCGTGATAATTGTGCACTACCAGAACCATCAATCCCTATGGAAAAGCCAAACTACATTTGACATATCTGCATAAGGTATGCAGATTTTCATTAAAAAATTCTTTTTCACCTAAAAGCTTGAGTGGTTGGAGAGCTAAACTCAGCTCCCAAATAACTTGGCTATGTAGAACAATTCATTCTCTGAGAGATTCAGAGTCATGGTTTTATCAGCATGATTATTATGCTAGTCTGCTACATACTAAAACCACTACGTTCTTGTAAACGCAGTGCTACGTATGAGTCTGCCTCCAGAGTGACGCTCCTAACTACGATGGAAAACTTGGATTATTATTATTATTATTATTTTGAGATGGAGTTTCACTCTTGTTCCCAGGCTGGAGTACAATGGCGTGATCTTGGCTCACCGCAACCTCCGCCTCCCGGGTTCAAACGATTCTCCTGCCTCAGCTTCGCGAGTAGCTGGGATTACAGGCACGCACCACCACGCCTGGCTAATTTTGTATTTTTAGTAGAGACGGGGTTTCTCCATGTTGGTCACGCTGGTCTCGAACTCCTGACCTCAGCTGATCCGCCCACCTCGGCTTCCCAAAGTGCTGGGATTACAGGCATGAGCCGCCGCACCCGGCTGTTTTTTCTACTCTATCTTCTAGATGACTCGTATCTCAAAAAATAGGACAAAATTCCACTGCCACCATCTTAGGAAGCCTGAAGGCCTTGACATGGAACATTTCCAGGTAGCATCTGATAACATTCATAATGAGCTTCTTATATTACACATGATAGCCTACTGAATAGCATGAGCGGTTACAAAAGAAATGCATCTTAAAGCATGATATTTAAAACCCGAGTACGTCCGGCCCATGGAGAATAACCCCTAAGAAAGACTGGAACAATTTCCAAATGTCATAGGTGTTAAAAAAAAAAAAAATAGAAGACAAGAGTGAGCGTTTAGAAGTGGCTACGGCTACGGCGAACAAGTAGAGAATATTCTAGTGGAAAGGTACTGAAAGGGAATAAGAGAAAAGAAAACAACTTTTAAGGAAGAATTTGGAGGAAAGGGATGAATTATGAGCATGGCAGAACACCAAACTTACTTTTTAAACAAAAGCTTTGCCTCACTCACTCCATAATCATGATGGGGGTAAAATTCACAGAAATCATTGTCTTTTTTTCCTGCTGATGAAAATTCATATCCTAAATGCATAATCAGCAAAGTTTATGGTGATAAAAGATCACTTGGGACAACTTATTTAAGTAATACTCATTACAGCATTGACCCTGTCCTTAGCAAAAAGGAAGAACTCAGCAGTAATGGAGTATTTTATGACTCAACTGATAATAACAAAAACAGCAACAAAAACAACCACATTTATTGAGAGCTTATAATTTGTCAGTCATGTTCATAGTGTTTAACGTGCACCCATTTAGTTAACCCTCACAACCGTACCTGTCTGCTCTCTCCATTTTATAGAAGGAAACTGAAGTATTCTCAGCACTCTTAGGAGGCTTCTCTGGGGCTAGGAAGTGGCAGAATGGGCAGTCTGCCTCCAGAGCCTGTGCCCCTAACCACTACACAAAACTCAGATTATTTCTTTACTTCATCTTCTAGATGACTCACATCTCAAAAAAACCAGAAAGGCACAATATAGGAGAAATGTGGTAATGCATGACATTACTTACCATTGGGGAAAGCTAACACACTGATGATAAGAAAGAAGAAAATAACAGAGAGGATGCCTCTCCAGATGTTGTCTTCTGGAACAGAGTCATCCCTGAAAATAGAAAAACAACATTGAGCATTTACTTTCAGATCCAAATAGAAAACCTAGAGGAAGGAAGATTTCCATGTTCTAAAAACTGGGGGACTGCCAGATGTATGACAGGATTGAACATAGGTTCTGAAATAAGAGATTTATACAGATCATACAATAATTCTTAGATCATTATGTGTCCAAACGGCACTAACAAACTAATGCTGACTGTTAATTTCACAGACCTGATTATAAAACCAGACTATATAATCAGACACACTTTACCTTCCAGTGAAGTGCACTTTTAATAGACACCTAACAACTGAATATCTGCCCAGAGGTTATAAATGTGGCCCTCAAAATGCCAGCCTGATCTTTACTAGGGTACCTGTGATGCCTTCTGGCTTAGGTAGGGAGGCTCAACATCCAATTTCCAGGAACACCAGTTTTTACTTAAGAATGGCTGCACACTGAGGGCACACAATGTCCTCATTCAGACTGACATCACATAATTGACATCGGGAATGATGATGACAACATTAATAGCTCCCATTTATCTATCTACTGTGTGCCAGGCACTGACCAGGCAGTTTATAAACATTATCCCTAATGATCACAAGTTTGCGAAATGGAAGTATTATCAACCACATTTTACAAAATGAGGTTGCAAAAGTTCAGAAAGATTAAGTAACTTGTCTGAGGTTGTGTAGGTAAGACATTGCTAAGCTGGCATTCAAAACCAGGTCTGCTAGACACTGAAGACAATGATTGTTCCCCCAAGCCAAGCTATCTCATGAAAAAATGATCTGTCATCCTAAATCAGCCTGACTTATGTTAGAGGCACAGGGTTGGTATAAAAGACATTGACAGGACACACAATATGTAGGTTACAAAATAAAAGCAAAGCTGAAATTAACAACTGTTGCATGGGAAAAGAAGGTTCATTCTGTAACTCATACTTTATAATAAATATATTCTGGAAGATTCAAAAAATTAAAATTAAAGATTCAAAAAATTTTAAAAAATACTGGAAGAAATTGGAGAATTAAAAAAATAAATGAACCTCAAAACAAAACAAAACAATCAACAATCATGAAGTGGTAAATTCACATGGCAAAGAAATCAGTAACAAAATCGAAGGAAAAGAGGTAAACTTGGGGGAAAAAAATTTATAACTCATATCAAGACAGAAGACTAATTTCCTTAATATGCAAAGCATTTTCCCCAAAATCAACTAACAGGAAGAACAAATTAACACAGAAAAACAAATAGAAAAACGGGCAAAAGATATGAAGTTTGTTCACAAAGTAAAAAAATCTAAATAGAAAAATGGGCAAAGCATATGAAGAGTTTGTTCAGAGAGTAAAAAATCTAAGGCTCTCAGAAGTGAAAAGATGGTCAACCTCACTCATGGTAAGTTAAAAATAGTGACCGTTTTAAAAGTCTACCTTATTGAAAAACGGGCAAAGGATATGAAGGGTTTGTTCACAGAGTAAAAAATCTAAGGCTCTCAGAAGTGAAAAGATGGTCAGCCTCACTCATGGTAAGTTAAAATAGAAACTGTTTTTAAAATCTACCTTATTGATAAAGGTAAAACTTTAATGACTGAGCTGGGGAGGATATGAAGAAACAGGAAAATAGGCATGCTCATACATTGCTGGTAGCAGTATAAATAAATCACCTTTATGGAGGGCAATTTGGCATTATTTTAAGTCTACAAATGCATATGCTCTGTGACTCAGCAATTTTACTTTCGGGTATTTATCCTTTAGATAAACTCTCATTCATGCAAAAATGACATATATCCCAGATTGTTCACATGGCATTACATGTATTCTTAAAAAGTTGGAAGCAATCTAAATGTCCACCAAAAAGAGACCGAGTAAAGAAATTATGGTCCAGTCTTGTGATGGGAAGCTGGGCAGCCATTTAAAAAAACAAGGAAGCTTTTTAAGAATCAACTGATTCATAATAATTTAAAAGATATCATTAAGTAAATAAAGCAAATTGCAGAATAGTAGGTATAATAAGCAACTATTTGTGCAAAACAAGGTGGGGAATGTGTATGGGTATGTAGCTTATAATTTATGCTTATGCTTGCACAGGATGTCACTGGAAATCCACCCAAAAAAATGGTGACACTGGTTTTCTCCAAAGAGGAAAAATGAGGGGCTGGGGAGAAGTATGGAGAGAGGTATTCACCACATACCCTTTGATGTATCTTGGACTTCAAGCGACGTGAATACATCATTCTCTTTAAAAACATTAACTAAAATTTTAATTAATGGGTTATTAACCACAAATAAATGGCCATGGCAAATCAGTAAATTAGTCTCTATTTAAAATTATCTACCAATCAAAATGCTTGAAAAGGTACATCAGCACTAAATTTATAACTAAATGGGTAATATATTAGGTTGTAAAACCAATGAAATGGCAGTTTTGTAAATTTTGAGCAATTTTATTAGAAAAAGAGGATCAAATGGATGGCCTAGTTTCAGAGGTGGGAAAATGTTGATTAAACGGAATAAAATAGCAGGTGGTTCTGAAAAGTTGGCAGTTTTATATTTGTCTAATTAGGAAAAAATGTATTAATGAAAGACAGTGAGGTCTTTGGATAAACTGAAAATATGCAGTATGGGAAGATCAAACTTCTGCAATCAAAGATTAGGGGATAGGAGAGTGAGTTTACGAAGCCATGTGAGTCCTATCAGACTAAAGGCCCCAATGTCACACTCTACTGTGAGTTTCGAGAGCAGAGAGGGTGTCCCCACCTCATTTAGAACAGCCCCTTACCAGTCTGTGGTGGTGGTGCACAAAAAGAACAGAATGCCTGACAGGTGAGGATGCCAAACTCCCCTCTGGCCACAGGGCAACCTGAGCACACAGGGCCATTCTATAAGGTCTGGTGTGAGTCCCTCCTCTCTGAACCCCGAATAATCCAGAGATTTAACCACATGCTGAAGTTTCCATAGTTAATCATGAAATAGAACTTGGCTGCAGAGTCCACATGAGTGGACCCCAAATGAGGGACAAGATCTAGTATCCATGGACAGCCACTATATTCTAGTGGCTTTGCATGTTAGCTCTCTGAATCTTTGTAACACTCTATAGCAGGAAATGATCATAATCTGCATTTTACTGATAGGGTCTGGCCCCAAAGTACAAGCTATTTCCCCTACAGGAGACCATACAGTGCAGTGACTGGTACAGGCTGGGGCCAGACCACCAGCCTGTGTGACCTTGGGCAGATTACTTAACCTCTCAGTGCCCCAGTTTCCTCCTCAGTAAACAGAGGATGGTAATAGTTCTACCTCATAGGGTTGTGTGAGGATTAAATAACTTAAAACATGTAAAGCACTTAAAACAGTGCCTGGCACAGAGAAAGTGTCCGTTACTATCATGAGTTCACAACGTTTGAATGCCCTTCATTTACGTCCACTCATTCCTTCTTCTAGTTAATGCCTATCATTGGGTAGGGACTCTTTGAGGTCTGAGATAAAGAGACATGGCCCTTATTCTTGAGTGGATCAAGATAAAAAAGGACAATGAGACATTATCTTAGTATAGCCTTGCCCTGAAGGAAATGTTTTTCATATGTAGGAACTGTCTCTGACAAACCTCAAAAAAGCCTGGGTATTCACCTGTGATTGGCCCCTTGGTGGGATTGTAATTGTCTCCTACGGCTTTGTGAGGCTGCAGTGTGGTTCCTGCTTCTCAGGAAAGATCATGACTTGTGGTCTGGGCTGCCCAATCCTCATCTTGACTCTTCCTGGCCTAAGGGTACTTGCTCAACTAAGACATGTTGCTTGTTCACAGCAACAACAAATATGAAGACTTAAAGCTTTCCATTGTGATGCTGTGACACCGCCTTGACTTCTTTCCTGGGTCTACTGCAGCTACTAACAACAAAATGCCCCAGTCTGCAGTGCCCTGAACACTCCAAAGAACTTTCACAGCTGGTGTTTTATTTAACAGTTCCACAGTTCTGTGGGGGAAGGCAGAGCCAATATTATCTTTGTTTGAAGGATGAGGAAAATTAAGCTCTTGGTTTATCTTGCCCACAGTCACACACAAATAGAGGCAGAGTGGAAGTAGGTATGAGGGCTTCTGGAATGCTGGCTGTAGGTCAAGATTGCTATTATGCATTCTCCAATAAGGACACAAACAGACAAGCTTAGGGAGGCAAAGTCTTCCTCGCTCTCTGCTAAACTTAGGAGGTGCTCCAGCATAGCACTGACCACATATTGTGAAAATACCAAATGTACAGATTAAAATAAGAAAGCTCCCCAGGGCACAAGTCCCACCTCATTTCCCCAAGGTAGCTCTAGTGCCTGGCACAATGCCCTGACACACAGCAGGCATCCACCTGCCATAGTAGGTGGCAAGAATGAGCAAGATGATATGACAGAGTAGGCCAGTGACTCAGGTAACGTGAGGGGGGAGTCTCAGCCTGACCCACAGGGTCCACTGGCAGCGACTTCCCTCTCCCCTTGCAGAGTGTTGGCTACAGAGGGCTATTGAGACCATCAGCAAATATCTAAAATCCCAATCAAGTTTTCAAACACCTTGGCTTCTTCTGCAGAGCATTGTTTCAGCTAGGATAGGGAACTACCCAAAGAGACAAAGTCTTAACAGCAGGAAGTATCAGGAAAGCCCTGAGTTTAAAAAAAAAAAAAAAAAAAGTTTGCACTCCAAAGAATTTCTGGACTCTGACTCCGATTCTGTCTCAATTTAATATTTGAGTACAGGAATTTGACCAGAGGGGTGGTAACTTCAGGAAACCAAAGCAAAGTCCATTCACTTGCCTACAATCTTTTAGACAAGTCTTTCTCCCTGGGGTCAGGCAGCCAGGAATATCTAACCTTTATTATGATTCCTAAGGCTTCTAGGTTAATTGTCCCTCTCCCCCTCCCATCTTCTCCCTCATTACTTTTAATATGAGTCCTTAAATAAAGACCTATAGGTTCATGTTTAGATGAGTCACTGTTTAAGGATCATCTCTCCCAATAAAAAGTTTAATCCCAGGTTACATGGTAGACCAATGTTAAGTAGCTTAGGTATTATCTTTAATACCACATTCATCTATTTTATAGAAAGTTATGATCCTTGTTAAGAATTATGGGTGAGACATCAACTAAAGGAAAAGAATGGTGATAAATTTTAAGTTCTTATTGAATAAATGATTTCATGCATTCCATTCATTCAGCATTTACTGGATGTCTATCCTGGGATGACTCAGATAACTGGCCTCAAGAAGCTGATACAGAAACTAATATTATGACATGTTAGATACAATAATAACAAGTATTTGGAAGGATATAAACATTTCTTCCTCTGTGCTTCTTGGAACAATTGAGAAAGGTATCTTGGAAGGGAACCATCCAAATGGATTGTGAAGGATGCCAAGGGTGGTGTCATGTGTGGGCAGGAGGTGGCGGGAGGTGCCTTCCAGTCTGAGAGATGGCAGCCCTGCCTAGGTATGGGACACGTGAGCTGCCGGGGCCTGCTGGGTGTTGGGTGTTGGGTGTGCTGTGTATGGAGGGAGGGATAGAGGTGGGAAAGTAGACTTACTCCATTACAAAGGACGCTGGAGTCCAGCTAGTACTTTCCTATAGGTGACAGGCATCTACTGAAATACCGATGTCAACCAGCTTTGGTGTTATCTTTCATACCATACTAATTTCGTTTTATGGAAAGTCACAATCCTTGTGAAGAATTACAGCTAAGTTATCAAGTAAAGCAGGAGAAAGGTGATATGTTTTAAAGTATTTATTAGATAAACGAGAATTTTAAACAGGGAAAGATGGGACCATGATTTTGTCTAAAAAGATCACAGGGGCAGCACTGGAGGGAGGGGAAGCCAGGGCCTGAGAGTCAGCTATCCCAAAGGGTTGGGAGTTTGCTGAGCAAAGGCTTGGGAACGGAAAGAGAACAGTCCCGAAAGCTATAAAGGCCCAATCAGACCTGCTGAAGATAAATGAGATGGTGAACTCCAGGTTGGGAGAAACCTGGGCTAGAGGCAATGAGGACTATGAACTGTTGAATTGAATTAATTGAATTAAATGGGATGCCAGGGCTGAGGAAGCAGTGCAGGCTGACCGGACTAGTCCTCGTTCTGGGATTAGTTAAGACTGAAAAACTGTAACTTCTCTACAGAAATCTGGGGCAATAGGAATTATGTCACAAGATAAATTGTGTTACATCTGGTAATAGAACTACATCTAAAATGCTAAACACAGTTTATTCAGAACAGATGAACTTGAATTAAGGTTGCTTACTAAAGAGGAGTCTGAAAGGCAGCAGTTCCTAGGTATATAATCTCTGTGGGCTGAGGCATCATCTAAGCCAAATAAATATTTAAGTCACCCAAGTGCCCATTCACTGCAGTAGACCCCAGAGAAATATATGGCACATTTCCCCCTTTAACAAATTAGAAATCGTATTATGGACATAAAACTCTGGAAATCAGTATAAGAAAAAATGTAAAACATTAAGTTCAATAAAAAATTTGATTCAAATGGTAACCAGGGAAAAGAAATGTTAACAATCATTGATAACTGGACCTCAGGTGCAACCTAACACAATGTTCACCTCCAGGGCTGGTTTAATCCTAGCCCATAATCACTATAGATGAGCATTTAACATTGCTAGTGTCAGCCAACAAGGGCATGCAGGGCTTTTGTTGCTGGGAGAGAAGGAACATGATGTATATAAAGGAAACAGGATAAAGACAACTGAATCAGCAGTATCAGGGGACATTTTCTAATGGGAATTTATGTGGTCAAGAGGGAAAGAACAGGGAATGCTAGCAAGTATCCATAAGCAATATAATACAGGTGGCCACAAGTATGCCCCAATGATATGACGGTGAACTGGAGTTCCAAAGCCAATAAGGGAAATTAAGTAAAAACCATTATTAACAAATCAATCAGTCAATCAATCAGTCTGTCCATTTCCCTGTCCTTGCCTGTCTCCTTAGTTCTAAATCGAGGAGAAATGAAGCATAGACAAATTGATGATCACTTAAGTACACAAATCCGCAGAAAGGCAACGTCTTCTAGGTAAGTAACAATTTTTGTTGGACAAGTGCTAACAAAGGCTGATTCTACTGTTTAATGGCAGGTGCCTCTTAAGGAGAGGTGGGCTTCTTTGAATGTGAATTAATAGATTCTGGTGTTTTCTAAATCTAAAGCTTGAGTTTTTTAAACTAAAGGCATTCAATATTTCCAAGTTTACCAACCCCTGAATGCAGAGTAAATATGAGGGTATCTTATAGGTAATTATTATACTCTGAGCTTGAGACAAAAGTTTTCCTTGCCCTACTTTGCTAACAAACTTCTAAGACATATGCGTAAGCATTTATTTATAAAAATACTATTTATTTTTTAATAGAGATGGGGTCTTGCTATGTTAGCCAGGTTGGTCTTGGACTCTTGGCCTCAAGCAATCCTCCCACCTTGGCTTCCCAAAGTGCTAGGATTACCGGCGTAAGCCATTGCACCCAGCCTACTTATTCTAAAATGTGGGAAAATAAGTTTTTGGTTTTCTTTTGAGACAGGGTCTCATTCTGTCGAGTGAGTAGGGTGGAGGCTGGAGTATGGTGGCGTGATTCAGCTCACTGCAACCTCTGCCTCCTAGGCTCAGGTGATCGTCTTACTTCAGCCTCCAGGTGCATGCCACCACGCCCAGCTAATTTTTGTTTTGTTTTGTTTTGTTTTGTTTTGTTTTGTTTGTTTGTAGAGATAGGGTTACACCATGTTGTCCAGGCTGGAAATGAGCTTTTTCAAATAGGAAAATGATTAGGTAGTATCTAACTTTATTTTTAATGATGGTGATAAAGACAGGAGATATTTAAATACTATGGTTTAACAGGGAATTGACCTAAGGGCCATCTAACAAAAGAACTACTTGACAAATCCAAACTTGTCTCAGACTTCAGTGCAAGGTATCTAATCCTCTGTAATTTTAAATTCTTGCTGGATCTCTGAAGCATGTGACAGTACCCAAGTACTGTTTCTCACATACTGGTTATATGACATCCCAAAAGAATCCTATCTCCTCGTTCTCTTAGACAACTAGTCTTTGCAAAACAAACTTTAAGACATATCTTTTAAGTTTTACTGAAAGAATTGCACTGAACAATTGTCCAACTAAAATCTTATAAAATAAATAATAAGGCACTGGAGTTAATCATTACAAAAGAACATAGGATACATTTTCATTTAAGAAGTCGTTACTTTCCGTCTTTATGGAGGAATATAGAGCTATCATTGTAATGCCCCACTTAAGTCACAAATCATTACAAAAAATGAGTAAGATTTAGTAAGTACGAATTCTATTAATGGTGCTTATGATTTTATATAAAGTGAAACTTGTTATTAATTAGTTCTTCATTATGTGATTTCTGTCTCTTTATGAAATTAGTGGAAGAAATAAAATTGTTAACATTTTTGGATGAGACTACAGTCTGAAGTTCAGATTATGGTTCTTCTATTATTTTGGACAAGCTGTTAAAATTCGTATTCATTTCTTATACTTTCACTGCTGCAATTTATTGACTGCCTTGACAGAATATGATGTAAAAGGAAATTTCAGAAGATTGTGACTTTTTATATCAGAAAAGAGGAAGAGAAACCTATTTTGAAAGGACCTAGAATAATATTAAAAATGAAAGGCTGAAACAAATGGCTCATTCTTGCTTCTCATTATTTAAAACAAAATACCATAATTATTTTTCTAATTTCCAGAGAAACTCCCTCACTAATTTCATTATTTCAAGCCCACACCTAAGATGAAGTTAAACTGAAGTTAACATCAAACAGGTATGTATGTTATCTAATGTCCATTTTTCCAGTGCTTTTATCCTTCTCAATTACAGAGCATACTACATCCTCGTTCAATAATAAATATAAATTAGAAGACAGTAGCATTCAATGAAATCACATCGTAATAACCACTAATGTTTATTAAGCACTTAATACTTGCCATGCACTGAGCTAAACAGATTATCTAAAAAGATGAATTTAATCCTCATGACAAATAATCCCGACAGATTAATGTATTGATATTTTCATTTTACATACAGATAAGGAAACTGAGGCCTAGCAAAATTATGTGGCCACACAGCTATTAAGTGATAAAATCAGGCAACATAATGAAGTATTTGAAAGTAACCATAGTTAGGGACATGATTCATTTCTCTCCAAAGCTAGAAATATGTCTGGTCAGGTACTGTGGAAAGGTCTGGTCTTCACCTGCTGCACAGCTTTAGCAGATTTTATAGTAATAGTGGCAAGATCCCTCAATCATTAAAGAGTAAGCAATTGTTACTTAAGCTTTATACCTTTAGGTAGATTCTTTCAAATGGATAAACACTTACATAACAAGAACCAAGAGTCAAATGAATCCCAGAGGTAAGGAACAAGTGTGATGTGGGAGGATATTAGTTTTATGAGGATTTGAAAAACTGCAGTTATTCCTAAGGGAGGCACCACCGGCACTTGTGTGTGTGTATGCAAACGACTGTGTAGAAGACAATTCCCTTTATGTTGTACAGCGCTGTCACATATGTCACAATACATTTAGTATCCGTTAACTGCTCCCCCTCCCAAATACTAGAAGTTCTCTCAATCCTTGTGACTACCCAATATATATATCCCTACACATGTTCTGCTGACCCTGACAGAGAACCTTGATTGTTGGATAAAAATACTGGGAGAGAAGTAACTGACATGAATTGTACATTGTGCTCCAGGGACTCTGCTAAATGCATTCACACACATTCATTTAATTTTCATAACCCTATATAAGTAGATATTTCATCCCCATTTTACGAGTGTGGCCCCTGAGGCTCAGAGCAAGGTTATGCAACTTAATTAAGGACACACAGCCAGTTTTGAAACCAAAAGTGTGGCTCAAAAACTACTCTACTCTAAGTTGGCCTTTTAAGCCATAATGGTGAGAGAGGTGTGACTTCCCTTTCTTTAAAGAGGTTCATTCAGAAAGTATAAATCATTCTAAGTAGGAACCACGGTGTGTACCTCCTTATGAACCAAGGATGAATTAGTTCTCTAGGTTAGGAATGAGGAGCCACAGGCGCAGTGCCAGAGTTAACATGAGGTGTGTTCAAGATTTGGGCTGGGCAGCTCCTATGAACCGGTATATATTAGAATGTGTGTGTATGTTTTCCAGGGAATAAGAGAGTTGTGTTATGCTGTGTGAGGTTTATGTGTTTCATTTAACACACAGCAGTTACTATACCCCAGGCACCATTAAAATTGCTGGACAAGATCACATTTCAGCACGTATGTTAGGTAATGAGTGAGCAGGGTATGCACCGCGTGATGTGTGGCGGGCTGGTGTCTGTGCAGCCATGTACACAGATGATGGGTATTGGGCTGTGCTGGAAAGGAAAGGTCCGCTGTGAGGTGTGTGTTTAGAGTGGCAGTTTGTGCCGTGGTACAGATGGTAGTGTTTGAGGCTGGGGGAAGTGTTATGCTGGATGACTTGTGTGCAATGCATACGGGAAGTGCTGCACAGGAAAGACCGTGTATGCAGCACACATGTGCATTTTTTGTGCGTTACGGATAGTGCCGAATACCGGAGTTCCACAGGAAGGGATCTAGGTTGTGTCCTGGGCCTGTGTATGGTGCCTGCAGGCGCTGTGGATTGGGGTGCTTTGTATGTGTAGCGGTGTGTGCTGAAAGTGGTGCATACGACATGATTCATGCGGTGTGCTGGGTAGGGACGAAGGCTGGAGCAGTGCAGAGGAGGGGCCCGCGTCGTGATGTTGTGTGGAGCGATGCTGAGTGCGGTGGGTGAGGGGGCGATCGTGCTAGGTGACTCGCGTGCGTTCCCCGTGTAACCGGAGGCGCTGTATGGAGAAGGGGCACTGAGGGGTAGGGGAGCAGGCTAGCGTACTGTGAGACACCGGGCGGGCGGAGGGGCCGCGTGGGCGGCGGGCTGCCAGTGCGTGTGCGTGGAGCAGCCAGCCCACTTCCTCACCCAGAGCCATGCCGGGCCCCCCTCCCCGCCACCCTCCCTCCCGCCTCTTCCCTAGCCCTTGGACGCGCCCCCCGCTCGGCTGGGCCGCCCCACCTGGTAAAGGCGAAGTACATGAGGCTGACGATGGTGAAGCTGAGCAGGGTGATGGTATGCGGCCGGTAGAAGAAGTCAATGGTGATGTCCTCCACTTGCTGCTCGTTGATCATCCGGAAATGCATTTTGTAGTTCACATCATCCTTGCTTAGGGTCCGGCTCCCCACGCAGGACGCCATGGCCCGCCTCCCCGTCCTGCCGCGGTGGCGGCGGCCCCAGCCCGAGAAGGCCGGGACCCCGGGGGTGACTAGCCACAGTAGGCTAATAGCCGGACGGCAAAGCCGGGTCTGGCGCCCAGCAAAGGCTGGGAGCAGAGGGAAGGACAGGCGCGAGAGGGCGGGGTCGCGGCGCCGCCACCGCGGCCTGGGGCAGGGGACGCCGCCGGCCGTCCCCACGCTGTCATCCTAGCTGAGGCATCTCTACCACTCGAGGAATTTTCAGACTCCAAGTCCACAGGACTTCAGAGGAATAGCGAGCCGGAGAAGGGTAGCCGGGGCCCCTGGCTGGCTCTTTTCAGAGCACGTAGCCCGCTGTCTCCCCGCGTAACCCGGCACATGGTCTCGCCCACTCCGGGCGCGGCCCACGTGGGCCCGGGAGCGCGGCTGCGCTGTGTAGGGCGGGCTGAGGAGCCGGCGTGCGGCGCGGCGGGACGGGACGTGCGGCCCAGCGAGTTGGTCGGTCCCGGGGTCACCCGCTACGGGAAGCAGGCCTCGCCACAGGTAAAGCAGGAGCTGCCCCAGCACGAGGATCGCGCTCCTGGCGAGGGTTCAGGTTCCGGCGCACCCGCGTCCAGACCGCGCCCCAGGGCCTCAAGGGCCTTTAGGTTTTCGCGGCCCAGTAGAGGGTGATTGGTTTTGTTTTGTGTTTTTCCCTGGCTGATGTAGTGAAAACTCAACCATGCTGGCTAATTAGCGCAGTGTGAGAAGCCTCAGGAGGGGGCTCTGCCTTCCTGCGCAAGTTTGGGGAACTGAAGTGGGCTAAAATGGCCTGGGAAGTATTGAGAGACCCTTTATTAGGAAGCTGCCCCCATAACCTCCCTTTCTCTCCTGATTTCATTTATAGCATTTCGTAGGTAGAAATCTTGAACTCTATTTCAGTGCCTTTTTCTAGCGAAGCACTAGGCACTCATTGAGAACAGTATATATGAATTGTTAAGAGACTTCAGTTTCTTTAAGGGTTTTCTGTAATTTTCCTGATGAAAGGACCTTGTTAGAAGACTTCAGGTTACCACCTTACAGGGCTTTTATACACATCTGCACATCCCCTACCCGCTTTTGCATACTGTGTAAGCAAGTGAGTTAACTGTACTTGCCATTGATTTATTTCCATTCCGCAAACATTAGAGCAGTACAAGGCTCTGGGAAAGTGGAGAATAGTCCCCGGAAGGATGGATCCAGGGATGAGACCCAGCTCTGCTCTCGTGCATGAACAGTTAATCAATTGTTAAGATGTGTAGGCAGCAATGAAAGGATGTGGAGAAGATAGTGCACTTGTAAATAAAAATGCAAGGATAAACATTAGTTGTATGCACAAAGATCTTTTAATGACGGGGTGAAATTTGAAAGTGAGTCTTCCTGATGTTTAAGTGGTATTGAGTGTGGAAAGGCTTCAGGATGAATTTGGGATTTCAGGAGTTTGAAGTAGGATGAAGTGCTTAGACGTCAAAAAATGTTAGAGCTGATAGGGGCCTTAAGAATCATCTTATTGTACCCCTAGCCTTTTAAAAAAGCATTATTTGAAGAATAGTTATTGACCCCACCCCCACCCCCCACATCATGGGCTAGACTGCTGCTTTTGTTAGACTGCTGCCAGAAACAGCCTTGTCAAGGTAGCACAACCGAGGTCTTCTGACTTTCAATTTAGTGCCCTTATGACTACCGTGCAGAGAATGAATGTTGTAGGTTTGAGGGAAAACTTGGCACATTTGGAGTCCCATTTCCCACCAAAATCTAACAGAAACCACCTATCCCAGCAGGGTATTGTGAATACTTACTTCTTTTCTAAAATCATCGCAGAATGGGCCGAGCGCAGTGGCTCACGCCTGTAATCCCAGCACTTTGGGAAGCTGGGTGGATCACCTGAGGTAAGGAGTTCGAGGCCAGCCTGGCCAAGATGGTGAAACCCCGTCTCTACTAAAAACACAAAAAATTAGCCGGGCATAGTAGCGGGCGTGGGTAATCCCAGCTACTCGGGAGGCTGAGGCAGGAGAATCACTTGAACCTGGGAGGCAGAGGTTGCAGTGAGCCAAGATGGTGCCGTTGTACTCCAGCCTGGGCAACAAGGGCGAAACTCCGTCTCAAAAAAAATAATAATAATAATAATAATAAATAATTGCAGAATGAAAGGAAACTTTCACTTTTGTAAAATCTCTTTCAGCAAACTTCCCAAAACTACAGATCTCCAAGAAAAGATTAGACCCTCAAGTATTTGGTCTAATTTAGAGCATAAAACAAGCTGAATTCCAGTATGCAGAAAAACAAAGTATAAAGTTGTAGGCAGCAATTAATTCAGCAGAATTTTTGTATTTGGTTGTGTAACCAATAATAATGGCTAACATTTATTGAGCATTTCTTATATCCTGACTCCATCCTGTGTTTTATATGGATAATGTTATTTAACGTAAGATTATATGCATCAAATTTACCTTTCTAATTAGCTGGCTAAATATAAAATCCCTTCATATTCCTGGAGTTTAACATAGCACTAGCCTTTCCTGATAAAAATATTTTTGAAAACTACTTTTTCAGTCAAAATATACAGGTATTAATTGCTGGTTGCTTATTTATTTCTGTCACTTGGTTTTGTTACTAGTTTTGACCTTTTCTTTTTGAAGGCTTTTTTCTCCTTTCCTACAGTGAAACAAAACTTGACAAAACTGGTTTTGTTCAATTCCCTTTGGAAGAACAGCTTTATCTGTGAAGTAATCAACAGTGTTCAGCCCTGAGAATGAAGCAAGAAACTGCTTTCACTGTTCTGTATATCAATGATAATATTTTGATGATTTGTTTAGGACACAGTAGATTTCTGTTTTTTCATTTTGGGACAAATTTATATACATAAAATGCATTTGAATAATTCAGTGTTACTTTGATCAGCAATGTGCTGCGGAAACACCCTTCACACCAAATTTCAAGAACACTTATTTGCATCAGCTTATTCTCTTTAAATGATTAAATTAACAGATTAGTGAGGTCTGCTGTCACTTGAACATTTGCAGATTTTTGTTTTAAGCATTTTTCTTACACCAGTGTCATTGCATTTTGTTTTTAAATTGTAAAGTATATCTTTATTTTTCCACTCAGAAGTTCCTGTCTGTTGGTTTGTAACTGAGATTGCCTTGTTGTTGGCTTTTCCTGTACATAAGAAACATCTCACTATTTTAGACTAAATATATATTTAAACACCTTTCAATTAGAAAAAAATAATTTCCAGTTTATCTTTTTGTTGTTTGAATACCGTTTTAAACATTTAAGTAAATTAAATTTCTCTTCTTTTGACGGTTATATCTTTCCTTTGTAGACTAAGAAAAATGGCTTTGTCAGCCCAACAGATACCCAGATGGTTTAACTCAGTTAAGTTGAGGAGCCTCATTAATGCTGCACAACTCACAAAACGTTTTACTAGACCAGCAAGAACACTGTTACATGGCTTTTCTGCTCAGCCTCAGATATCCTCTGACAATTGCTTTCTCCAGTGGGGATTTAAGACTTACAGGACTTCCTCCTTATGGAATAGTTCCCAGTCTACTAGCTCAAGTAGTCAGGAGAATAATTCTGCCCAAAGCAGTCTGCTTCCTTCCATGAATGAACAGTCACAGAAGACACAAAATATATCCAGCTTTGATTCTGAGCTGTTTCTAGAAGGTAATTCTGAACTTTCAGAAAAGTCTCCCTTTCCCTACTTTGGCCATTTGAACAAGCTACCTGTTTACCTTCTGCTAGCCCATTTCAGGTAATATTTTGTGCCAAGAAAGAAAAAGAATAATACCAGTTCTATTGATGAACTTCTATCATGCCTTTATTTTACTGGTAAGAAAAAAAGTTTGTGGGCTAACGTGTAAGATTATTTTATAGCTACACATATAAAACATTTGCTTTTTAAATATTTTATTGTTTAGATTCTTAAAACAAAATTCTTCTAGTGGTAATTAGTTTTATTAGGGTATAATTATATCAAGTAAAATTCATCTTGTGGGATATATAGTTCTATGAATTTTGACATATGCATTTAGTGTGTAAGAACTACTGCAATCAACAAATAAAACAATTATATTAACTCCACAGAGTTCCCTCATGGTCGCTTTTTAGTCAATCCTCTCCTTCCTATGGGTCCTATTCTAGGAATATTTCGCTGGTAATGAAATGATATAAGGTTAAGTAGAATATGAAGGAAAGAGAGCTGGGGAGAGGGCAGGGAGGAGATGCTGGCTATAAATGATGAGAAAGGATAGTTAATGATGAGAAGCACAAAACAGAACAAAAGATCACAGACCTGATTCCTTAGCTTAAGGTAATGTGTAGTTCTAAGTGTCTTCCATGCTGCGTTTGATTTTAAAAAAACAAAAACAACTTCAGAATCAGGGCTGTACTAGAGAGTCACATCTCCTGTAGAGAGGACTGCAGGTTGTAGAAACAATCATAGAAGCCCTTTTAAAGATGTATTTGAGGGTAACTTGGAAGGGAGGGCATTGGGTCAAAACAAAGACTTTCGGGATATGATTACTTTAATCCATGCAATTCAGACTGTTGGCATATGTGTACTTTTAGCCAAGTTAACAGGCTATGGTAAACTCAATCTCTGTTTCAAAATTCACTTGAAAGTTAGGTGATTTTTAGCATTCTCACCTACTGATTAAGTGAAGGAAAGGCATTGTGTGCTTTGAAATTTACCAACAAATTTCTAATCTCAGAGGAACAGTAGTTAGTCTGTCTAAATAGTTGTAACCTTACCTCTTAAAAGGTGAAAAATTAGGGACTTGGATGTTTAATTCTAAAATGATCCCAAGATTTAACCACTGAAAGAAGCAAACAAGGGAAGAGCTGGTCTTTGCAGAAATAGTTTTAAGTGTGCATATTAGAGCACTAATTTGTTTCTCTCTTTCAAAGAACTGGATGAATTGCCTCCATTGTCTCCAATGCAGCCAATTTCAGAGGAAGAGGCTATTCAGATTATTGCAGACCCTCCATTGCCACCAGCTTCATTCACACTTCGAGACTATGTGGATCATTCTGAGACTCTGCAGAAGTTGGTTCTTCTAGGTAAGTTTGACTAAACTACAAGTACTTTTTGCATGTACTCTTCATTACTTTTTTTACTTTTTTAAATTAACAATTTAATCTATACTAAGTAGTATACAAACATAAGCAAAAGTCTAATAGCATAAAGGCTTCTAGTGAGAAACCGTATTCCCTGCCTCATCCTTGGTGATCTTGCATCCTATTCCCCAGATGCATCTACTTAACTTGTATCATTCTTTCTGTTTGTGTTCAACCTCCTCATTTTAAAATAGTTGTTTGTAGTGCTGTTGTTTGGTTCATCAGTTTTAGACATCATTTGATCTCTTGTATGTACACATGTACTTTTCCTGTATTCTTTTCAATTCTCCTAATATAAATTACAATTTTAGATAAATCATTAGTCAGTAGTTAAATTATGACTATAAATATTGCTATCTGCCCTAACAAGAAGTATGCTATCATTATTTACCTTCCTGTACAACTTTTCATTTTTCCGGCAGTAATAGTTGCCTTGTTCTTCATTTGATGAATTGTTTTGTTTGTTTGTTTGTTTCTGGGGTTAAACTTTTCCATACCTTCCAGTAGCCTCTCAGGACAGTTTTTCCCAGGTAACCCTATCAGATGATGTATTTCATTTCTCCAGAGTGGATTGTTCCCTGCTTGTCACACTACCCCGACCTCCTTCCTGAAGCCACTGTCCTCCTGATTTGAATGGTTTCTAGGCCTACTCTATAGCTGCCTTCACTTGTTGACCATTAGGTTGCACTTGGATCTGGATAGCTTAAGGGAGCCAGGGGATCTCCGTCCAAACTTTCATTTAGTCATCTTATTTTTAGTCTGGCATTTTATTACAAACTTTTGCTTTCCTCATTTCTCTGGGTTTGGTACTTCTCATACTTGATTTTCCCAGATAATGAATCTCCTTTCTCCTAGTGCATTGAGAGGAACTGGATTTGGGGGAGGTCGGGTCTCTCCATACCCAATACCCCAGTTTTTAGTCTGTACCTCACCTCTAATCTCTCAGATTTCTAGGGACTCCAATTTTGGAGACTTTTGAGTTTTTTGTGGTACTGATCACTTACCACTTGCCAGATTCTCATTTGCAGGCATTTCAGTGTCGTCTTTCTCCTCTCCGATAAGGCTGTTGCCATGCTTTCATCTGTTTTCAGATGTTTTCAGATATGTGGGGATATAATCTCGTTTCCTCAAAGAAGGATCTCATTTTTTGTTTGTCATTCCCCATATTTTTGGGAGGTGATTTTTAACAGGAGAGGAAAAAGAGAAAAATCTGTGCTCTGTTAGAAACTTTGGGGGTCATCCTTGATTTTTTTTTTTTTTTTTTTCTTCAGACTGGGTCTCACTCTGTCTCCCAGGCTGGAGTACAGTGGTACCATCTCAGCTCACTGCAACCTGCCTCCCAGGTTCAAGTGATTCTCCTGCCTCAGCCTCCCTGGTAGCTGAGATTACAAGCACGTGCCACCATGCCTGGCTATTTTTTGTATTTTTAGTAGAGACGAGGTTTCACCCTGTTGGC
The DNA here is from genome assembly GCF_000001405.40 of Homo sapiens. Lineage (NCBI taxonomy): Eukaryota > Metazoa > Chordata > Mammalia > Primates > Hominidae > Homo > Homo sapiens. Next base: position 96,255,448 of record NC_000008.11, on the reverse strand, counting down.
CAGGCTGATCTTGAACTCTTGGCCTCAAGGGATCTGTCCACCTCGGCCTCCCAAAGTACTGAGATTATAGGCATGAGCCACCGCACTCGGCCTATCCTTGATTCTTATTGCTTTTGTCCCCTTCCTCTTTACATCTAATTTAATAGCTTATCCTATGGATTCTACCCTCTCTATTTCTTTCAAATCCATCCACTTCTCTCATCCTACAGTCACTACCTTGTTTAGGTCCTCATTTGTCACTGAGTGGCTGCAGGAGCCTCCTATCTTGATAGTCTTCTCCTCAGCAGTATTGGCTCTGATATCTTTCCAGTGTTAGTGCTCTTTCTGAAATGCAGATCTAAGTCAGTGACCTATTTAAAATCCTTCAAAACCTTCCCATGGCATCAAAGCTTTTCCTGATTTGGCTTCTGCTTACCTGTTCAGCTTCATGGCTTGCCACTTCCCTCCTTTGTTTAGCCAACTCCAACAACTGGAGAACATCACTGAAGTCCAAGTAACTTCTAAAGTGTCTTCTTGACCCTGCAGACAGAGTGACCCTCTTCAGGCTCTCATTTCACTCCCTGCTTACTTGGATCCTAGCATTAATGACACTCTATTATAATTGTATACTCATCTGTCTGTGCCCAGTTACCCATATGTTACCCATATGTTTAGAATGGCCTTTGTTCTCAAGAAGCTTCAAGTCCTCAGAAACATCTAAATATATAAGAATAACTGGAATGCAAGGATGAAGAGCAAAGTGATAAGTCCCACATGAGAGGCAAATAAAGTGTTCTGTGAATCAGCCTAAGTGTCCATCAGTGGATGAATGGCTAAAGAAAATGTGGTATATTTATACACTGGAGTACTAGTCAGCCTTGAAAAAGGAGATCCTGTTATTTGCAACAACACGGATGAACCTGGAGGATGCTATGCTAAGTGAAATAAGCACAGAATGACTAATGCTACGTGATCTCACTTATATATGAAAGCTAAAAAAGTTGAACTCATAGGAGCAGAGGGAGCTGGGGAGTGGGGTGGGGAGGAATGGGGAGTTGTTGGGCAAAGGGTACAAAGTTTCAATTAGACAGGTGGCATAAGTTTTGGAGATCTATTGTCCAGCATGATGATGGTAGTTAATAATAATGTATACTTGAAAATTGTTAAGAGAGTAGATTTTAAGTGTTCTCACCACAAAAAAAAGTCATGAATATGTAAGGTAATGAATATGTTAATTAGCTTGATTTAATCGTTCCACTATGTATACAAATGTCAAAACAGCATGTTGTATCCCATAAACATATAATTTAAAAAGTGTACATTCAGAGGCAGGAAAAAGATGATGTCTGCTGTGAGGAGACAGTCACTTTTCCTTTCGAAACAGCTTTCCCTGTCTTATGGCAGGTGCTATGGATGATACAAGATAAAACCTAAGACACAGTCCCTGTCTTATCTTTTTTTTGACACAGGGTCTTGCTCTGTCACCCAGGCTGGAGTGCAGTGACACAGTCTTGTCTCATTGCAGCCTTGACCTCCTGGGCTCAAGTGATCCTCCCACCTCAGCCCCGCAAGTAGCTGGGACTATAGGCACATGCCATCTGGGCTAATTTTTTTTTTTTTTTTTTTAAATAGAGGGAGGTCTCACTGTGTTGCCCAGGCTGGTCTCAAACTCTTGGGCTCAAGCTTTCCTCCCACCTCGGCTTTCCAAAGTGCTGGGATAACAGGCATGAGCCACCGTGCCTGGCCTAGTCCTTATCTTTAAATAATTTACAGTATACTTACAGGTTTGGAATATGTTTCAGCCATTCCTTTACCTGTATGCTGATACTTCAACAGCATGTCTTAGAAGTAACTTAAATAATAGTAACTTAGGGGAGCCTTATTTGCTCTGTCAGACAGTATTTTTGAGTACCCAAGTCCTAGTTTTTTCTCTGTTTGCTTCTGAGACCTGTTTTCTGCCCGATCTGTATCCCAGGAGGCCAACCCCTATGCACCAGGGCTCCTATGCCAGCTGGCTTCTTGGCAGCTTCAGCCAGTGGGAGGCACCTACAGGACAGAAGGTAGAAGGGTCAGGTGGGGATATTTTTCCCGTTCCTTCCCTTCTTTGGGTCCTGTACCTGCCTCACTCCATGACAACAGCACTCTTGAGCAGCCCTTCCTTAATAGCCTCTAGTCCCTCTGCGCCGTGGTAACATTTTGCCTCCTTGTCTCTTTATTGTTGGGAAGGCTCTTGTTTGTTCTCTTAAGGCTGCTCACACCGCTGTATAGAGTCCCTTCATTAAAGTCCTTGTCATTTGTACTTTCCAGGGCACGTTGTATAGCCTGCTAGACCCTGATTGATGTACTAAATACGTGTAACCATAACTGAATAAAATGGTAATATTCGTAATTACTGAACTGATGAGGTAAAGCCCAACTAGACTGGTCACCTAGAGGTTAGAATCGTGTATTATTCTTTTTTTATAACCCCAATACCTAAAAAAGTGCCTGGTCCATAGTGGGCATTCAGGGAATATTTTTTCAAGTTAATGAAATGAAGTGAGCCCAAGTTATTTGCATTGAGAGCAGTGTGCATTCCTGATGAGATTCTGCTCTCCTACTGCTGTTAAAAAGCAGCTTTTCAGGATTTCTGTTCGAGCACAGTCAGGGTGTGACAGCTCATGCTGAGCAAAGCACTTCAGTTCATGTCAGCTGTAATATTTAGTTAAATGTGAAGTCTGAACCCTTTATGTTATTTTTAGAGCATCCGCTCCCCCATTTATCACAGATTTTTGGAACTGGTTTTCATCTTATTTATTTGTCCATCTAATAATTGGATTTATTTTTCTACTAATATTATTTTTAAATTACAAAAGAATTACATCCGGTTGTCAAAAGTGCAGATATTATAAGAGAAGGACCTCTTACCCTCTCTTCGTCCCCAGTTCCACTTCTCAAAGGTAACCACTATTAACCAAATTGTGGAATAGCTTTCCAGACCTTTTTCTACACTAGGTTTTATACTATTCTGTAGTTAAACGTAATTTTTTTTGTTTTTCTAGTAGAGTTAATGTATGTTTAGATTCTTTATCTAGAATTAATTTCCGTATAAGATATAAAGATAATTTTTTTCAAAAGTATAGCTAATGGTCCCATATATTTTAACAAATAGTCTATCTATTTGATTTGAAATGCATTATTGTTTGTATAATAACATTTTTTAGTTTATTCTGGATCTGTTTCTCATCTTCATTGAGTGTGCGTATTATTCTGTTTTCACACTGCTGATAAAGACATACCCGAGACTGGGCAATTTACAAAAGGAAGAGGTTTAATGGACTTACAGTTCCATATGGCTGGGGAGGCCTCACAATTATGGCAGAAGGTGAAAGGCACGTCTCACGTGGCAGCAGCCAAGAGAAGGGAGCTTGTGCCTGGAAACCCCCCTTTTTAAAACCATCAGATCTCGTGAGACTTATTCAGTATCACACAACAGCACAGCAAAGACTTCTCCCCATGATTCAGTTACCTCCCACCTGGTCCCTCCCACGACACATGGGGATTCAAGATGAGATTTGGGTGGGGACACAGCCTAACCATATCATTGTGTCTGTGTATTTAATCTATTTTACTGTTCATGGGCATCTTAATACCTGTTTAATATCAAGAAATTTGGATTTATAATTATATTTGGTTCTAATAATATTTGGAGTTATAATGAATATGACGATTTTTTTTTGACTGTGTGATGCCATTAAGAAGTTTTAAATGTGGAGGTTTAAGGTTGTATACTTTCTGCTTTGTTGTATACTTGAAGGGCTATGTGTTCACTTGTTCTCACTCAGACATTTCTTGAGTTTCTTCAAGGGACGTGTCTCCGTGCTAAAGACCTAGAGATTACAACGATGAGTAAGGCACAGGGTCATTTTTATTCCCCCTATGATGGGAATCATAAACATATTTTTTAAATAATGCTTATAACTAAGGAAAAATAAAATCTTCAAAGAAGGTAACATTTTATTCATATTGTTTGTTACCCTGCAGAATTACCAGTTACTGTGGGGTTCATCTGGGACTGACAAACATTCTGAAACAATATTCAAGAAACCTTAGACAAAGATGATGACCCTACACCAATATGACTTAGTGAATTTGTTTTGGGGGGAAATGTAGCACTAAATGCTCTATTTTCCTCTGTACTTGATTTTTAAAATAAATACTATGTTGTTTCTGCAACCAACTTAGTTTAAAAATATTTAGAAGTTTCTATTGATCTATCTCAGTGCTCCTTTGGATAGGTGTTGATCTCCATCAGTAATTTCTTGTGCTTATGTATATGAGTTTAATGGGTGAACTAAGAAGTCATCTTCAAACAGTATTTATAATTTATTATAGGCGTGGATTTGTCCAAGATAGAAAAACATCCAGAAGCAGCAAACCTCCTTCTGAGACTGGATTTTGAAAAAGACATTAAGCAAATGCTTCTGTTTCTTAAAGATGTGGGTATAGAGGATAACCAACTGGGAGCATTCCTGACAAAAAATCATGCAATTTTCTCTGAAGACCTTGAAAATCTGAAGACCAGGTAGGACTTTTAAAAGGATTCTCATATAACCTAAGAAGTGGTTATGAAGGAAATATATGTGGAAGGTATTCTTTAAATCTCTGCTGCACAAGGGTCTACTGAGATAACATGAATTTTTTTTGTTATAGACCTTCTTTGATCTAAATTAAGTATTTACAACAGTTCTTTCATTCAAGTACCCATTCTTCTTCTCCCCCTCCCCCTCCCCCCCTCCTCCTCCTCCTTCTTCTTCTTCTTCTTCTTCTTCTTCTTCTTCTTCTTCTTCTTCTTCTTCTTCTTCTTCTTCTTCTGCCTCAGCCTCCCAAGTAGCTGGGTGACTACAGGTGGCCACCATGCCTGGCTAATTTTTGTATTTTTAGGAGAGATGGGGTTTCGCCACATTGGCCAGGCTGTTCTCGAACTCCTGACCTCAAGTGATCTGCCCATCTTGGCCTCCAAAGTGCTGGGATTTTACAGGCATGAGCCACCCTGCCTGGCTCCATTATTATTTTTATGTTTTCAACTTATTACTGAGTCAGTAATTAACTCTTTCTCTTTAGAAACTGGAATACGTTTTTTTCTTAAAAAAAAAAAAAACCCATCAACAAATAGCTAACTTATCTGAGAGTGCACTTAAAGATATGATCTTTTGTGGTTTTTGTAGTTTTTGTCTGGCCAATTTTTGTTGTTAGACATTTGAGATTGTCTTGGCAAATTACTGTATAATTTGCTTAATCATTTCCGTAAGTTGGCTATTTTGGTTGTTCCTTGTTTTCTTCTTAAGGAGCACTTTTATAAACATCTCTGTACTTCATTCAACATTCAAAGAATTATTGAATTTGTGAAAATAAATACAGTGAGATATTGATCTGTGAGGTAAGAATCCTGCTAGGCATTGGGAATACCACAGAGAACAAGGCAAAACCCCTGTCCCTAAGTTAACATGTTGAATTCATCGTCGCCCCCACCTGTCATTCAACCCAGTCTGTATTCCCAGATTCACTGAATACCCTTTTGCCCAACTCAGAAATACTGGTATTAACTTGCTTTCTCTTCTTTTATCATCTACATCTAATAAATCATGAAAGCCCATCAGTTCTTCTCTTCTTATAGCTCAAATCAGTCATGACATTTCTCTGAATCTTTGCTTTGACTATTTTGCCTCAGTTCCCCATAATATCACACCAAGATTACTGCAATGGTCTCCTAATTGGTCTGCCTCTAGTCATGACCCTCCAGACTGTTCTCCACACTGATGTTGATCCTTACTACATTTCAGAGAGCTTTGCGATTCCTTAAACCATCAGTCTAATGTCTTTTCTCGGAATTAGGAAAAAAAACTAAACAAAAACCTTATTTATTAAATTGAACATTTGAGCCCTTCTATATGTGAGACACTGGCCTAAACTTTAGACATCAAAAACAGTCTTTCCCTTCATGAGAGTGATAGTCTATCACAATACAGAAGGGAGAGAGAATGATTCTAAGAAACTCATCTGACATATCCAGCTCTAGTCTTCTTGGCTGTCAGGAACACTAATTCTCTCTGCAGTCAAAAACCAGCTTGCCCTTTTTGCTCAAGATTTATTCCAAGAAAGCATGAATACCAGGAGGGTAGGGATCATTTCACACGCTGCACCATTATTGTTAATAGCACCTTTGTACATAGGAGTCGCAGAGAGGTTAAATAATTTGCCCAAGATTACACACCGTTAGTATAAGTAGCAGAGTAAGTGGTTTCAACCCCAGTTAATCAAACTCCAGGGTTCTGACTACTACACACTGTCTCTACATTTAATTCTTTGAAGGAAACTTAATAGCTTAAGTTACTTGCTCAAGCCATATATGCTCCTAACAATTGAGGAATATTCTCACGTCGGTAGCATAGTCCATTGATTCCTAAACCTGGCTGGCTATCAAATTAAGCTGTAGAACATTTTTAAAAATTACTTAGAATTTTTTAATAGGTAATGCAGCCACATGTATTCAAAAGAGTATACAGTAAAAAATACTGAATAGGCACAGGTATGAGAACCTTTATTTAAATGAACTTTGTTTCTGGTTCTGATATATGCAGCAGTCTTATTTCTATAACAGCACTGATTTCATGTACTTATTTTTTAAATAAAAAGTTATATTTAAAAAATCCTTGTAGAATTTTCAAATGAATAGTCGCATTTTAATTATTTAAATACTCTTTTTTTGGTTGGGTGGGCCTTATATCTTGATTTTTTATTGGAAAAATCATTACAATGTAGACAATAGTTTTGATAATTTTTTAATCAAATGCTGAACCTTGCTGCCAAAAAAACAAGTAATACCTCCTTTTCTCCTACTTTGTCCCTTGGCCTTTCAAGACCCACCTATCGACACAGCTACTGTTATCAGGATTTTTTGTTCAACCTTCTAGGAAGCATATATCTGTGTATACACACATGAATACAAATACATAACAATTGGTAGCATTTATACACACTATTCTGTATCCCACTATCTTACCTTCACTGTATCTTGGAGATTATTTTTTCTTGGTGCTGCCTATTCTTTTTAACTCTAGTACAGTCCATGCTGCGGATCTCGCTAGTACCTATTGATAAGCATGGAGTATGTTTCCAGTCCACTGTTAGGACAAGGCTGTAGTGACTTACCTTGTACATACTTCTGAAAAATCACACATATTGGTGTCTCTCTGTAGGACGTATTTCTAGAAGTGGAAATGCTAGGTCAAAGGGTGTGTTCATCTGTAACTTCAATAGATATTGCCAAATTGTCCTTCATAGGGGTTGTTTTCCAGTTTATACTCTCCCCAACAGTGTACAGAAGTGCCAGCTTCCCTGTTATCCTTACAGATACAGTGCTATCACACTTTGCTTTCAGTTGATTGTATAGATAAAAAGAGTACTTTATTTGTTGGTTGGAGCATCAGATGTTGAAACATGGAATGTTGTTTGGAGCATCTTTTCATATGTTGAATTTCTGTTTACATTTCCTTTTCTGTAATATATCCTTTGCTATTTTTTAATCAGGCTTTTTTCTTTTTCGGTAAACGTTCTTTTATATATGAAGAAAATTAGTTCTGTCTCTGAGACATGTTGCAGATATTTTTCCTAGATTGTCACTTGTCTTTTGACTTCATTTATAGTGGGGTGTTTTTGTTTTGTTTTGTTTTGCCATGCATTTAAAATTTTTATATACTTAAACGTATAAATATTTTAACTATTTTTAAAGGAGTAATAGTCATGTGATTATAAAGTAATATAAGTTTTGGTATATAGTATAAAAATACCATAGGCTTTAGATGTAGGCATGCCTGAGTTCACATCTTAGTTTTGTCAGTAATTAGGTGATGATCTCAGACAAGTTATTTAACTTCCCTGAATCCATGTTTCCTCATGGAAAATTCACTTGGCTCACAAGTTTTTTTGTTTTTCTGGTTAGAATTAAACAAAATAATATCCTGATATATTTTAGACATTTAGTAAAACCATCTTTTACTATGTTTTAGATTTTTTAAAAATGTTATTTTATAGTCAAACTTTCTATATTTTACTAACTTACATAGTTTGATCTTCAGAAACTTAGCAGGAAAATCTCTCAGTTGACAAAATACATATTGAAAGACTGTAGTAAAAATCATTTATAAAAATACATGCTCAGGCCAGGCATGGTCACTCAAGTGTAATCCCAGCACTTTGGGAGGCTGAGGTGGGCGGATCACTTGAAGTCAGGAGTTCGAGACTAGCCTGGTCAACATGGTGAAACCCCGTCTCTACTAAAAATACAAAAATTAGCTGGGTCTAGTGGTGTGTGCCTGTAATCCCAGCTACTTGGGAGGCTGAGGCAGGAGAGTCACTTGAACCTGGGAGGCGGAGGTTGCATTGAGCCCAGATCATGCCACTGCACTCCAGCCTGGGCAACAGAGCGGGACTCTTCCTGAAAAGAAAAGAATAGAAGAGGGGAGGGGAGGGGCTCAGTAAATATACTAACCTAAAAAATGCCTCTCTCAGTTATAACCATTATTTCCTTAATTTTCTTAATTTGTGTTATTTTCTTAATTTGTGTTTTTCTGTTCTTATCAAAAAAAAAAAAATCTTAAGCAGAAGCTATTTCATTCTTTCTTACCAAGTAATAAACCAGATTAATTGAAAAGAGAATCTAAAGGTTGGTGCAAAAGTAATCATGTTTTTGCTATTGAAAGTAATGGCAAAAACCGCAACTAATACCTATTAGTGGATTTCAGAATTATTTTCTGTTTTTAAGTATAAGTGGAAACCATCTAGAGTTGGGTGAATGCTTGTTTTGTTTTAAACGTGTTTTTGCCATTGTTACAGAATGCTTTTATTTAGTTAGTAATTTAGGGTGTGGGAGCCTTTTTAAAAACAGCTGTTACTTTGGGAAGTAGCATGAGACTCCATCTCAAAAAAAAAGAATGTAAGTGTTTATCACATGCGTATGTATTTATGTTTCTCTAGGGTGGCTTATCTGCATTCAAAAAATTTCAGTAAAGCAGATGTTGCACAGATGGTCAGAAAAGCACCATTTTTGCTGAACTTTTCAGTGGAAAGACTGGATAACAGATTGGGATTTTTTCAGAAAGAACTTGAACTTAGTGTGAAGAAGGTAAAGAAAAGGAGAGAATTTGTTTATTTCCATGTCAGGTACATTTTAATAGCTGATAGATCTCATGTTCCCAGCAGATGCCTGGCCCATGTGAATCATATAAATTCCTGGTATTTTTTGTACAAAAATGAATTATCCTGCTAGTTTAAACATAGAGCTCCATCATTTTATAATACTTAATCAAACTGGTTCCTTCAGTTTTTGTTTTCTTTTTTTCCAAACAGTATTAATCTTATCTATTCCTGGGGTTCCTATCATTTTTCTGATTGGGTCATATTTTAAGTTTTAACTTTGTATCTTAATAATGCCTTAATTTTCCAAACTAGTTAAAGATGCACGTATAGTAATACTAGATTGTTTTGTTTGCAACCACAGACTAGAGATCTGGTAGTTCGTCTCCCAAGGCTGCTAACTGGAAGTCTGGAACCCGTGAAAGAAAATATGAAGGTAGGACAACTTTAGGCTTTTTGAGAAATCAGTTTCTTTAAGTGTTAAAATCCTCTGAAGAGAACAGATTTTGCTATTGTCATGTAAAAGAAAACTAGACTTTAAAATAAGTTATTTCTAAAAAGAGAAATAGGAAATTATCTTTAACAAATGTCTAGCAAGCAGTTTGTTTCAGTTAATATTTTCACGTTGAGCAGGTATTAACCTGAGTAAATCACCTTGCAGACATTGATACCCACAATCCTAAAGCATTAGATAGGGATATAAGTGGTACCCTGAAACTGCTTCTGTTGCCCAGTGTGGGCGTCTGACGTCTTTGTTACCTGGGCAGTGTTACCAGTCTACGAAAGTACTCCTGTTGGCCAGCATGACAGTCTGTGTATGTCTCAGGGAGTTTTGGAGGCTGGATCCAAAAGACTTCTGTGAAAAGAGTAGCAGCCAGCACATTGTTCTCCTTTGCACCTGTCCCAATTGCCAGCTCTCATTCTGTCACAGAATGTACCAGACACTCTTTACTGTCCTTCCTCCAAGAGAATAAGATAAAGCCAAGAGCAGCTGACTAGTTAGTATATAAAGCTGTAGTAGTATTTGAAATATTATATAAGGGCTGTTTTCTGAGGTGAACAGTTCAGTCATTGAAGAAATCTTTTTATTGAGCTCCTGCCCAAGCGCCATGCTGAGGAGACAGCTTCTCCTCCCAAGGAGCTTACAATCTAGTGGGGGATCAAATCCAGAGTGATGGGGGCAGTTACTTGGTGGGGGCACACAGGACACTATGAAAGCAAGTAGAGGACCCGGCCTGTGTTTGGTTGTTTAGTTCCTCATCTCTGCTTGGAATGTTGACATGTCGTTTTTCAGACAACACATATGTGGGTGTACTTGGGAGCAAAAGCTCAAAAAGCATTTTGAAGATCCTGCTGCTGAAGGATCTGTTTGGTGTTGGGCCCATGCCTCTGACCTGCAGCGCTCCCATGTCACTCATTCCCTCTTGTAATTATGGTTGCCCCTTTGGTGAGCTTCATGACCATCATGGTGTAGCTCTTTCTCAGCAGAGGGGTTTGAAATTCTGGTGACCCCAGGAGCCGGAAGCTGTAATTCCTTGAAGGCACTGGCATAGCTGTCTCCAAATTTTAAAATGTTATTTTAAGTTTAAAAGAATCATGGTCAGGCGTGGTGGCTCATGCCTGTAACCCTGGCATGGGAGGCCGAGGTGGGCAGATCACTTGAGGTCAGGAGTTTGAGACCAGCCTGGCCAACATGGTGAAACCTCATCTCTACTAAAAATACAAAAATTAGCCAGGCATGGTGGTGGGCACCTGTAATCCCAGCTACTTAGAAGGCTGAGGCAGGAGAATCACTTGAATCCAAGAAACGGAGGTTGCAGTAAGCTGAGATCGTGCCACCGCACTCCAGCCTGGATGACAAAGCGAGACTCCGTCTCAAAAAAAAAAATCATGGCCAGGCGCGGTGGCTCACACCTGTAAGCACTTCGGGAGGCCAAGGTGGGTGGATCACTTGAGGTCAGGAGTTCAAGATCAGCCTGGCCAACATGGTGAAACCCTGGCTGTACTAAAAATACAAGAATTAGCCAGGTGTGGTGGCATTCCTCTGTAGTTCCAGTTACTTGGGAGACTGAGGCAGGAGATCATGCCACTGCACTCCATCCTGGGCAACATAGCGAGCTCCATCTCAAAAAAAAAAAAAATCAGTGCAGCCTTGCCATGGTACCAAAATAACTATTTCTACATAACGATTCATAGCAAATTTACTTTCTTTTAGGTTTATCGTCTTGAACTTGGTTTTAAACATAACGAAATTCAACATATGATCACCAGAATCCCAAAGATGTTAACTGCAAATAAAATGAAACTTACCGAGACGTTTGATTTTGTGCACAATGTGATGAGCATTCCCCACCACATCATTGTCAAGTTCCCACAGGTAATGCCACTCACAGCTCTCTCTGTAAGCGCTGCCATTGCGCTTCATTTGGAGCTGCTCTCCAGCTGCATAGTTCTGTACGCTGGGAAGAGTTTACAATTTGCAGGGCGCAAATGTCCATCTCCTGAGGAGAAATCAGTGATTAGTCTCTTTCCCTGGAGTTTCTACCTAGTCCTAGTTCTGATTGTTGGAATCAGGCCAACAAATCTAATGTAGTCTCTCTTCTCTCTCATGTTTTTCTCTACTTTACTTTGGAATAGATCACTTCCCTTAAAGGTCCTTTCACTGCTACGTGTACTTTTTAGTCACAGTTTATTTAAATTCATGAATCAATAAGCCATATTGTAATGATCCCCATCCCAATATAAAAGTGATCCAGTTTGCCATCATGCCAAAGCCGTAATTATATTTTCTAAGCTAATCAAGCTTCCATATTCTTTACCTAGTGAGTGATATTATCTGCTGTTCACAAGAATATTAATCTTGAATATTGACTCTTTAAAAGCAGAAACTTTGTCTGATTTATACACTGCCAAATCCTCAGTGCCTAGAACTACACCTGGCACTAAGTAGGCACACAATTAATATTTGTTGAACAAATGAATGATTGGATTTTATCAAAGTAATCCTTTTTTCCTATTTCCTATGCAAATAGCCACTCAGTATTTATTGGATAAATGACAAACTGAATTTTTATTTAAGTGATCCCTCTACTCCATTTGCTAGAACACATGTTCCTGTTTTTGAAAAAAGATGGGTAAAAGAAATATGACCTTAATACAACTCTCAGAACTAGACTGCATTAGGTCCAGTTCCTTCACATACAGCTATATTTATTTGCCTATTATACTTCACTAGGAACGGGCCTCTAATATAGGATTTTCCTATTTTACCAAACGTAAATATACCCATTATAGAAGTGTTAGAAGCCTACAGTTTTGTGAATTTGGCTCATGGAGTAATTGTGAAATAATCTTCAACGAAAAAGAAATGACAATTTGTTTTTCCCTGGGTTGGTGGGTAATTCATTTTTCCAGTATATCACTGAGCATCCATCAGTGCTACACATTGGGCACTGAGGATACAAAAGTCAAGCAGACATGATCTCTGTTCTTGTGGAACTTATAATCGAGTGTGGAAGACAGGTTTAAAAATAGAATTGCTTTATATGATGGTAGAGTCCTAACCAGAGCTCCTACAGTGATTTAGAAGCGGTAGGAGAATTATAGAAGTAATAACAGCAATTGAGTACTTACTGTGTGCCAGCTCTATCTTTATTGCTTTATTTGTATTAACACAGTTAATTCTCACAACAACCATATGAGGTAGATGCTATTATTACCCCTATTTTACACATAAAGAACTTAAGCTTAAAGAGATTTAAGTAACCTGTCCAAGGTTACCCAAGTAACAAGGTTGGGGCAGAACCACGATTAGAACTCCAACAGTCCAGTTTAAAAACCCAAGCCCTTTACTAGGATCTGCTAGAAGTACATTTGAATTGTCTGTAGAAGAGGGAGTGGTGTTTAAAAGATGGAGAGGAGCTTTCCAAATAGAAGAAATTATAAGCTGACCAGATGCATCAAAATCACTTAAAAACACAGATTTTAGGCACCCCAAACCCTTGCCTCAGAGAAGCTCTGTTGTAGAATTGTGGCTTCCAAATTGGGATTCTCAGATTCCTAGAGTCTAGGTGGAATTATTGGGGAATAAAAACAGAAAAATAAAAAGCTTATTAATGAAAAAATACATTAACGGACAGTAAGGCTGTGAATGGGCTGATATAGACTTTACATTTTTGGCTGGTGTTTAAATCTCAGTGGCATGGAACTAATTTTCTCATGTAGATAATATTCCTGGTTGGCAGATCTGACTTACGATTAATTAAAAATGGGGAAAGAAGTATAACTTAATAACTATGATCAATTTAGTCATTTCAAAGAAGAGATCTTGGAAGGTAAAGGATAACAAAAGCAGTTTTAGGGTAATGAATGTGAAGAAATCACTAGGCTAAGGAAAGAGGTTATATTCAGGATCCCCCGAAACCTTCACTCTCCCCTTCCTCTGTGACTTTCTGTGAAGGCAAAGTTGAAGTCCACCTTAGGATTAGAGGGAACCAATAATTCTCAGGCTAGGGGCACTTTTTTTAACTCCGAAGAATTTAATATGTCATTAATAGGATGAAATTTTTGTGCCAATGGCAAAGTAGCCCCTGGTGGCCAACAACTCTCCCCCCACACCACCACATCCATAAAAAAAGAAGGGAGAAACACCGCAATCTGAGCAGTAGCTTTTGGACTTGAAAGAGTACACAACTCTCTAATGATGGAGTAACTTTGGTCCACTGGAGAAGTAAACGTATAATATCTGCTCATAAGCTAAATAAATGCTTTGAAGTGTTATTATATTTAGGAAATTAGTAATCGTTTAGGAGCACCAGAACCATTTGTGGTTTTGTCTGTTGTTGGGTGATAGTTTTTTTTTGTTTTTTGTTTTTTTTGTTTTTTTTTGCGATGGAGTCTGGCTCTGTCGCCAGGCTGGAGTGCAGTGGCGTGATCTCGGCTCAGTGCAACCGCCGCCTCCCGGGTTCAAGTGATTCTTCTGACTCAGCCTCCTGAGTAGCTGGGACTACAAGCGCCTGCCACCATGCCCAGCTAATTTTTGTGTTTTTAGTAGAGACGAGGTTTCACCATGTTGGCCAGGATGGTCTCAAACTCTTGACTTCGTGATCCGCCCACCTTGGCCTCCCAAAGTGCTGGGATTACAGGTGTGAGCCACCGCGCCCGGCCGGGTGATAGTTTTTTAAGCCAAGAATCACTGCATAGGAGTCATACTTCTAAAAAAAAATCTATCTAAAACCTCTTACATCTTCGTTATCCATAATATTGTGATCATGGGAATTTAGTTATCAGAACAAGGGCAGAATAGCAGAGACTGAGAAGGGAGATGTTCTGTTCCAAAAGCAAGCCAAACCCATGTTGAGGTACACCCTGTGCTTTTTTTAGTCACTCTTCTCATAGTACTTTGGTTTTCAACAATTGCTTTTCATAGTGTCCTTTCCAACTGATCTGTTACTGTTTCCACTTGAATATAGGGAAAGAGGCCTAGGGGTTATGTGAACGCATCCCGTGTTCACATTATATCTGTAACAGCCAAGAGGAGAGCTTGAGGCAGGCATAATATTGAAAGGGCTTCCTCTGAGCCTCATCGGGGAACCTCACAGGTCTCTCAGGCTTCAGGGCTGTAGCTCAAGTCTGGCCGGATCTCCCATTTGTCTCTTCTTTCTGTAGCTGGCTGTAGAGCCTTGCCTGCTTCTGACTCCTTTCTAAAGTTGCTGCCGCTTACTCTAGTTTTTAGGAGTTTTACTTTGAGGCAGGTAAGACATACTTTCCCTAGTTGCTCTCCCAGAGGTCAGATTCATTTCATTTTGATTCTAGTTAAGGGGAGGAGTGCAAATTTTAAAAAAGGGAGAGAGAGAGGTGTTACAGATTATGAAATCTTATACATTTTTATATAATAACATCTTAATCTCTAACATTGGTTCTCAAACTTGGTAGATATCAGAATCATCTAGAGGGCTTGTTAAGACAGATTTCTGGGTTCTGCTCTCAAAGTTGCTGATTAAGTAGTTTTGGGGTGAGGCTTGAGGATTTGCCTTTTTTTTTTTTTTTGAGATGGAGTCTTACTCTGTTGCCCAGGCTGGAGTGCAGTGGCGCGATCTCGGCTCACTGCAACCTCCGTCTCCTGGGTTCAACCAATTCTCCTGCCTCAGCCTCCTGAGTAGCTGGGATTACAGGCATGCGCCACCACGCCCAGCTAATTTTTGTATGTTTAGTAGAGACAGGGTTTTGCCATGTTGGCCAGGCTTGTCTTGAATTCCTGACCTCAGATGATCCGCCTGCCTCAGCCTCACTAAAGGCGTGAGCCACCACGCCCGGCCGAAGATTTGCTTTTTTAACACATTCTCCTCTGTCTCTGGAGCACTCAATCTTCTTTGCACACAGTATAGCCCTGAATTATTTTATTATTGTTTTGTATGTTGATTTTGAATCCCTTTTTCTAGTTTCTTCACAGAAAATATAGGATTTAAATCCTCTGGCATTTATCCTACTTACTGAACACATGGTCAGTACTTGGTATTGGTTAACCTATTAAAATTTTTGCCAAGTAAACTTTTTAATATTTCATCCTCCCGTGTGCAGTGTTTTTTAAAAACTTTTTTTTCTTTTCTAGGTATTTAATACAAGGCTGTTTAAGGTCAAAGAAAGACACTTGTTTCTTACCTATTTAGGAAGAGCACAGTATGATCCAGCAAAACCTAACTACATCTCTTTGGACAAACTAGTATCTATTCCTGATGAAATATTTTGTGAAGAGATTGCCAAAGCATCAGTACAGGACTTTGAAAAATTCTTAAAAACGCTTTAGATTTTTATGTATGTTAAAATGCAGTATTGTAAAGTGAATATATATATGAATAAATGAATATATTTTTAAATGCCTCGGGTCTCAACTGATATTGGAAACCATTTGATACTGTAAATTTGGGTACATATACTGTGGTAGAACTTTCATCAAGTTCCTAGTGACTTAATTCTTGTTTGACTTTTTCCTTCCTTCTTAGGAAATACAGCAAGCTCAGAGAAGGGGAAAGAGTTGGTTTACTTTAAGTTGGTGCTTTGTCATTCTCGTGAAGATGAAAACAGTGGAGGATTTTTAAAGTGGTTTCATTATAAAATGGCTTTATTTCCTTTGAACTGTTACGAGTTTCCAGAGCATACTACATTAGTCATCTAATATCTACTGCTCAGATAATGCTACAAAACACACTTCATTTTGGATTATCTACATTGTTAACTTCTTGAACACAGATATTCACAGTTGGCTAAGAATAAGGAAAAGGAAAGTGGAGTTTAAAGATTAGGGGCAATGAGATATAGTGAAAGGCTTAACTAGCCTTTGACTTATTACCAGTAAACAAATATTTGTTTTCCATTTACAACATGTGTTATCCTGGGCAAGTGATTTCATTTCTGAGCCTTTGCTTTTTTATTTGTAAAACGAAGCATCATGACTTCAGTTGTCTGCCTTATGATCACCAGATTGGGTAGACTGTTAACACTGGGGGCCCCCATGAACCATACCTGGTATTTGCACTCTTGTGTAGTTAGTCCTCTCCCACACTGACTCTGGGCCGATGTGATTTGGCCCAGAGGACATTTGTCAAGCAGAGGCTTAAGGATTTGCACATCAGGGCTTGCCCTCTTGGAACATTTGCTCTTGGCACCCTAAGCTACTGTGTAGAGAGGTCTGGTTACTCTGCTGGAGAAACTAGGTGGACAGAAAGATGTCTGGCCAAACCCAGCTTTTTCAGACATGCCAACTGAGCACCAGACATGCATGAAGAAATTATCTGGGATGTCCCAGACTTAGTAGATACTACACTAAGCAGAACGACCCAGCGGAATTCAGAATTGGGAGAAAGTGTTTTAAGCCGCTAACTTTGGGGGTAGTTTGTTGTGCACAGGGTTCTGTGGTGTGCTGGATGCCCTTTAAAAAACCTCATGAAAAACTAAATTTGTAATTGGTCAGGGCCAGGTATAGTGGCCTTCCTGTTACATATTTTATTCATGCAACCGACATTTGAGTTCTATAATACAGTGGTGAGTGTGGCATAGATATGTGCTTTCATGGAGTTCTCCAATGGATGAGATCAATAAACAGGAAACAATAAAAAATAAGCTGGGGACACCATGGAACCATCCTGTCCTCTCTTTCTGTGGCTCACAACCTCATTTTGCCTTTATGAATAACCCAGTGAACAACCTTAGCAGTCAGAATAGGCAAGTTGTGTTGATACAATGAACAATCCTAAAACCTCAAATGATTGAAAAACCACAAAAGTTTTTATCTTATACATGTTTCTTAGGACCACAAAGGCTCTGCTCCACATCATCTTCAGTGATACAGGTTGATGTATCCTGTCTCCATCATTTCTGGAGTGTTGCCAGTCTATGGAAAAGGAAAGGAATGTGAAGAATTGCTCTTAAAAAGTTATCACATTTTTCTTGGCCAAAGTATCACATGGCCATGCCTAACTTTAATAGGGCAGAGAGGCAATCCCTAATCCTGTGCTGGGAGGAAAGAAAACCAAAAATAGTTTTTGAATCAACAATCACTACCAGCAAACATTCAGTCTCTCTAGCTTAATTCCTTAGGAGCTGGATTTTGTGACAATTTTGGGTTTCAGATCTTTTGATATGTCTTTTCTTGCCACCTTCACCTGTAACCAGCAAGCTAAAACTTAAAGGGTGGAAGGGAGGAGAGTTTATTGAGTACCTACCCTCTGCAGGGCAATGTGCCAATGTACAAATGTACTGCATTTCTTCACATCTTTCAGACTTCACTTTGGCTAGTGTAAGATAGATCATTCATCAGCTTTAGTGCTGTATACAGGACTGACTAATGAAGAAATTGTGACAGCATGGAGATAGAAGAAAAAGGAAAATCAATATAATTTTAGAACTGGAATGTGACTAAGATCGTTAAATCTAACCTTTTGAACTTAGGATGAGACAAGGTTCTACTCTATATTGTCCCAGCTCTGAGCTTAAAACTGAGGGGAAAAAAAAGATATCACTGAGTAATGGTAGAAGTTCACCAGTAACTATCAGTCATGCTAGCTCCCCCTAATTGTTTTCTGTCTCTAGATGTTTATGCCTAAGACTTCGCATGTTGGGGTTGAGACCTTAAAAGTGAGAAAATCTATATACTTCTCTTTTGTCTTAAAATTGTGTGCAAATTCTGCAATACATCTTAGATTTAATCTTTAAAAACCTTTTCTGCTGGGCATGATGGCTCACGCGGGTAACCCAGCATTTTGGGAGGCTGACGTGGGTGGATCACTTGAGGTCAAGAGTTTGATACCAGCCTGGCCAACACGGTGAAACCCCGTCTCTACTAAAAATACAAAAATTAGCGGGCATGGTAGTGTGTACACCTGTAGTCCCAGCTACTCAGGAGGCTGAGGCACGAGTCATTTGAACCCAGGAGGCAGAGGTTGCAGTGAGCCGAGATTGTGCCATTCAGCCTGGGTGACAGAGGCTGAACAACAAAAAAAAGGGTGAAAAAAAACAAACAAAAAAAACCCAAAACCTTTTCTGACCTAACCTTCCACTAAAATAGCTAGATATAGATCTTCAGCTGGAGAAACCCAAGGCCTGAAAGGCTTGGTGTCTTTCCTGGATTAGTAGTGTAGCAGTATAGCATATGACCCTAGAATTAAGGAGCCCCAAATTTGCATCTGGATTTTCAGATTCTGGAAGAAGAACCTGGACTCTTCTAGTCATGTGCTCTTGGACAAGTTATTCAACCTTTCTGAGCCTCAGCTTTCTCCTCTCTACAATGAGATAATTACAGTACTTTTAGAATTAAAAGATAGTTTAGGGGAGTGAGAGATCACCTCCAACCCTCCCTCCCCTTTGCTCTTATGTGGGCTCTTTGGTTGAATCTAGGAACCAAATTGACACATGGCAGATTAACAAGAGAAAAGCATACTAATTTTACTAGTTTTACATGTACATGGGGATCCGCACAAAAGAGTGAAGTGGCCAATGTAAGATGCCTTTATACTTTTTACACGAACTACAAATCAGAAGAAAGGGGATCTGGCTAGGGGCAGTAAATTTCTCGCGGAGTCATTAGGAGAAAAGTGTGTGTGTTGGGGTGTAAACTTAGTGGAAGATAACGGTTACTTCGGAAAGTATATTCAGGTCCAAAGCAGCCCCCAGTTTCGTCTCTGGTGATAGGTGCTATTTTCTCCCTCTGGTAAGGGACGGGTACTCCAGAGGAATCCTGGAGGAAGCTTTATGGCTTGCTGCATGCAGGAAGAGATAGGTCATCAAACCTTTTCTGAAACTACAATTTCTCCAATATTTTCAACTCGAAATAATCAATGTACCAATTCCATATATTTTTGGGATGGCACATCCATCAGTCCTTCAATAGAAAGTAAGACGATGCCCTTAAAACATTTAGCTTCCTGCCTGGCACAAAGAGCTGAATTAATACTGTCCACGCTCCCATAGCTATTAACAGCAAATAACAGAACCCAGCTTTAAGCCTTGGTCTCCTAATTCCTGACCTGTGTTCTTCCCATCACATCACAACCAATACTTCTTAGAATGTAGCACGCAAAATGCCCCGCCTACTCCATTGGCCTCACCCTGGCCGAGAGGTGCTTACGCAGGTGCTGAACGGCAGTCGTCAGAACTGCGCCTGCGCAAGCGGCCTTTCTCTGTTCGCGATGTGACGTAACGCGCCTGCGGACTGGGCCCAGCTTGTCCTCTATGACTTACCCAGAAGGCAACGCTTCTCTTTCTGGTCAAAATGGCTGGTAAGCAGGCCGGTAAGTAACTGGGGGTCTTCTTGGCCGGCATCGTCGCGCTTCACCGTTTATTTTTGCTGCAGCTTGCTCCGTTTTCTCTCTTCTTTGTAAGTGGCCAAGTTTGTCGCGGAAGGGAAATTGGCTGCTTCAGTCCAGTGAAAAGGATGTGCTTCCCCACTCGTTTGCTGTCCCCAGGGCGGGCTTGCCTGTATAGGGTTGGGATGTTAACCCGCTGTTTGTGAAGGTGCCCGCGGTGGCTCTGACAGCCCTGGAGTTCCAGCTGCCCGTGCTTGGAAGTCCTTCCCCTTGGCCTTAGAAAAGTTAAAGGGCACAAGAGGATAACTAGTGGATGACTTTCAACCCGAATGAGCTCAGTGCTTTCTATGACCCAAGTGCTCTATCGTGTGCATTGGCCCTATAAATTTTCTTGCCATTGCGACGAGGGAGATATTAATTTCCCTTTTACGCTGATAAGATAACTGAGGCAAAGTGACCCAAGGAAGTAGAATTGGAAATATCATTGCACCCCTCGCGCTTCTCAAACTGCGAATCAGAGACAGTTGAGCAAGGGATACGAGCGACGCTTCAGGTTGACCTTGGATTATCTAGAGCGTCAGCTTGATCAGTAGGTTTGGAGAAATTTGAATTTATTGTAGGTTCTTTTTTTCTTTTTTCTTTCTTTTTTTTTTTTTTTGCTAATCTCTGCCCTCTGGCGGTACAAGTTGGAGTAGCCGTTTTGTTTGTTTGTTTGTTTTGTCTTTGAGACGGAGTCTTGCTTTGTCGCCCAGGCTGGAGTGCAATGGCACAATCTCGTCTCACTGCAATGCAACCAAGTTGGAGTAGCTTAAAAAATGTTGATCCTTTTCTCCCCGCCCCCAGCAATTGTGAAGCTGTTAGGAAACATCAGGTTGCCAGAAACATCCGTTAACCTAATTGACATTGAGCTTTTTGGGGGTGGGGGAGACTTTTTAAATAATTATTTTATTAATTTGGCAGATATTGAAGGAGTCTTACTAAATTCAAGACACTGCTTCTGTGCGTGTTTGGGAACTACATAGACCAGATCTCAACTCCCATTAGCTAACTCTGACCTTGGGTGGGATCACTTCTGTAAGCCAGCTTCCCCTTCTGTAGTAACAGACATGTAAATAAATCAGCTAATGTTGGTAAAGCAAATAGGAAAGTGTTTGGTGCACAATAAGTGCTTAGTGAATATTATTATAGTCACTGATAGGTGGTTGAATATAATCTGTCTTCCACAAGTATGTTTGTAGATTGTTGACTGATACTTGTTTTTCTAGCAGCAGTTTTATACATGACTCTTAATTTCCAAGGAGATTTGCTAAAGCCACGTAATCTGTAGTGCACTGAGTTTGCAAGCAAGGAGAGTTGAGTGAAAGGAGAGTTTGCTTTCCTTCCTTGGTAAGGGCTAACCCTAGACAAAATTTTAAAAGAGAATACAAACCTGTTCTACCTCTCCTTTTGTAAAATGTCTCTCCTAAAATGTCAGATACGGTCCTGCTGTACTTGGACCCTGCTGGGTTACTTCATCAGGCTCAGCCCTGTTCCCCAAACAGTTTTAAAATTACCTATTTCTCATCCTTTTTCAATATCCATTCCCTTGGGGGGAACTTAGTTGCTTAGGAGGAGGTAAATGGACTTCTTTTACGAATCCATATTAATGTTTAAATGACTAATGGTATCAAAATCCTCCCCAAAATACATACATTTTTAAAGAATGTGGCCAAATGAAATAACTGTAATATCGAGTAAAAATTTTAGAGGATGAGGGTCATTTAGACCTGCCAGTCTATGCTGAAATCTCACTGTCTTTTCCCTACAACTCCAGCTCTCTTGAAATGAAAAGTTTACAATTATTTCCTGTGATCTATTTATGAAACTACAAATGATGGAAATTTCCAAGTCCTTTTCCTATCTCCCACCCCTTCATTTCTGAAGGTAACAGGGCAGGCATAAGGGCACACGATGTACCTATGGATCTTTTGTACATTCAGTGTTTGAGTTTACCCTTTTCTTTCATGACTTGCCACCATTTTCCTGCAACCACTTTTGCTCATAAATAAAATAAGCACTTTTTATCAACATTTTATAGAGTATAAACTTTTTTCTTTTAAATCTAATTCTTTTGATTAAATTCTTGCTGTATATACTATATACTTTTAAAAGGAAATTTATTTCTATGTTTGCATTCATCAGCAAGATAACTGAGTACTGGTTGCTTGCCTATCAATGTGTTCATATAGTATAATTAAATTGTAGCAATTAACAGTGTGACAATTATCAGTTTCAGCATCAGGCAAGTGGCTGGATGGTATTCGAAAATGGTATTACAATGCTGCAGGATTCAATAAACTGGGTAAGCAGCTGTGCTGTTTAATGTTTTTTGTTGTTGTTGTTGTTTCTTTGTTTTTTTTTTTGTTTTTCTGAGAGTATTGCTTTTGCAAGTGTTACTGTGGTTCCAAAAACCATTTCAGTTCTTGTATACATCAGAAGATTTTAAAATTAAATCACATTATGTTAAATCCAGTTCCTTTTTAAAGTTTTTTTGAGAGAAGAGGGATGAAAGCCTCTAAAATGTTCGACTTGGTAATGATTTAAGTAGTAAGACATTTTCCTTCTACACCCCCTTTCCCAACTCTTCCACTTAAAATTTTATTTATTTATTTATTTATTTATTTGAGACAGAGTCTTGCTCTGTCACCAGGCTGGAGTGCAGTGGCGCAATCACGGTTCACTGCAACCTCCGCCTCCCGAGTTCAAGTGATTCTCCTGCCTCAGCCTCCTGAGTAGCTGGGATTACAGGCGTGTGCCACCACGCCTGGCTAATTTTTTTTGTATGTAGTAGAGACGGGGTTTCACCATATTAGGCTGGTCGCAAACTCCTGACCTCAGGTGATCCACCTGCCTCGGCCTCCCAAAGTGCTGGGATTATAGGTGTGCACTACTGCGCCCGGCCTTCCACTTAAAATTTTAATTTAAATTATATAAACATTGAAAGTAGAGAGTTTTTGAATATTAAAATTTTATCACGTCCATGCAATCATATGATTCCTAAGCTTTTTTAGAACTTTGTAATTTACCATGAACTTCATCTTTTACTATTGAAGCTTGAAGAAAGTGTAAGCAAAAGTCACTGTTCCTTAGTATACTATCATTTTAAGATTCTTTAATACCTTGATCTCAGATTTAAACTATGAGAAAAAAGAGATGTGGTTTATTAATGTGTGTTTAAAAACAAAGTAAACATTTAAAATATTTTGTAAATGGTTTAGATAAAATATGAATTTTGTGGCATTGGATTTTAAGAGGCTCATATATTGTTTCCATAGTCTAGTTCAAGAAGTAACCCATTATATCAAGTAATAACTCATTACTTTTAATGGCAAAACTGCAATTACTTTTGCACCAACCTATAATGTATGAAATGCATTGAATTTCCATTGAACCTAGTGATTTGAATTCGATAGTTCACCAAAAGTTGTAAGTTATAAGTCATAAAGGTATTTTACTAATTTAAAAAAACCGCGATTTTTGAGATGCATGTGCAATCTAACTTTGTCATCTATCATAGGGTTAATGCGAGATGATACAATATACGAGGATGAAGATGTAAAAGAAGCCATAAGAAGACTTCCTGAGAACCTTTATAATGACAGGATGTTTCGCATTAAGAGGGCACTGGACCTGAACTTGAAGCATCAGATCTTGCCTAAAGAGCAGTGGACCAAATATGAAGAGGTAGCACAGCTTTATCTACCTGACAGTGTTGCTCATTAAGGATGGAGTTTTAGAAACAAGAGAAACATGTTCATTTGCATAGTGTTAGAGTTCTCTGAGTCATGTCAAATAAATATGTGAGGTTAATAAAGCAAATGTTATTTCCGTTTTAGAAGAAAACCACATTGAGTCTTACGTGTGAAATGATTCTTCTGAAATTACTAAGCAAGTCTCTAATATAGAGAGCCAGGACTAAAATCCAGGTCTGTTGCCTCCCAGGTCTTTGCTGTTCCAGCTCTGCACTCTGCTTCCTACTTAGATGAAAAGATCAGCCCATTGAGTGTCCCTCCAGATCCCAAGAAGAGCTTCTGTGAAGCAAACTCTCACCCCTTGAACTGCATTGAAACTAGGCAAAGGCCTGTGGACATTCATTTCTTTTTCTTCCCGAAAAGACTTCCCCCTCATAACCTATCAAAGCAACTTATCACACCATCACCACAGATTTGACATTTTAAAAAGCAGATAGTTCTTAGGTTGAGAATATGTTTTCTAAAATTGGAAATTCAAAAGTAATTGCTTTTTTCTTGTTATTGAAGACCTGTTGAGTGTTTGGGATATATCAGTACGTGATGGTAACATATAATATTTCATTCATTCTTTAGGAAAATTTCTACCTTGAACCGTATCTGAAAGAGGTTATTCGGGAAAGAAAAGAAAGAGAAGAATGGGCAAAGAAGTAATCATGTAGTTGAAGTCTGTGGATGCAGCTGTTATGAAGATGGTTAAACTTGAAACAAACAATTTTAAGAATTATTTGGTCTGAAGATGTTTTACTTTAAATAAATGTCTATTGTAATGGCTGGAGTTTTTGAATTCCAAACCTTATACTGAATAACTACTGAATCCCTTTACTGTTAAATTTTTTTCCAAACTTTCAAGATATATTTAGTTGTGTTTAACTGCTACTTGGAGCTCAGAAGCCACTTTATCAGTTTTCCTCACTGGTTGGATAGCCTATCAGTTTATGGAAGGATATAACTTCCGTAAGTTACATCCTTATGGAAGCTACTGAATAAAAGAAGGGGGTATGCACCCCCTAGTTTGCCAAGATTGAGAAATAGCCTCTTCACTGGTATGCAAACAGATTTGATTTTGCATCCTATCATTTAAAAAGAAATTATGTCTGCACCCCAACATAGGCATACTTAAGTAATATACATACTCCTGTGCTAACATGTATACTAGAAAACAAAAAGATGTTAGAAAAATAAAAGTATAAAGACAAATCATACTGTCCCCATATCCCAGTGACTTTTCCACTTTGGAAATGATTGTTATGAAGTTTAAGGGTTGGATACTAGTCAGTTAAAAGTTTTAAGATTATAGGGTAATTTTTAAAAATATAAATTAGAATCATTGGCAAGGCATGGTGGCTCATGCCTGTAATCCCAGCACTTTGGGAGGCCGAGGCGGGCGGGTCACCTGAAGTCAGGAATTTGAGACCAGCCTGGCCAACATGGTGAAACCCTGTCTCTACTAAAAATACAAAAAATTAGCTAGGCGTGATGGTAGGCACCTGTAATCCCAGCTACTCGGGAGGCTGAGGGAGGAGAATTGCTTGACCCCAGGAGGTGGAGGTTGCAGTGAGCCTAGATCACACCACTGCACTTCAGCCTGAGCGACATTGACTGTCTCAAAAAAAAAATTAGGATTATTCAATGTTGTCATCATTTCCACTCCTAAATTCTGAAATGCTTTCTTTGGTAGAGGTGAGAGTGTGGAGCCACAGCTAGTAGAGAAGGAACAGTAGGACCTGCAGCCTCCCTGGTTTTCCAGGACAAGTCATTGCTGTGTGTGGCAGGAATGCCTTACCTCAAATAACAAAACAGTGTGAAAAACGAATTTGTGTTACATTTAAAGTTTGTAAAGCAATGAGAAATGTGTGTATCATAAAGAGCATCTTTAAATTTTTGCTAAAATATTAGCCTCTTAAATTCTCTAGGAACCCCCTCCCCCGCTTTTTTTTTTCCTTTCGCTGGTCGTTATTTTTCTAAACCTATCCTGAAATCATGTCAATTTTCTTTTGTATGGTTGAAGACAACTAGATCACTTGATAATGGTTTTGCTCAGGTCACATTGTGACAAGGTTTTAATGTAGTCCTACTTTGCAGAAGGAGGCCAAGAAGATGGGCTGTCTAGAACCCCCTTTAAAAGCATTTGTCTATTCAGAAAATTTTCCTGAGTAGATCTCTGCAAAGGCTCTTTTAATAGTGATTTCAAGATCACGTTTGCAGGACTCTGGTCTATTCGTTCAGACGTCTACTGTGCACAATTACAAGGAGACTACAACTGAGGCATCTCAAAGAGCACTGTCAAGGTGTGTAGGGAGCCGGGTGGGTGGAGGGAGGCTGGGCTCTGACCCTAGAAACCATGCTTATGAATGCTGTTAATGTTTAAAGCAAGCCTAAGGGCACTGCTGAAGGACAGGGGAACAAATAGAACTGACCAAGACTGAGGTATAACAGGAACCCCCAGGCTATCCACCTGCTCAAGGTAAAGTGTGGTATTACATAAGGCAACCTCTGATTTTGTAAGAGTTCTTCCTAAAGCCAAAGTGTATGCCTATTCTATGTTTCCAGATTACTTCATTCTTCTAAATGAGAACAAGTGTGCAAAAGTTCTTTGAACACTAGATCAATGTTTTGTGTTCATTATAAATTATGGTTATCGTCCTGCTTGTTATGAAGACTAAGAAAGTAGATCTAGTATTTGGCTCACACAGGTGAATGGGTGAGAATTTGTTAATCCATCAGTGAAGTCCTTTCATTTGAAAGAGAGGGCCTTTCTATTATCAAAAGCCGTCCTGTGTGGAAAATCACCATGAGAGTGCCTGAAACACAGGCACTCTGCATTGTCCTGTAGACCAAATCTACATTGTCCTGTAGTCTGGTCTACATTGTCCTGTAGACCGAATGGTAGAGTGATTCAGAGCTAATTCTGGGTTAGACTGCACAGGTCTGAATCTATTTGCTCACTGTGTAGTGCTTTAGGAATACAATTTAACCTCTCCGTGCTTCAGTTTGTTTGTCCCTAAGATAGAGCTAATGATAGAAACCTACTTCACCCAGTTGTGAAAATTAACTGACTGCATGTCAAGCACTAACAGTTTCTGGCATATAGTATGCATAATGTAAATTATGTGCTGAGAAGCGAGAAAGAATAACTTGGGAAAACGCTGAATATCATCAATGTCGAATAGCTAACCAGTAGCTAAGGTCCAAGGTCTCCTCTCTTCCTTCTATGTGGCACTCTTGTTTCTGGTTCATCTACTCCCCTTGGGTGTCACCTCCTTGAGTGAAGTACCTGCTGGAGATGAGAAGAGTGGAACTGGATCTGCATGACAGCTTTGATTAGGATGGAGCTAAGACTTGGCTATCTCCCTGTTTTGTGTTTTGGATGGGTGACATTTTAAAACTGCCAATATTCAAATCCTGCTAATTTGCTTTGTACAGTTTAAAATGTTTGATATCTTTTGTTGTTTAAAGTTTGAGATTGGTTTTGAATATACAGTTTTCCTACATCTTGAAGAAAGTTATGTTTGTTTACTCTGAAGTGGTCTATGTTCTGTTTGTTTGTTTTACTATACTTTGCAAAAAAACAGATGGCTGGCTTATGTTCACTGTTGTAGTGCACTACCTAGTATCACTTGGCCTTCCTGTTGTCAAGATGTAGGAAGCAGCGTAAGGGATGTCGGGCCTTCAGACCCCCAATTGCCAGCTGTGGTCCTAGTTCCAGATTGCATGGAAATATTTGATAACATTCCTGCACTGAGTTATCATGGTCTGAATATTTATGTGACGCTCTACGAGTGGTACCAAAATGTTAGTGATGGAGTTTTTACTAATGGCACCTTTTCCTGTTTTTAAATTCTAGAATCTTAATAAATCCAAAGTGTACATTTTGGTAGTGATTTCATTTAGTTATTTACTTTAAGGACTCCCTTTTCAAGCATTAACTCTGCACTAATTTTGACTTATGAAAAGATTCAGCAGTAAGAATAAAAACTGGGCCAAAGCCCAAAGTAATAATCCTTCACAAATAGGATGGAGTTTTAAAAATATGGGCATCCTGTGTGTAGCTTTGAAAATAACCAAACTACTTGGAATTAAAAAGTTAGGTGAACATGAAGATTGTCATAACCAAATCCTTGACAGCTTGATGGATGAAGAGCAGATGGGTTTATGGTGTATGGGAGGAAGCATGGATTTTAGGAGGGACAGTATCAGAGAGGGATGGTTAGAAAGTGAGTAAGACAGGTTGCTCTTTGGAAAACAAGGAAAATCCCTTTATTAGAACAAGGCATGAAATTCTGCCACTAGGTGGCGATGCCCTATAACTTTACAACTTAGTGTACATCACACGAGCACTATGGAAGATTTCTCCATTCTGCGCCCCACCAACTCCCTCCCCTCCTTCATTTTTCAGGATGACAACACCTTAGAGGTTTATGGCCATCAGGAGAATTTACTACTAAGCTATATACTGATGTAATGAAATCTAATATATGTTGTGCAATGAATTATGAGATGTTATTTAGTTTCAGGATTTTATTACTTCAATCAGTTATGACCATATTTCCTTTTATATGATTGCTCACTCTTTAAACATACCAGATGACTGTATAAGGAACACCTAATAAAGTCTATAGATGTTAAAATATTTTAAATGTTTTAATTTATATGCCATAATTTGTTTACATTCTGGTTATACTGGCGTTCATATTAAAAGCCATAACATGTTAGAATCTGAGATCTCAGGTCGGATAGTGCCTCTAAGTTATATTTTGCTAAGAAATTTTATTGTATTAGCAATTGAGCAAGAAAGAAGAACTGAATCATTATACGGTGGTTAATTTTTAGCATAGATGTCAGAAAGCCTGTTAATATTCCAGAGGCTTATGATAAACTATTTAAATTGTCATTCTGGATTCTGATTATATCTCCTACAAAGAAAGAGTGTATTATTTATTGAACTTTTTGTTTGAATACATGTGCCTATTTTTGCATAAATGTAAAAATGTAATTTTAAAATAAACCCCTGAAAACTTCTGGTAACATTATCCAGTTGAATAATTGTTCTGTTAGTATTCTAAATATTTTAAGAAAATTGTATACATATCTGTGACAATTGTATTCACAAGCCAAACCAAAAAAAGATAATTATTTGTTTTACAAAGGAGTCAGCTTACAATTTTTCTCTTATGCATGCATTTAAAATGTGGTTTGCCATTAAACTGGAAACACTGATCTGAGGCCAATGATTTAGGCAAGTCATTAGTCTAAAGATTGGCTTCCTCAGCTAGAAAATGAAGGGCTTTGACTAAAAAGTCTTTTTCATTTCAGTACCAAAACATTCTGGGTCTGTGATTTAACTTACGCTCTTTATTGTTGGGATGAACTAATACTGATGGAATACTAGCTTTGTACTAGGCACTGTTCGTATGTTGTCTCTTTTAATCCTCCCTGCAACCTTCTGGCATGGCTATTATAATGCCCATTGTATGGAAGAAGAAATTAGGCTTCGAAAGTCCATTTTATGCTTGTTCATTACATAATTTTCTGGATTTTTTAAATTGATGTATGTGTTTATGTTCCAGGCTAGGCAGAAGCTAGGAAGAATATAGCAGCCTCGTCACTGTTGAAATCTGGGGCTAGATAATTCTTTGTTGTGGGGGCCTCCTCTGTGTGTTACAGGATATTTAGCAGCATCCTGGCTTCTACACGATAGGTACCAGTAGCGCCTCCTGCCTCCAACTGTAACAACCAAAAATGTTTTGAGACATTGTCTGGAAATGTTCCCCTGGGGGAGCAGAATTGCTCCCAGCTAAAAACCACCAGTGTAGGGAATACAGAGAAAAACCAAGATGGTAGAGACAGGTATGTAATCAGATGCATGAATATGTAAACATAGATGTACATACTGTGTGAATTGTCCACAAAAAATATGTACTGGGTACTATGGAAACATGGAGAAGGTAAACTAACTAAACCTGGATGGGAATCAGGGCCTCTGATAATGTGGCTGATTCCAGAACAGTAAGCAAAGTTAGCTAAGCCAAGAAGATGGTGAAGGGCTTTCCAAGCAGAAGAAAATGAGCAGGAAATGCTCAAAGGCATGGAAGTGCAGGATGTATGTCTAGGGAAGGACAGGCAGTTTTGCACTGATGGAGTGGCAAATATCAGCTGGAGAGACATGGGAGATGCAACCTGAAAGGTGTACGCCATATTGAGATGCCTGGACTTCATCCTGTGAGCAGCAGAGTGTTTGGATAGATTCTGGGAAGTGAAAATGTTGGGGCAAAGGGGATGAATATTTGAAGTTTTTCAATACTGGACTTCCAATTTGCTTTTCAAAAGTTTATAATAATTTATATTCATCTAAGCAATCACGAGGGTCCCTTTATTGCATTCCTGCCTGCACTGAGTGCTCTCATTAAAAGCAATCTTTGTGAATTTGGTTGGAGAGTTTCTTGTTTAAACTTGCATTTCTTGGATTGAGTAGCTAGACGTTTTTCCATATGCTATTATCAAGTTGTTATTTCTCTTTCATCAATCTTGTTCATGTCCTTCACCTATGGGCCTATTTTTAATTTTCACAGCCTTTTCCTTATTTGTTTAGTTTTCCTCTTAGCTCCCTCTTCCCCCTTCCCAAACCTGGGTCAGTTCTTATCTATTTGTATGAGACCTTTATATGTTTAGATAGTACCCCTTTTACTTACATTTGCTGAAATGATATTTTTATTTCATCGTTTGAATTTTATTTGAGGTTTTTTGGATGCCTTTTCAACTTTGTTCATGGTGGGTTTTGTCAAATGGAAGTTTCTGATTTTTATGTAGTACAAACTCTCAGTCCTCTCCTCTGTGGTTTTGCCTCTGAGGTCATGCTTTGAGAAGTCCTCTCTTTACTCCAAGTTTTCATAAATATCCAGCAAGGTTTCATCCAGTACTTTTAGGTATAAGAAACAAAACCATAAATCTTCAATCCCTCTGGAGTTTAGGGATATGGTGTGAGCAGAGTATATTTTTGAGAGATACTAAGAAGTCCAGTTGGCCTGACTGGATATCAGTTAGATGTGTAAGAGGTGGATGTGAGGAAGGGTAAAAGAGAGAGGTCCGGAGGGGCTCCACAAACACGGGTCTGTTGAGGGTGATGCAGCCTGGTAATCAGCCCCTTCTGTGGCTTCTCATTCTGTGAGACGTTGGCTGTGCTGCATATTCTAAATCTACTCTTGTCCCTTCTGGATTCAGCTCTGTACCCCAGGAGAGATAAATTGATGTAAAGACTGCACAAATAGACACTTTTGCCTTCTGGCTTCTGGCTTGGGCTTGGCCAGCCAGTGTGGGGAGGGTGGCCACCTGCAAGAGAGGGCAGATGAGAGAGACAGAGATATTTATTCCCCAGCCCACGTTCCTCTGAAGAAAGCTACAGCTCCTGTCAGGCAGCCCCTCTCAAGATTCCTACAGCTCTCCCTTCCATCCCTCCCCACTCTGCTATCTCTATCAAAGTTGGTTCTCCTTGACCTTGCCTGCCGTTTGTTAATTGTCCCTTCATTGGACATTCTTTGGTTTGCCTGATTGGGTGTGCCACACTTTCCTGCCAGGACTCTGACTCACACAGAACTGGGCTGCCCTTGAGAATGGCTAGGTTGCCCCATGAGAGCACCAAGTGCTGCTACTTGGAACTGGTTTGTGGTCAGTTCCTGGAAAACCAAAGCTTGCTTCTTTGAGGTAAGCTAACTCATGCCCCAGAGTCAGACTCCAGGAGACCACACTAGTTCCAGTTGAAGGGAGTGGCCTTCCAAAGCCTGGCTTCTACCACCCCCACCTGTCTGCCTCTACCCATGATAGATCTGCTTCCAATCAGAGACTTACTCTTCTACACAATTTAATGCAGGTAAATGCCAGTGCTAAAAAGATGCCATATGATAGAAAACAGAAGGTTTGTCCATTCTGAAAACATTGTGTTCTCTTTCCTCCTGTTTTAACTCCCTCTTCCCCAAACACATTCTGCAAAATTCTACCTCTAACCTTTTTTCCTTCTATTCTCAGTCCCCTGCAATGGCACTTGCAATCCTCACCATACTCTGTCTAAATTCTAGCTTTACTTTAAGACAAAAATTAAATTCTGCCTACTGAGAGAAGCTCTTTGTCAACCCCAGGCACTTGACATTTCTATTTTCTTTGACTTTGTAAAGCACTTACTACTTCAACCAATCATTTACTATTTAACAATAATAAATACTATTTACCTAGTGTTCACTGTGGGCCATTTCAGGTTTCATTTATTCCTTGAAAATTTTTCCAAGGTGAGCACAATTATCCTCTTTTCATAGAGGCTCAGACATGTTAGGTAACGGGTACAAGATCACACTTTGCAAGTGAGCAAATGGAAAGTTAAATTCTGTCTTCCTTGAAATTGCTATGTTGTCTTTTCTTTTTTATTTAAGGTGTACAGCATGATGTTTTGATACAAATATACATAGTGAAATGATTACTACAGGCAAGCAAATTAAAATATCCATTACCACGATAGTACTTTGTGTATGTGTGTCTGGTGAGCACCTAAAATCTACACTTTCAGCAAATTTTTAGTGTACAATATAATTATAGTCACCATGCTGTACATGAAATCTCTAGACCTGTTCATCTTGTATAATTGCAAGTTTGTGTATCCTTTGACCTACCTCTCCCCATTTCCTGATCCTTCCCACTCTGGAAACCACCATTCTTCTCTGTTTCTATGTATTTGACATGTTTTAGATTGCACAAATAAATAAGATCATGCAGTATTTCTCTTTCTGTGTCTGGCTTATTTCAGTTAGCATAATGTCTTCCAGGTCATCCATGTTGTCACAAATGGCAGTATCTTATTATTTTTTAAGGCTTAATAACATACCATTGTGTGTGTGTGTGTGTGTGTGTGTGTGTGTGTGTGTGTGTGACAATTTTTTCATTCATCTGTTGGCAGACACTGGTTGTTTCCATGTCTTTACTATTGTGAATAATGCTGCATCGAACATGTGGGCACAGATGCCTTCTGAGATGGTGGTTTCATTTTTTGGAGGTATATATCCAGAACTGGGATTGCTGGATTGCATGGTAGTTCTACTTTTAATTTTTTGAAGAATGTCCATACTGTTTTCCATAATGGCTGCATGAATCTACATTCCCACCAACAGTGCACAAGCACTGTCTTTTCTCTACACCCTCACCAACACTTGTTATCTCCTGTCATTTTCATAGTAGTTACCCTCATAGGTGTAAAAGGATATTTCTTTGTGGTTTTAATTTGCATTTCCCTGATGATTAGTGATAATGAGCACCTTTTCACGTACCTTTTGGCCATTTTCATGTCTTCTTTAGGAAGATGTCTATTCAGGTCCTTTGCCCATGCTTTAATCAGGTTATTTTATTTTTTATTTTGTCTTTTCAACAATGCTGTCCCACACTTACCTTTATTTTTACAAACTCAATTCCATTTTGTACTCATCTTTTGTTTATACTTTTCTTTCTAAACTCTATTTCTTAAATGAAATCTTTAGTTGTGAAAGTAGAGTGATCATGCTGTCTCTGAGGAGATGACATTTGAACGTTGGAGAGGAGCCACCGCAGGAAGCCCTGGTTCTTTAGGTGGGCTGTGCAGAGAATCACCTGGGAAGCTTCAAAACAAACAAGCAAACAAACCCCAAATAACCTGATGCCTGGGTCTGACCGCCAGAGTTTCCACATTAATTGGTTTGGGAAGCAGCCTGGGATGCAGATGGTCCTAATGTGTAATTGAAGCTGATAAACATTGATCTAGAAAAGAACATTCTTGGCAAAGAGGACAGTGAGTGCAAAGGGCCTGTGGTAGGAATGAGCTGGGGGTGGCTGAGAAGGAGTTGACAGAGAAGGCCACTGTGCTGAATCCAAATGGAGAAGGAAGAGTGCCAACCCTCGGGTCAGAAAGGTAGGCACAGCCACCCCATGGAGGGCATTTTAGACCAGAAGAAGGAGTTTAAATTTTACTCAAATGCAACTGTAGGCCCTGGAGGGTTTTTAACAGTGAAATATGATTATAAGGCAAGTAGTATGTATAAACTACCTCATTCTTTTTAAGAAATGCATACAACTCCGGATTATGGATGTACCACAATTTATTCAACTACTTGCCTGTTGATTGACATTTGGGTTGCTTCCAATCGAATGTTATTACAAACAAAGCTGCAGTGAATATCCTTGTGCACTTGTGCTTTTGAATTTTGGTAGGATAGAATCCAAAGGCTTAAAAAATTTAGACAGGAAACATGGTTGGTAGGGAGGGGAGAAAATCCCTGTCATGCAAGGGAGAGAGATCTCCTAAGTTCAAATGTCTCAAATGCGTGTTCTACATCAGCCTGGATAAAGCCAGGTTTAGCAGACCATCAAGATTTTGCAACCAGCCACTGGAGTGTCCTACAATAACATTGAAGTGTGAGAAACATAGACACACCCAGCATTACTCAAACGGACATTTAATTTCTCATTAGGTTTTAATACTATCATATGTTGATTACATTGACTCTGCTTTCAGTTCTGTCCAAGTGATTTAGCTAACATATTGTAAGTTTACTCAGCTTTTTACAGTTCTATCATAAATCTGAACAGAATTTTCCTTTTAGAGAAGTATATGATTTTTTAATAATTTCCATTGTCTAAAGAAAAGGAGCCTAGTATGAATGTTTATCTACTCAGAAAGTTTTTTTCTTAAGCCACTTCCACCTTTTTTGCACATTTATATACAAATAAGTTTTAATTTGTTCATGCAACTAATATTTATTCATACAATGTGTTAGGTGTTGGCATGGAAAGATGAATCACATTCAGTCCTTGTTCTTACTGAGTACAGTCTGGAGGGGTGATAGCCCAGTAAGCAGACAATCACAACTCAGGGAGAGAGAGGCTCCTTCACAGGAAGCAGGAGGTGGCATGGGAGCATAGAAGATGGGTACCCAACCAACGCTGGGGTGTAGGCTAGAGGTAGGTAACATTCAGTTGGTAATAAGCAACTGAAATGGACTGTGGTTTAATTCAGCAGAAATTTGTATTGAGAGAATATCATGGAATCAGTGAGAAGGTGTGTTAGTTTTCTATTGCTGCTGTAACAAATGAAGAGACTTAGTAGCTTAAAGCAACATAAATTTATTATCTTACAGTTCTGGAGGTCAGAAGTCCAAAATGAGCCTTATGGGGATAAAATCAAAGAGTTGTGAGGGCTGGCTCCTCTGAGGAAGAATCAGTTCCTGGAATCTCTGAGTTTCTAGAGGCTTCCAGCATTCCTTGGCTGATGTCCACATCAATCTCTACTTCCATTGCTACATGGCCGTTGCCTATCTGTGACCCTCCTGCCTCCCTCTTATAAAAGCTCTTGGAATTACACTGGCCCACTTGGAGAATTTAGGATAATCTCCCCATCTCAAGGTCCTTAACTGTATCACATCTGCACAGTTCCTTTTGCCATGTGGGTTAACATACAGGTTCCAGGGAGGAGGATAGGAATATCTTTGGGGAGGTTGTTATTCAGACAGAGGGCAAGAAAGAAAAATGCAAGAGAGGTATGGATAGCCTCAAGTACATAGCCGAGGTCCTGCCCAGGACCTGAAGCATTGCATTGGCCACTGCAGCTGCAAGCCCCTGCTGCTGCCATGAGTCATTTCTCAGCTATCCTTGTGCCTGTGTGATTCCTGCAAGACAAAGTTCCTGAGTTGGAACATATAGTTGGTGAAGCCTGGTTCAGGAATACTGGGCCAGCTATCAGGAGAAGGCATATAGTTTCTGATGCTCTGGTAACAGGATGGAGGGGTTTACCTTCCACCAGGACTCACACTATGAAGGGTTCCTTCCCTCCACCCAGGAGGCAGCATGTTCAGATGCGGAGTTCTGATGTGGACACATCTAACACCTAGACACCACAGGAAGGAATGGATAATTGGGGGGTCCTCGTGGAGCAGGAGATGCCTGGGCTGGGACTGATGAAGGGTTTTAGAGTAACTCAGGTGAGTTCTTTTGTCTTTCTTCAGGTAACTCATTTAAGGACGCTTGGGCCCTTTATCAGGTTGTCATTTTCCAAAAAACTTTGCTAATACAAGAGATCTGAAAAGAAATCAAAGCTACACAATGCATTTCAAGAACATACGAACAGGCTGGGAGCAGTGGTTCATGACTGTAACCCCAGCACTTTGGGAGGCTGAGACGGGCAGATCACCTAAGGTCAGGAGTTTGATAAAAGCCTGGCCAACATGGCGAAACCCCATCTCTACTAAAAATAGAAAAATTAGCAGGGCGTGGTGGCACATGCCTGTAATCCCAACTACTCGGGAGGCTGAGGCAGGAGAATCGCTTGAACCCGGTAGGCGGAGGTTGCAGTGAGCTGAGATCTCACCACTGCACTCCAGCCTGGGCGACAGAGCAGAATTACATTGGCCCACGTGAATAATTTAGGATAATCTCCCCATCTCAAGGTCCTTGACTGCATCACATCTGCACAGTCCCTTTTTCCATGTAGGTTAACATACTCGCAGGTTCAGAATCTGCCTGAAAAAAAAAAAGACCATACAAACAAACAAAAAAAAAATAGATTCCTTTACACTTTAATACATTCCGGGTCAGTGTGCAGATTGAGATGATCTTTCTCAAAAGCAATTTGGCAGCAGATGCTGTCTTTAAAAAGACATACCATTTAACCCAGTAAGTAATTTCACATCTCAGAATGTAAAAGGTGTATATAAAAATGCAGAGATTTATGTACAAGGATGTTTATGACAGCATTATTTATAGTTCAAGTTACTGTTCAAGCATAGTTAGAGTTACTGTTCAACCGTGGGAAGATGGCTGGTGGAATGTTATTCACCCTGTAAAAGTGATATTCTCAAAGGGTACTTAAGGATATGGACAAATGTGCATGTATTCTTGTTAACTGAATAAAAAAGCAGTTTCAAAACAAAATATACAATACCAGTATTACAAAAAACCACGTATGGGTTTGGAAAAAAAAAAGACTAAGCAGTAGTTTTCCATAAATTTTTAGAGGTTTGTGCCACAGATCTTTTGAAATCTATCCAGATTGAAACTCCATAGACTAAAAGGGTATTTCTGATTACTGAAATTAGAAATGATGGTAAGCTTTTTATGTATGCTTTTTCACATTTTCCAAATTTTCAGTGATTTGTTTTTATAATCAGAATGTGTTCTTTTTTAAAATTAATGGTATTGGAAAAATTAATTTGTGATATAAGAAGAAAATCAAGGAGAAAAAATACATACGTGGTACAATGTTGTTCTTAATTCTTAACCTGCAGTGGTTCTAATGTACGACACACACCCAGGCCCTACCCTAGAAATTCTGATTCAGCATGTATATTAGTCTGTTTTCACGCTGCTGATAAAGACTTACTTGAGACTGGAAAATTTACAAAAGAAAGAGATTTATTGGATTTAAATTTCTGTGTGGCTGGGGAGACCTCACAACCATGGTGGAAAGTGAAAGGCTTGTCTCACATGGTGGCAGACAAGAGAAGGGAGCTTGTGCAGGGAGACTCATGTATTTTCTAAACCATCAGATCTCATGAGACTTACTCACTATCACGAGAACAGCACAGGAAAGACCCCATGATTCAATTACCTCCCACTGGGTCCCCCCAACAATACGTGGGAATTCAAGATGAGATTTGGGTGGGAACACAGCCAAACCATATCAGTATGCAAACAAGCAAACACAAAAAACGTGAGAATCATCTGAATGCCCCGGCCAAGGATTACCAACATAGTATAACTCCAAACATGTACATGTTTCCTATATTGAAAATCAGACTCCAAACCTTCCTCAACTGGAATGCCCCATTTCTCTTCAGTTTTTCATAACTAAGATATTTGATGATTCTTCAGTTTCTCTGCTTTTCATTTCTCCACCTCCTTCTTACTTCTTAATAGCATGCATCTTGCTGGAAAGCACTATCCTAACTTATATCTTGGAATTCTCTCATTCTTTAATATGCATTTTGGATTGAATCTGTGTCAGAACCCTCACAAATAAGTTTGCCAGCATTGCGGGCTTTGCTACCATTTAAATGATTTTAAATACTTAACTATTGAAAAGTGGCTTTTATTGTCCCATTTTGGAAGACCTGGGAGCAGTTTGTTGACGGCAAGAAGTCCTACATTGCCCTCCAGAGCAAGGGTCAAATCTTAATGCCTTTAATTAGGAAATTGACTCAGTAACTTGGTGATCAAAACTTGGTATAAAAGCAACACATCAGATATCTTTCATTAGTGGGAGAACTTCCTAGTGGAAAATTGGTTGAGAAGGCGAAGAACATGCTGAACCATTTGCTGCAACTCGCTTCTGGGGTTAGAGGGCACCTTATGTCTCTTACTCAAATATTTGCAGCACAAGGTGATCATGAATAGGTGGTCCAAAAAAAGAAATAGTCACTTTGGGGCTGGTCACTGGTTTGTCTTTCTTTTTTCTCCCTAAATTGCTTTTTTTTCAACCGACATTGAAATTTTGATATAAGATTTTGTTAGCTAGCTAACTTGAATATTGAGTCCTAAATACATTGCTTAGCTGACTGACCCATATTTTAAGCCTTTAATTGTTGAGATTGTTATCTGAAGATCATGAAAAAGTAAGAAAAACTGATTTGCCAATGAACAACTGTTTCAAATTATAACTTGGTTGACTTAAAAAGCAAAATATCAACATTAGACCTTAACACTTCAACTTGGAACTCGGCTTTGGGGCTTGATTGAATTTATAATCTCAATTTCACAGCTCAATTGTTCTAGGAGAAAAGGCTCGGTGGACTTTGGTTCAGAGATTTAAGATAGGGATTTGAGAGTAGAGGGGTTGGTGAAGGCAGTTGTTTAAATATCTGAAGAAATTCTTTCGTTTGACAAACAAGTTTGTCTTTGAAGTTTAGGCATTGTGCCTGAGTTAAGCAAAAACAGAAATATAGTATTTTTACATTTCTTTCTGATCGCTTAGAAAATCTTTACATGAATCCTAACCTGAACTTATTTTTACTCTGGAATCTTTACTGTCTTTCAACTGTGAAAATGCCAGCAGTAATTACAAATTGGAGCCATCTCTGCTGTGAGTTGACAGAGGTAGCTCAGTCTCATCATAATCCAGAGACACTTTGTGAAGTTTGGACACACTGGACATTTCAGGAGGAAGATATAGACAGACCCTGATACATGAAGAAATGGGATTGTCTGAGTAATTGAATTAAACAATCCTGGCTGAGTAATTCTGTATTTCAGGCAATGGAACATTGGGGATACAGTGGTGAATAAAGTAGATAAACTGTCTACCCTTGTGACACAGTGACAATAAATTAGCCTTTTGAGAACAAGGTGTGGGAGAGAAGAATTAATTAGACATTCTGTCTGTGTGAAGGTTGAGTAGAGGTGCTTAGCAGTGAGGATGAGCACTCTCTGGACTTGGTCCAGGATTGTGCAGTCTCTCTCTCTCTCTCTCTCTCTCTCTCTCTCAATCTCGTGTGTGTGTGTGTGTGTGTGTGTGTGTGTGCACGCGCATAAATTTTTGGGTGCTGGTGAAGCCTCAAAGAATGATATCTGCTATGAACTGAATGTTTTTGTCCTGCCACCAACTCCTAAATGTATATGTTGAAACCCCTAATTCCCAATATAATGGTATTTGAAGTTTAGGTCTTTGGGAGGGAATTAGGTCATGTGCCCTCATGATGGAATTAGTGCCTTATAAGAAGAGACAAAAGAGAGCTTGCGTCCTCTGTATCTCCTGTTTGGCATGTGACATTATGAAAAGGTGGCTGTCTACAAACCAGGAAGAACGTGCTCACTAGACACCAGATCTGTTGGCACCTTGATTTGGAACTTAGCCTCCAGAACAATGATAAATAAACATTTGTTGTTTAAGCAGCCCAGCCTGTGGTATTTTGTTATAGCAACCTGACCTAACTAATATGGCATCTAATAGATCTTTTTTTGGCTGTGTTATGATTATGAGGCTGGTAATTTTCTAGTCCTCAAACTAGATTCAAGCTACATGCCTTTGGTGGGTCACTGGTTGGATATATACATATTATGTCCAGCATTTGCACCTCAGTCTCAT
The DNA here is from genome assembly GCF_000001405.40 of Homo sapiens. Classification (NCBI taxonomy): domain Eukaryota; kingdom Metazoa; phylum Chordata; class Mammalia; order Primates; family Hominidae; genus Homo; species Homo sapiens. The sequence continues at coordinate 96,215,624 of NC_000008.11, read as the reverse complement.
CCACATTTGAGGGCACTATGCATTTTCCTTCTTTCTCATCAGGGTGAGCACCCATCCATGCCAATGCCATGTTAAGGCATGTATCAGGCCTCTCTGATCGGCTGGTTGGCAGGCATGCTGGCAGCTATGGACCCTGTGCCTAGGTCAGCGCGGTGAGATCTGTATTTTTGGCAGGACCCAGTCCAAGGAGCCAGTGCAGCTGCTGTTCTCTCCCTATGTGGTTCTCTCTGCTCTTCCAAGCAGCCTTCACTTGCTGCTCTCCAACCATGGGAATGGGGGTGGGCATGTTCCCCAGGCCACTTAGCCATTAGTCTCACACCTTTGCTTAGAGGACAGACTGGGTCTGGGGTTGGGGGGTAGTTAAGGGGCTCTGAATTCAGACTGTCTGGGTTCAAATCCCAGCTCTGCTGTTTATAAGCTGTGTGACCTTAGACTGGTTGCTTAGCCTCTCTGTGTCTCTGTCCCCTCATCTATAAAAATGGGGATTATGATAATATTACTTATTTCCTAAGATGATGATGATGATTATTGAGATGGAGTGTTGTTCTGTTACCCAAGCTGGAGTGCAGTGGTGTGATCTCGACTCACTGTAACCTCCACCTCCTGGGTTCAAGCAATTCTCCTCCCTCAGCCACCCGAATAGCTGGGACCACAGGCACCCACCGTCATGCCTGGCTAATTTTTGTATTTTTAGTAGAGACAGGGTTTCTCCGTATTCTTCAGGCTGGTCTCAAGCTCTCTACCTCAAGTGATCCTCCTGCCTTGGTCTCCCAAAGTGCTGGGATTACAGGCGTGAGCCACAGCACCTGGCCTATTTCCTAAGTTTATTGTGATTAGGTAGGTAAGTGAGCAGAGCAGTGCATGGCACTTACTTTGCTTATAATCATAATATGCGTTGCTTATTATGATTTCACAGGTTGTAACACACAACTAAACCCTGACCTTCAGATGTCCAGTACTGGAACAGGCTTCTTTTCACATTTAGACTTGTTCATTTCTACATGAACTGACAGTGGCTGGAATAGAAAAGGGGCTTATTTTACTGATTTGGAGAAGAGGCGCCGCAGGGAAATGTGACCTGGAGGGCAACGCGAGGAAAGTGGGTCAGGGTCCCAAGAAGTCAGTATCAACTGTTCTAGACCAACCAGCTGGTCTGACAAATGAAAAAGCCCTGCTCCTTCCCATTTCCCCTCAAAGTCTTGACCCTTCAGGAGCGTGACTACCTACAAGTAGCTGAGAGTGAGAGGAATAGGGGAAAGAGGCAAGGGTCTGTTTTGTTGCTTATTAATAACTAGAGAACAGACCTCGGGGTATGTATGGACTGCATGTGTTCATTCTCTCCTAACATCCACCCTGCCTTCCCCACGCCTACCTAACCACTGGCAGTGAACGAACCATCAACAAAGGTTTACTTGTGTGTTGGATTTTTAAGGGGGAAAGTCCTAGATTCGTACATTTGTAAAGAAAAAATTATCTGGCCCATATCTTTGCCTCCCGTTGTCAACAGCAGATTGGTGGCTTCCAAAGTTTCTCGACCACAGAAAGCTGAGCTTCCCAGCTCTAACTTTCTGTGTAAGGTGAGACTGACCTCAGAGTTTTGTATTTATCATTGGATTTTGCCAAACAAACCAGCTTAACGAAAAACATGGAATTGAGAACGTCTTCACAGGGCCAAAACCTGAGCAGTAACAAGAACAGAAACTTAGAAACTTGGCGTTTGGGTCCCCATTTGTTTCTGAAATACTTTTCTTGTCCTCTCCCTCTCTTCCCCCTGGAGTGTTTAAACATTTGAATAAAGATTTCATTCAAAGGGAACTGATTGGCTCTCCTGCAAGTGGGGTGGAAGATGCGTCATTGAGCGTCAGCAGAAGGCAGGAAGGTGGTATTGCTGGCACTATTTACGTCAGGGGATCAACTTTCTCTTTGGCTGGTGTTTTGTTATTAGAGTTTGTTTAAAACTGGAATCCTTAGAGTCCCTTTCTGAATAGCACCATCAGCATCTTTCTCAGCAGCAAAGATGTTTCTTTCCATACCTCAGATCTGCCCTTTAAAAACCAGACCATGTCAGTTGGTTTGTTTTGGTCTTCTGGACAGTGGGGTTTTCAGACTTTTTGAAGTCTTAGAAACTTTATCAAAAAAATAGGAAACTTGATTAAGAGATGTGCAAAGTACAGTTCTTTGTAGACAATATTTTGTGTTAAAAGGGATCTTATAAAAGATAACAATAAAATATTAGGGTGGTAAGGATAGAGGTTTAGGGATTGTAATAAAATTCAGTTCAACCCAACAAAACTTTATTGCAATTATATTGTTATGCTCTTCCCTAGCTAATGGTAACTGAACCATGTCAAGGGCAGAAAGGTAAAAAAGAATTGTGGGGATGATAGAGAGAGAGGAAACAAGTATGGCTTTGGAGTTGTAAATTTTAGGAGGTGGTGGGATGGTGATGTCTTTAATTGAAAAACAAGAAAATAGGTTTGGGGATAGAAAATTGTGGTTCTATATTGGATGTATTGATTTTAAGTGCCTGCATGACATCCGTCATCCAACCATAAACTCCATGAAGACACCAAGACTCTCGTATTTTTGTATCTGGAGTACTTACTACCCAATAAATGTCTGATAAATGGTTGAATTAATGAATTAATGGCTCCATGTGGAAATGGCCACCATACAGGCAGGAAAGTAAATTTGGTGCTCCAAAGTAGACCTGGATCATTAATTTAGGAAAACCCACAGAGAAATGATCGTTGGCTCTCGGAGTAGATACACTGAAGAGTGAGTGTTGAGTGAGAAGAGAAGGGTACTCAAAACAGATTTGGGGTATTGCTTATGTTTCACTAGTGTCAGCCTCCAGGAAACCCCCATGTCTTCTATACTACCAGGGACCCTGTCGGCCCATCATAATTGCCAGAATGGTTTGAGTAAAAGTCTGAGGATTAGAAATGAATGAGAAGCATATGATCCCTCCCACAAACTATGTCCATTGGGAGGTATGTTACAATAGAAAAAGCAAGCCTCAGAGGAATTATGCCACACATATTTATTAGCAACAAAAGACATTCATCCAGTCTTTTCTTGTAAGTTTGGTGAAGTCCTAGATTGCCCGCAATATTTTGCATGACATTTTCTTGAGGCAGATGAACTAGCAATGCAGCCAGCTTCTCTTCTAGGCTAATGGGATAAATCCTGCTTGAAGTAGAGACACACAGGACCAAACGGAGCGTTAAGCCTATGGGGCCGTGTGATCTAAAATCAAGACCCAATATTGTGTGCTGCCTTGGATCTTATAAAATCCATAGGGTCTCAAATGGCCTAACTACCAGTTCCCCTCCCTCTGTTATTTTGGATAAGGTCCCCCAGCCAAACAAAGCTCCTTATCATGGAAACCACAAACAGTTTCTGCTTATCTCTGAGTAGCTAGTTTTATTCCCTGCCAGCCTGTGGAATTATTCAGACAAGCCTATTGCATCCTCCTGCAGGAACTAGGGGGGCGTCTCACCCTCTTGATACTACAAGCCTGCCTCCCACAGCCCCTGGTTGTTCACTGCATTCCCAAGTATAACCTCCGTGCAGCCCTGCATGGCATGCAGTGTCTCCTCCCAGGCTGTGAGTATATGTGACTAATAAACTGCTGTCAATCTCACCTGTCCAGCTGTGTGTTCAGCTGTCCTCATGACCTCAGAGCAGAATCTCTTTCTCACCAACAGGGTGCATAGGAGGTGATTAAAACAGGACCTTTTGAAGGAATTAGGTTCTTAGCGTCACCAAATCTAATAACCTGTTCATGTAAGGAGCCTGCGCAGCATTTCTAGCCAATTCCTATATATTTAGCACTACTCCTTTCCCCAGTGAGGACATTTGTATAACAGTTTTGTTGTTGTTTGAGATGAGGCCTCCTATGTTGCTCAAGCTGGCCTTGAACTCCTGGGCTCAAGTGATCTTCCTGCCTTAGCCTCCCATATAGCTGAGGCTATAGGTGTGTACATCACACCAGGCTCTTGTAACATTCTTTATTAAAAATTTTTATTGATTTATTTTTATTTTGAGAGGGAGTCTCGCTGTGTTGCCCAGGCTGGAGTGCAATGGTGTGATCTTGGCTCACTGCAATCTCCACCTCCCGGGTTCAAGCAATTCTCCTGTTTCAGCCTCCCAAGTAGCGGGGATCACAGGCATGCGCCACCATGCCTGGCTAATTTTTGTATTTTTAGTAGAGACAGGGTTCACCATATTGGCCAGCCTGGTCTTGAACTCCTGACCTCAGGTGATCTGCGCGCCTTGGCCTCCCAGAGTGTTGGGATTACAGGCGTGAGCTACTGTGCCTGGCCTTTAGTTTACAGACCTGAGTGCAGCATCAAAGCCCTTGTGGTAGCTGCTTCCAGAGTGTATATGCCTAATTAGGGTTTTCCAAATGCTAACTGTGCTTCTGATAGGTTACTCCTAGGATAACATATACATATATTTCACTCTATGCTGAGGTATTTTAAATCAAATTACAGACAGTGTTAGTTCTTGTTTCCTTTAATGTTGAAATCAGTTGGCTTGAGCTTCTTTTTCTTATAAGGTGGATATCTACTATACCTTTTTCTAGCTCTCTTGGGATTTCATGATGTGTTCACCTCTTACCTCTCTTCTAGTCAACTGCTATCTCTGAATTTGCAATCTCTTGTGTGCATTCTCCCTTTCTCAAGCCCTTGCCCCTTCAGGACATTACCTTGGTTCCTTTACTCCCCAGATTACCACTGACTGTGAGTAGCAGACTTTACTGAAGATGCAGGGCAAGGAGGGACCTTTCACCTAAATTGAATACTAGAAGGGTTGCCAGATTTAGCCAATGAAAATATGACTCTCAATTATCTTTGAATTTCATGTAAACAAGTAATTACGTCCCAAATATTTGCATGGCATCCTGTATTTTATCTGGCACCTTTTTTTTTTTTTGAGATGGAGTCTCGCTCTGTCTCCCAGGCTGGAGTACGGTGACGCGATCTCGGCTCACTACAAGCTCTGCCTCCCGGGTTCACGCCATTCTCCTGCCTCAGCCTCCAGAGTAGCTGGGACTACAGGAGCCCGCCCCCACGCCCGGCTCATTTTTTGTATTTTTAGTAAAGACGGGGTTTCACCGTGTTAACCAGGATGGTCTGGATCTGCTGACCTCATGATCCACCTGCCTCGGCCTCCCAAAGTTCTGGGATTACAGGCGTGAGCCACCGCGCCCGGCCTTATCTGGCAACATTAAATACTAACCCCCAAATAATAAACCCTAAATAGACATCTCCATTCTTACTCCATCAACTAGAAATCACTCCTGATCTCCTTTCCCGACATTTAACAACCAAAGAGCAGTCATAGTTATGAGAGATAAGCTGTGGACTGAAAGCCTGAAGTGTGGTAAAGGGTGTGCAATGCTGAAAGGAAGAGATAAGAGAAGTTGTAAAGAAGCCATAAGGGCCAGGAATAGTGGCTAATTCCTGTAATCCCAGCACTTAGGGAGGCTGAGGTGAGAGGGTCTCTTGAATCCAGGAGTTTGAGACCAGCCTGAGCAACAATAGTGGGACCCCATCTCTACCAATTTTTTTTTTTAATTAGCCAGGTGTGATGGCATGTGCCTGTGGTTCTAACTACTCCATAGCCAAGGTGGGAGGTTCACTTGAGTCTGGGAGGTCGGGGCTACATTGCACCACTGCACTCTAGCCTGGGCAACAGAGCAAGACCCTGTCTCTAAGAAATAAAAAAATAAGAGGCCATAAGCCTGAGCTTTGTGACCGTTGTAAAAGCAATGCCATTGAATGTTGGGAGGAAGGATGATTTTAAGAGACTGAAACAAAATTAAGAGAGACTGTTGAAGTTTGTTAGTGAAGTGAAGAAGAGCGTGGATACCAACCTGAAGGGGATAGAATGATGGAGGATTTTTTTCATTGCATAGAGTTATATGCATTGTTAGCTGAGGAGAAAGAACCGCTGCAGATAAAGATGGCAGAGAAATGAACTATGGATGAAGGATTCAAGAATAGGGGAGTCCTTTCTTTTGGCTGCTGTTCTGATGGAGAAGTAGTGTTATGGACTGAACTGTGGTTCCCCCAAATGTATATGTTGAAGCCAAGCCCCCAGCATCTCAGAATGTGACAGGATTTGGAGACAGGGTCTTTAAAGAAGTAATTAAAGTAGAATGATGTCATCTGGGTAGGCCCTAATCCAATATGACTAGTGTCATTGTAAGAAGAGGAGACGAGGACATAGACACACACATACAGAAGACGATGTGACAACACAGGAGAAGACAGCCATCTACAACCCAGGAGAGAGGCCTTAGGAGGAACCAACACTGTCGCCACCTTGATCTTGGATTTCCAGCCTCCAGCACTATGAGGACATTTCTGTGTTTAAGGCCCCAGTCTGTGGTACTTTGTTATGGCAGCCCTGGCAAACTAATACCAATAGTATTTGTAGTCATTGCCCACACAGGCTTTGGGGTCAGACAGTGTGGGTTTGAATCCTGACTGGGCTTCTTTCTGGCTATGTGATCTTGGGTGACTAAATCTGGAAGCCACATGTTCCTCCTCTGGAAAATGGGCCTGCCCTCCATTTAGTATTGTTGTGAAGATCATTATGAGTTCATGTATATGAGACCCTTAGCATAGTGTCTAGCAAGTGGTTAAGTGCTCAATATCTTTATTCTTTCAATAAAGATTTACTGAAAGACTCTGTGCCAAGCACTGGTCTAGGTGCTGTGGACATATCAGTGAATTAGACAGACAGAAGTCCCTGCCCTCAGGGAGCTTTCATTCTGGTGGGGAAGGCAGACAAACAATTAGGTAAAATCTATAAGTGTTGAGGAGAAGAAGTAAAGCAAGGAAGGGGTAAATGAAATGCTAGGAGGTAAATTTGAGATAGAGTGACCAGGGAAAACCTCCCTGAGGAGGTAACTCTTGAGTAAAGACCTGAAGGAGGCGACAGCCAGCATTCCAGCAGAGGAAACAGCACATGCAAAGGCCCCGTGGGAGGAATGAGCTTGGTCTACACAAAGCACAGCAAGAAGGCCAGTGAGTATGGAGAGGAGAGAACAAGGATAAAAGGAGCAGGAGATGAGGCCAGAGAGGTGAAGGGGATAGATCACATAGGTCCCTATAATGGGTTGAACGATGGTTGCCCCAAAATATATGTTTGTGTCCAAATCCCTGGAACCTGTGATTACTCTCTTACATGGCAAAAATATGACCAAGTTAACCATCTTCGGCGGCAGAGCTTGTTCTGGATTATCTAGGTAGCCCTAAAGGCAATCACATGTATACTTATAAGTCAGACATGAAGAAGAGCAGGCAATCAGAAGACAGAACACAGAGAGATGTGTCCACAAGCCAAGGAGTGCCAGCCAGTGCCAGGAGCTGGAAAAGGCAATGAACACATTCTCCCCAAAGCTTCCAGAAGGAGTGTGGGCCTGTGCGCACCTTGCTTCCAGACTTCTCACATCTAGAACTTTGAGAGAGTAAAATTTCTGTTGTTTTAAACCTCTATGCTTGTGGTAATTTGGTACAGAAACCCTAGGAAAGTAATACCAGCTCTTGATTTATCTTCTCAGTAATATGGAGGACCATAGGAGGGTCTTGAGCAGTGGAACAGTATAATCATGATTGAACTTCCATTTTTTTTTAAAGTACTTTGCAGACTATATTGGGGGCACAAGGGCAGAGGCAGGGGCTCCAGTTAGGGACAATTTTAAGAGTGCAAGGGAACAATGATGGTGGCTTGGACCAGCGTGGCAGCAGAGAAGGTGGTGAGAATGGACTGAATTCTGGGTGTGTTTTGAGGTAAATCCAATAGGATCTCTGATAGTCTCTTGTGCAACGTGAGAGAAAGGAGGAATCAAGAATGATTCCAGGATTTTTGGTTTGAGCCACTAGAAGAGTAGAGGTGACAATGCCGAGACAGGGCCAATGGCAGCAGGGGCTATGCGGGTGCACACAGGTGAGGGCCAGCTAAGGGCTCAGGGACATGGTACGTTCGAGGTGCCTCTAAGCCCTCTAGGTGGAGATGCTAGCTGCTGCAGATGGGTGGGTTGCAGAGTCCATGTGAGAAGTTCTAGCTGGAGATGTACATTGAGGAGTCAATGACACACAGGTTGTATTTAAAGCTAAGAGAAGTTAGTCTTAAACAAGTGAGGGCGAGTTTTAGTCTTATTTTATGTTATTGGGTTTTAATTGACAGGACCAAGGACCACCACACTGCAATAGGCACGGTGATTATTGAGTCAAAGGAACATAAACCTCTGCCTCTGGATTTCCATTCTCACAATGGTTGTCTCCTGATGTGTCCTTAGTTGACTGGGAGCACATGGACCACAACCACCAGGCTGATGATGTCATCTGGCAAGGGCACTGACTTCAGACTTACTAAAATGTAAAATATTTAAAAATCAGTACTTTTATAAACTAGTCCAAGCTTCACTCTTCTTGCAAAATACCCATGACTCTCCAAATAAGCCTCCATGAAACACAGTTTGAAGATGAGCGCTGTCTGGTGCTTGGGTCTTGCACCCAGAAAGGCACATCCTCAACAGCACTCTTCCAAGAAACGGAAGTCTTTCCTTGAGATCTCAGGAATGGAGTATATTTGCAAACCCTTCCATTTTTTAAAAAAGATAAATTTACAACTGCTCAAGGTTAAGTTAAAAGAGCTGTGAGAGCAAGTTAATTAATTTTTCTGAAAAAGATGTGGCCCATTTGAAAGCAGTAACAATGACATTAGCTTCACCACTGCTGTGCTTGATACAGCATTTTATATTCACAATTGGTTTAAATGACTGTCATGTTTATCATCATAATCACTTCCATCCTACTTTCTCTTGAAAGGAAATCTGAAAATATCATTGACTTAGGGGAAAAATAAATTTTAAAATCAGGGAAAGTAAAATAGCTTAATTAGAAAAAAATTTTCTATATTTTCAATTCGATTTACTTCATTCCTTAGAGGATTTTGTGTGGGTCAAATATCCATTTTTTTAAATGTAGCTAAGCTCTCTGGAGAGGCAACAAGCTGGAAGAAAGAATATAGGCATTGATGTAAGAACTGGCTTCAGATCCCACACATGTCCCTAACTATCTGTGTGCCCGTGGGCAAATTGCACCAGATTTGTGACACTGAGTCTCCTTCCTTCTTAAGTGGGGGCAATAGCATCTACTTCATAAAGTTATGAGGATAAAATAAAGCATTATCCTGAAGGCACATAGCAGAGCACCCATCACATAGACAGTAAAGGTCAGTTGCTTCTCTGCACACACCTCTAATTCGTAGCATAAGTTAGGCAAAAAGCTCCTGTCTTGTCCTAGGCACTCACATTAGATGCTAGCAGTTGAAGGATGAGTACGACACAACCCTGGCAGATGAGGCTCTCAGAGTCTTTTGAGGAATTCACTCATTCATTTACTAGGTATGCATTAAGTGCTTATGATGTTTTAAGAGAACACTCTACTTATTACTGCTATTACTCTCTTATGACTGTTCTAAAAGAGAATTGATGAAGTCCCTGTCCTCAAGGAGCTTTCCTTTCGCTGTAAGTAGCTATATGGACAAATACAAAGGAAAAATTAAGTAGGTAGGCCAGTGCTCTGAAGAGGGTAGGGGTCTAGAGAGTGGTGGTGGGAGTTGGCGCTAGTTGGATAGGGTGTTTGGGGACAGCCTCTCTGAGGAGGTGGTTCTTAAGAGGGAAATGAGGGAGTGAGCCATGTGGCTCCGGGGGAACAGAGTTCCCAGAGAGTGCAAAGCCCTGATGTGGTAACCTGCATGACTGAGAAATGGAAGGAAAGCCAATGTGGCTGGAGCAGGAAAAGCAAGGAGGGAAATGCAAATCGAAACCATAGTGAGATCTCACCTCACACCTGCCCAACGGCTATTATCGAAAGATGAAAGATAACAAATGTTGGTGAGAATGTGGAGGAAAAGGAACCCTTTATACTGTTGGTGGAAATGTAAATTAGTACAGCCATTATGGAAAAATGTATGAAGGTTCCTCAAAAAATTAAAAATAGAACTACCATATGATCCATCAATCTCACTTCTGGGTATTTATTCAAAAGATTTCAAATCAGTATATCAAAGAGGTGTTTGCATTCCCATGTTCATTGCCGCACTATTCACAATAGCCAAGACATGAATCAATCTAAGTGTCTACCAATGAATGAGTGGATGAAGAAAACACGATATATTTATACAATGGAGGATTATTCAGCCTCAAAAAAGAAGGAAATCCTGTCATTTGTGACAACATAAATGGAACTGGAGGCCATGATGCTAAGTGAAATAAGACAGGCACAGAAAGATTAATACCACATGATCCACTTATGTGTTGAATCTGAAACAATCAAACCCACAGAAGCAGAGAGTAGAATGGTGATTACAGAGGCTAGGGGGTGGTGAGAATGAGTAGTTGATGGTCAAAGCAAACAAAATCTCAAACAGAAGGAATAGATGTATATATATATATAAATATTTATGTATATAACTATACGCACACATATATATATACATATAGAGAGAAGGGAGGGAGTTCTATTGACAGTGTAGTGAATATAGTTAACAAGAGTATTGTACACTTCAAAATTGCTAAGAGAGTAAATTTCAAATGTTCTCACCACAAAAAATGTATTTGAAGTGATGGATATGTTACCTAGCTTTAATTATACCACATTGTATGCATAAATCACATCATTTTGTGCCCCATACATTTAAACAATTATAAATCATTAATTTAAAGTTTAAAAAATGAAAAATCAAGGGGGCAGTAAAGAAGGTAAAGTTGGAGAAATAACCAGGGCTCACTAGTGGTGACAGGTTTTTCTGGTGAAATGAATGTGGTGCTTTGGAAATGCAGAGGAGGGTTTTCTTACTCCTGCTTGAAAATGAGAAATAGCATGCTGGTTGGTGTAAGGGAAGGCTTCTCAGAAAGGTGGAAATGGAGCTGAGCTATTGAGCAGATGCTCAGACGCTGCTCAATGCTGGGGTGCAGAGACAATCAGATAAGGTACTTACAATCTATTAAGCTTATGAAACAAAATACTTGTCCTGATAAACTGGAATGCAGTGGAGCCCCACTGAAGCAGAGGTCAGTGGCTTGTGGTGTGTATAGGGCAGGGGGTTGCCTACTGAGTATTTGGCATTTGCTGAAATTAATTCAAAGATATGCTTTCTCTAACCCATCCAAAGGAGATCTTGGCCAATGGGACACAATATACACAGGCCATCTCTCCCACCTGTCACAAGAGTGTGGGTGAGGGTAGGTGTTGGCGGCTTGCTCTTCTGTGTTTCAGTTGTGTTCCCTCATGATTTTGGCCTCCATTTGGTCTGGAGGCCCCTGTGCATCCCGAGGATTATCAGAAAATGTAGATATATATTCAGGATGACTGCATGTCCTTTTGCACTGGCTATCCTGTTGATATGGGAAATGAGAGAGAGAAACTGTAAGATGGGCTTACCAGAAGCCATGAGAGGCAGCAGGCATGGAAAGCTTTCAGTGAATCAGGCAGATCCAGGCCTGATTTCCAGTTCCACCCTAAGGCAGCTGATGGTGGGTCAGTTACTAAACCTTTCTGGGCTTTCTATTGCTCATCTGTAAACTGGGCTAATAATTGTATCAGTGTCACCATGTTGTTGTGAGGACAAAGTGAGTTAATGCTTAGAAAGCATAAGCATCTTGCCCAACACATACTCAATTTTCAATAAAGGATTTTTTTAGTTAATAATGCATCTCATTAAAAAGATAGAAATGGTCTCAGTTCAGATTGAAAAGTTTGAACTACTTGAACTTGATATGGTGAACCCATAGGAGCTAGCAAAGTGCTTTGAGCAGTCAAGCAATGGGATCAGATGCCACAGTGAATAACATTGAAGATAAACTTGAGAGGGGAGAAAGTGGTGTTAAAAAAAATGTAGGCAGCATAGTAGGTCCCTGTTTCAAGACATTTGGTGGCAAAGGGAAGGAAAGACTTTCAGATTGCTTGAGGGGAATTTTTAGGTTAAGTTTTCCGGAAGGTTGGGAATCTAGGCTGCCGCAGCTGATGTGACGTGGCTGATGTGATGATGCTTGGGCTAGCATGGATACCATTCACTCCCAGGGAGGTGAGTTTGGCTCTTTACTCTGGCCAAGGGGTTGGTAGGGAAGAAAGATGGTCTGGCCTTCTTAAGCTGGTACCAGAGAGTGGAACAAGGACAGAGTCCTTACTTAGACATTACTGATAAGCCCAATTGTCAACCATAGAAATTACTTTACTCATAGCCTAAAGCTCATCCCATGGTTAACTCATTCCCACCTCTAAGGCCAGAAACAACACTCACCGTGCTTCACCATACCCGGCACATCATATATACCCAATAATTATTTTTGGCTGTATAAATAAATCTTTTTTTCTTTAATCAAAAATTAGACAAGGAGTTAATATCTAGAATATACAAGGAACTCAAACATCTCAACAGCAAAAAACAATCCAATTTAAAAATGGGCAAATGATCTGAACAGACATTTCTCTAAAGAAGACATACAAATGTCCAACAAATATATTTTAAAATGCTCAGCATCACTAATCATCAGGGAAATGCAAATCAAAACCACAATGAAGTATCATCTCACCTTAGGATGGCTGTTATCAAAAAGACAAAAAGTAACACATGCCGGCAAGGATGCCGAGAAAAGGGAACTCTTACACACTTTTGGTGGGAATGAAAACTAGTACAGCACTGTGAAAAATAGTATGGAGGTTCTTAAAAAAAACTAGAGGTACCACATGATCCAGTAATCCCAATACTGGATATTTCTCCAAAGGAGAGGAAATCAGTATATTGAAGAGACACTTGCATCCCCATGATTTTTGCAGCACCATTCACAATAGCCAAGATATGGAATCAACCTAGGTGTCCATCAACAGATGAAAGGATAAAGAAAATATACATATACACGATGGAATACAAAATGAAATCCTGTCATTTGCAGCAACATGGATGGAACTGGAAGACTTTATGTTATGTCAAATAAGCCAGGAACAGAAAGTTAAACACTGCATATTCTCACTCATGTGGAAGCTAAAAAAAAGTTGGTCTCACAGAAGTAAAAAGTAGAGGCTGGAAAGGGTAGGGGAAGGAGGAAGAAGGGGAGAGATTTGTTAAAGGATATAATATATAATATTACAACTAGATAGGAAAAAAAGTTCTAGTGTCCTATATCACTGTAAGATGACTACAGTTACCAATAATCAGTTACATAGTTTCAAATAGTTAGAAGGAGGCTATCAAATTCCCCAATACAAAGAAATGATAAATGTCTGAGGTGACGAATATGCTAATTACTTTGATCTGATCACTATACATTATATGTATTGAAACATCACTATGTAGCCCATAAACATGTACAATTATTATGTGTCAATCTTAAAATAAAATATTTTTAAAAATAAATTATAATCTATTATTGGATAAGCACAAACTGATCCTGATGGCTAGGTCTGATGATTAGATGATTTGACCAGTGCATAGCTGATTCAAGTTCACAGTCATAAACTAGAATTATTTGGCAAAAATACTACTAAAGATTTTGCAGGTCACATGCATTTTTATTGGCCCATGTTTGCCAGAGAAGTGACACAGGTGGAACAATAATTGAAGTCAGCCTTTTTCACGTGGACTTTGAAAGTCGTTACTTACTCTGGACAAAGAAATGGTGGAAAAGCTATGCAGCAGAAACCTTTGCAGTAGAAAACCTTGAGGCATGAAGACTTATCAGCAAATTTCACAGCTGGAAAAATGATGGTATAGGAAGATTAAGTGACTCAGTCAGTGTACCAAATTTAGGGACATGCGTTGGAGATTATTAGTGATAACTTTCCTGTGAAATTCATCAACAGACCACTAAGGAATAGTTGTTCATTCTAACACAGAACTCACTAGAAGGGGGAGGTGGTAAGAGGAAGATGATTAAACAGTAAAACTCTACTAGGGGGAGGTGAAAATGTGTCCAAAGTATATAGACAAGGAGCAATATTAGAGTCAGCCAGAAAAGACCCAAAGAGCTACAACTGTTTAAATAAAATTCCATTTTATATTCACAAAGGGCCAGATTTTATCCCAGTATAGCTCTGCAGGAATTCTTTGGAAAGGTTCCTAACTCTAGAATTACTTGGTGAGAGTGAATTGGGGCCCTATGAAAATGATACTTGGTGATTTTATGCAAACCACCTAATAGACATAGAATTACTTTTCTACTAGTCCCACATTGACACAGCCTTGAGCCACATAGAGATGAACATTCAGCAAATCCCATTATACATGAATTTGACTTTCCTTTCAGTTTAATAGCTTTTATGGAAAAAACCTCCAGTGAGTTGTGTATTTGTCTAATTATTTCAACATACATATTAATTTCTATAGAATACATGTACTATGCAAAGTTGGCCCAGCCATATAAGTTTATAAAGTCCAGCAAATCTTGTAAGAATCATTTAAGGAATGAGAATTTAAAACCTAGCAATGTCTATGTACCTAGATAATCAGATTGCTTCTACTGCTGCCTGTTCCCTTGTTATGGGCAGCAAATACCAAGGAAGTTTATTCTGTTTCCTCATGCTTTGTCCATCTGTTATCTTTATTGTAACTACATCCTTTCTTCTGATAGTTTAAAATGTTCCTACCAACTTAATCTTTCCATAAGTTGTCCTCAAATCTGGGGAGCTGTTATCTTCTTCCTTATGCTTTATTGTCCCAGACTCACCATCTATAGAAAAGCTGTCTCTCTCCTTCCCTCCCTTCCTTTCCTAACTCTCATTTATATGGTGATAAATACATCATAACCTTTGTCCTTGAGAAAATCACAGCCTAGTAGAAGGTGGAAGTATAGTGATTAGGAAAATAATGGAAGCATTAAAGAGAGGAATACAAGGGGACTCCAAAAAGTTCATGGGAAATGGAATTTAAAGATAAAAATTTTAAACTATAAACTTTTTTCTCAATATAATTTCCATCAAGTTAAGATACTTTTGGAAGTGATGATACCAGCCATTTAGCCCAACCCCCAAAATTGAGGGTATTGGGAATTTAACAAGGTATATGCAGTCTTTTTCACATTATTCATTGAAGAAAAATAGGTACAGACTTTTTAAGATTAGCAAGAAAAAAGAAGTGAGAAAGGGGCCAAATCAGGACTGTAAGGTGGATGCCTAGTGATTTCCCACTGAAACTCTTGATGAGAGTAACAAGAAGGAACATTGTCTTGGTGGAGAAGGACATTCTAGTGAAGCATTTTTTTTTTTCTGCTAAAGCTTGGCTAACATTCTCAAAACTCTCTCATAATAAGGAGATGTTATCGTTCTTTGGCCCTCCAGAAAGTCAACAAGCAGAATGTCTTGATCATCTCAGAAATCTGTTGCCATGACCTTTGCTCTTGACTGGTCCACTTTTGCTTTGATTGGACCACTTCCACCTCTTGGTAGCCATTGCTTTGATTGTGCTTTGTCTTCAGGATCATACCAGTAAAGCCATGTTTCATCTCCTGTTACAATTATTTGAAAAAAAATGCTTTAGGATCTTGATCTCACTGGTTTAAAATTTCCATTGAAACCTCTGCTCTTGTCTGCAGTTGATCTGAGTGCAATGGTTTTGGCACCCATTGAGTGGAAAGTTTGCTCAACTTTAATTTTGTAGTCAGAATTGTGTACATTTGAACCAAGTGAGATGTCTATGAGGTTGCCTATTGTTTCTGCTGTTGTTGGTCTTGTTCAATTAGGGCATTAACAAGGTTAATTTTTTCCTTAAAAATTGATGTGGATGGTTTGCCACTGCAGGCTTCACCTTCAACATCATCTCATGCCTTCTTACAATGAGAAATCAATTTATTAACTGCTTATTTCTTTGGGGCATTGTCCCTACAAACTTTTTGTAAAGGATCAGTAATTGCACTCTTCTTCCTTCCAGGCTTCACCATAAATTTGATATTTGTTCTTGCTTCAGTGTTAGCAAATTTGTGTTGCTCTGACAGGGGTTCTTTTCAAACTGATGTCTAATTCTTGTGAGTGGTTCAAACTATATCCTGTCTAGAAATGTTATAGCAAGTTATTATGAGTTTATTTTGGTGCAAAATTTTTTTGAAATCTGTGCATAATTTTTTCATAATAAGAATTTTCCATGAACTTTTTGAAGACCTTTCATATCTGCCAGCCTGGAAAGAAATCCCAGAAGGACTCCAAAAAAAACCTGGCATCTTAACAGAGTCATAAGGTATGAATGAGAGCTGGAAGTGGGTAGGCAGAGAGGGGAGCAGGGGAAAGAAGTCTGGGCAAAGTAGACATGAGCAAAGGCAAAGAGGTGGGCAATAGGAAAATGGGTGCTGTGGCCAGGGGTGGAAGACTACAGGTCCTTGGGATGGCACAGTAGGAAGCAGGAAGCTGGGGAGATGGGGAAGGAGGGGTAGACAGGTCTTCATCATCAGACCCAGTCATGCTTGGAGATTCTCTTTCTAGAACTCTTCTGTGCCAAATCTTCACAGAGTTCTGTTCCCAAAAGAAAGTCTCCTCCCTTGCAGTCATGGGTACGTAACAATACATTGTTGGAGGAATGAAAAATGAATCACTAAGAAATTGTTTTTATGGTGAGGCTCACAGAGGTATTGAATAATATATGTAAAGTTCCTTAACACAGTTCATAACAAGGACTTGGTTTCTGTGTAGATTAGACTCACAGTCAAATTGCTTGATGATTTATTCAGTTTTTACTATGTACATTATGGCCTACGATGCGCCAAACCTTTACCGGATGCTAAGGATACAAAGATAAAGAAGATACCAGCATGCCTGGCTCAGAGTATTGTGTTTTCCTTTAAAGGTATGGCTCATGGAATTCATGTTCAGTTACAAAAACAAGCAAACACTGGTGACGTGCCCTAATCAAGGCTTGAGTTAAGCTGCATAGTGGTGAAGCCACTGATATGCAATCAGACAGGAGGCAGCATGGCGCCGAAGAAAGATCTGGGGCTGCGAAGTCAAGACTTGCTCTTCCAGATTGTGCTCTAACAATTAACAGCTGCGTGTGGCCTTGAGCAAGCTACTGACCCTCTCTGAGTCTGCTTTCCTTCTGTCAACTGAGAGTAATGACGTTTACCTCAGAGAGCTGTTTCAAGGATTACATGAGATCATACACAGGCCTGGCACATTGTAGGCACACACATTTCCTTTCAGCAAACATTCTTCCAAGATGCAATTTGTGTTTGAGTCATATGCTATTTCTTTCTTTCTTTATTTCCTTTGTTTAGAGGAGGTACCTCACTCTGCGGCCCAGGCTGTAGCACAGTGCTGTGATCATAGCTCACCGCAGAGTCAAACTTCTGGGCTCCAGAGATTCTCATGCATCAGCCTCCTAAGAAGCTACAGGTGCCTGCCACCATGTCTGGCTAATTTTTTTAAAAAAAATTTTGTAGAGACGAGGTCTCACTATCTTGCCCAGGCTGGTCTCAAACTCCTGACCTCAAGTGATTATTTCGTCTCAGTTTTCTGAGTAGCTGTGATTACAGGCACACGCATATACTATTTATTTTTTTCTTTTCTTTTTTATTTTTTTGAGAGGGCTCATTCTGTCACCCAGGCTGGAGTGCAGTGGCACAATCACGGCTCACTGCAGCCTCAACCCCCAAGGCTTGAGTGATCTTCCCACCTCAGCCTCCCGGGTAGCTGAGGCTACAGATGCACACTACCATGTCTGGCTAACTTTGTGCATTACATATACCTTCCTCATCATCAAAACACTAAGAATTCAAAGATGAATAAAACACAGTTTAAATTTAAGACACCTATCACCAAGTGTTAGCTCTTTTCCAATAATTACAGATATAAGCTTCTATTTCATATTTCTGTTTCTCATCTACCATAAGGTTAGTTTTTCTGCTTTTCTCCCCTCATCCATAGATAGTCTCACCACCTAATAGTTTAAACATTTGCCAAGCACTGGAAGAATAAAAAACTTACGCTATAAAACTGAATGTATATATATATATCTATATCTTATCTTCTTTTCTCTTTCTTTCTTTCTTTCTATCTATCTATCTATCTATCTATCTATCTATCTATCTATCTATCTATCTGTTTGGCTTTTTTTTTTGAGATGGAGTCTTGTTCTGTCTCCCACGCCGGAGTGCAGTGGAGTGAGCTTGACTCACTGCAACCTCCGCCTCCCGGGTTCAAGCGATTCTCCTGCCTCAGCCTCCTGAGCAGCTGGGATTACAGATGCCCACCACTATGCCCAGCTAATTTTTTTGTATTTTAAGTAGAGACGGGGTTTCGTCATGTTGGCCAGGCTGGTCACCGGACTCCTGACCTCAAGTGATCCACCCGCCTCTGCCCCCCGAAGTGCTGGGATTACAGGCGTGAGCCACCGTGCCCGGCCTGAATGTATATATTTTTATATAGTGTGACATTAAACATACATCCTGAAAATAAGTTACCAAACAAACAAACAAACAAAAATGCCAGTTTCCACATAGGCTAGGGCTGGTGCTGCTTTGGCTCCTAAAGTTATAGGTTACAGCATGGCTTCTCCCAGGACATGGAAAAACTGTGGGCAGGTTTTTCTGGCTCATGCCCATAATCCACTTATGTCTCCTTGGTGAGGGAAAGGCAGACAAAGTCACAGGAGACTCAGTGTTCTGATACTGCTTCTAAATGCCAGTGCTATCACTGGGCAGGGACGCAAGAATTCCACAAGCCAAGTACTTTTTGATGATCACGATGGGGTGAGATGGGGGTGGGGGCATCTCCATCCTTTAGAACTTTGTTACTTTACTGTGATGTGCTACACTTGTTCATCTGTTCCATGTGTCCTCATTATTAGCCAGCAGCTTTTTTCAAGCTATCTGGGCCAATCCACAGAAACACTTAAGCATTCAGAGAACATTAGTGATAATGCACCTGATAAATCCTTTTCTGTTACATTGTTTTCCTGCAGAGAAGCAGGGAAAAGACCAGCATTCTGATGACATTCTAGCCTGTGGGGCACACCTACCACAGATTAAATGACCATTTCAGGGGCTCATTTCTGAAAATGATTTCTTTTCATTTTGGAAGGACAGCTACAGCTGTGCCTCACTGCAGGTTACGTTCTATTAAAAGCAGCCCAAACTTAGCAGTTGTTAAAAATTTCAGACCACTTTCACTGACGTGTGTGGGTTTCAGTGAAGCAGAATTTGTCAAATAATGTTGTTGTGTGTATTTTTTCATTTCTTTCTTTCTTTCTTTCCTTCTTCCTTTCTTTCTTTCTTCTCCTTCCTTTTTTTGAAAATAAATCTTTCAGGTGATTCAATTGAATTTTAATTCATCAAAAATCTTGTCCCACAGTACAGAGCATCCTGTTAAGCGCATGGTCTAACTGGAATCTTCTGTAGTTCCTCTGCAAACAGATGGTGTTTAGAAACGTAGGACATATCAAAGTTTGAAAAGCAGAATTTGCAAAACACAATATGGCCCACCTGCACGTGTAGACCATGGTTTGTACTCACCCTGGCGAGAGTTTGTAGTGAAGAAGATGTCGTGTGTCTTGCAATGACAGAGTTCAGGACAATTCTAGAGCTACCTGACCAGTCTACTGTCAAAAATAAACTAAGGAGAGAGTATTCTGCCTCCTCTCCTCTTCTCGTCCATCCCTAGGACCCAACCTAATCTCACCTCTCATGCTAGCCCTCAGGTTCTCTCAGCATAATTCAAGGGGAAATAAAGTAGAAATCTGATTTGTGAATGGAAAACAGGAGGAACTCCTGGTGAGCTCGGACAATGGCTTTTTGGTTACTAGGAACTGAAATCCTGTCACTGTAGCTCCAGAAATGGGTACTCCTGTAATAAAGAAGACTGAATATCATGAGAATCATAAAACATTGGCATGAGCAGACCTCAGGGAGCCAAAGATGGTTCAGGACATCTCTGAAGCTGGGCTTTCTGAGTCTACTCTTGTCATCACATTTGGTGGCTTCCGCATCCACATAGAGAGATAATCCCCTTAACACTTGCCTCAGTCCCATGACCTGCCACTTCCAATGACCTCTCCTGCTATCTGTTAGTTCTCTACTCCAAGAGTCTAACCCTGAATCTTGACATTACCAATAACTGCACCACCTCCTAAATCACGATTTCCAGCACCCCACATTCCTTTGTTTAGTATTTCCACCCCCAAAATTCCATCTTTTAACACCCTTTTCACTGTCGTTTCCCACCATCTCTTCTGCCCCAACCACCTCATTTCCCTCTCTACCCAGCATGGATTCTGTAGTCCATCATGGTAGCCTATTACTACACCCCCAATCTATTACTTATACCCTCAACTCCCAGAGCTCTCTTTTCCTCCACCATACTCACCTGGAAAACTCCCAATTCAAATTCAACCAAGCTCTCTGATTACTCTGTGCCTGCCCTCAAGCAGCTAACTCAGCTAGGGGAAAACACACATCACGTTGATTTTTCCTTGTTTAAATTTATGATCATGCATCTCAAGTGGGCTCTCTGCACCACCCAGTGCTCTTACCACCTTTCTCTGCTCAATTCACTCTTCCTTCCACAGAACAACTATGTTACACTTTCTTTTCTCTCCCTACACAACTATCCTACGCTGTCCCCTCCTCACTCTCGAGGAGGACCTCTGTTCTCTTATCACCAGGAAAGCAGAGCTGTCCGAAAAGAACTATTTCATCATTCTGCCACCAGAACAACAACCTGTCTCTGTATCTACCCACTTGCCCTGCCTTTCCTCCTGTTATAAAAGACAAATCGGTTTTTTATTTTGGTCTCTCATCCAAAGTGAACTTCCCTGTCTTGTGGAGTAGATCCTACCACTTCTCATCTACTCAAGAACTTTACTGCTGCTGTTTTCCCTTTCTCACCTCCAGTATTCTCTTCTGCATGTCAACATTCTGTAAAATCTTCCATATTTTAAGATTTCTCCCTTGACCCAAACTCCTTCTCCAAATACAGGCTCATACATCGTTTCCCTCCATAGCAAAATGTTTCAAATGAATTTGTATACTCCTTTTCCTACTTGCTCATTTCCCACTCTTTTCTGGATCCTCCCTAATTAGGGTAACCCATTACTCTTCTGAAACGCCTCTTGACAAGGTTGCTCATCACCTCTCTGCTGCCACAGATGTTAATTCTCAATTGTCACCTTCTACCTTTCAGTCAGCTCGAAACGCTGGACTCTCTTGGCTCCCAGGACACTGCATTCTTCCATTACTTCTTTCATCTTAACCTCTAAGTGTGGCATTCTGCCAGCCTTGTTTCTCTTTTCCTGTCCATCCATAAGTCCCCAGGTGGTCTCAGTAATATATATATTTTTAAAATGACAGTATGTATATACTGATGATTTCCCAAATTGTAGCTCCAACCTTAATTTCTCTTTTGAGCTCCACCTTCAAAATGCCAACTTCCTACTCTGCTTCTTCATTTGCATGTCTCCAAGCCATCTCCAATGTCGCATGCCCACCACAAAGCTCTTTATTCCTGCCATCCACCTCTCCTGCCAACTGTTCCTGATTTCAGTAAGTAGCACCACTATTCACCTGGTGATGAAGCCAGAAACTAAGACTCATCCTCACTGTCTTCCTTTTCCTGGCATCCCTTAACCGATCCATCAACAAATGCTGTCAGCTTCAAGCTTCCTGTGTCTCAGTGCTCAATCCATGAAATGAGAATATTAAGATTTACTTTATAGATTGGTCATGAGGTTTAAATGAGGTAGGTGTGAGAGATATTTGCTGAGAGCATAGTAGCCACTCAATGAACATTATTCTCCTGTGACTTTCCAATGACCTTGAACAGTACTGATGCTCACTGCATCAGTTCCACACCTCCACGTGGCATTTGAGACTTTTCATGTTGTGGCCCCACCTTATCTCTTCACACTTAAGGCCCAACGATTACATTACTACTATGATTTATACTTTACAGAGTTTTTTGGCATATCTTACTTGTTTCTAATATTATCCACATTAAATTGGTATTATTATCCCTATTTTACAGGTTAGAAGATGGGAGGCTATGTGAATTGCTGAAAATCATAAACCAGTCAGTGATAGAGCTGGAAATGAAACAAAGAATTTCCAATATGAGATGTCTTACTTTTCCTATCATGCTATGCTTTCTCCCCCACACAAAACTTTCTTATCCTCAGGCCAGAGTTCTTTTTTCACTCTGTCTGAAATCCACTCCATACCCTGATTTTCTTTGTTTTTCTTACCAAGAAGCCTCTCTCTCTCTCTTCTTCTTTTTATTCGTAATTCCTTTGCCGAGTACTCCAGTGTACAATTGTCTCGCAGATTAATGTTTATTGTTTCATTAATTTACTCATTCATTACCTCCCTCTCTCATTTTCTCACTTATCAAACATTTAATGATAATAAACTGTACAATTCACCTTGAAGGGGTCCTTCACATCCCTTGTAAGTTGGATTGCTAGGTATTTTATTCTCTTTGTAGCAATTGTGAATGGGAGTTCACTCATGATTTGGTTCTCTGTCTGTTATTGGTGTATAAGAATGCTTGTGATTTTTGCACATTGATTTTGTATCCTGAGACTTTGCTGAAGTTGCTTATCAGCTTAAGGAGATTTTGGGCTGAGATGATGGGATTTTCTAAATATACAGTCATGTCATCTGCAAACAGAGACAGTTTGACTTCCTCTCTTCCTATTTGAATACACTTTATTTCTTTCTCTTGCCTGACTGCCCTGGCCAGAACTTCCAATACTATGTTGAATAGGAGTGGTGAGAGAGGGCATCCCTTGTCTTGTGTCAGTTTTCAAAGGGAATGCTTCCAGTTTTTGCCCATTCAGTATGATATTGGCTGTGGGTTTGTCATAAATAGCTCTTATTATTTTGAGATATGTTCCATCAATACCTAGTTTATTGAGAGTTTTTAGCATGAAGGGCTGTTGAATTTTGTCGAAGGCCTTTTCTGCATCTATTGAGATAATCATGTGGCTTTAGTCATTTGTTCTGTTTATGTGATGGATTATATTTATTGATTTGCATATGTTGAACCAGCCTTGCATCCCAGTTATGAAGCCCACTTGATCATGGTGGATAAGCTTTTTGATGTGCTACTGGATTTGATTTGCCAGTATTTTATTGAGGATTTTTGCATCGATGTTCATCAGGGACATTGACCTGAAATTTTCTTTTTTTGTGTGTGTCTCTGCCAGGTTTTGGTATCAGGATGATGTTGGCCTGATAAAATGAGTTAGGGAGGAGTCCTTCTTTTTCTATTGTTTGGAATAGTTTCAGGAGGAATGGTACCAGCTCCTCTTTGTAACTCTGGTAGAATTCGGCTGTGAATCCATCTGGTCCTGGGCTTTTTTTGGTTGGTAGACTGTTAATTACAGCTTCAACTTCAGAACTTGTTATTGGTCTATTCAGAGAGAACTACACACCACTGCTCAAGGAAATAAGAGAGGACACAAACAAATCGAAAAACATTCCATGCTCATGGATAAGAAGAATCAGTATCGTGAAACTGGCCATACTGCCCAAAGGAATGTATAGATTCAATGTTATCCCCATCAAGCTACCATTGACTTCCTTCACAGAATTAGAAAAAACTACCTTAAATTTCATATGGAACAAAAATAGAGCCCGTATAGCTAAGACAATCCTAAGCAAAAAGAACAAAGCTGGAGGCATCACACTATCTATCTTCAAACTATACTACAAGGCAACAGTAACCAAAACAACATGGTACTGATAGCAAAACAGATATATAGACCAATGGAACAGAACAGAGGCCTCAGAAATAACACTACACATCTGCAACCATATGATCTTTGACAAACCTGACAAAATAAGCAATGGGGAAAGGATTTCCTATTTAATAAATAGCGTTAGCTAGCCATATGCAGAAAACTGAAACTGGACCCCTTCCTTACACCTTATACAAAAATTAATTCAAGATGGATTGAAGACTTAAACATAAGACCTAAAACCATAAAAAACCTAGAAGAAAACCTAGGCAATACCATTCAGGACATAGGCATGGGAAAAGACTTCATGACTAAAACACCAAAAGCAATGGCAACAAAAGCCAAAATTGACGAATGGGATCTAATTAAACTAAAGAGCTTCTGCACAGCAAAAGAAACTATCATCAGAGTGAACAGGCAACCTACAGAATGGGAGAAAAATTTTGAAATCTATCCATCTGACAAAAGGCTAATATCCAGAATCTACAAAGAACTTAAAGAAATTTACAGGAAAAACAACAACAACAACAACAAACCCCATCAAAAAGTGGGCGAAGGATATGAACAGACGCTTCTCAAAAAAAGACATTTATGCGGCCAACAAACATACGAAAAAAAAGCTCATCATCACTGATCATTACAGAAATGCAAATCAAAACCACAATTAGATAGCATCTCACACCAGTTACAATGGCAATCATTAAAAAGTCAGGAAACAACAGATGCTGGAGAGGAAGTGGAGAAATAGGAAAGCTTTTACACTGTTGGTGGGAGTATAAATTATTTCAACTATTGTGGAAGACAGTGTGGCGATTCCTCAAGGATCTAGAACCAGAAATACCATTTGGCCCAGCAATCCCATTACTGGGTATATACCCAAAGGATTATAAATCATTCTACTATAAAGACACCTGCACACGTATGTTTACAGCAGCACTGTTCACAATAGCAAAGACTTGGAACCAACCCAAATGCCCATCAATGATAGAATGAATAAAGAAAATATGGCACATATACACCATGGAATACTATGCAGCCATAAAAAAGGATGAGTTCAGTTCCTTTGCAGGGACATGGATGAAGCTGGAAACCATCATTCTCAGCAAACTAACACAAGAACAAAAAACCAAACACCTCCTGTTCTCACTCATAAGTGGGAGTTGAACAACGAGAACACATGGACACAGGGAGGGGTACATCACACACTGGGGCCTGTTGTGGGGTTGGGGGACTAGGGGAGGGATAGCATTAGGAGAAATACCTAATGTAGATGATGGGTTGATGTGTGCATCAAACCACCATGGCACGTGTATACCTATGTAACAAACCTGTACGTTCTGCACATGTATCCCAGAACTTAAAGTGTATATATATGTGTGTGTATGTGTGTGTGTGTGTGTGTGTGTGTGTGCAATTCACTATGCTAAGGATGGAATACAAAGATGAAGGTCATAATAGACCTTAAGATTGAGGAGCTCACAGTTTAGGACATGCATTCTTAGCAGGGTAATATGGCTTCCGCCAGTGGGTGAAAATTGGCTCCTGGGGAACAAAAAATCCATAATTTGTGACCCCCCCAAAGCTGGAAATCTTATTTCTTAGTATTCCTTAGCATTTACTTTCTGTTGTTGGGTTTTCTTGAGTAGCCCATCAGCAGCATTGCCACTGAGTTCATGGAAAATACACAAAATATATGCAGGATAGTGCTATGTAAGGTCAGTGCTACAAAACTATGGTGACTAGGGGGCTGTGATTGTAGATCTTTCCCTCAATTGATTTTGTAATCTTTAAGTTCTCTTGTGAGAGGTGGCCTGTGTATGCCTGATGGCTGCTGTTGGCTGTCTTGCAAATGTTGTTTGTATTTGATCCTTAGTGCTTTGTCTTTGAGAATTAAAAAAGAATACTTTTGTATTATCGAAATGCATAAACTTGAATTATCATCTCAGTAAGCACTTTAACCTTGCATTAAAAATAAAGTAATCCTTATACTTTTAAAATGTGGACCCAACATTATTACATGTTGTATATAGCATATGAATTTTGTACACTGGATAAACATATATATGGCAAATAAATAAAAAGTATATCTGTGGGGTTAAAATAGCACACTCTGGTTGTGCACATCCACAGGCTGATCATCACCACTGTCTTAGTCTGTTTTCTGCAGTTATAACAGAATATCACAGATTGGGTAATTTATAAACAATAAAAATGTATTTGGCTCATGGCTCTGGAAGCTGGGAAGTCCAAGGGCATGGTACTGGAATCTACGCAGCCATTTGGTGAGGTTCTTCCTATGGAAGAAAGCAGAAAGGCAGATGAGCACACAAGGCAGAGGGAGGCAACTGGGCCAAACTCTCCTTTCTATCAAGAACCTACTCCTGTGATAACTAACCCACGTCTGCAGTAATGGCATTAATCCCTTCACCAGGACAGAGCCCTCATGGCCTAACCACCTCTTAAAAGCTCTACCTCTTAATATAGTTACAATGACAATTAAGTTTCCAACCATGAACTTTTGGGGGACAACACTCAGACAACAGCAGCTACCTAGTTGCAAGTCAATCATGTTTTGTGAGACTGAGTCATCATTATGTAATCCGTGGACAAAGTAGCAATATGATACTGATGATAGAAAAAGTTGTAAGTGGGGCTAGATGTTATATCCAGGTGACATGGTTCTGTCAGTTCCTGATTGGAGAGATTTGCTTTCATATTTCTTGCTGTTCCTCAACAAGCCAAGCACATTCCCACCTCAAGACCCTTGGTGGGACTCATGGTTCCCTCTGCCTAAATTGCTCTTTCTTCCAGAGTATGGCTCACTCACTCATTTGGTTCAAGACTTTCCAAATTTCATGTCCTCAGAATGCATGTCCTGCTGGCTTCTAGCACTTTCAACCTTTTACTCCGTTGTTTGTTTGTTTTAACTTATGATACCTACCACCACTTGACATTGAATTTTATGTCTTTTTGGTTGGTTACTTTGTTGATTTTCTATCCCCCTCATTAGACTGTAAACTTCATAGGATGGGGTCTTTTGTTTACAACTGTACCTCCAACACTTCCAAACTAGGGACTCAGTGTTGAGTGAATGTGTAAATTATGCATTAATAAATAATGGAGCCCTAGTTCAATTCTTAGCTTTAATGGAACACAGCTTGAACATTTATTTTTCCTTACTTTACCAACTTTTCTACCTAGTTGAAGTAGTGGAAGTGAAGTATCTCAGGAAAACAAGCATCTCTTACTCTCTCTAGCTCTTTTTCTCTTATGCATCCCCCCTCCTCTCTTTTTTCCCTCTCTTGCTCCATCTATCACACTTTTCATATTATAAGTGATTGATATGGTCCAGGCCCTGAGTGGATAAACCTCAGAGGACCTGCTCCGAAGACTCCTCCTTTCTCTCTTACCTACTTAGAGCAAGTCTATAGCGGAATTTCCATGGACATATAGTCTTTGAAGATGCTTTCTTCACCTGGTTGCAAGGGAGAGACACCCACCACTTGGCCACATAGCACTGGGATGACCAAGGGCCTCTGGCCCAGCCTGCTTACCAGGTCCTATTGTCAGGTGTGAGTTACTGTGGGCTTGCATGTCTCATCTGAGTGTGATGACAGTCTCCTCCAGAACGGTCGTGCAAAACATTTCTCCTGGAATATATTGCTCTAATCAATTTCAGACCTTTCCTTGGATGTCCTCGAAGCTTCCCAGGAATGTCTGAAAGTGAATTCCCATGAGATTCTGGCCTAGGACATCAGAACACTTTGAAATTAAACTCCCTGATGAGTTTAGACATTGCTATATACATATTTCTGGAGCAATCTGAAAGGACAATGTAATTTCTATTGTAGGTCTGGGGGTTGTGTTTATCTATCATGTGAAATGGCAGAAAAGGAAACACATACTGATTTTTGCAAATGTATACCTTTTATGGTCTCTAAAGAAATGAAATAAATTAGAAACCCCATTTGCTATTGCCATATGGAACATAGTGCAAGAAAAATTTACCAGCCTGCAAACCTGCAGTTTCTGGTCTTAAATCTTACCTATGAATTGTGTTTTTCTTCCTACACATGGAGATCCCTTGAACATTTAAATGGAGCACTCGCTCGTCCCAATGCAGATACCCTTTTCACTGGATTAGGTTGTTTGGGGTCCCTCTAGCCATAAAGATTCTTTCCTTGTCATCCATATATGTTTTGGAAAAGTGAATAGATCAGTGGGAGAGATGTTAACCTGACATACCTTTTGTGTTGATGGCATGGCAGTATAGCATACTAGTTAAAGAGTGAGCTTTGAGGTTGGGCAGACTTGGATAGGAATCTCGTATTCTCTGCTTCCCCAGTTCTGTCACTGGGGGCAAGTTATTGAAGGAGGTGGTATTGAAGAGTGATTAAGAACATGGGCTTCCACGTCTGACAGCTTGAGTTTAAATCTCAGCTCTGTTACTTATTCTGTGATCTTGAACAATTGACTTTACCTCTCTGTATCTCAGTTTCTTCTGTAAACTAATGCTTACTTTACTGGATGAGGATTAAGTGAAACAATGCATATAAAGCTCTTAGCACAGTGTCTGGCACATAGTAAGGGTGAAATAAATACAGCTGTTATCATAATAATCATCAGTAATATTAGTAATTGTGGTATTAGTTAAGATGACAAAGCTAGTTAGTGATGAAATCTAAAAAAAAAAAAAAAACAAAACAGCCCAAGAAAACAAAACAAAAAAATACCCTCTCACTCTATTCTCAGCCAAATGATTATTTTACTATGTCAAAATATGTCACTTTGGGAACACATGGGTCAAGGAGTTAGATAAATGAGGGTGGAAATGATGATGATGTTAGTGGTGATGGTGATCACTTGAACCACAGCTTTCCTTAGAGCAGTGGGTCTCATGTTTGGTCACATATTGGCATCATCTGGATGGTTTTCAAAAATACCGATTCCTGGGTTCCACCCCCAAATATTTTGATTTAAATGGTTTAGAGTGCCGTCTGGGAGACGGAACTTTTAACATATGCCCCTGGTAATTCTAATGTATAGCCAAAGCTGAGAACTGCTGCTTTAGAGGTGCTTCCTGTGGCTTTCACATCCTCAGTGACAATGGCCAAGCTAAGGTCAGGCTCCAGCGCCCCCCGGAAGGAAGTCAAGCAGAACAGTTTTATTCACTTGTTCCAGAATTATCTGCTTTCACAGGACTGAGAGGAGCAGCATGAGCTTCATTCACCTCACAGGGCACTAGGAGAGGGAGCACAAGCAGCTGGCTACCTCCCTACCGGCAGCTGCCAACCCTTGACTTTCTATGGGCACCTCTCTCTACACCTCTCTCAAAAGCTAACTCAGAAGCAGAAAATGCTCCCATATGGAGGCCTGCACATGTTTAAGAACACGTTATCTTGGAGATTGCCATGGGAAACCTGAAATGCCTGTGTGTGTGTGTGTGTGTGTGTGTGTGTGTGTGTGTGTGCAAGCATCCGTGTGTGTGTATGTGAAAATGGAATCATTACAATCGATTTCCAGATCCCATATTCAACCATATTCAATATAAAATTGCTGAATATTATGTAGTGAGGGGACCCTGGTTTGAAAGCACCTTAGAGTTGCTCTAAACCACCAGGTGGTACCATATTGCACACCTAACTAATGGCTTTCTGTTTAAGAGGGGTAGTCAAGTCCACATAAGGATTAGTAGCCATTATTTATTAATATATGGTACTCCTTATGCTCAGGGGTGAACAGTGGGAGGACAGCCAGCCTGGTTTGAGAAAATCTCACAAGGATGAGTGACATTTTAAAGTTACGATGTGTCAAGCTGGAGAAAAGAGGCTCAGAATAGTGTCCTTGAGGAGTGGGGAACTGAAACTGTAGTAACAAATCCAAGAGCCAGGGTTCTGGAGAAGGAACCAAGGTGTAGAGTCCAAATAGCGTGTTGTGATGCCAGGAAGGCAGAAGATGAGGGGTACAGGGGATGGAGAAACAGAAGGGGTCTTGGAAAGATGCTGGCAAAATGGACCAATGTGTCTCCATTTGTAGGGGAAATGGAAGCCAGAGTTAAGTGAACAATTATTATTATTATTATTGTAGAGACAGGGGTCTTACTGTCTTGCCCAGGCTGATCTTGAACTCCTGGCCTCAAGTGATCTTCTTGCCTTAGCCTCCCAAAGTGCTGGGATTACAGGAAACAGCCACCATGCCCAACCCTGAAGTGGAAAATTGTATTTGTCTATAATTGTCTATGTCTCTGTGGTAAATTATTTGCCTTGTGAAATTCCAGCTACTTCAGATAGCTGTCTGGAGCTGGTGATTTTATCAATCCACTAATCTCTTTTAAGCCACTGTGGGGTCTTGTCCATGTATAATATGCCCTCTGGAGTCTTCTTTTTTGAGACAAGGTCTTGCTCTGTCACCCAGGAGTGAGTGCAGTGGTGCGGTCATAGCTCACTGTAGCCTCCAGCTTCTGGGCTCAATAGATCCTCCTGCCTCAGCCTCCCAAGTAGCTGGGACCACAGGTGCACACCACCATACCTAGCTAGTTTTATGTTTGTAGAAAAGGGGTCTTGCTATGTTGCCCAGGCTGGTCTTGAATTCCTGGCCTCAAGCTATCTTCCTGACTCAGCCTCTCAAAGTGCTAAGATTACAGGCATGAGCCACTGCTCCTGGCTCCTCTGGAGACTTCTCCCCACCTTGCTTTAGTTGCTGCTTCCCAAGCCAAACCCTGCCTTTCGTCTTCCAGGTGCACCTTCTTCTGAGGAGACACTTCTGCCCTTGCCCTGTCCGGGGCTCTCGACTTGGGGCTGCTGTTCTGTGTCCTTGCTCCGGACCCTTTGTTTCTTCCTGCAGTCTGTTAAATCCCAGCAGTCAGCGAACCTTCCTGCTGAGAAGGGTGAATAAACTAATTTACACCAAGCTATGGCAAATTTAGAAAAGCTTACCATGTTACTTCCCGTTAGAGTACTTGCATTTTTATAGGGAAGAATACTCTAGGGAAAAAACTTTTAATAAAATAGAAGTGCAGGTGTCTGTCATTAGACTGGTGACAGATGAATAAAGAAAGACACCTTTGAAAAGGGCTGTTTGAGAATTTTTAAAGTTATCATGGCCACTTCCTATGCCTCTGAGTCAAGAACTGTTTAAATTCGGTTTTGTTTCTCCAATGTGCATGCCTGCACAGAGGTCTGGGAAGGGTGAGGCGGAGAGGCACAGAAGGACAAAGCACACGAAGGAGACTAAGGAACCTGGGGCTAAGCTCACACTTGGGCACCCAGCAGCACCCAGGCGATCTACCTGACCTTGCATTTTCACTTGAAAAATTAACTCGGCCAACATTTATTGGACACACACTGAGTTCTAGGGCTGTGCTAGCTAAGCTTGGGCATGCATGAAGAACAGTGTTTATTAGGAAAGGGAGTGCCTCATCACAATGCTCTTATAGAGGGACCTACAAAGGGTACACAGAAAAGGAGTGGAAGAAATGCATTAACTTTGTAGGGGGCTGTCGGGGAGATCGTTTCAGAAGTGAATATTGTGCTAGAAGACAGCTGCTCAATGACTACCGCCTCATCGGCAGGAGCGAGGAGCCCCGGAGTCACAGAGTCAGCGTGGATCCAGGCCCTGCCGCTTACTAGCCGTGCAATATTGGGGGCATTATTTAACTTCTCCATGCCTCCATTTCCTCAGCTGAAAAATGGGGATGATGATAGCGTACATTCCATAGTGGGAAGTAAGATAATAGGAATGAAATGGTTGGAATGGTGCCTGGCACATAGGAAATGCCTGCCTTTGTAATTTATTGAGAAAATGATAAGGAGGTTTCCTGGCAAAGACAAGAGATTGAGGTAAGAGTACTCTAGGCATAAATGATGACTTGAGGAAAGGCAGGAATACGAAGCGAATGATGTGTTTGGGGACTAGAAGATATGATAGGAATGGAAGACAGGTTAAGGTGTAGGGAGAGAGTGAGGGACAAGGCTGCAGGGGGCCAGTGAGGGCCAGACCTAGATAGGTCCTGCAGGCACTCGGAGGAGTGTGGTCTCTACCCAGAGTACTGGGGCAGCCACTGACGGGTTGGAGGTTCAGAGAAGGAAGTCTCTGGCAGCTTCATGGAGGAAGGGAGCCTGGTAACAGAGGTGTGGGAAGAGCAAATGAAATAATGAGTGTGAATCAAGCTCATTTTAATCCGCAAAGTGCAAGGTGAATATGAGTGGCCCAGGGAGACCAAGGCGTGGCTGGGAACTCCCCTGTAGCTGGAGGGACCTTGGGCAAGAACTGTTCCTGTCCTGCCTGGGGAGGAGGTGGAGAGAGCTGGGACAAGGCTCCCACCTCTTTCTGCCTGCGCTTGAGTTTACAGCAGGCTGCTGCAGGCCAGCAGACAAGGATCATCAGAAAGGACCCCACCCTGTCCCCAGCCATGCATGCTTTTGGATGGGAAACTCTCCATTACAGTTCTATATAGACTAAGGATGAAGGTGCTGGAAATAGACTGGATTTAAATCTGCTTATCTTAATTACTAACTCCGTGACCCAGGCAAGTTACTTAACCTCTATCTCCTTTGGCTTCAGTTTTCACATGCATAAAATGGGGTTTTACCTGCACCATATAACATGGCTGTGAGGATTAAATGTGTTAATATGTGAAAAGTACTAGAATGGTGCTTGGTACACAGTAAGTTCCAAATATAAAGTTATTAATTAAAATATATAGAATAATAATTGTACCTACTTCAAAATTAATTGTGTCCTTTAAAGTATTTAGGGTAATGTCTGGCATATTATACACCCTTAATTAAGTTAGTTGCTACTATTACTATTCTAATGGATGCCCAGACCCAAGCAAAAACCAAGGGGTGAGGTAAAGGTGTGGATGGGAATGATATTTTCCGTTTTAGTGAATCTACTTGAACATGAACTTCATTTTGTTGCATTTCTATTTGAAGTTTACTTCGGGTATGTTCATCATTTTTTTTTTTTTGCATTTACAGATTCTCACCTATACAGCTGCAATTTCCAATGTCCATCTATGAAGAAATATTTATCCCCACCCCCACCCCCACCCATAGGATGAGGCTGTTGTCTGCCTAAAGCAAGTTGAGTCCAGTTCTGCTCTGAGACAGAAGGATGGACTAAATGACCTCCTCCCACCCTAAAGATTATTTTTCTAAAAGCAATATCACCATGGCCTTTCTGACAAGTCAGATTCCCATCTCTGTGCCCCCACACCTTTCTTCCCTGACATTTCTGTCAGTTGCTTTGCAAGATACATGTAGGATCACTTCTCAGTTTCCTGGAGCTGCCCCTGGGTTTGGAGGGAGGGTGGCCATAGGGTGTCTTCTTTGGGACCTGTGGGGCCCAGTTTCAAGAGGGAAGAGAAGGTGAACATTTCCCAAAGGAGGAGAGAAGAAACCAGGCAAATGGGAAGCTGGGAGAATCAAGACCTCCCTGTTGTATAAGGGCTTCATGCCCTGGGCCCTCTTCCATGCACAACAGCATGGCCACCCACAGGAGGAGCTAGCTTTCTCCAAGGGGCATCAGGGAAGCCCGACTCAGATCCCAGCTCTGCCTCTTGAATTACAGGATCTGGCACCACGTACTTAACTTCTCTAGCTGTCATTTCCTCATTTGTAAAATGAGAACACAACAACACATCATGATTGTTTATAAGGATTCATGAGTTAATAGCTTTGTTTCTGCTTCTCAGACACATAAAGTTTGTTCCCACCCCAGGGCCTTTGCACCTGCTATTTTCTCTGCCCAGAGTGATCTCCCTCTGGACTTCTGTGTGGCTATTTTTATTTCATCATTCAGGCTTCAGGGCAGATGTTCTCTCCTCAAAAAAGTCTTTTCTGACCACTTCATCAAAAATGGCCATCCCTTGACACCTTGATCACCTAATTCCATTTTATTGTTTACATAACACTTATCACTACTTGAAATTGTTTTTACTTGTTTACTTGGATGTTACTGTGTTCCCTGACTAGAGTGTCAGTTCTGTAAGTACATATTCATCGACATACACCATGCTTGGCACATTTGGTGAATCGATAATGTAGTAAAAGAACCTGTACATTCAGCACCTAAACCTCAATGATGTAGTTGCTATTATTATTATTTTACCAGGAAAGGGTATCAGTTTTACCATTCTCTTGTTTTATTTCTAACAATTCGGAATTCTCTAGACTTTTATCATAGACAACTTCAAACTATGTGCTATTCAATTCTGATAAAAACCCTTTTTTGAGAAAAAATATCTATAGAGGCATGAAGTCCCTCTTTTTCTAAATATCCCAAATGCTGCACCATCAGAAAAACTATAAGAACTTGCCCATTTCAAAGAGTAACAAGTTTTTTGCTTTGCTTTTAGCTTTCACTAAGGGATGCTGTGAAAAATCACTATAAGAATCATTTGCTGTTTGATCGATATTAGGGAAATGGTTTATTATAGCATCAGGAACCACTATGAGAAACCCCAGTGTGAGAAATTCCTTTCAAAGTTCAACCCTTAGTAAAACGTTTGCTTCCTTTAGGGAGCTAGTATTTTTGTCTTCAAGAACAAGGTAAGAAACCATATTTCCCTTTTCACTTCAGCTGCCAGGAAGCCCAGGGTCAAATATTTAACTCAAATGTACCCACTTTGTAAGCTTTAAGGTAAGGGCATGCATACTTACATTTTTTTCCTAACCTTTATTTCATGCTCTAATTAATCTTCAGTATAATTCATCTCTGGGAAGATAGAAAACATTTGGCTCAGGAAATAGGAAGGTGCCGATGGAGGCTGGACAGTGAGAACCACAGCCTAATCATACTGCCGTGACTATCTGGGAAGGGCACTGCTACCCTGGCCTCTGGACACAGGCCCCTGACACTGTAGGTGCAGAGTCCTCAGAGGTAGTGTCCACCTAGTCAAGACCAGGCATGTGCACAGACTCTCACAGCCAGGGAAGCAGTGCAAAGTGAGTATCTGAGCTTCGAGGCATCTTTATGAGAGACAGCCCTGCCATTCACCCACTCAAACAGTAGGTAATTCCTCAAACATGGGAAAATGGTTCATATATTAGACAGCTTCCAAAATATAGCTGCTCATTAGAGTTTATTTGTATTCTATGGATTTTTTATAGAGCTCAAAGTTTTTGTGAAATGAAGTGAGACAGGAATAAATCAATAAATACATAAAACAGGTATGAATTGCTCCAGGCTACCAGGAGAAAGACGCTTTCATTTCTTTACTTTTCTAAATGAAAACCTGCTCCAGTTCCCATCTCCAACGTTGGTGAGAAGTTCAGTGTGAATTACTTCCTGTGGCCCCGTCTTCATTCCTTGGGCTATCAGAGCCTGGGAGTCACAATTTTTAGGAAAAAAAAAATGGGAGAGAGGATCCATTCTCGGATGAGCGCTCCACTGTGGTTACTATGGACATGCGCGCTATCCAGATGCCTGCATCCATTCTGAGATGGGCGATCCCCATGGTGACACCCACTCCCTCTGGGCCATCTCATGTGCTGTGTTGGTTGCAAACCGAGCCACTCTTAGGTGAAGGAGGAAGTATTTTAGATACTGTATCTTTTTAAACAGATTAAACCGGTGCATGCTGTGGTCTGAACACCAGAGGGCGCCATTAGCTTGGTTTCTGGACTCTGCTGCTGTGATCGGTACAAGAACCTGACAGATGTGACACCGTCAAATAAAATACAATCTTAATCTTTTTGATTCAGACATAGAGTATTAGGCTCCTTGTTGTGAATTAGGGTCACTAATAGTAAAATAGGGAAGAACTTCTTTGATTCCTTTTTTCCTTTTTTTTTTTAAAAAAATTATTTATTTATTTATTTATTTATTTTTGAGCGGGATCCTCACTCTGTCGCCCAAGCTGGAGTGCAGTGGCGCGATCTCGGCTCACTGCAACCTCCGGCTCCCGGGTTCAAGTGATTCTCCTGCCTCAGCCTCCCGAGCAGCTGGGATTACAGGTGTGTGCCACCATGCTCAGCTTTTTTTTTTTTCTTTTGTATTTTTAGTAGAGACAGGGCTTCACCATATTGGCCAGGCTGATCTCGAACTCCTGACCTCAAATGATCCGCCCGCCACAGCCTCCCAAAGTGCTGGGATTACAGGCGTGAGCCCCCGCGCCCGGCCCCCTTTTTCCCCCAATCTTAAGATAAATAAGTAACCAAGAGGCTAATTTAAATGGTTTCCAAAGCACAAATTATTCTAGACATTGAGGTAAATAATAGTGATTCTGGGCACCAGAAGCCCTGAACCTTGTACTAAGAATGAGGCAGGCTTTTGAATAATTTCAGTGAGAAGGCTCCCAGTCTCTGCCATTTTAATCATCTCAGAGCCAAGCAGCAGATGCTCATTCTCTGCAGCACCGCAGCAGCTCTGGGACCATCCCCGGTCCGGCATTGTTCCCAGAGCTTCTGTTTGAAAGTGGCCCACCACAGGGACGACATGCAGCCATCGGGGTCCTTCCACTGGAAATGCATTGTCTTTTTAAGTCTGGCCAGAGCCAGGGCAGGTTATGGAGAAAGCACTAGTTAAGCAAATGAAAACCACAAATAAGATCTCAGGGGATGTGATTAAAGCTTTTGGTTGGTGGCTTTTTTTTTTTTTTTTTTTTTTTTTTTTTTGAAGGAGTCTCGCTCTGTCGCCCAGGCTGGAGTGCAGTGGCGCAATGTCGGCTCACTACAAGCTCTGCCTCCCGGGTTCATGCCATTCTCCTGCCTCAGTCTCCCCAGTAGCTGGGACTACAGGCGCCCACCACCAAGCCCGGCTGAATTTTTTTGTATTTTTAGTAGAGACAGGGTTTCACCGTATTAGCCAGGATGGTCTCGATCTCCTGACCTCGTGATCCGCCCGCCTCCCAAAGTGCTGGGATTACAGACGTGAGCCACCGTGCCCTGCCAGGTCCGTGGCTTCTTTATTGTGTGTAAATAGATTGAGCTGATCAAAAATGAGTCTCATGGGGCTGTAAAAACAGGTCTCAGCGGGGCATTCACTTGGAAACACTGATAGCAGTTATGGTTTTGAAAGTAACACATTCTTTAAAATCCATGATTCAGACTCTATTCATTTATCCAACATTCAATTACTTATCAAACACTGGCTATTTGCCACTGTGTCCCAAATGTGCCCCATTGGGGGATGAATTTGATGTGGTCATTTGCCCTGGGGCTGCTCTTGGTCTCGCGGGAGACAAATACATGTCACATGGAATTTCTGTGCTATAGGATGAGGGCTGGAATGCCAACCATGCAAGTGGAACATAGGAAGAGAACCAAGTCAATATGAAACGTTAAAGGCACATTTCTCCTCCAATAATTCTGTACCTCGTCATTCATTCAACAGGTACTTATTACTCAGCATCTAGGTGTAATGCGCTGTGAGGCCCTGAGTGCAGCAGTGCATGGAACAGACATTCTTCCTGCCCACATGGGGCTAACATTCCCTTCTTTCCTGTTGACCTGAAAGAAAGGCATTTCGGTTTCTCTCCTTTTCCAAATTCACAGAACCAAATAGGTCTTATGTCTCTAAAGGAGGATCAGAAATATTTTTTCTTCCTAAGGTCTACTGACCGATGGAGAAATGGAGGAAAGAGGAAATGAATCCACGAAAGTTAAGTAGTAAGTTTCAGAAATCCAGCTTAAACAAATTTAAGCAGAAATTGAGATTTATTGGAATGACATTTCGTATGGTTTACAGAATGGAAAGATATGTGACCATCCCAGCTTCGCGGGGGAGGGGCGCAGATCTGGGGATGTTAAAGGCTGGAAGCAACTTTTTTTTTTTTTTTTTTTTTTTTTTGAGACGGAGTCTCGCTCTGTCGCCCAGGCTGGACTGCAGTGGCGCCATCTCCGCTCACTGCAAGCTCCGCCTCCCAGGTTCACGCCATTCTCCTGCCTCAGCCTCCCCAGTAGCTGGGACTACAGGCGCCCACCACCACGCCCGGCTAATTTTTTTTTTTTTTTTTTTTTTTTTTGTATTTTTAGTAGAGACGGAGTTTCACAGTGTTAGCCAGGATGGTCTCGATCTCCTGACCTCGGGATTCGCCTTCCTCAGCCTCCCAAAGTGCTGGGATTACAGACTTGAGCCACCGCTCCCGGTCCCGGAAGCAACTTCTGTAATAGTCAAGACTCTTTGGGTCACCAGTGATAGAAAGTCAACTAAAACTAGCTTAGGCCAAAAAGGGAGGGATGAATCTTCGATGAACAGAACTAGGGACTCCATGCCATCAAGACTCTCCTCTCACCTTAGCCTTTCTAAGAGGTGGCCCCCATTCTCTCTGACGGAGCACCAGCTTTCTCTGAGGGGCTTCAGCCAAGGTTGCTGGCAGCTCTTTGCTGACTTCTTGTCAACTGTGTCACTAGAGAGAAAAAGGACCATCTTCCCCAACTCCATTTAGAAAAATCTGGGCAAAGGCTTCTGATTGGCTCAGCACCTGTCTTTCTCCAAACCTAGACCAACCACAGGGGCTGGAGGGTAGGTAGAATATTATGGCCAGGCCAGCCTGGGTCCTGGTCCTGGTCCTCACTCCCTATACAGGGCTGGGGTGGGAGGTGCTGGGATTAGGGTAAGAGGGACTTTCCACAAAGGTGAAGGTCTGGTCACCTAAAGAAGGTGTAAAAATCACTGAGTCAACAAAATAACAGCAGACTGCAAATGGAAGATAGATTGGGGAGGAAATTGTCAAAATTTACCAATGATTATTAAGTGCTGAATGCATGCATTATATCTCACACATCTTAACATTTGCAGTTGAACCCAAAATTTACCTTATTAAGAATTTCTTCTCCAAAGGTCTAAGGTTGGTTTTAGTTGGTCCTATAGAAAGAAGGAGAACAACAAGAAAGACTTTAATGGGGAAATCCATTTATAAATATGTGTTTAGTCTAAAAGGCAGTGTGATAAGAGAGAATTTAATTTTAAAATTTTATTATGACTATGTTTGGTTCAGAAAGAGAACTTGCATATGGCTCCTTGAGGGCTATCACTGGGGAACATATCTTCCTTTTCAGGGGAGAGTCCTTGGAGAGTATTCTCAGATATGTAAATGTAAGTAGACATGCTCTTTGGCTTGGGTGGCAGGTGCAATAGGATTGTATGAGGCCAAGGAAGGATACTTTTTCTGGTACTCCTTAATATGCAAATCTGGCAGTTTCATAGGTGAATGGGAACTAGGCATAGAAGTAAAGGAGTTTTCTAGGAAGGAAATAACTCAAGACTCACCGCCCTTCCTTTCTGATGAGAAATTTTCTGATGGGCTGAGATGGCCTCAACGAAAGTCCATGTGTGGAAAGGACCCCAAAGGCCCTTGAAAAGCGCTCGCATGCAGGAAAGGGGGAGTATCATTTATTCTGGCCCAGTGTATATTTGAGCCTGGAAGGCAGTCTTGACCCTGACATCCTGTAAGAAAGGGCAGAGTTGGGAACCCCTGAGCACAAACATAAAAGCTTTACACCAGAGACCCCAAGGGTGGAGCATCCTTGGGTGAGAGTAAAACACAGGAAGGAGGAGGAAAGACTGGCTCCTTTAGACTCAATAAGTCTCTGAGGCTCTTGAATCATTTAAGTGAGTAGCAAAGAGGTAAAAGTAGGGAACCAGCGAAAATGGCTATTCTGTTAAAATGGACAAGTGGGAGCTCAAATGATTACCTGAATATTCAAAAGAGATGAGGTCTTATTTGGATATCAGACTGATGAAGCAGTTCATACCAGAAACATTGGAATGAGTAAAATTTTGAAAACTCACAATAAAAAAGGTCTTCAAGGCCAGTGCAGTGGCTCATCCTGTAATCCCAGCACTTTCGGAGGCTGAGGCTGGAGGATGGCTTGAGCCCGGGTGTTTGAGACCAGCCTGGACAGCACAGGGAGACTCTGTCTCTACAAAAAATATAAAAATGAGCCAGCTGTGGTTGGCACACACCTGTGGTCCCAGCTACTCGGGAAGCTGAGGGGAGAGGATCGACTGGGCCCAGGAAGTCAAGGCTGCAGTGAGCTATGATTGTGGCACTACACTCCAGCTTGGGTGGCAAAGTGAGACCCTTTCCAAAAAAAAAAAAAAAAGATTTATACTTCACCTAAGATTTGGAGGATGAACTTTGGAAACAATTATTTTTCTTTTTTTTTTATTATACTTTAAGTTTTAGGGTACATGTGCACAGTGTGCAGGTTAGTTACATATGTATACACGTGCCATGTTGGTGTGCTGCACCCAGTAACTCGTCATTTAACATTAGGTATATCTCCAAATGCTATCCCTCCCCGCTCCCCCCACCTCACAACAGGATCTGGTGTGTGATGTTCCCCTTCCTGTGTCCATGTGTTCTCATTGTTCAATTCCCACCTATGAGTGTGAACATGCAGTGTTTGGTTTTTTGTCCTTGCGATAGTTTGCTGAGAATGATGGTTTCCAGCTTCATCCATGTCCCTGCAAAGGACATGAACTCATCATTTTTTATGGCTGCATAGTATTCCATGGTGTATATGTGCCACATTTTCTTAATCCAGTCTATCATTGTGGGACATTTGGGTTGGTTCCAAGTCTTTGCTATTGTGAATAGAGCCACAGTAAACATACGTGTGCATGTGTCTTTATAGCAGCATGATTTATAATCCTTTGGATATATACCCAGTAATGGGATGGCTGGGTCAAATGGTATTTCTAGTTCTAGATTCCTGAGGAATCGCCACACTGTTTTCCACAATGGTTGAACTAGTTTACAGTCCCACCAACAGTGTAAAAGTGTTCCTATTTCTCCACATCCTCTCCAGCACCTGTTGGGAAACAATTATTTTTCAGGAATAAGATTGCCAATATGGAAACTAGGGTATCACCTCTAGGGGCTTTCAATGCCATGTTATCCTAACACAACTATTGTGGAAAAACTGCTGTTACCTGTTGGATTATCTCCTATGGACCACAAGTAATAAAATAGACAATAAAGTTTGAACAAAGTCTTCTAATCCTTACTCTAAAATATCTACAGGACAAGTCAAGAATAGATGCAGAGAAAACGGAGCATCTATCCAGGCACTCTGCTTAAGTAAGTATATATGTATATTGGAGCGCGTTGTCTTGTCCAGTTCTCATTTTTTGCCTTGATGGAATCAGGTCAGCCAAATGTTGAATTGTACCCTTAACTAATTTAGCTAAAGGCTTAGAGACTCAGCCAAAGCTGTTGGTTTAGGGGGTTTTTCCTTAGCCATGATGAAGTTACCCATGTGACTTACATTTAACTTCATATAAGAGGTGTGGCTGGGCTGGCAGTGTGCTAGCTAGCACATTGGGCTAGATAGCAAATATTATTAACAACAACAATAGCAAATGCTACATTGAAGAGTCCTGGAAGTATGAGCACATATTTTCTTGCTCAGAAAATTCTTTCAACATGCTTGGTTTTTATAAACTCTAAATGTCACATATTTAATAAATCAGTTTCTCAGTTAAGCAAGTTTATTAAATATCCATAGTAGTGAGAAGAGGAAAAACACTGTTAGAAACAAACCTTTAGAGAATCTGACTAGGTCTGTTTCTGCTTTTAAAGATTGGGCAGCATATTTCATATCAGGGTAAGGGTGCCTTCCCCAAGAATTTAATCTGATTCAGAGAAAAAGTGAGCTTTTGATTTCAGTATATTTATAGGCTTCTACATATAATGACTGGAGACTGGCCGTCATGGTTGAGTCTATTGTTGGTTGGCTCATTGCAATGGGCTTTGTATCTCTTGGGTACCAATAGAGGAAGAAACGGGAAGCTGATTTGATTTATGTAATAAAGAAACAAGATTTTGAGATGTCCTGGGCAGTCTGTGAAGAAAGAAGGGGGTAGGGAAATTGGGCAGAGATGAGAGGGATGGGAATTGGAGATGGCTTGTGAGAAGGTCACAGAGGTGATCCAAATGAGAATGGCTTAAAAACAAAGACTTCTAGACCAGGCGCGGTGGCTCATGCCTGTAATTCCAGCACTTTGGGAGGCCGAGGCGG
This sequence comes from Homo sapiens, assembly GCF_000001405.40. Lineage (NCBI taxonomy): Eukaryota > Metazoa > Chordata > Mammalia > Primates > Hominidae > Homo > Homo sapiens. The sequence continues at coordinate 96,173,916 of NC_000008.11, read as the reverse complement.
GCGGATCATCTGAGGTCAGGAGTTCAAGACCAGCCTGGCCAACATGGTAAAGCCCCGTCTCTACTAAAAATACGAAATTTAGCTGACCGTTGTGGCAGGCACCTGTAATGCCAGCTACTCGGGAGACTGAGGCAGGAGAATTGCTTGAACCTGGGAGGTTGAGGTCCCGCCATTGTACTCCAGCCTGGCGACAGAGCGAGACTCCATCTCAAAAAAAAAAAAAAAAAAAAAAAGACATCTAATGTTGGCATCTGCTGGGCTTCCGCCTTCAGTAGCAGCCTGACACAGGTGGCATTCTTGTGTACTGTGGGGAGCCAGAGGCGAAAGCAATGACAACTGCATTCAAGGCAAGATTGCAAGGAGAGATTGTCATAGAAGGACAGAAGAAAGTGAAAATTCAGCATAAATTTGGAATAAGAGGAAACTGGGAGAAACATCATCCTCCAAGAATCCCCAGAAATACCAAGGCCAGGAAGAATACCAGTTTTCCCACTTACGTGGGATAGAAGCTCCAGACACTTTAAAGTGAAAGATTAAAGAAATATTGAGGTGGCAAGATTGACCGGCACCCACACATGCTTGGCCCTTGAGTCATGCTACTCTCTCAGGCACTCTGCTAGCGTTTTCCCACAGGCTTTTAAATCAACTTATCAACTGCCTGGTTCAAAAGCATGTTAGTGTACCCTGAGGCTAACTGGTCTGGATTGAGTTTTTCTAAACCAATAAGTTTCAAGAACAGTGATTCGATGGGGGCAGGAGAAGAGGACAAGAAATAACCAGGTTAAGTTTGCTGTCTGTGTATTTTAGTTTTATAAAAGAGAGTCTCAAATGAAAAAAAAATCACATTGAACAGTTGCCATGAAGATCTTCTTCAGTTCTTTGTGGGAGGGAATGGCAGCTTGAATTAATTGGCCTCAGTTATTGGTTTTCTTTCATCTCCAGCCATTTTATAAGAAAGATAACCACAGGACTGTAGTAATTATAGAGTCATCAGAGTGATTTGCCAAAGGTAAACCTAGCTGGCGGAGTACTAGGGATTCTGTAAACATTTTGTCAGTTTGCACATTTTGCAGACAACTTTTAAGGAAACATCAGTTTGTTTAACGGGCTTCTTTGGGTGAGCTCTGTCCTCAGAGACACTGACTGTAGCTTTTAATCCCTCTTTCATTTAAGCTGATGCTGTTAATATTTTTCAGCCATCAATCATGTGGCCAATGCAACCTGTCCTGGTGGAAATTTGGAGGCTATGGTCAGGGCTCTGATCTGGCCAGCCAGCCAGAGTAATCATTTCCTGGAAAATGGTAGCAATGAGCAGCCTCTGCCTGCAGCTACACTTTTCCCTCACTCCTTTGTCCCGGCTCTTTTGCCTGCAATGTAACGTGGCTAAAGCAGATGAGTATCCCAGGGAGGATAAATAGAAAAGGCCATTATTAGTGAAACCATTTATTCCAAAGGAATTAAGAAGGTTGTTCCTCACAAATTTTCTAGCTATATATCTAACCATGCTAAAAAGTGTTAGAGAACAATTCTAAAGAAATTTTTTTTAAAAAAATTAACCACATCTCTAGTAAGAATTTTATGGACAACCCACAACACATACACACACACACACACACACACACACACAGAGAGAGAGACGTACCACTGAAATTTTCCAATAGAATGTTTGTACTATGTTCAAGGTATTCTGATCCATTCCATTCCATTCCATTCCATTCCATTCCATTCCATTCCATTCCATTCTATTCTTTCTGTTCTGTTTTATTCTATTCCATTCTTTCACTTCAAAAAAATCTGTGGTCATTATTCATTACTCTGATATCATAACCCACTACTATGTCACAACCCACAGTTTGTGAAACACTGCAATCGAGAGCATTTGGCATTGCATCACCACATTGAAATTGTCCATTTGTTTTCAATCCAGCATGCCTGGATAGTGATTAGAAGGCATCGGTTGTAAGCTCTGCTCTCTCATCAGTACCCCCAATCTTTTTTAAAATCTGTTTAGTCATCCTGCAAAAACTCACTGTGAACTTCATGAAGTTCATGAACACCCACCCTTTTATTACCTGGTTGAATGGTAGTCAGGAGACATGGCTTTTCATCCCAGCTCTGTCACTAACTGTGAGACTCTGCACAGAACCTGACCCTGAGCATCATTCCTCTCATCTGTAAAATCATAATATTACTAACAGTAAGATGTTTCTATGTGACAGTCAGTATTCAGAGGGTTTTACATGCATTAGTTCATTTTATCCTCACTGCAAACTTGTGAGTTAGATGGCATGTTGACCCCACATTATAGAAGGGGTTAAGAACAGAAAACATTCTGTAAGATGCCAAGACTGTATAGCTGCAATGGTAGCGGCAGGATTTGTGCTTGGGCAGCTTGAACCATTATTCGACACTGCCTATTTTGAGCCAATTATACTGGGTGATCTCTTAGGACTTTCTAAGATCTGACTTTCTGTGATTCTTCTTGTCACAGTGGTTAGGAGTTTCTCAAAATGTAGTCTCACTAAATTTTCCTGCCTATGGTTCTTTTGGGAGAGTTCTGTGCTACATGGCTCTACAGAACTGTTACTTTACTAGGATAAACCCCAACCAATGCTTCTTACTCTAGGAAGAGATGTATGTATGTGCAGAGGTGGTTGGAGAACATGGAAGGCAGAAGAGCTGATAAACTCACTCAAGGGTTTAATTTTTCTTCTTTATCTTTCAGATCCACATACGCCCATTCTGCAGGACACATTAGGAGCTAGGGCGGGGTGTGGTGGTGGTGCCATGAAACGTGTCTGTTACAGTTAGGTGCAGATGGTGGAGAGGAGGCAGGCAGGCCAGCCTTCCACATGAGGCACATGTGTTTGCAGAACATAGGTGGCAAGAAAACACATGCAGATTTAGAAGGATCCACAACATCATGCGGCTCAATTGCCAGATCTCTGCTTAGAAGTAAGGGGAGATGAAGTTAGGGCTAGAATGTATTGGCCGCAGTAGATGCATTGGCTCATGCCTCTAATCTCAGCTACTCCAGAGGTTGATGCAGGAAGATCACTTAAGGCAAGGAGTTTGAGACCAGCCTGGGCAACATAGCAAGACCCTGTCTCTAACAAACAAACAAACAAAACCTAAAGAAGACCTTGAGTGCCAATAGAAGCCAAAATGTTTATGGAAGAGGCTTATAGTGTTAAAATTATAATTTCAGATATTATTAATTTATATTACACTCCTAAAGTGATAGTCTTGGCAAGTTACATACTGCCTAATATTGCTAAGATATGAGCTAACTGCTAAGAGAGGGTCAAACTGAATCCATGGCAGCCATATGAACCTTCAAAAAATGCAGCAAGGGAATTGTAGTGTTGGCTACACTACACCCAACCATAAAAACACACCAATACAAGGAAGGAATCTGTATTTATTTGATGCCATATTTAAACAAATACCAAATAATAAAATCCTTATGGGACAGATAGGGTTTAAAAAAATTTTTTTCCCCTTTCAGGGCCACTGTGGGAAAATAAATCTATCAAGGGCCACATTTAAATAAAAGGAAAAGTAGATTAGTTTTAACTGGTAGGATTTTTTTTTTAGAGGAAAATATAAAGTTCAATTCATTTGGTCCTTAAATTAGGGTCAATGTGAATGGAAAGTTTTAAAATGTGCTTCAGTCCCAGATGTTAGCTAGTTAGAGGAGAAAGGATAGGAAGAGAGCTGGAATGAGGAAGAGAAAAAGAAAAGGCTGGGAGAAAGAAGAGGAGGCGGGAATGAAAAGAGGGAGGAAGATGGAGAAAAACCAGTAGTGGAGAGGAAGAGAGCCAGTCTCTGAGCAGAGAAGAAAGAGAGCAAATGATGAGAGAGGCCCTGCTGAATTGGAAAGACTCAGGGAGCCAGGGAAGTGAAAATAACAGGAGGCAAACTCCTAACTCGTCCCTTGTTATTTTCTTTAAATTGCTAATGGGTGGATTCACCACTGTTTCTGCAACTCTGATTGTTCTTTAATATTAAAATGTTAGCATTCTCAATAATTAGAAATGCACTAACCTCCACCTCAGTGACTTTTTTCTACAGTGAGAATGTGTAGAGGCCAAAACTAGAACATTCCCGAAAGTGGATTAAAAGAACCCATGGCTTTATCTGAAATCTGTCTAGATTAGGTTGTGTAAGTTCCTTTATGGGAGGGCATTACGTTGAACAAATAAAGTCTTGTTGAAACACCTAAAGCAGACAGAAAAAGGAAAAATTGGTCATGAGTTCATAATAGTCTTCAAGTAAGCAAATTGCTCTATATGGATTATAATTCCTGTTGTCCTTGCTGTGCAGGAGATAGAGGAGGACAAGAGAAAGCGAAGGTCAATTCATTTCGACACAGATACTTAAATAGATGATATAGATTGATAACTATGTCATGTGTGCCTCACCCAGTGGGATATACCTAACAGCATTTAAAGTATGTAAATACCTGTATTTGACACCTGTAAATATCAAGTACCTGAATATCTCTACATCATGCTTACCCAGCCCAGAGGGGAATAGCTAAAAGTATGTAAAGCATGAAAATTATCCTCACAGTCCTCAAATTTTTTGGAAAGGAAGGACATTCAAATGGATACTCTTTGGAGAACAGTACAGGAAAAAGTGCTGGTGTTCTAAAAAGAGTCCTGGATTCATGATTGGGAGCTGGGGCTCTCAACTTGATGAACTACACAAGCCTCAGTAAGTCTCTTACCAGTTTCTGCAGCCATAGTTCTTCATCTCTAAAAGAAAGGGCTGGACCATGTGATTTTTATAGTCCTGTCCTGCCTTTGCGAGCTATGATTGTAACATGTACACTGTAAATGTGGCAAGATTCCAAGAAAGGAATACAGCCACATAAACATATGGGACTGTCATTGTGCCTGGATCACCACCACCACCATTCAGACATCATGATTTTTGACCTGAATACTTTTTTGGTATTCAAGAATATTTTATTGAAATACATGTATTTCTTGAAAGCTTAAGCCTGGAATCAATTTACTCTTGGAGAGGTAGATATTAGGCATTAATTGACGTTTAGCCAAGAGAAAGACACACTGGGAACATGATGATTCTGGAAAGAGAAGGCAAGGAGGAAAAATATAAATTTTAACTATTTCAGAATTTTTCTTCCTTGGAGGCCTGTTAAACATTGGAATAGGCACACCAGGAACTTATAGAATCAACTTTTCATATGGTGCTTTAAAATCTCCTTCACAGGGAGGGATAGCGTTAGGAGAAATACCTAATGTAGATGACGGGTTGATAGGTGCAGCAAACCACCATGGCACGTGTATACCTATGTAACAACCCTGCACGTTCTGCACATGTATCCCAGAGCTTAAAGTATGATAATAAAAAAATAAAAAATTTAAAAAAACTCCCTCACATATTAGTCCTTTAATAAAATAGCTTAGCAAATTCTAATCTTTACTGAAACAGTCTTATCTAAGGAAAAAAATAAAGTGAGAAATTCAGGATGGCTCACATGATACAGCTGGAGAGGTAGAGGCAAAAGGACTAATAAAACATTCCCCTTGACATTTCTGTAAATAAACAAAAAACCACACTCAGTTATGCTTATTAACAAAGTCTATGCAGTGAAATGAAAAAGCCAAAATTGTCAACAAAGCTGTCTAAAAAAGTTTTGTCTTTAAGCATATATTTTGCAAGTGGATTTTTTTGGAAAATTTTTATTATATGTGTACTTTTTATTGTAGTCAAATAGATACAATGTAAAGTTGACTATCTTAACCATTTTTAAAGTGTACAGTTCCGTGCCTTAGGTACATTCACCCTGTTGTGCAACCAACAGTTCTGTCCGTCTTCAGAACTTTTTCATCTTCCCAAATTGAAACTTTGTACTCATTAAATACGAATTCCCCATTTCCTCCTCCTGCAGCCCCTGGCAACCACTATCCTACTTTCCATCTCTGTACTTTGTATTTAAGATCAACTTATTATAACTTGCAGCTGTTGATATTTCATAATCTTAGCACTTGAGAAGAAAAGTCATGGAAAGGTTTTTTGAGAAAGGTAGGGTTTATCCTGACTTTTCAAACTCTTAAATCCCATAGTTACTCGTTTCAAAATAAAGTTTCAACCATTTCTAAGACTTAAAGTATTTATTTAATTAATTCTAAATAAATAGGCAACAAATGTGTGGGTTTTTTTTAATTCCTAGAAACAGACACATCGAAGTACTATTTTAAAAAAGCACATACAATTGTTACATCAATCATTTTTATTTGAGTAGAACATATTGAAACTACTCCACACAGGCATATGCCCTAAATATTAACATAAAATATAGGAAATTTTAAAATTATCGAGAAAGGATTTGACACATTTGATTGAAAGTTAATTGCTCTTTTCCTTTTCTCTCATGAGTAAAACCTGGTAAATTAACTAATAGACAAGACAGCAATAAACAACAGATACTGTTATCATTTTGTTAATACTATTTAGAGCTCTGAAGTAAAAATAGATTATGATAAATTGATAGTAAATGTGACATTCTCAGTGTATGTAAATAAACCCTGAATTTGAGAACCCTGTTTTCCCAGAGCCCTAGTAAATACACTTTTAATAGAGATCTCATGTAAAGTAGCCATATGCTTATAATTATCCAAACATTGTAGATCCCCTGTGTGAAATTTCACATCTTTATTGCTTCTATTTTAATGTTTACAAAGTTGGTAGTAATTTTTCAAACCAAATCTGATCCTAAACAGGAAAGACAATTTCCTATATGATTGTTATTCTCTATGCTAGATTTGGCAACGATCAAATCTTTCCTAGAATTTAATCATCTTTACTCTCATAAGCATCCTAGACGCTCATTTGAGAAGGCACTTCGTCTGTTCAATTTAAGTATCCCAATACCTATTAGCAAACTGCAATGTGTTTTTAATCTAGAATATTTGGACAAACATAAAACATGTCAAATCATTACAGAAGAAAAGTATTGCCCCAAATTCACAGTGAAATAGAGGAAAAACTCGCTGTGTCAAACAAACAGCCATTTTAGAGAAGTTACTTAACGAAAAAAAAAATTTAAGAGAATATAAAAGCGAGTTAAACTAAAAATTTTAAAGTGTAACTCCAAAATGAAAGTATCAAGATTGAGAACTACTAAAATTAAAGAATTCTTCAACATTTAAAAAATCCAAATAATTGACTAATTAATAATCACCATATTTACTTACATCTGTGGTAAGAATTTACATATGTTATTGTATAGTCTGCACAAAAAACTTAGAGGGACATATTTTCACCTCTGTTTGAGGTGACAAAACTCACAGTAGAAGATTTTGAATTCACGTAGCTAGGAAGTGACGGAGCTGAGATCCGAACCCATGGCTCTAAGCCCCTCATTTAACATCCAGAGTGTATAAGAAGATGTCTGCAGTCAACTTCATTCTGATGACGTTTCTGTCTTTCTTTCAGATTATAAACAGGCCCAATTTCACTTACTTTTAGAGATCAAGCCAGATTAGCTACATTTGGCCTGGTATGGCTGTAGGCAATTAAATACACGTGGTTCACATGGAGAATGAAAATTATTTGCTCATTAGGAATGAGAATCATTAATTTGAAAATAAAATTGCATACTATGCATTTCCTTTACAGCTTTCCCTTTAAAATCAAAGCGTTTCTTGAAGTTCTTGGCAGGTAACTTGCCCCTGTTTCATGGTGTAGGCCAGAGGGGCTCAAATCTTGGTGTTCATCAGAGTTCCTTCAGGGCTTGTCAAAACACAGATTGCTGGGCCTTAGCAACAGAGTTTCTGATTCTGAATCTGGGTGAGGCCTAAGAATTAGCATTTCTAACAAGTTTTCAGGTGATGCTGATACACGCTGCTTGAGGGGCCACACTTTGAGAACCACTGGTGTTGGCAAACTACAAGATGGTTGGACATCTATGTGCCCTGCAGTGGAACCAAAGAAGGGCAGTGACTGGGTTGCTTTGATTTCCCCCCCGTGAGTGTTGGTGCTTCTTTCAACATCCAGAACTAAAATGCCAATTCCTACCAATCTCAGTGCTGTCATTCTGGTGGCACGCATGGGACCAACTGAATCTCTGATTTGCCTTTCACTGAGACCCCGTTCAGCTGATGGTGGGGGGACGCTGAGACCCAGAGTATTCTGTCATCTGGCACAACTCGTTTCACTTAACTTCTCTGTAAATTATTCTGCCAAGGAAACAAATAAATAAACAAAAGAAATGGAATAATCAGTCTCAATATAAATTAGGGAAAACAGAGGGTATTAATAGGGCTGGTACCTCCCAGTCTAAGAGATAAAGGAGAAGCTGTATTTTGTGTGTATCTGTCACAGGTTTTTTTTGGTTTTTTTTTTTTTTGCCTCTTCTTCCACTTTCCTGAAGCAGAGTCTTTAGCTTTCCTCCTGCTGCTCAAGACTTCACGCATTTTTCACCCTGACCACCCTCTGAGGAACACTACCCAGTACTCTAAGCCAATAGCTTTCATTTTCTTTTCTTTTTTTGAGGGATCTTTTTGCAGATGAAATTTTATGAGACTGTCTAAAACAGATAAAAGCAGGACTGCTCAGGCTGAAGCAAGTGTGGGTAACCTGAGGTGCACCTGATTGGTTTCTTCCTTATTCTTGCCAGAGGCTCTAGGAGTGCAAAGGAACAGAATTTAAAACCCAGCCCTTTCTGTCTTCTTATAATCAAAATCCACCAATCTTAAGTCTCATTACTTTTAGACCAAATAGGTGTCAGCTAGCCAGTCTTACAGGATTATTAGTTTATTTGGAATAGTCTAATAGTGGTAGTAAAATACGAATAGGGATCCTACTAGATAATGTTTGTGTTTCAACAGGGGTCTTATAAAGAAAGTACCTTAAAGAAGTGACTTTATTTTTGCAAAATTTCAGGTGCTAAGACATCTTTCTAGAGTATATTTCCAGAGCCCCTTAAAGTATGGTTACTTCACAGCTAGGTGGAGTCCATACCAAAGTCCAACATCCTCAGTCATTGTTATAAAAGTTGTCTTTGGAGTGACACCTGAATGAAAAATGAAATAACAAAAGATATAAAGTCTTCTACTTATTTAAGAGAATCTTCTCTCCCTAGATTATTGTAAAATAATAATTTTAAAACAATACCAGCACCGATTTGAGATAATAACAGGATAATTCTATTTGCTTTTGGTCCTGTATCTCTGGGTGGACAGATCTCTCATTTATGGATGTTTTGTTGCCAAATGATACACATACCTTAGACATGACTCTCTGATTTCTTAAAATTATGTTAATAGATGCCACTATCCCTTGCTCAACTTTGAAAGTGCCTGTAAGCATGCTCCTGTCCAGTATTGTTTTGGTTCTCCACAGGTAACTCCGTCGGCGTCCACAGGGGGGCAGGAGATACCATACTGCACAGTTGTACGTCTTCCATCTGTTTGGTGTAGAAAAATCTAACCACTACAAGAATGCCACGGTGCTCACATCAGACCTTCTCAATGCATCTCAAGAAACTTTCACTTTTCTAACATTTTTCACAGATAAAGTTGTTTAAGATTACTAGAACATCTAAGATTAGATCGAAAATTTAAATTCTATAGCACTAGTTCAAAGACTCAAAATGTTCCCTGAAGAGATCTTAAAAGCAGATTTGGACTTGTGGTTTGCTCTTCGTATCTTTATTTTTCACACACACACACACACACACACACACACACACACACACAGAGAGAGAGAGAGCAAGAGAGAGAGAGAGAGAGAGAGAGAAAGACAGCATGAGTGCAAAGGCTTTGGTGTGGTCTCCACATTGGGGTGGATTCCTATCTGAAACTATCTGAAATTTACCCACTGGAGAGGAAGAGATCAGACACTATATACTACTGTGGGTCATTGTCATGATCTTTGAAATTTTTTTTTTAATACAGGAGAAGCATTCGCTTAGGAGTCAGAATGTCTTGGCTCCTAATCCTAGCTGTATTTTGGACTAGTTTAAAACCTCGGGCTCTCTCCACTGAGTTTGTCTGCACCTCTGTTTCCTCACCTGTAAAATGATCGCTGCAGCCCTTTCAGGCAAAGACCAGCTAGAACTTTTCTTGCAAAGACCCGAGGCTGATAGCGATGACGGAGGGTAATGTCAGCCCCAGGGGAATCCTGAAGGACAACAGACCATGGCCTTTGTGGTCCCTGTTTCAGTGTCATTTACTGTTCCGTGTGGCTCCATCTAGCAGGCTGAGAGGTCCTAAACCACAGCAATAGGCTCATTACTTTGTTTCCTGTTTACTGATAACTTGCAGCAGATAATAATTGCTGTGGGCAAAATGAAGAGAGAACACATAGAGTTGCCTCTGCAGGCAGGAAACATACAGTACTTATTGGATGGAGGGTCTGAAACTGTAAAACTATGAATCATTGTTAACCAGGCACCATACTGATAGAAATTAAAATATTGATAACACAAACCACAAGTGTTGTTTCCTGGGGAAGGGATGGAAATAGATCACAAGGAGGGCACTTTCCCGGATGACACTTGAGAGGCAGACATACAGAGCAAGACACAGGGCAGGCCAAAAAAGACCACTTACATCCCACAGGCGACAGGTAGGCAGGGGGGAAATGTTCCTTCTGCAAATGAGAAATGGGGAGTTTTGAGTCTGTGGTTTTACAGAGATTGCATTTGCAGGCCAGCAGAGGGGCAGTGAAGGGGGGACATAGGGGAGAGACATCGAAGGCAGTGGATTTGGTTGTAAAATGTTAAGTGACAAGGGAGGAATCCAACATAATATCTATCCCTGGATTACAATAATATGAAAAGGATATGTGCATAACAAATAAAGAAGGAGTGGAAGGGAACCCAAAAGGTAAAAACATTTGGATTTGTTGTAGTGGCAAAAATTTGAGAAATAATTTTTTCTTTCAGTTTATCTCCTTTTATTTTATTTTATTGTAAATATTAACAAGCCATTTTAAAGCACAGAGAGAGGAAGGAAGAAAATATTATAGTAAAAGCACCTTCAAGTATAAGGTCTCAGAACTTGACAACCATGAAACCCAAACTAGGGGACATAAGTAGAATTGGGATAGGGCCAGAAGGGGCATCCACGGAGACCAAGGGGAGAGCAGCCAAGCTCAATAGCCCAGTGATTAAGAGCCCAGACTCTGGAGTAGTGTGACCCTGGGCCTCACTTTCCCTATCTGTAAAATAGGAATAATACAGCACTTATTTCAGGATTGCTGTGAAGATTAAGTAAAATAATATTGGCGAAGGGCTTCAAACCATGACTGACACACAAGTTCTCTGTGGGTGCTTGCCATTACCTGGAGGAGGCCAGTGTCCAGGGTGGAGGGCATATCCCAGACCTTAAGGAAGTTAAAGGATGAGGGGAGCAGCGCAGCAAAACTCCCTCCCCCTGCAGGCTGTCATGTGAGTGGTCCCTGCAGGACAGAAGAGGTGATGAAAAAGCAAAAGGAAGAAGGGGTTAGAAAGTGAGAGGGAGGAGATTGGAGAGACTGGGAACACACACAGAAAGTAGCATGGCGGAGAAAGAAGCCACCTGAGATCAAGTGAAACCATAAAGAGAAGAAAAAAGCCAGAACTGAAATAGAGAAGTTGGGCCAGGAATGACTGTCTATGCTGTAGTGGGAAGAATCTTGGGCTTGGGGTGGGAGCCTGGGTTCTGTCCCTTGCTGCATAACCTCTTGGCAGAGTGGCCTTGGAAAAGTCACTTATTTCCATTGAGTCTTTTTTTTTTCCATCCGTGAAGGTGAAAATAGTCAACGCCAACCTCACAAAGCTGTTGGCACGATTAAAGGAGGGTACTTTATGGTTGGTGCCTGAGCACCCAATCAGTACTGAGGGAAACTCTTCTGCCCATAGCAGTCCAGGGCAGAGCACTGTGGCAGACAGAAGCAGCGCTACGCCGCATCGCCTTTCAGCGTGCAGGCCCAGGAATGAGCGAGGCAGTGGGCGGGGAAGACAGGCACGGGGAATCTGGGGACAGATAAAGGAAACTCGTGATGGGGCGAGGCTGGGCTGAAGAGAAACAGATTGGGGTAGAGCTGCAAAGGGAGGGGTCCACTGGAAGGCGAGGGGGGAGGCCGGGAAGAGAGAGGGTGGGAAGGCAGTGTGAGATGGGAGGGCAGTGTGAGAAGAAAAGCAGGCTGGGGAAGAGGGATTGGAATGCAGAAGGAACTTGGGGAAGGAGGAAGTCCTGCAGGCGGGAGGGAAAGAAGAGAGGGAAAATGGGGATGCAGTGGAGGCGGGGGGCAGGCCGCGAGAGGGAGAGGATCCCGGGAGCAGACGAAGAAGTGGAGCAGCTAAAGTCTGCGTCAGAAGAGGTTGGGGACTGCGAGAGGAGAGGCTGGGGCCTGCAGGGGAGCGCAGCAGCTTTTAGCATCGATCCAAACTCTAAAGACTCGTGGCCTTTGCCTGACCTCGAGGGTCGGGAATAGACGCCTGTCTTTGTGGAGAGCGATACCCAACCGAGAAAATGGGGCTGTTCCGAGCTGGGCCCTGCGCCTGGCCCAGGGCGAGGCTTCTCTGGCTCCGGGCTGGCCCCTGAGGGGCGCAAACGGCAGGCCTGGCGGTTGGGGCCGAGGAGGGAGGGTACCACCGCCCCGAGGCAGCACGCAGCCTGCAGCAGAGGCGCCTGCTCCAAGCTGTCTCTTGGGGGCGCCGCCGCCGCTTCCCTCCTCCGGGGCCGCTCGCTCCCAGGAAAGTGGAGGCGGCTGGCGAGGACCGAGAGCCGGGGCCGCGCTGCGGAGGGACCACACCTCCGGGAGTTCGAGGGGGACCCTGGCGCGGCGGGCCAGCCTTTGCTCCCCGGCCACGGGCCGGCAGCGCCCGCCTTCCCCCGGTCAGCGCTTGCGGCCCGCGCCGCGCGCACCGCCCGGCAACCCCGCGCGCGTCCCGCGGGGGCGCTGCGTCTTCCTGCCACACCGGCGCACCGCGGCCCCTCTCCCCCACACCTCCGGCCCGCACCACCCGGCTCTCCTCCCACCCTCCCCACCCCTCCTCTGCCCTCCCTCCCCATTCCTCCCCTCCCGGCGAGGGGCGGGAGGGGGCGTGGCGGGGCCGGGGTTTGTGTGGCTGGGACCCGGCTCCTCGCACTCCGAGTCCGCCCGAGGAGCCGGGCCCCGGCCGCTGTCCAGCCGCTCCGTGCCCCGCGCGTCCTGCGCCGCCGCCACCGCCTCCTGGGGAGACGCAGCCACTTGCCCGCCATGGATACTCCCAGGGTCCTGCTCTCGGCCGTCTTCCTCATCAGTTTTCTGTGGGATTTGCCCGGTTTCCAGCAGGCTTCCATCTCATCCTCCTCGTCGTCCGCCGAGCTGGGTTCCACCAAGGGCATGCGAAGCCGCAAGGAAGGCAAGATGCAGCGGGCGCCGCGCGACAGTGACGCGGGCCGGGAGGGCCAGGAACCACAGCCGCGGCCTCAGGACGAACCCCGGGCTCAGCAGCCCCGGGCGCAGGAGCCGCCAGGCAGGGGTCCGCGCGTGGTGCCCCACGAGTACATGCTGTCAATCTACAGGACTTACTCCATCGCTGAGAAGCTGGGCATCAATGCCAGCTTTTTCCAGTCTTCCAAGTCGGCTAATACGATCACCAGCTTTGTAGACAGGGGACTAGGTAAGTGGCAAAGAAAACGCTCGACTCCCCTCCCGCTGGAGCTCGGCAGCCAGGGAGCTGTTCCCGCTGGAGGCTACATTTGTGAATTCCCTTCCTGCTCTGGACACTTCCTTTTTACTTTTCTTAAATTGTTTTTCTCAAGCTCGAGTAAGTTTCTGAATGTGGCTGCGGATTCTATTCCAGTCTCTAAACCTCCCTTCCTTTCCCCCCCTTTCTTTCTCTCTCCCTTCTTTCCTTCTTCCTCTTTTGCAGAAGGCAGCGTGGTTGCCGCTTGTTGGTGGCTGGTGGGGGAAACGTGGAGGACGGGAGGCAGCAGGCGGATGAACCCGGCTGGAGAGGGGTCGGGATGGGGACTGATGGAATCGGTGTCTCGGGATACTGGGTTCGCAGTCCAAGGCCTGAGCTGCTGGGGCAGATCTAGGGCATGAGACAGCCTTGGAAAGCCCTGGGCAAAGCCGGCACTAGGGAGTCCCACAGTCTGAGGAACTAGTCCGCGAGCGGCGTCGGGCAGCCCCCTGGTCCTGGCGCCGCGCGGGTTTTCCGTTGGTCCCTGCGCTGGGTGGGATGGTCAGCCGGGCTGGAGCCCTGCGCCCTCCGGCTTTTTTGCTCCAGCGTGGTGCTCCCGGCTGCTCCGAGGCCTCAACACGAGTGGTTTCTGCAGATGCGGCGGCAGCAGTTGGGCGGGCCGGGACAGGGACGGCTAAGTTCGGAGGTTGTGGGTACTTAATACACAAAGGTACATGGGTATGCCCATCCACCTTTCTCAGCCAGGCGACGTTCCTCTCTCTACGCTATTCCTGAGGGCTGGTGGGGGTCTGGGAAATCCCTGGTACCCTCTGTGGGAACGCCTGCATGTGTGGGTGTCTGCGGAAACCCTTGCGGCCCCTTCTTGCCACCGGCGTTGATCTGCAGCGTGGCCAGTGCCCTCAAGAAAACCTCGCACCACCTCTGGTCCCAGAAATCAGGGAAGGATCCACAGGCATCGGAAACTAAGCTCCTAAAGGAGAGAGACAATAATGTGGAAGGAGACAGGAAAGGAAGGGAGAAAAAGGAAAGGAAGAGTAAAGAGAAGGAAGGAAGAAAATGACGGGATAAAAGCGATTTAGGCAGATATCCACTCCTCCATCCTCCCTAGACTTAGCTCCATGACTTTGACCTGCTCCCAGTTAAGTGGGGTTGCCCGGAAACCTTGCAGCGCTGGGGTTCGGGATTCGGAAGCTGCTTCAGCCACTGCTACCCTGGGTGCTCGCACATCTCTTAAGCTTTTTAGAGCAGGCTAACGGCCCCCCCGCCCCCAGCCCCGAGCTCTTCCCCGGCTCCAGTCCCCGCCTCTCACTCATAGTCGCGTTCCTTGCTCGAGGGTCTCGCCGCTGCAGCCCGAGGTCAGCGAGGTTCATGAGCTGCTGAAAGGTCCAGAGGGCAAATTAACGCCAGGTATTTTATGATGATTTTAGGGCTACTAAAGTCACCTTTGCAAAGACATGTGGCTTCTTCGTAGTAGTGCAACTGAGTCCCTGGCCTCCGTGCTGCCCGTGCAGCTCGCCAACCCTCCCCACGACGCACGCCTTGCTACAGTTGTTTCTGTCCCTCAAAGTCCTCTGTTAATCGTGCACTTTCTCTACTACAATTGCGGAAGGAGGCTAAGGAAGCTCAGAGAAGACTGCTCAAGAGGCCCTTCCTCAAGAGAAGAAGTCCCAGAGGCCTAGGCTGGCCGGCGGTTGGGCGCGGATTTTCTTTGCCCGGGAATGAAGTGGCAAGAATCTCTGCCCCTCCCCCAAGTGGGCACCATAACTGGTTCGCTGCGCCCTGTGAATTTGGCACAGGACCAAAAGACCCTGCGGGCTGTTCGGAGGTGTCTCCGGAAGCCTGTGGCATTCAGACAAGGGTTGGGGAAAAGTCTTGGGGGCCCCAATCCGGCGTAGACGCGAAATCACTTTACCCTGGTTTGCCCTGTAGCCTCCCCACCCCCATCCCCGCCACTGCGCTGTATGCCCCCGATCCTGGAGATAGAGGAGGGATTGCATGTGCACCCAGTCTGGGGAGGCCTCTGTTCCCGAGCCAAGGCCTCCAGACTAGCAGGACCGAGATCCACAAGTACCGCTACAACCCCGGAATGCGGTGGAGGGCTGGGGATGCGAGCGGTCCACAGCGGGAGGAGACGCTGCATGACCACCCGGACAGCATCTTCAAAGGCGCTGTCTCCTCCGCGTCTCCGGGTTCTCAGAAAATGCGAAGAAAGGCAGTTCGTTGACTGGGAAGGCGGTGCGGCTTGTCGCACGCCGCGCGGGGGTGAAGGAGTGCGGAGCCACGGGCGGGAGGGGTGCGCAGAGGAGGGGGTGCGTTGCTGGCTGCAGCCCCAGCTTGATAAAGGGAAAGCCTCACTTTCCCTCTCACTGATTTTGATTTGATGTGTCACCGGCGGTGACCTCAGGCTGGACCTTCCGGGGCTTGCTTAGCATCGGGCCCCTGATTGGAGTGTTTCAACTCAGCGATCTAATTGAGGGTTCATGTCATAACACATCAAACGGTGTCTCGTCTCCCGTGATGGAAGGGACCCGCCAGCCGCGCATCCCCGGCTCCTGGCAAGGACTTCCGCCCCTCTCACGTGGGGCTCTTAACCGCGCCAACCCCCCTAGGGTCCCCTCCCCCAACGCGTGGACGGCCTGGCGAGGAGGAAAGAGCAGCGGCCCGCCTAGAGCTGGGCCAGCAGCGCTAACTTGGCGCCTTGCCTAAGGGATGTTTAAATCGCCGTCGAGTGGGGCTGGCCTGGCTCGGTGGAGCCGGGGGTCCCCCAAGGGGAGGAGCGAAGAAAAGGAAAGGAGCCCCGAAGTCAGTCCAGGAGGCATGGGCGACTTGCTCCTGTACAGTATCTGTAAAAAGCCTTCCTTACCCCGGAAACCCCAAAGTTACACCTGAAGCCTATGGTTGAGAGTGGGAGAACAGGCATAAACTCTGCCCAAAGTGAATGAAGGACGCTTTAGGTTTATAAAGAAAGCAAGTTCTGTACTCCATCCCAGGCCACTTCTCCCTATCCTCCAGGAGGAGAACTTATTGGGGAAAAAAAAAAGAAACCAAACAAACCTAAAACAGGTCCCTTCTTTCAGTATGCTCTCCAGACACCTAGGAGTAATAATAGTAACCACGATTTATTGAAAATTTACTGTGTACCAAGCATTGCACTAAAATTGGTTACATGAATTATCTCGCTTAGTTATCACAACCACTTCCTAGGAAAACGCTATCATCACCACGTTTTACAGGTGAAGTAAAGAAGACAGAGGAGTTAAGCAAGTTGCTCGAGGTCACACAGCTAGCGAGAGGTGGGGCCTATATAAGATTCGAGACCCTGCATGTTTAACTAGAGCACTGTATAGATAGTTTAAGTGGTGAGGTGGTTTCTAATGGATGATGACAAGAAGCAGAAGTCAAAAAATGGAAAGATTTTCCCCCAGTCTAATATTTGTCTGCAGTCACTTAAGACCCAGTTAGGAGTGTGAGTGAAACTAGATGTGAGGGTCTGAATTTTGGTGTGCTTTGCTTCCTCCTGTTCTTATTTTAGCAGATGCACAAACCATATTATCCCTGATTTTTAAAAATGCTCTTATATTGTGCTTTAAAAATGATGTTGGATCCATAAAGGTGAGAAGGTGTGTGCCTGTGTGTTTAGGTGCCATCATGGGATGAGAATGGACAAGGTTGGATATGATGAAATTACAATTTGCTCATGAAATAACTCATTAAAAGGCTACTAGTACTGGGGCCCTGGACCCCCAGCCCTGGGGCCTGGGAAAGCCAGACAATTAGTTCTATGAATTTAGCAGGGCTGAGAGATAGAGGGGAGGGAGGAAAAGAGAGAGACAGAGAGAGAGAGAGAGAGGGAAAGAGAGAGAGAGAGAGAGAGAGAGAGAGGGAAAGAGAGAGAGAGAAAGAGACTGACTGATTCAGACTTTCAGTTTATGTAGGGAAAGGTGCCACATAATTCCAACAAGGAGAAAAAACAACTCTCAAGAATGAGAGAACCGAAATGAGTCTAAGACTATTGCTGTGAGTTAGGTTTCCAGATGGCTTTGAAATAAGAATACCCTTTACTTTTTTCTTGTTGTAATAATATTCTCAAAAAGGAGGCAGTAAGGAACAGATAAAAACCAAAACGAGATGGGAACATCCTTGAAGAACTTGATGCCCTAGAAATAACTCTCAGGACAGTTTGCCACTGATTGTTTGTTGGCTTCTCCATTCACCTTCTGGGTCGTGATTACCAAAGGGCAGAGCAGGACCATTCTGGGAATAGCCCGGCTGCGGGGAGGGCATTCAGAGAGTTGCATAGTCCCCTCGCGATTGAAGTTCATCTGGTACCTCATGTTATGCAAAACAGCGGGTTTCTGGGTGGACCTGAGCCGCAGAGTGGTGTAATCAACTCAGCAGTGCTTTTGCCGGTACCCTGTTGTCGTTGGCAAACCGAAAATGAAATATAAGCAGGGAAGTATTTTAATGGGGACGGAGGGAATTCACAACTG
This sequence comes from Homo sapiens, assembly GCF_000001405.40. NCBI lineage: Eukaryota > Metazoa > Chordata > Mammalia > Primates > Hominidae > Homo > Homo sapiens. The sequence continues at coordinate 96,155,769 of NC_000008.11, read as the reverse complement.
TTAATTATTTGGTGACCTTGTATTCGATTTGTTTGAGTCCCTTATAAAAACACTAATGCAGACCAGACGGCCAAATGAGGAAGCTGGGCAGAAGGTTCCAATCTAGGCTTTATTTCCCCGGAAAGAGGGAACAGCCTTGGAAAAGACTTGCTAAGCGTTCAAGTGTGTGCGTATGAGGGTGCGCCTGCATGAGCGCGGGCACGGGGTTTGTGCCACTGTCCAGGCTCACGGTCCTCCTCCAGCCAGGTGAACTGGAAGGTCCTGCAAAAAGCCTGGGGGTAAGGGAAAGAAGCCTTAAATTGGAAGTTTGTTTTGCTCTTCTGGTTCGAATAAGTAAGGCACGTTTAAGGCCACAGACCAAACTCTTAGGCACTGACTTGCTGTTAAACATCAGTTATTGTAGTTCCAATCCTTAAGGCCTTAAGGTCTGCCTTACAGGGAAAAGCAAGAAGATTCTAAAAAGAAAGAAAGAAAGACCACCTAGTATGCTCTACAGCGAGAGCGCAGGTTGCGCAGGGATTCTTGGCGAGTTTCCTTGGCAAAGGAGGCTAATCTGAGACGGACATAGCGTTTTCCTCAACGCGGGAGGCTCTCGGGCCTCTGGGAGTTCGCGCGGTGGAGTTGCCGATGGGGGAGGGGATCTAAAAACGTGCTCAAACATCCTTGTGGTTTCTGCGCATTAAAAGAAAAAAGTCACTCAGACCACAGATCACGACAGGCCTGGCGAATCCCTCTTCTCCACCCTCCCCACCCCCCAATTGAATCAGGACTTGAAAGCTCCTCTTTCCGACCGGAGAGGATGCGTGTCACCTGGACCCGCGGGGAACGCAGGGCACTGCATCGGAGGCCCTAACACCACATGTTTTTCTTAGCTGGAGTCCTTGAGGTTCTTACACACCTCCTCGAAAGTGGTGACGTCTTTCTGGGGCGGTGGCGGAGAAGGAAGAAGGGAATGAGGTGGAGACTGTGGGGAGGAAGATGGTATGATAGAAACAGGGCAGAACGAGAACTTTTGTTTCCTGCTAGGACTACTGCGTGCACCAAAGGTCTTAGAGCAAATCAACAGTAATCCCTGGGGGCTTTTAAGTAAAAGGAAAGCCATTAGTTCGATAACCCCTCGGGTATTGAATAACCCGGGTCAAACGACACTCTTTGGACCAGGGGACTGAATCGAGCCGAGCCCTCGAGGTGTGGAATGCCGGAATGTGGATTCACCGTGCCATTCCGTTGCTTGACATCCCTCCATCCCCCACCCCAAGGCCTGGCTGTTTATTTTTAAACTCTAAGTCGGTTAAATAGTATCTCCTGTTTACAGGAATTAAATAGGTCCTCCTTGGACTAATGGGTTCCAGGGTTGCAGTTCTCTGCCTTCTAAGACAGTCCATTAGCATTGCTGGGGACTGAGGGTTGGGTCCACTTGGGGTGAGGGGCTGCAAGAGCTTGGAAGGGGCGGGCGGCGGGCGGCGCTGGACAACGTTCCTAGGGAAGCGCGCGCGGCGGCGCTAGTGGCCCCGGCGCCTGGGGGCGGGGCATGGTTTAGGGACCCGAGAGTGGGCGTGAAAGAGGCCAGGGGCGGGCCTCTAGCCCAGGCTGGTTTAGCTTGGGGAGAAGGACAGAGGACGGGCACAGGGGCAGCGCAGGGGATTGGCTTTAGTGGGGTGCAGAGGGCATCCCTTAATAACATAGGAGCCCAGGAGAATCGGTGCGCCTGCTTTGCAAACCTGGCTTCCAGGCAAATTGGTCCAGCCTCCCACTCCACTTCCCAGCCCACTGCCGCTCCGAAGCTCAGCGTGGAGGGAAATTGACTAGGAATAGACTAGGGCCCACGAATCTCACTTTGCTAAATTGTTTCGAAAGTCAGACCTAAATGAACACCGCAGACAGAGATTGCGGCTCTCCCTTCCTCCCAGACTGCACACGGCCCAGCACCTTAAAGAGCACAGCACAGCGGTTTCTCCTGCGCAGGACCCCTGGGTGCTGAGTCCAATATCCTCCCCGCGACTACAAGCCAGTTTGAACCCTCGCCCCCACCTGCAAGCTCAGAACTGGTCAGGGAGCGGAAGTCACATAAAATGAACACCCTTCCTTCTACTTTTGATCTCAAAACTGAAGCCATGCAGCCCGATCATATTCCAGCTCCGATGGCAGTTTGAGGATTCCTCCCTTTCCGCTCCCCTAGCCTTCGTGGAGGACCTGGTTGCTCCCCTGGGCTCCCGGGTGACTTACCGGTCGACAGTGCAGGGAAGGCCGCCCCTAGCCAACCCCCCAGGTCCCGGCCCCAGGGGAAGGGCAGGCCGCGTGCGCGCCTCAGTGAGATGGGGAGGGAGGGCTCAGCGCGGGAACAGTACGAGAGCTTCGGTTTGGGTTTCATCTGCAGTGATGTCAAATTAAGATTTGAGCCGCTGTGGTCGGGAGCCCAGAATGGGACCCCGTTGAAAAGAGAAGCACAGTGAAGTGCCCTTGATCTCAGCTTTGCCTCTCTGGCCCCTCAAGAGAGCACGCAGCCATCAGGGTCATTAACTAAGTTCAGGAAAACTGCTTTGTAAATGAATCTGTTTCATCCTCTAGAGACAAAAGGAGTTTCCTTAAAGCGCCTTGGAGCTCCTGATAGGGTGAGCAGCACTCACGGGAGAGGGCTTCTCCCCAGCCAGCACTGCTTGTCAGAAACAGGCACCCTGGGGTTAGAGCTAAGGCCACTAAAGGCGGTGCTGAGGCCCCGAGGTGAGGGGTGCGAAGCTGTTTTCAGTTGGGTGGGATTCGAGGATCTCCTTTCTTTTCTTTCTCTCCACTCTCATTCATTTGCCTCACCTTGAGCCGCAGCTTGCTGTGCCCATACAGGGATTTCTCCCAGGGATCCAGGCAGGCCACTAGACCCACTTAACTTGTGGAGTCTACAAGGCCCAGGCCCCTCAGGAAGAGAAGGGCCTGGGTCTGGAGGCCTGAGGGAAAGAGTGGAAAAGCCTCTCCAAGACTCCGTGGAAGACTTGCCTTGGACCCCTCTGGTCTTTGGAAGCAGAAATACAGGGCAAGCTATTGGGGAGGGCACTGGGGAAGCCAAGAGACATGAGAAAAGCTGGACTGGTGAATGTGTGATGAGAAGGAACACACACTGAAGACAGACCCGCCAACGAAACCTTCGAAAGTGACAAGCACCACAGGCCTGGCCTCATGCTGCAGCCCAAGGGGCCCTCCATTGCAGCCCTCCCCATCAATATGTGTCTGGCCCTTTGCACAGTGAAGATCAGTAACATCTGCCTCCTTATCCCCACCCCAGACTGGCCCTGTGGTCAGATCGTGCCCCCACAAAAGGACACCAAAGTGGGGAAAGAAACGAATCCTTAGGCCTCTCAGGGCTGCACTGCCAGCCAGGGAGTCATTTGGGTTAGCACAAGGGCTGTCACTGGCCTTGACCCCTGCAGAAGAGGAAACCTGCAAGAAGGGCTGGATCCTTGATGTGGCTGGGGTGGAGGTCATCTGTTCACCTGGCACTGTGGGAGGGACAGCAGTGGTGACAGGGCCTCACAGGACTGAGAAGAATCGGGATGATGAGGTGAGGCTGCAGCCTCCATGAGCCTTGACTTTCACTTGACTTCAGATAAGCAGGAACTGGAAGCGTCTTCATCTTTCTCATGCTTCCTAGCACCTTTCCTCCACTCACTTCTGGAATCTTGTGGAGAGAAGTGGACCACAAGGACTGAAGTCCAGAGAACTGGATTTCAAAGGAAGTCAAGAGAAGGACAGGTGCACCTTCCCCTAGAAGATGTAAGTAGTCACAGAAATATTGGCTGCATTCACTGGACGTCTCTATGTACTATGCACATCCCTGAGGTACTTTGACTCTGACCTTTACAATGATCCTGCAAGGTACAGGTGGTTCTCTCATTTTACAGCTGAGGCATATGAGGCTGGGAGAGATTATGCGACCCAGTCTAACCAAGGTCACCCAGCCACTAAGTCACAGATCAGGACTCAAATTTATGTCTCTTAGACTTTAAATTCCTATGCTCATTCCACATTGTCAGTAGTGACTGACATTTGCATTCAGAAGTCTTTCTCTCACACCTTATCTCATTTGCACCCCTCTGTGGCCCTGTTAATTTTCCTCCTAAATTCTCTTTCACAAGTCCAATCATCGACATTTCTTCTGCTGAAGTAATGACTGCTGTAGTTCTGCTGAAGTGAGTGACTCTTGCCGGCCAGGGATTGATGCCCTCCCTCCAGGCATGGGCAGCATGGAAGAGTTTCTCAGGGTTTCTACAAGGCACAGAGATCAGGGCTGGGATGTCTAGGGTGGTGGCACAGATACTGGAGCCAGATTGCCCACTCTACTACTTAGTATCTTGAGCCAGTTACTCAAGCTGTCTCTTTTAGTTTAGAATGATGGCTGTCTCAGAAGTGGTTTTGAGAATTAAATGAGTTACTACAAGTTAAGAATTTAGATCATGCCCAGAACAGATTTAGTGCCACACCAGTGTTTGCTCTTAACGATTATTATGCTGGGGGATCAGGCATGAGTATTGGGGTTAAGAAAAAGCACCCTGGAAAGGGTGAATTGTATGGACTGCTTCCCGAACTTACATCTCAGTAAGAATGTTAGCAATGCGTCAGCAGCTTGCAAAGCTCAGATCTCAACAGAGGCCTGACTCAGGATGAGTATCTCCTCAGGGGGAGGCCCAAGAGATCTGTATTTCAGGAAGAGGGTACATAGTTGGCACACAGATTCCCCTTAAAGCCCTTCACACTCCAGGAGGAGGGGTTGGTGGCTCATTTTTAATCACCCAGTACACCTGGCTCTATTTCCAACCTGATGGACTTTGCCCCCTCAGTGCAGCGCGGAAGGTGAGAGACTTAGTTGAGAAAATGACTCCAAGCCCAGTCATGAATTTTGAGCTTGGAGGTCTTCTTTGTAGTAAAGAAAAGAAAAAAAATCCTGGGGGAACCCAGCCCACCTTGATTACACTAATGATGAAGCTATGTCCTATTTCCTGGCCCCCTGCCAAAACAGGACCCTGGTAGAGCAGCATGGCTGCAGGACTGGGGTCAGAGTACTTGGAATTAGGACCTTCAACACCTGTCTCTTGCGCTGCAGGACTGGGGTCAGGGCACTTGGAATTAGGACCTTCAACATCTGTCCCTTGCTAGTTTCAAGACAATGGGCAAGATACCTCTTAGAGCTTTAGTTTCTTCATCTATAAGTGAGTATCACAGTAGGCCTGACCTTAGACGTTCGCTGTGAAAATTCAGTGAGAGAGGCCATCAAAGCTCTGAGCACGTGCCTAGCACAAAGGTGGTGCCCTACAAGCGCTCAATGCTGCTGCTGGCTCTAAAATGAGGGGGTAAGGGAAAGGCGCCTAGAGTTTCTCTTGCAAAGATGGGTGATTCTCCCTGCCTGGGGATTGGGGATGGGAAAGTCCACTATCTTCTCGACTTTCTGGACAGTGGCCTAGTCGCGGGGCCTGTGCCACCGGAGAACATGGCTGGGAGGCGTGGCGGGACGCCTGGCCAGTAGCTATCCAGGGTCACTGCGTACTCAGAGATGTGAGCCAGGTGCGCGCGGAGGAATCTCGTGGAGCCCAAAGTCAGCCGTACCAAGAATCCTGCAAGTCCGGGAAGTTGGAGCCGTGGGTGCACAGCCAGGCGAGTGACAAAATCCAACTAGGACTTTCAAAAGGGACCTCAAGCTGAGTATATATCTCAGAGATGTCTTGGGAAAATGCAATGCCAGGCCCTTCCCACCTCCAACCAAAGGAAGTTTCTGGTTTTTGGAAACCCTCTACAGGCTAGCCCAAGGAAGTAGCCCCCAGCAGAAGGCTCTGGGGCTGGAGTGGGCAGGCTGGAGTGGGCAAGCGCACAGAGTCCTGCAGCTACGTGTCCCTCCCTCATGCCGCCCTCTTGGGGCTCAGGTTCCCCGGGCGTCTGGCCTTTGGCGTTGCGGGCATCTTTTCCTTTCCGCTCTGGAGTTTGCCACTCCAACTTTCTCCAGCCACGTACTGTGACCGTGGACAGATGCCCTTTTCCTTTCTAGGCCAGTTTTCTCATTTAAAATGGGTGCAATGGTAATTACTTTGCAAATAGGTACCATTCCTTCTCTTGGTTTCTTTTTTTAGTTAAAATTTTATTTTTTACCTTATATTCACCCTAACTGAAAATTTGTACCCTTTGACCAACATCTCCCCTCTTTTAAATTTTTCCTAAATTCTACACCAGAAATATATGTTTGAGGTGCTTTCAGCCTTTTACCAACTCGTTGACCATTATGAAGGAGTATCTTCTAACATGCCACGGTTTGTTCCTTCCTTCTTATTTTTCTCTCTTCACCCTCCTTTCTCTACGTAGCTGCCAGGAAACGAAGATAAGCCCTAATCCAGCAATTGTAACTGGAAATGTTTATATGTCTAATGTTCAGCAAACACCGTTAACAGAGGTGTGAATAAGCTGTAACAAACCAGGTTGATGCAAAGTAAAAGGGAAATAAAAAACTCCCACCATGTATTTCTGGTCAATTTCAATTTAAGGGCCCAAAGCATAGGATTCACTTCCAGGATGTGGGAAAGTGCCACAGATTTTCAAGTGACAAGTGCATGTTTTTTTAGTCAAAGGGGTGGGAGAGAGGATCATTTGATGACATCAGTCTTCATTTATACAAGACTTAATGGGAGAGGAGGCTTTTGGAACGGAGTATGAAGGGCTGGCTTTTTGCCCACAGATGGCTCATGGCAGCTGAGCCAGGCTCTGTGATGCCAGGTCAGCAGGCAGCAGGCAAAGTGTCTTCAGGGTAACAGTGCATGGTGTTGTATTCACTCCCCAGGTTGGATGCCTCCTCTGAGCTATTTCTGTGATGCAGGTTTAGACAGGTAGGGAATGTGGTCTGCAGGGGAGCTGCACAGAGGAGCCACCTTCTTGGACCTTCTGTTTAGGGGTTAGAGGTTCTGGAGACCCAGAACCAAGAGAACTTGTGGCTGAAAGGATAAAAAAATGGGGGTGGCTTTGGGGGCCACGAATGGGCTGGGAGAGGTAGAATTGACTTGGTCCTGGTGAGTACTGCCTTAGATGCTGCCCTGAGCCCTGTGCTTTGCAGCACCTTGTTTGGTGCTCCCCCCTACTCAGTGGTGAATTCAAAGAACCTAGAGGACAACCCCCAGTTAGATCAGTGGTTCTTAGAGTAATTTCTTGGACCAGCAGAATCAGCATCATCTGGGAGCTTACTAGAAATACAAATTCTAGACCCTACCACAAGCCTCTAGAGCGAGAGAGAATTTGCATTTCTAGCAAGCGCCTATGTGATGCTGATGATGCAGATTTAAAGACCACTGCAGATTTAGTGGCTTTGAGAGTCACTATTCCAGACCAAGCTCCAGATACCTGGGCCATATAATTCTTGCCCAAATATCCCTGAGCTCACTTGCAGGGTCTGGACAGCCTCTTCATCCATTCAGTTCCCCCAAAGGTAGATCGAACCACTGATGTGTGCACCTGTGAAACTGTGCACAGCTTTAAGCTGTCAGCTGGGATGGCCACATGCTCACAGGTGAGGCCCCTTGAAGTAGGTGATGGAGCTAGTGTGGAAAGAGAAGAGAGAAGAAGCTGAAGTCCCATTTGCATTCTTGCACTGAAACGTGGAAAGGGTAGGGGTGGGCTGGTCTTGCTGGAAAGATCATCAGAAATCCTAAGGCTGCAGAATCAGTAGGAGATCTTTCTCTACAGATGCTTGCCTCAGTTTTAACTCAGCTGTGCAAATTAATCATTTATTAGCCCACACATTTTTTTTAAAAGAGTAAAAACAAAAGCAGGCTGATTTCCCCCATATTGCATGAGAGAGAAGTAAATCATAATTCTTTACACCTGCCTAATGCACTCCAGCCAGTGGCAAACCATCTCAAGAGTTGTGTAAGCAAAGATGGAAATGATTTCCTAAGGGAGCCTAGATTTTATTCCTAGCAAGCCCTGCAAATAATTTGGACTCTTTTCCCCTTTTCTTATACACTGGCCACTTCTGGTTACTTTTAGACTCCAGTACCTGGACTACAGTGGAGAGGCAGTGGGGTTTAGGGGCTAAATGCTCCAACTCTGAATTAAATAGACATAAGTATGGCTCTTAGCCTCACCACTTTCTGGCTGTCTGACTTTTGGCAATACCTTAATTTCTCCAATCCTTGGTTTTCTCATCTGTAAAATGGGAATAATACAAGTAATTACCTTTCAGAACTGTTCTGTGCAGGTGGATATAGATTGGAAATATGTTATTCCTAACCACATTTAGCTAGTGCAGCAAGTGCCTTAGATTTGTTGCTCTCATCTCATCCCTAGTTTGGGGAGAGAGGCAGGAAGCCAAGCCTAAGGCAGTACGTCCAGAGATCTGGGTGGAGGCTGAGCATTGTCAGACACAGGTTTCTTTGAAGGAGAAGAAAGTGTGCTGAATTCCGCCTGATTTTAATGTGACCCTGGTCTGTTTGAAGGTCTTGGCTTCCATAAATCAACTGCCTGCAGCAGCTTTTCCCTTTTCACCTCTCTAACCCTTCCCACACCCCATCTCAGGTTGGGGCATGTGCGTAAGAGTGAACCAGCCAGTGCTACGGTCAGCCCCGAGTACAAACTGGGTGTGGCAGAGGCTCCAGAGCCAGTGCCCCCGGGCTACATCTGGACTGGTAGAGAGGGTTGGATGCTGGGCCCAGTGACACTTTTACTATTGAAATCGACCCAAACTTTACTAGCTTCTGGGGAAGGCTGGGGGCTTTGGGGATTTTTGTATTTGCTGGGTTGTAAATATTTTATGGGAAGGCAGCCCAGGAAAATCTGGTTAGCTTTCCGCCTTGCACATTGAAGTGGAGTTGGCTTCATGCACAAATGTGTCAAAAAAGAAGTCCGGTTTTGCCTTGGTTCTGAAGAATTTGCCTTGGATTTTAAAAGCCTGTTACACTCCCCTACCTCACCTGTCCTAAATTTCTTTTTCTCACTTATGACCAAAACTTTTATCTTCAGGAATAGTTGCAAAGTGAGAGAATTTTAGATTGGGAGTGGGAGGAGAGATGGGAAAGTCTCTCTATCTCTCTCTCTCTCTCTCTGTGTGTGTGTGTGTGTGTGTGTGTGTATCTAATTGTCCCTGGCTGAGGTTTTCTGCCTTCCAGTTTTCTGCCTTCCAGGTATATATTTTTCTCATTGACTGCAGGATGTTCTCAATGGACAGATGCAAGGTGTGTGTGTTTGTTCATTTGTCACCCCCTGCCCCCAATACTTCTGAAACTTCATTGCTCTTTTGTTTGTTGTTTAATGATTGGTGAATAAATAAATAAATCTCTCACCAGCTCTTCATTCTGCCTGCACTGTGTTGGACCCACCAAAACCGCCTGATGGGCAGCAATGTTACCCCAGACTAGTGAGTCTAAACTAGAACTGCACCTTTAAGTCATCTTGGAGTTAAAAAAAAAAAAAAGCAAACAATAAACAAAAACCCCATGGCCAGTCCTGTCCTTAGACAGTGATTCAATAGGCTGAATCAAGCCCTGGTCCTGGCAGTTTTTCAGTTCTCCAGGACATTTTAGTGGGCCAGATTAAGATTCGCTGTCGTAGAAGTTTCCCACTTACCTGACCGGCGTGTGCTCCAGGTCAGGAACCGCCCTAGGCACTGAGGGGAGCAAGGTGGACAATGACATCGGCCTAGCTCCCGTGGGTTGGTGGAGGCAGACAGAGTGTTACTGGGAAAGGCAGACTACTAAGGAGATAAAAGTAAACAAGGTAATTGTAGATAATCCTAAGTACTGGGAAGATAATCAAGCCAGTCCTGTGATAGAGACCTGGAGAGGCTACCTTAGATCAGGGTGCTCAGGGGTGGCTACTTGGAGGAGGTGACATTTGAGACGTCAACGAGAACGAGCCAGCCCAGCCCAGAGGAGGTCTAGGGGAAACGCGGCCCAGGCTTGAGACCACAAAGGGCACATTAGTGGTTACGAAGCCTTTTGGGGGGAAAACCCGGTAGGCCGCCGCCGCCGCCTCGCCAGCAGCCACCGACTTCCGCCCTGAGAGTCCGGAGCTGACGCGAAGGAGGGGGCCCGTCCTGGCGCGCCCCCTTCCCCGCGCCATGCACCAGCCAGATGGGGAGCCGGGGTGGTCAGGCCCTGGGCCGGGCAAGCTGGACTGCCCGGCCGACCTGCCCCCACTCCCCGCCCTTTTCCTCCCGGGGCGGCCGAAGAGCACCGGGCTGATCTCCCCCTTAAGTGAAACTGACTGTAATTATTTTTTATCTCGCAGACGATCTCTCGCACACTCCTCTCCGGAGACAGAAGTATTTGTTTGATGTGTCCATGCTCTCAGACAAAGAAGAGCTGGTGGGCGCGGAGCTGCGGCTCTTTCGCCAGGCGCCCTCAGCGCCCTGGGGGCCACCAGCCGGGCCGCTCCACGTGCAGCTCTTCCCTTGCCTTTCGCCCCTACTGCTGGACGCGCGGACCCTGGACCCGCAGGGGGCGCCGCCGGCCGGCTGGGAAGTCTTCGACGTGTGGCAGGGCCTGCGCCACCAGCCCTGGAAGCAGCTGTGCTTGGAGCTGCGGGCCGCATGGGGCGAGCTGGACGCCGGGGAGGCCGAGGCGCGCGCGCGGGGACCCCAGCAACCGCCGCCCCCGGACCTGCGGAGTCTGGGCTTCGGCCGGAGGGTGCGGCCTCCCCAGGAGCGGGCCCTGCTGGTGGTATTCACCAGATCCCAGCGCAAGAACCTGTTCGCAGAGATGCGCGAGCAGCTGGGCTCGGCCGAGGCTGCGGGCCCGGGCGCGGGCGCCGAGGGGTCGTGGCCGCCGCCGTCGGGCGCCCCGGATGCCAGGCCTTGGCTGCCCTCGCCCGGCCGCCGGCGGCGGCGCACGGCCTTCGCCAGTCGCCATGGCAAGCGGCACGGCAAGAAGTCCAGGCTACGCTGCAGCAAGAAGCCCCTGCACGTGAACTTCAAGGAGCTGGGCTGGGACGACTGGATTATCGCGCCCCTGGAGTACGAGGCCTATCACTGCGAGGGTGTATGCGACTTCCCGCTGCGCTCGCACCTGGAGCCCACCAACCACGCCATCATCCAGACGCTGATGAACTCCATGGACCCCGGCTCCACCCCGCCCAGCTGCTGCGTGCCCACCAAATTGACTCCCATCAGCATTCTATACATCGACGCGGGCAATAATGTGGTCTACAAGCAGTACGAGGACATGGTGGTGGAGTCGTGCGGCTGCAGGTAGCGGTGCCTTTCCCGCCGCCTTGGCCCGGAACCAAGGTGGGCCAAGGTCCGCCTTGCAGGGGAGGCCTGGCTGCAGAGAGGCGGAGGAGGAAGCTGGCGCTGGGGGAGGCTGAGGGTGAGGGAACAGCCTGGATGTGAGAGCCGGTGGGAGAGAAGGGAGCGCAGCCTTCCCAGTAACTTCTACCTGCCAGCCCAGAGGGAAATATGGATTTTCACACCTTGCCTGGCCACCCTGGAAAAACAAGCCAAGGAGGATTTCTTTTGTTCTGTTTTCTCTCTCTCTCTCTCTCTCTCTCTCTCTCTCTCTCTCTCTCTCTCTATTACTGTGGCTTTGGATTTCCTTATGTGTCTTACAGGCTTTGATAGAAGGGGAGGGGAGGAGAGATGCATACCCGTTTCTCAACTGCTCCATGGATTGAAAAAATAACAGTTTAAAAAGGGAAACAATGTGGGAGGAAGAATCACCGTTGACGCATCTTGATTTGGTTGGTTTTTACATGTGTAAAGAAGGTGGGGTCTCTGGCCATGTCATAGCCCATGTCTTGTGCCCTCCCACACAGAAAGTGTTAGATAGGGAAATTGGCAAAAAGAATAGTTAAGTCAGGAATGGTCCTGCCTATAGAAGAGCTTTGAGAGAGGTGGGCCCACGGGTGCCCCTCTCACCCATTTGTGTACTCTGTGAGTTTACCAGCTCTGCCCTGGCCTCTTTCGGTACCAGGAACTGGCAACCTTCATCTCACTCCTGAGGGCCCAGGTCTCTGCCTTCATTGTTGCTTTTTCTGGTGGGGGCAAGGGGAGCTGGTATGGATGGAATGACAAGAATTAGTCCAAATGGAACCCCTTGAAGGATAATGAGAAACCACAAGGCCTGCCTCTGACTGGGGCTGACACGGAGGTGCATTAGCCCAGGCTGGAGGTAGCCCACCCAAATGCCCTTTCTGATTCTAATTGATTTCTTTCAACAGAATTTGCCAAAATTCAGACATGCACTTCTAAGGGGAAGGTGATTTTCCAGTTCAAAAAAATGGGCAGGAGTGGGGAACAAAACAATTAACGTAAGAGCTACAAAGGAGGGAAAAGGAACCAAGAAGTAGAAGGAGTCCCATCAGGAGGGAAGATGGTGGGCCTCAGGGAGGATGGGGATCAAGGGACAGGCCAGGAGCCAGGAGTGGGGAAGGGAGGGATGAAAGGGGACACAAGTCCCTGTCTCTGAAGTTTCTTTAAAATCTGAGTTCCCTCCCCTCTCTTTGACATTCCTGAAAGATTACCAGCCAGCAATAGCCCAGGGCTCCCCCAAAAGAATTGGTTCAGATTGTAATTATCAGTTAGGCAATGTTTTTAAAACTTAGTAATGAGAAACTGTGAAAAGAGCCAAGTGTTACATTGAGCTTGGGGTGGGAGATGGGGAACAGGCAGTGAGGAAGGAGACAGGGGTGGAATTCGTCTTCTGGGAGGAAGCTGGAGAGAGCACAGTGAAATTGAAATACCCATTCCCAGATAGTCAAAAACATGAACTTTCCCCCAGCCTGCACCAGTATTGTTTTCAAACATTGCCCATGAGTAGGCCCTTTGAAGAGTTAGCTTCCTCCTCATCTTTGACTATAAAATTGTTTAATCAATGGAATTTGTACCAGCCTTTTAAAAAGTTTTAGTTTTTCCTAAGTGATTTTGCTCTCTTCCAATCTAAACCTGTTGCTTGTTTGGTTCAGAGAACTACAAACTGTCAAAGAAAGGGTGGGGATGATAAGAAATGCTAATATAAAAATGCTAAGTGAAAAAAAGACTTGGCCAGGAGAAATAATTTAAAATGCACATTTGCTTTGGATGCACTGTTGTTCTGTTAAGGCTGTATATATTTGTTTATTTAAGGTGACTGAAAGTGCAAAGAGGAAATGGACAGCATGCAATTCATCCTAATGTACAAAACGTTATATGCACTCAAATGTTATAATTTCTAATATTTTTAAAGTTTATATTCGAGTTGTACAAAGTTAAGCATTAATCAGATATTTCATTTTTTCATAATGTTACCATTTTCTTAAATATTATTACAAAATTTTAAGTCTGTCTAATGGAGAGTTTTTTTTAAACTGTCTACCTCATATAATACAAGTATTTACAACGCTAAAGTTACCAGAGGTCAATGAATAATCAAAACATTTTTTACAGTACACCTTTCCTGGATGATATGCAATCGAATGCTATATTATTAAACGCATTTTTCTCCTTAATAACTCAGCCTGGTTTATATGGATCGATTTAGAAAAATCCTTTTCTCACAGAATTATTGTCAGAGGTAGTTTGTTCCAGTTTGGGACTCAATGCCTGAAAACAAACTGATGATTTTAAAAATCTATCATTTAGAGCATTACACTTTTTCTTCATAACTCTTCAATAACTCCTTTTTCATGACATTTTTATTACTAGAATAAAGCCAAATCCTTGTCACCTATTAGACCAGTGTTTATAAGCCTGTCCCTCATCCCAGCACTTCAGGAATCCAAATAGAAATTGGATTATTTCTTAGTTGCTTTAATGTTGAAAAAAACAAAGCAGTAATGTTGAGGTAAGAAAGTGGTTACCTAAGTCAACCAAGATGTCAGTGTAATTACTCATTACCTTTGTGGCATACTGGAAGCAGAAGATACAAATGTTTTTCTGTGCTTGCTGTGAATTGGGGAACTCATGTGTGAATGTGAGCACTCACTCTATCAGGCATGATGTTATTCTACACATGTAGAATCTCATTTAAAACCCTCAGAGGTAGATATTATTATAATCCCCATTTTACAAATGAGGAAACCAAGGTGCAGAGAATTTAAGTAACCTGCCTGTGGGCATCCAGCCAGGGAATTGTAGTTAGGATTTAAAATTAGTTCATTCAGACTCTAGAGCCTGAGGAGTTAACCACTGTACAATTCTGTCCCCAGATCATCTACCTGCTCTCTGATTGGTCCCTAAATATTGACGTGGGGAATGTGCAGTTAGCTACAATCCTTAGGGTTGGTCAGCTGGCGGAGGAGGAAATGGTACAGAGGCCAGCAGCATTGCCTGAAGTTTTGGAGTGTGTGAATTGTAACTGCTGGCATAAGGGCAGCTGAAAAATGGGTATGGGTTGCAAAACTCCTTGAATTCTTAGCTTTGGGCTTGGCCCAGTAAACTTACAGTTTAAGCCATTACTGGGCTTTGGCTCTCTACTCTTTGCTGGGACTGCCCTGGGTGTGATTTTTATGAGTTTTGGTTATCAACACAATAGTCAATTTACAAATAGGTCATGTTTCAAAAAACTGGTTGCAAGTGGACCCTTAGAACTAAGAAACACTTTCCCGTGGACACGGTGATTGTTTGAGTTTCCAGGTCATTTTGCAGAAACTTTATTTACCCAAATGGAGCTTTTTAACAAAGCAATTTTGACTTCTGAGTTTTGAGAGGATGTAATCACCTGGGAAAGTGGAAAAGAGACTGTCTTTTCTGGGTGGAAGCTGCTTTTGAAATCGTTGAGAATTCTTTGCATTTTTGCACCACTCTTTTTATACCTGGCACCCAATTTGCCCAAGCTCACGAATGCCCTGAGGACTACCAGACTTGTACTTTAATATGTTCCCAATCCAGAGATTTCCCTTTTCTGAACAAATATTTTCATGTCTAAAGTTATTTTTCTTTCTTTCCTCTATTAGTTTATTCCTTAACTCAGGTGTTAGGAAAAACACAATCTGATTGAATTGCATGAAAATGTAAATATCTCCTAGCCTTTAACCTTAGAGAGATTTGTATTTTAAGAAGAAAATCTTGGTTAACTCAGATTTTTTGGGAATGATGTGAAAAACTCCAGAACATAGAGGAGAAGATTCAACACTCAAGCTACACACAATTTTGAGAGTTAAACGTGAATGAGGCACTAGTGATAAAAGAATGAATAGAGACACTTGTCAATGTGAGTTTTTGGTGTCCCTTAGGAGAAATTCTGTGCAATAAAGAGGCTATTTATGGCAGTTTGTTTTATTGTTAATATCTAACATATTAAAGCAAAGAATTTAATAACTTAGTTTTTAAATTTTCTCTAAAGCTTTTAAGTTTAATGTGTCCAGGCCCCATTATGATATGTTTTTGCCCTTGTTTTGCTCATTGCTATATTCCTAGCACCCAGAATAGTGCCTAACACCTAGCAGACACCCAGTAAATATTCTGAATGAATACATTACAAATCCTAGTCTACTTGTAAATCTAGAAATTTTGACAGTCACTTTCAAGGGAGCCTTTGATTGATGTCTTCAACTCACATTGAATGGACCAACCTCCCTTAATTAACCAATTCTAGTTTCAACCTAGTTAATAAACTTCCTTTAACTATTGTACATTGCTTTTATGAGCTTAATATATCCCATTTTCTTTTTAAGGCACTTCAAATTTCTTTAATGGGAAAAACCTTCCAATATACTTAAACCATTCCAAGTAAAGCTAATACACTAAACTTCTAAAGATGGTGATTCATAAGTTCTATTAAGCATCCCAATGTAGTTTATACCTTTTGACTCAACATCAGGAACCTACAATTAATTACTCAACTACCCATTTAAATTGGTGTTAGAGGCTAACCTGTTAGGTATCTTAATAAAGTACATTTTTAAAGCTCGCAAACATTTTATTTATTTATTTATTATTTTTGGAGATGGAGTCTCACTCTGTTGCCCAGGCTGGAGTGCAGTGGTGCGATCTCAGCTCACTGAAACCTCTGCCTCCTGGGTTCAAGCGGTTCTCCCTCCTCAGCCTCCTCAGTAGCTGGGATTACAGGTGCTCGCCACCACGCCCGTCTAATTTTTGTATTTTAGTAGGGCTAATTTTTGTATTTTTAGTAGAGAGGAGATTTTGCCATGTTGGCCAGGCTGGTCTTGAACTCCTGACCTTAGGTGATCTGCCCACCTCAGCCTCCCAAAGTGCTGGACTTACAGGCATGCCCAGCCACAAATATTTTAAATACCAAATATATATAGATTGTCCCAATTATTACAAAAACTATTTTTGAACTTAATACAAAATTGTTAATAGTTTAAATTTGATTTACCTAATCTCTGTACTTCATTCTAAAATATCTTTGGGTTAAAAACGCTAATCCATTACAGAAAAATCATACTGTCACAAGCAAGACGGGGTGACTATTTCAGCAGACTGGCGCAAATCTTCCAGAGGCGTTGGTCAAGAAATGAGATGGATCTTACCTGGACACTAACCAACATGTTAAGTCCCCTTTAAGAGTCACAGAAAAAAAGGAACCCCAAATTCCTATCTTTGACGAGTTGGCCTCTCCTGGGTTCAAGATAAGCCAGTTAATTAATTTTTCCTCCCGATTTGGGTAAGTTGAACTCCACACTCCCCATTAAGATTGTAGGTAACTTGCTTCACTAGTTAATTATATTTCATTATTATTTATCTCTCTTAGGACCTTTCTTTGCTTTCATCTTTGGCTTTAAAAGTACTTTATTGACACTGTATTGAATTATTCTGCCCTTACATATTTGTCCATAACCTCTTTTGACTTTATCATCAAACTCTGATCATCTGAATTTTGTGTGTTTCTTTTTCTATATTCTTCTGTCTGGAAGAGCTACAGCTCTTACAGATGTTAAAATGACATCTAACGGAAATCATACATCCCTTATTCTTTGTCTAGTTCTCTGGTCACAACACTAACGTGTGTTAATGAAAAACTGGTCCCTATGCTTGAAGAGTTCACAGGAATATTATTACTACTCTTATTTTATTAGGTAATTTTTGCAACAACTCTGTTATTACTCTGCTTTACAGATGGAAAAATTGGGAGTTAGAGAGGTTCAATAACTTGCTTGGGAGGAGCTAGAACTTATCTGGCAGAATCTAGAGCGCATTCTCATCTGCCCTCATTCAGCTGTTGTTTAGTGAGTTACCATGGTCTGGCAGGCACTGTTTGAGGCTTTGGGAAACTTTACATATAGAACTAGAGAGAAAGGAAATTCAAAATTGAAGATGAACTTCTAAGACTTTCGAGACTCATACAGGCAAGCTGTTCCTTCGACCTAAGTTCTGCTTTTATGACTTACTCCTCTGCTTTCTAACTTACAAATTCTGTCAAAGCTTAATCCGCCCTTGTCCCCTATAACTACTGAGGAAGCAGGGAGAACAGGATTAGGGATTGAGGGATGAGGAGAAGGGTAATATTTATAGCCATGGGTTCTTTATACCATTCTGATGTTCAAAACAGGTATAATGCTGACCCTTCTAAGAAGTTCAGACTTATTAGGAATATAACATGTTTGTTAAGGCAGAATTTAATAAATACTTACTATACTTATTATATATTGGTATCATCTGAGAATAGGTATGCCAGATGTGTCTGAGAATGATCACATGAGTGAAAATTAGAACTTCTTGATTCAACTTTCTTTTTGAAAATTCACATTTCCAAGTGATTATTTTTTAACTTCTGAAAAATAGTGGGTGATCTTAATCATGATAATTATTTAGTAACAGGAATGTGAAACTAGTTCATATATCGTTTCCCCTGAAAACAGATAAAAACCAACAAGACGTGTCAAGGGAATTTTAAAACAAGCATAACAGGAGTATTTACTCTTAAACTAGGTCAATGACTAAAGGGAATATATCCATGATGCTGAGATTCAGCCATCCACAGCTTCATGTTTGGTCACCCCCTTGTTGGAAAAGGGCACATCTCATGTGTCTCTGTATCTCTTTTCTATTCAGAAGACTTCATGATTTACTTGGGAAAACCAAGTGACTTATGCCATCCAGTTGTGCCCTAAACTTCAAAAAAAAAAAAGTGATTTGATTCCTACTTTGTTAACATTCTTTTGAAAGTTCCAGGAAAATGATGGGCTCTAATTTGTTGGAAGAAAGGGATACTTGGACTCCAAAATATCATCACTCCTTTCCTTTAAAACCAATCTAGTAATCTACATAGGGAATATTTACCTGTCTGTGTCAAGATAGTCTTAAAAGTCTCAGAGGTTTGGTCTCAATTTTGGAACGTCCCATATCTCCAGTTTTATCCCTAAAATATCTGACAAGCTGAGAAAACTA
The DNA here is from genome assembly GCF_000001405.40 of Homo sapiens. Classification (NCBI taxonomy): domain Eukaryota; kingdom Metazoa; phylum Chordata; class Mammalia; order Primates; family Hominidae; genus Homo; species Homo sapiens. The sequence continues at coordinate 96,137,489 of NC_000008.11, read as the reverse complement.
CATAAATAATTAGCCTCTGAGTTATATGATTATTTTTGTCCTTACTAGTGGCTAATGTTTATCGGACACCAACAGCATTCAAATCATGGTAGAAGATTTAGAGTTGTTCAAAGCCCTTGGTTAGAGGGCTCAGCTCATGCTTTATTCACATAAGAAAGCACTTTTCATTTTTCTGACTTTAAAATTGCTGTCTAGAACAAACAACAACATTATTCTTATAAGCATGTTTGGTTTAGGCTTAAACAAAACTGTATGTATTCATTCCATGCCTTATCTTTTACTAAAGCCTGACTCCTGAAGTTTGTTGGGAATGAGTTGTTAGTGACCATTAACCCCTCCCATTGCACTGAACAAATGATTTTTCCTAAAACGATTTCCTAGATAATAGTTTTATTAAAAAAGAATTTTCTGTTTTCTAAAAGTTTACTTGTGTTAATTGGAAAGTGGCTTCTTAGCCAGCACATAGATAGCTGCTGTTCTCTAGTCGGCAGTGAGAGCACCTTCAGCTAAACAAAGGGCCAGGGTAGTGATTAGAGACCCCTTTGAGGCATTCTCTGAACAGCCACTGTATCTTGGAATTCCTCCAGATTATCCCATATGTCTGAATTTGGGCTGTCTATTGGTGGGTCTGCAGCTGTAGACAGGTCTGTCTTCTGCGTATCTTTTCCCCTACACCTAAAATAGTCTGCATTATTTGTTATTTAACACACTGATCTTTTTCTACAGATGGAGAAGATGGTAAATTTGTATGAATGTTATCAGTTGAGTTTCTTTCATGGACCACACTTTGAGTGCCCTATAACCTCATATGTTATTTTGCTTCAGAAAGGTAGACCATAGGTCAAAGTATTTCTTCCAAAAAGCACACTCAACAAGGCATTCAGAAGTCAGTTCAGGTTCTGGATATGGCAGGGGTGGGTGGAGAGGAGAGGAGGGGCTTTCAGTGTCACAGCACCAAATTAAATGGCTTCTTTTTTGATTCTGTGTGACTTGGGCATGGAATGTAGCTATAGATATAATGTAGAACTAAATACACACAATACATAAACCTCTCTCAGTGTTTTTTCAAGCTTAATAAATGACCTGGTACAGTTTGTCCTGGCCCTCTGTATCTGGGTGTTCCACACCTGTGGATTCAACTAACCCTGGATGAAAAATATTTGAGGAAAAAAAATGTCTGTACTCAGCATGTACAGACTTTTTTCTTGTCATTATTCCCTAAACAGTACAGTGTAACAACTATTTACATAGCATTTACATTGTAATCTAGAGATGATTTAAAGTGTATGGGAGGATGTGCATAGGTTATATGCAAATACAATGCCATTTAACATCAAGGGCTTGAGCATGGAGGATTTTGGCATCTGAGGGAGGTCCTGGAACCAATCCCCCATGGATACTGAGGAAAAAAATCCATGTAGAAAGTGCTCTGGTGAGAGGATTGCTTGAGTCTGGGAGTCAGAGTTTGCAGTGAGCCAAGATTGCACTGCTCCACTCCAGGGTGACAGAGTGAGACCCTTCCTCAAACAAAACAAAACAAAAAAACAAAAACAAAAAAAAGAAAAGAAAAGAAAAGAAAAAAAGTGCTCTGTAATTATTATTACCATCATCATTATTATTATTTTTTAATAGATGTTTTGAAAGCTACATTCATTTTTGACTGGTGATAGGAACGGTAGTTGAAATGAGCCTGTAGTAAAGGACATAATTTGTTAAATAGTTGTGAATATTTTTTTGTGCATCTACCATTTGGCAGGTATTGTGCTTAGCACTAAGGATATAGACTTAAATAGAAACATCTCTGTAGAAGACTTGCTAAAATCATTGCCCAATGTGGTAAATAGATTAGATATTCAAATAATATGCTAAAGAAGAGGAAGCAGATCTCCTCTGTACAAAAGTGAAATTTCCCTGAGTCCTTAGTGAGCCATTCACCCTCACTGTTAATTTCTCACATTGGTGAGATAGCCTGCCAGGCTTAGTGTGCAACATGTGATCACAAAATTAGTTTTTTCTCTACCTGAAATGAACTATGTATGCCTTTGGAGAATCAGAATATTGGCACATATCTTATTAACCCTGATGAGCAAACTCACCTGGAATCTATATTTCAGTAAACTATATTAAAAATTATGGAGGGGGTATTATGTCAACCCTGCTTGGTAGAACAGATAATCAAATGAACCAGTGCAGAGAATTTGTTTTGGGGCCAAAAAAAAAAAAAAAAAAAAAAGAAGAAGGAAAAAGTAGACGTGTCAATTAATATTAGGTTCATCTGCCTAAAACCCCAAACAACAGTGGCTTAAACAAGAATATAGACAGTCCTTGACTTACGATGTTTTCAAGTTAGGATTTTTTCGACCTTACGGGCTACTAAATACATTTTGGGGTACTAGTATTGGGGTACTAAATACACTTTCAATTTATGCTATTTTTTAACTTAGGATGGATTATTTATCAGGACATAACCCCCATCAGAAGTTGAGGAGCAGCTGTAGTTTGTTTCTCTCTGGTAAGAAACAGAAACAAAAACAAAACCTGGAGTTTGGCATTTCAGTTTTGCTACGGTGATTTCTCATCAGATAATTTAAAAAGTCATTTAAAAGTATGGCTTTTATTCTCAAGTTTGCCACATAGTTCAAAATAGCTGCTGGAGCTCTGGTCATCACATCTATGTTCCAGTGAGCAAGACACAGAAGAGGGAAAGGCAAAAAGAGGTCACCCCCATCTCAGCAGAGTCAGCCACCTTTAAGAAGTCTTTCTGGAAATCTCACCTGACACGTTCACTTACATCTCATTGGCTAAAACTTAGTCATGTGCCTCCCCCAACCTGACTACAAAAGATGATGGGAAATGTAGTCTTTTACCTGAGCACATTGTTGCCACCGATAAAACTGAATTTCTGTAACCATAGGAGAAGGGATAATAGATATTGGGAAGACACTAATAGTCTGTAAGACAATAGGCATTAGTATGGATTACCAGACTCCGCAGTTGTTAAGAAGAGTGGTATGGGACATGTCAGTGGGAACAGAGAAAGAAAGACGAGCCAGGAATGTAGGGTGAAGCTTTTTTTTAAAAAAAAACAAGAAAAAAATTCCTACTTTTCCCAATTACGAAGATGATTTATTCTTAATTTTATTAAATGTCATTGTACAATGTGCTTTTAAGATACTGCTTTCTTGAGTTATCCGGAAAATTATGACCCATGGTGGGGGGAAACTAATGTCATTGGAGATGAGGGTAGACTGTTCATTTCCACCCCCCGAAGAGCAGTAGCAGCGCTCTTCAGTTCCTAACCACTGAATAGCGGTGGAAGGGGTTAATGAGTTAGTGCTTACACAGGGCTAGAAGATGAAAACCAGTAGGGTGGGATATTATTTTTATTGTGTTGACACAGATGCATTTTCTTAAAGATTTATAAGAAACTTAATTTTTCAAAATACTCTGCTTCTTGCTTTACAAATTCCATTTTACTTATGTATGTGTCATCTACACTGCAGCCTAACCAGGGGAGAACAACAACAAAATATATTTCTCTTTACTTTGAGGTTTTACATTCATGGGGAACATTTTTACTGAGTCAATAAATTGCGGCTTACCAGTAAGCATTCCCCTAAAGGAATTGATCTTCGGAAAATTTTCTGAAATTTGGGCAAGGTACTAGCCATCCAGGAAGAAGATTCAAACAAGCAGATTTAACTTATCAACTTCCAAGACAAGCAGTGGTTTTGCATAAAAATATCACCACCACCCATAATAATAAAAAATGCCAACCATGTATTCACTTCTTACACTACTAGGTGCATTTTCTGCATCCAGCACATCCTCCCCCATTTCTTCCTCTCTACTTGTATTATCCCTAATTTACAGATAAGAAAACTGAGGCTCAGAGAGGTTAAATAAAATACCCTTGGCCATAGCCAGAACAAGGCAAAGGTGGGACCCACAGCAGGCAATTTGATCCCAAAGCCCACAGTGGTCTCAACCAGTGTGTAATGCTGTCTCACAAACATCCTCAGAATCTGCTCCATCTCTTATCACCAACAAAGCGTTGGATTTGCTGGTAGAGAAAAAAATGCTTGAACTCTAGCTGGGCTCCTCTAGTATCTGTTTTGACAGCCGAAATTAATTGTTCATTTTCTGAGCACTTTTTGGCAACTCCTTCTAATGACCCGAACTGCCGTCTCCTTCCTTTTCAGCTTGGCAAGGCTCCCCGATGTGGAGCTGACGGGGCGCGGGGCGGGGCGGGTGCGAGAACTGCACTGATACAGTGGTCTGGCAGGGCTGCAGGCTTTAGGAGAAAGGAAATGATTGTTTTCACTCTCTGGAGTTGCTGAGAATGACGGTGGGCATTTTCTGACTCTGGTTAAAATGAAAGTCTCACAAAGCTGATTAAACCAAATGTGATAATTGAGTTGAAGATGAGCCTATCTCATCTTTGTGATTGTCTTCCAAAGCAAGACAATCTGTCTTTCTCACACTGCACCTCTGCACGCTCAGAGCAAAGGGGAATCTCTCTTCCCTCTGCACTCTCCCTCGGTGTTGACCAGAAGAGGGAGCAGCTTCTGTTGGAATGTGAGTGATGCATAGGCACATGTTCCGAATGGGCACCTAGCTCCAAAGATGCTTGGACTCTTAGGATTAAGAACACTTGTTAAATTTAAAAATCCTGTTGGAGTAGAAAATACCAATATTTTCTGGCAGCTCTGAGCCCTTAGGTACCATTTTGGGCAACGTTATTTTGAAATCTGCAGAAGCTATCCTCAAACGTGCATTAATTACTTGAAAGCCCATCCACATCCTTGATATTGTTATTCTCAAAATACACATGTGCTAATCCAGAGGCTGGTGCTTGAAACATGCAGAAGGCATGAGTTGTATCTGCAAGGTTAAAATATTTAAAAAAGGTGTAGATGAACAGCAACATTTCCCCCCTTATTCATTTACTCTGTCTCTTTCTTATAGATAAAGCAGAATGGAAATAAATAGGGCAGGTTGATATTTGGCTTTGGATAGGAATATTTCCTCTCCAGATTCTTTACCATCATGGTGGAATTCCTGGTGAAGGTGAGCTTCAAGGTGGGTTTTAATTGGAAAGAGAAGGGAAAATCTGAACTACGAAGAGGAGGTAATTCCTGCAGGTCAGGACTGGATGGAAATCTTTCAGAGAGAGAGAAAGAAATGGACAGAAGTTGCCAGTATTTGCTTGACAGCAGATCAAACAAAGACTTTGGGTCTGACAGGCTTGTGGCAAACTCCAGGAGGAAGAGTATGAATTTCATGCTAAAAGCAGTGGAAATTACTAAAGAGTACTGAGGCTGGAATGAAGGGTAAGAAGATGATGCTGGCCACATCACGCCATGGTGGTAGCATTTAAGTGTTGGAACCTGGTGGGTAAAAATTCAAGTAATAAGGCCGCAGTTAGGAAAGCCAGATGTACTGATTGGTCAAGGAAGGTCCCAGTTTATACTTACTGCCCAGGCAAAACTATTAATAGCTCCTTTGTTCACTGCCCAGGTATCCTGTTTGGTTGTTAAATTACACAGTCACCCTGGCCTTAGTTTACATATGGCTGAGGGTCAAGGAATAAATCACATACTTAGCAATGCACACGCAGGGGGAGAGAGAGATCTTGAAGAGATGGTTGTAAACAAACAAACGAAAAAGCAGGATGATAGGAATAGTGAAAAGTGACCTACCTGGTTATGTCCAGTCAACAAGGACAGTGAGCAGTCAGTGAGGGGGACCATGAGGGAAAGATGTAATGTTCCATATGATGGCAAGATCCCCAGGGACAATAGATATTTATTACATAAACAATGTGGAAGAACCAATCAGTGCCTGTTAGATGAATGAAATTGTGCACAGGTAGAGGAAGCAGGACTGATGTGAAGAAAGGACATGGAGCTAAGCCGGGAAGTGGGTGCTTAGGAGCAGATTTGATTTTCCAGGATAATGATATCTAGAAAGAAGTGTGAAGGCTCTGTGGATGTTAGTGGGTCACATCAAAGGAACAGAAGCGACACTGGAGAGGCAATAATTTGGGGAATGGAAGAGATGTAGAGCAGATGAAGCTTCGGGTGTGGAGAGAGGGGTGGTGAAGATGTCACTTGCTGTGTGTGCCAGGCACTGTGCGAGGCTTGGAGACAGAGATGCAGGGAGGCAGCTCTCAGGGTCTGGTGCTTTAAGACAATCACAAGCAGTTGTTCTCAGTGTTGTTTGAGGAGCACAGTCACGAAGGGGTGAATTCTGCTTCAAGGTGGGGAGAGGGAGGCTGCTTGAGAGGGGCCAAATTAGTGTCAGAGTTGGAGATGGCTGGTGAGAACCTTGAGGAAAGCATAGGGATTTCCTAGTTGTACAAGTGGGGGAAGGTGGAAGGATTGTGTGAGCACATGCAGGGAGGTGCGGCTGCAGTACAGAACATCTCTAGGATTGTGAGGGCAGGTGAGGATGCAGGCGAGGATGCAGGATGGGCAGCCTTGCATTTCAAGCTGGAGCATAAGAATTTTATCTCATGGTTTGCCAGGAACAGTTCTTAAAGTAGGAGAGTGTTTCACAAACTCGCTGTGAGCATTGGCTTGAAGGACGTGGAAGGATGGAGAGTCTGGATGGAGCAAGGGAAACAGGGGAGGAGAGAAGCTGCAAGAGAATTCCCAATCTGTCAGAAGCAGAGGAATAGAGAGGAAGAGATGGAGTGAGGGGACACTTGCAGGGTCTATTTGGAAGGTCTTGAGGACAATTTGGATGTGGAAGGTGAGAGAGAGAGAGAGAGAGAGAGGACTCAAATATTTTGACTATGAGGAAATCTTTGGGAAGGCGGTGAAAGGAGACAGTCCCAGAAACAGAACTGCAGGGATGTAAGAAATGAGTTTGGTGAAAGAAAGCAGAGACAAGTTCAGAGAGCTTAAGCCTGGAGGGGAGGGTTGAGATGGAGTGATAGTTTGATGGTGGGGAGGGGACAGGGAACAGGAAGGAGAAAGGTGGAGGCGGGCATGCTGCCAAGGCTAAATGAAAGTGGTTTTGTCTTGTTTCCTAAGATGGATGGGGAAGCCTGGGTATATTTGGTTTTGATGGGGTTATAGAAACAGAAGGAAAATGCTGATGAAAAATGAGGGAGAGTCTGTGGTCACTGAAGAAAGCAAACAGTTCCAGCAGATGTTACAGTTCTGGTCCGAGGATTCTTACCAGCAGGTACTCCAAGTCTTGAAGATAATGATGGGAAGTTAAAATCCAGGTAGAAATTGGGGGATGGCCGAAAGAGGGAAATTACTGAAGAGGCAGAGAACAGCCAGGGACAAAAATGGGACTAATATGTGTCTGAGGTAGATACCAAGATATCAATAGAGATATCAGTAGAGAAGGGAAGAGAAGAAAAAGAATATCTGGCTCATGTGGGTGCCGAATGACACAGAGAAGATGAGAAGAGAAAAGCAGAAAGCAAGTTTAGGATTGTAGTGGTTGTTTGTTGTTTTTGCCACTCAACATTCATACACACTTCTTGAATCAAGAATGCCCTGATTTTGTTTTGGGGAAACCACCTTTATTCAGTGTTTAGCCTGCGTGCTTGGAGTTTAGCTGATGATACTGAGTCCCAGCATTGGGGTAACTTCATCCAATTCTAATAGTGTATTTCGCCCCCTGGGCATAATGATTTGTACATGAGTATGCACCAAGCTCAAGTCAGAGCTAGGAAGGCTCAACCCTGGGATTTTTTTAATGAAGCTATTGATGGAGAAGGCTCTTTCATCAAGGACTTGAGTGTAGAAGACTATAAACTGGAGATGCTCCAGACATTTTACAACCACGAGGCGGGAGAGTCTATCAGGGAATGCAGACAACATAGTGGAATGCACAATTAATAGATGGAGAGAGAAACTGGGTCTTCATGAAATCATCTGAGCCCTATGCCTGAAGCCAGTCCTAGCCCTGCAATTTTCAACTGTATGAGCACTAGATTAGTTTTCTTTTGATTAAGCCATTTGGATTGGGTTTTCCTAGTTGCCATAAGAAGAGTTAAAACTGATGAAAGGATGTAGGCGGAATGTTATGGAAGCACAAAAAAGTGAGTGAAGAAGGGAGGTATTTGAGGATAAGAGCAGAAAGGAGGCAGAAGCAAAGAGTCCATTGAGATAAGGTTGATAGGAAATAAAAGGAAAGGATTAACTGACCGGGGCTAGCCAGGCTTTTAACATCCATGAAGAGGTACCCTTGGACTGTAGTAGATTTCATTGATGAACACTAACCTAGGAATTAAAGCCACCCTGGGGGTGCGGTATTTTTTCTCATGTACACAAAGAGAACAACATGCAGTGATGATAGTCACACTCTGTAACACCGGTGGATGCCCATTCATTCATTCATTCATTCACTGTTTCATTTATTTGCTCAGCAAAAGTTTATTAGCATCTGCCAAACAACATGTTAAGAATTAGAGGTAGAAAAGACACCATATTCTCCCTAGAGGTGCTTTATTGAAAGAGAGCAGCAGTCAGATGTAAATACAGTGCTGGGTGGTCGGTAGACTGGGGATAAGTGTGTGAGTTTGAGCTCAGAGGGAGCCTCAGGGAGGTGACTGCATAGCTAGCATAAGTTAGTAAGAGTTGTGCAGCTAATGGATACCTGAAACAACCCCTGGTTTGGGTATTGGCAGTCTAGATGAGCTTTGTTCTCTCTCAGAGTCTTGGTCCCACATTGGAAAAGAGGAACCAGATGAATGTGTTTCTGTTTTCCTGTTTTGTTTCTCTTAATATGAATGGACACTTGCTTATTAACTGTGGCACCCTCTGGTTATTGTAGGATGCTGTTCATTTAGGCAGTCAGACATGGATTTTGAAAGTCCTCTTGCCTTTTACAAACTGGTTGCATTAAGTACAATAAGTACACTTTTCTTTATTAATATGCTGACTGTCTTGTATACCTAGGCTGAACAGGTCTACCTTGTTTGCCTCTCAGAGCAATGTGTATAAGCAGCTGCAAAACATATTTGATGCAAGGAAAAGCAATTTTTGTCTTTAAAATAAACACCAACTTTTCTCTTCTGTAAGCCTGTCCAGATGATCAAAAGCCAGATAAGGCCTTAAAACAAATTCCCTTTTCCCATTTGCAATGTAAAAAACTCCTTTATTCCCAACACACCCTCCCCTTTCATTAATGGAAGCGCAGCTCTTATCTTGATGTATGTGTAGCTGGTGCTTCTTCAGTTCTGACAACAAGAAAAGTGAGCAACAGAAAATAATGGAGCCCTGAAAAATTGCTGTCTTATACCCCTGAAATTTCTCCTTCTTTCAGGCCAAATCCACCCACGTACCATGTTTGAGAAATGATGAGCACAAGAGGTATCTGTTAAGTCGACAGCCTGCAAAGCTTTTTCTTTTAAATAGCCAATGATTATTGAATCGTTGGCCAGTCTTGAACACTCTTAGGCACAGTGACAGTTAATAGAATGGAGAAGGCATCATCTTTTGGCCTTCAAAAGCTTCTGAACTAAGATGGGTACAAGGAATTAGAAGGAAAATAATTGAACAGCCAGAGCTGCAGCAATCTCAGAATCTCTGGACTCAAATATAGTGGCTGCAGCTTCCTGGGACATGTCCCATTCTTAAAGTGTGCAATAAGCAAAAAACATGTACTATTCTCTTGTTCTTCACATACTGTGAAAGATAAACATAAAAGTAAATTCTCCATCTGAGGGAAATCCTGCATATCCAAGCTGTGTAGGGTGGCAATCAAGTATATACTAAGTTCTGGTTGTTGCTCAATGACGAGCACAGCATCAAGCCTGCCAGCACTTACAATAGAACAGTGATCTGTAGCCAGACCAGATCTTCAGGTGTTTCAATAAGGCTACAGGTAGTTGATTGATTTCTTTTGCCATCTAGGATGATTCTATATCAAGGACTATGAAATATGTTTGCTCACATCATTTTGACCAGATCTTCAGGCCAGACGACTTTGTCTTTAGTCAGTCTGGAGCAGGCTATGGCCACAGAAGGAAGGAAGCAGAGCTGACAGCCTCCATCGTGATATCGTATCTAAGGTATCTAGAGCCATTACAGGCCTCAAGGCTTCCTATGGACTCAATGGCTAGATGGGGGCATGGGCTCCGGCATGGGCACCCTTCTCATTTGCAAGGTCTGTATCCAGGACCCTGATCACCTCATAACATCTAGCACAAGCCCTTCACCCAAAGTTTAGGCACCATGGCCAAATACCATACCATATTCTCTGCCCACTGGTTGGTGGACACCATAAATAATGAGGTGCTCTACTTTGTTTCTGAAACTTCAAGCTGACCCTCTGACATTGACAGTGACCTGAGCCACGCCATCTTGATCTGCCTGTCTCCACTTTCCAGGCCAGTTCAATACAAATTTCCACAAACTGGTGGTCTGCCTGGCCCCCGTTCCTTATGTTACTTCTTTATGTCAGATTTTGCCTCACTCACTAGCTTGGGAAACTACTAGTACTCGGCTCTGACTGCAGCAAAGCTCACCCAGCAAACTCTCAACGCCAAAACAAGATGGCAGCATGTGATCTATGTCATGCTGCTGTTATCATCATCATCATTTTTTGAGGACAGAAGTATATGAAGGAAGTGTATAAGGACATGCTCAACTAAGAAGCAAGAGCAGCAGCTGCTACAAGGAATGGATCCCCAACAATATCAAGACAGTTATCTACAACATTCCAACCAATGGGCCCAAGGTGGACATTAGCAAAAAACCACCATCCAAGAGCTCTTCAAGGGACTCTCCTAGTCTAAGCAGTTTAATGCTATGTCCTGTCTGAATGCTTTCTACATTAGAACACAGGGAAAAGAATGAGTGAAATGCAGTTCCTGGAGAATGAGAGCAACAAGAACACCTTTGTAAAAAAAAAAAAAATCAATGGCATCAGAATTCCACAAGGAAGAAGAGAAGGAATTTCAGCAAAGAGTCCAAGAAGGAGGTCTGAGGACCTAATCCTCTGTCCCCATATGTTAGTCTTCTCAGTTTACACAGCCTTCAACATGACCCCATTTTCCCCCCCTAAAATTACCATTTTTTAAAGTCTCTATCTTTGTTTATTTGTTTTTCTGGAGAAGGGAAAGGGGGACTTGTCTCTTTCTTCTGGGGAACTGGATTTCTGGGTCTTTTTTCTATCCAAGAGCATACTACCACGTCCTCACAACTCAAATGCCTACTGACTTGAGCCCAGATCATAGCCAAGAGAAAAAGAGGACCAGAGTGATTGACTCCTAGTAGAAGCAACTGGGTCAATCCTAATTTGTCTTTCATTGACCATCTCAAGTTGTTCCTCTGGTTTTTGTATGACTACTTCACTTTCTCCTCCACCTTAGGTTCAGGCGAGATGTTGATGGTATTGCTCAGTTCTCCTCTCAGTTCTGCTCTGAGCCTTCATTTTCCTTTGGAGGAAATGAAGAGAGGAAATAACAGAGAGGCCACCCGCTCTGTTAAGGTGGCCCACATACTTTGCCTTCTTTTTGGGGGCAGACAGGAAGTGGGGAGAGAGAACTGCTTGATCTCTAAGCCTCTAAGGAGGACCCCCCTCCTCGTCTTTCCTTGCTCATTGCATCCCTAAAATATGGAAAGAAATGTATTACCAGCTAAAAACAGAATACAGTTTTTTTTTTCCCCAGAAGATGGAGGAATCAAAAGATGCCCCACCATCACTCCTTTGCAATTTCTCTTGTTTTTTTCCTAAGCTGGGACATTTTTTCTGCCTTAGTTTTCCTGTTCTGCCGCTCAGATTTCAGTTTTGTGTGAGATTTACTGCTCTTTGGAAAGATGAGGTTCTGTGAGTCAAAAACAAACAGAAAATGAAAAAAAAAAAAAACTATGCTAAAGCATGACTCAATTCTTGCTTTCATTCAATCAACTTTCACAAAGCATCTAGTACATGCCAAGCATTGATTTGGGGAGGGCACACACCCTGTCCTGCCTGCAGCATCTGGTCTTGCTGCCCTTTAGGTGGGAGTTGAGCCAGGTAGCAGCTAATGAATGGTGGGCCACCCTCTGGAGGGCAGGGATTAATTGTGGATGGAGGTGCTAAAGTGGCCAACCACGATTGCAAGGATAGAAAGCGTGTTGGAATCGCTTTCTGTGATCTTGTAACTCTTCAAATCCCTCTAGGAATATTGAAATTCCCAGTTTAAGGAAAACTGCCTTCACACAGTGGGATATAGCCACAGAAATGCATTTATATAGAATTTTTGCTGTTTATTCTAAAGAAGTAGGTCAAAACCAGGCAAAAACTCCCTTCCCTCTTCCACCTCCCTTTTCAGGGACATTTGGCAGGAGGCATTTTTGATTGTTGTGGTTGGGGGGACAGTGAAGGTGGCATCTAGCAGGTAGAGGTCAGGGAGGCTGCTAAACATCTTTCAATCCACAGACAGCCCCCCATAACCAAGAATTATCAGGCCCAAAGTGTCAACTGTGCTGAGGTTGGAAACCCCGTTCTAAAGGAAGAGACCTCTGACCCTTCCCCAATTGTGCAATGATAGTAATAATGCACATTTGACAAGCACTTACTGTGTGTCAGATGCTGTTCTTAGGGTTTTACTTGCAGTACTTCACTGATTTCTCATTATCAATGACAAAGGAAGTCTTATCATCATCCCCATTTTCCAGATGTGGAAAATGAGTCCCGGAGAGATTAAGTGTTTTGCTGCAAGTCTCCAAGCTAGAAAGCAACTGGGTCAGGATTTGAATCTCAGCAGCCTGTGGCCAAGTTCATATACACTTAACCTTATTTATAGGTTGCCTCTCTCCTGGACAACAAAGCTTGCTAAAGTTCATTGTTCTCAGTTGGAAGTATAGTTTTTTTTTTTTTTTTTTTTTTTTTTTTTTTTTTTTTTTGCTTGCGTGAACAGAGCAACCTAGAAGAGGGAGTAAAGGAGAAGGGACAATCTCAACAATTTGTCTTTGTCATGAGAATAATCAAAGTCCTCTTGTCTCTATTGCTGCACTGGAGTGGGTGGATCCTGGTGAACATGAAGGAAGAGATGCACCTGACCAGACAGGACCCGCATTAATGACAGGGCACACTGTTTCAGGCAAGCCGCTCCTCTGAAGCCACACACACCCTGCTCGCTGATCTCCCTGCAGTAGAAGGTTAAGTCTGCAGCATCAGCCAGCCCCGGAACCCTTTGAAATACCATGTCGGAAACTTCTTGGCAAAGCCTAACAATAGAAACCATAAGCAGATTCTAAATTACCATTATCATTAATCGGGGTTGACATGTAACTGGCCCCTCCTAAGTACTGCTCAATCACTGCCCCCCTTTATTCCTTTCTCCAAGGTTCCCACAGGCCTCCTTAGACTAAAGGGTACCTGAGCCGTGCCCCAGTGTGTGGTCCTCGGCAGAACAATGGAAGCAAAGTAATCCCTGACAGAGCCGGGCTGGGACCTTCGACATAAAGCAGATATGGGGCAATGTGAGAAAGGGCCATGGGGAGAAGCTCAGACAGGGAAGAAGACCGGGAGAGCAGCCAGGTATTAAGAGGCCGGGTAGGGGCAAGGAGAGCCAATAATACAGGGTGGGTGAAATGGAATGAACACGGTTTGTGTTCAGAGTTGGCATTTGTCACTTTAATGGATTCCAAAGAAGGAGGCAGGCATGCTTTCCAACTAGCCTGGGAAACCAGCTACATATGGGAGAAGAGTTTTTAAAAAGCCCTTCATTCAAGAAACCTATGTGTAAGCTATTGTTTTAGAGCATTTTTAAAATAACTGTTAATTATGCTTCAGATTTTTTTCACTTTTGCACCACACATGGGTTTTAGGAACTGCAAGAAGCCCAGACCATATCTTTAATCTGTCCATTCACATATTCAGCTATTTGGCAAATATTTATTGAGATCCTACTAAGTGCCAAGCACTGTTCATAGCACTGGGGATGCAGCCATGGACGAAATACGTATGGCCTGGCCCTCACAGAGACTGCATTTTAGAGGGGAGACAGAAATCAAAACAGTAAGCATAATAAACAAGTAAATGACTTCTTCTCATCAAAGGACACAATCAACACAATGGAAAGGCAATCTATGGAATCAGAGAAAATATTTGCAAATTGTATATCTGATAGGGGTTAATATCCAGAATACATAGAGAACTCCGACAACTCAACAATGTCAACAATAAAAACTTGATTTGAAAATAGGCAAAGGACATGAATAGACATTTCCCCAAAGAAGATATACAATTGGCCAATAAATACATGAAAAGATGCTCAACAGCACTAATTGTTAGGGAAATGCAAATAAAAGCCACAATGAGATATCACCTCACATCCATTAAGATGTCTACTATATTAAAAAACCAAAACTCCAGAAAATAACAAGTGTTGGTGAGGATGTGGAGAAATTGGAACCCTTCTGCAATATTGACAGGAATGTAAAATGGTGCAGCCACAATGGAAAACATCATGGCAGTTTCTCAAAAAACAAAAATAAAATTACCATATGACCCAGCAATTCTGCTTCTGAGTATATACCCAAGAGAACTGAAATCAGGATCTTAAAGAGAGATTTGTACACCCATGTTCATGGCAGCATTATTCACAACACCTGAAAGGTGGAAGCAACTCAAGTGTCCATCGAAGAATGAGTAGATAAGCAAAATGTGATATATACGTACAATGAAATTTTCTTCAGCCTTAAAGATAAAGGGAATTCTGATATATGCTACAACACGATGACCCTTGAGGACATTTATGCTGAGTGAAGGAAGACAGCCACAAAAAGACAATTCGACTTTATTTTTTTTTTATTATAATGTCTTTTTCTTTTCTTTTTTTTTTTATTATACTTTAAGTTCTAGGGTACATGTGCACATTGTGCAGGTTAGTTACATATGTATACATGTGCCATGCTGGTGCGCCGCACCCACTAACTCGTCATCTAGCATTAGGTATATCTCCCAATACTATCCCTCCCCCCTCCCCCCACCCCACAACAGTCCCCAGAGTGTGATATTCCCCTTCCTGTGTCCATGTGATCTCATTGTTCAATTCCCACCTATGAGTGAGAATATGTGGTGTTTGGTTTTTTGTTCTTGCGATAGTTTACTGACAATGATGATTTCCAATTTCATCCATGTCCCTACAAAGGACATGAACTCATCATTTTTTATGGCTGCATAGTATTCCATGGTGTATATGTGCCACATTTTCTTAATCCAGTCTATCATTGTTGGACATTTGGGTTGGTTCCAAGTCTTTGCTATTGTGAATAGTGCCACAATAAACATACGTGTGCATGTGTCTTTATAGCAGCATGATTTATAGTCCTTTGGGTACATACTCAGTAATGGGATGGCTGGGTCAAATGGTATTTCTAGTTCTAGATCCCTGAGGAATCGCCACACTGACTTCCACAATGGTTGAACTAGTTTACAGTCCCACCAACAGTGTAAAAGTGTTCCTATTTCTCCACATCCTCTCCAGCACCTGTTGTTTCCTGACTTTTTAATGATTGCCATTCTAACTGGTGTGAGATGGTATCTCATAGTGGTTTTGATTTGCATTTCTCTGATGGCCAGTGATGATGAGCATTTTTTCATGTGTTTTTTGGCTGCATAAATGTCTTCTTTTGAGAAGTGTCTGTTCATGTCCTTTGCCCACTTTTTGATGGGGTTGTTTGTTTTTTTCTTGTAAATTTGTTTGAGTTCATTGTAGATTCTGGATATTAGCCCTTTGTCAGATGAGTAAGTTCCGAAAATTTTCTCCCATTTTGTAGGTTGCCTGTTCACTCTGATGGTAGTTTCTTTTGCTGTGCAGAAGCTCTTTAGTTTAATTAGATCCCATTTGTCAATTTCGGCTTTTGTTGCCATTGCTTTTGGTGTTTTAGACATGAAGTCCTTGCCCATGCCTATGTCCTGAATGGTAATGCCTAGGTTTTCTTCTAGAGTTTTTATGGTTTTAGGTCTAATGTTTAAGTCTTTAATCCATCTTGAATTGATTTTTGTATAAGGTGTAAGGAAGGGATCCAGTTTCAGCTTTCTACATATGGCTAGCCAGTTTTCCCAGCACCATTTATTAAATAGGGAATGCTTTTCCCATTGCTTGTTTTTCTCAGGTTTGTCAAAGATCAGATAGTTGTAGATATGTGGCATTATTTCTGAGGGCTCTGTTCTGTTCCATTGATCTATATCTCTGTTTTGGTACCAGTACCATGCTGTTTTGGTTACTGTAGCCTTGTAGTATAGTTTGAAGTCAGGTAGTGTGATGCCTCCAGCTTTGTTCTTTTGGCTTAGGATTGACTAGGCGATGCGGGCTCTTTTTTGGTTCCATATGAACTTTAAAGTAGTTTTTTCCAATTCTGTGAAGAAAGTCATTGGTAGCTTGATGGGGATGGCATTGAATCTGTAAATTACCTTGGGCAGTATGGCCATTTTCACGATATTGATTCTTCCTACCCATGAGCATGGAATGCTCTTCCATTTGTTTGTATCCTCTTTTATTTCCTTGAGCAGTGGTTTGTAGTTCTCCTTGAAGAGGTCCTTCACATCCCTTGTAAATTGGATTCCTAGGTATTTTATTCTCTTTGAAGCAATTGTGAATGGGAGTTCACTCATGATTTGGCTCTCTGTTTGTCTGTTGTTGATGTATAAGAATGCTTGTGATTTTTGTACATTGATTTTGTATCCTGAGACTTTGCTGAAGTTGCTTATCAGCTTAAGGAGATTTTGGGCTGAGACAATGGGGTTTTCTAGATATACAATCATGTCATCTGCAAACAGGGACAATTTGACTTCCTCTTTTCCTAATTGCATACCCTTTATTTCCTTCTCCTGCCTAATTGCCCTGGCCAGAACTTCCAACACTATGTTGAATAGGAGTGGTAAGAGAGGGCATCCCTGTCTTATGCCAGTTTTCAAAGGGAATGCTTCCAGTTTTTGCCCATTCAATATGATATTGGCTGTGGGTTTGTCATAGATAGCTCTTATTATTTTGAAATACATCCCCTCAATACCTAATTTATTGAGAGTTTTTAGCATGAAGCGTTGTTGAATTTTGTCAAAGGCTTTTTCTGCATCTATTGAGATAATCATGTGGTTTTTGTCTTTGGCTGTTTATATGCTGGATTACATTTATTGATTTGTGTATATTGAACCAGCCTTGCATCCCAGGGATGAAGCCCACTTGATCATGGTGAATAAGCTTTTTGATGTGCTGCTGGATTCATTTTGCCAGTATTTTATTGAGGATTTTTGCATCAATGTTCATCAAGGATACTGGTCTAAAATTCTCTTTTTTTGTTGTGTCTCTGCCTGGCTTTGGTATCAGAATGATGCTGGCCTCATAAAAAGAGTTAGGGAGGATTCCCTCTTTTTCTATTGATTGGAATAGTTTCAGAAGGAATGGTACCAGTTCCTCCTTGTACCTCTGGTACAATTCGGCTGTGAATCCATGTGGTCCTGGACTCTTTTTAGTTGGTAAGCTATTGATTATTGCCACAATTTCAGAGCCTGTTATTGGTCTATTCAGAGATTCAACTTCTTCCTGGTTTAGTCTTGGGAGAGTGTATGTGTCGAGGAATTTATCCATTTCTTCTAGATTTTCTAGTTTATTTGCCTAGAAGTGTTTGTAGTATTCTCTGATGGTAGTTTGTATTTCTGTGGGATTGGTGGTGATATCCCCTTTATCATTTTTTATTGCGCCTATTTGATTCTTCTCTCTTTTTTTCTTTATTAGTCTTGCTAGTGGTCTATCAATTTTGTTGATCCTTTCAAAAAACCAGCTCCTGGATTCATTAATTTTTTGAAGGGTTTTTTGTGTCTCTATTTCCTTCAGTTCTGCTCTGATTTTAGTTATTTCTTGCCTTCTGCTAGCTTTTGAATGTGTTTGCTCTTGCTTTTCTAGTTCTTTTAATTGTGATGTTAGGGTGTCAATTTTGGATCTTTCCTGCTTTCTCTTCTGGGCATTTAGTGCTATATATTTCCCTCTACACACTGCTTTGAATGTGTCCCAGAGATTCTGGTATGTTGTGTCTTTTTTCTCATTGGTTTCAAAGAACATCTTTATTTCTGCCTTCATTTCGTTATGTACCCAGTAGTCATTCAGGAGCAGGTTGTTCAGTTTCCATGTAGTTGAGCGGTTTTGAGTGAGATTCTTAATCCTGAGTTCTAGTTTGATTGCACTGTGGTCTGAGAGATAGTTTGTTATAATTTCTCTTCTTTTACATTTGCTGAGGAGAGCTTTACTTCCAACTATGTGGTCAATTTTGGAATAGGTGTGGTGTGGTGCTGAAAAAAATGTATATTCTGTTGATTTGGGGTGGAGAGTTCTGTAGATGTCTATTAGGTCCGCTTGGTGCAGAACTGAGTTCAATTCCTGGGTATCCTTGTTGACTTTCTGTCTCGTTGATCTGTCTAATGTTGACAGTGGGGTGTTAAAGTCTCCCATTATTAATGTGTGGGAGTCTAAGTCTCTTTGTAGGTCACTCAGGACTTGCTTTATGAATCTGGGTGCTCCTGTATTGGGTGCATATATATTTAGCATAGTTAGCTCTTCTTGTTGAATTGATCCCTTTACCATTATGTAATGGCCTTCTTTGTCTCTTTTGATCTTTGTTGGTTTAAAGTCTGTTTTATCAGAGACTAGGATTGCAACCCCTGCCTTTTTTGTTTTCCATTTGCTTGGTAGATCTTCCTCCATCCTTTTATTTTGAGCCTATGTGTGTCTCTGCACGTGAGATGGGTTTCCTGAATACAGCACACTGATGGGTCTTGACTCTTTATCCAATTTGCCAGTCTGTGTCTTTTAATTGGAGCATTTAGTCCATTTACATTTAAAGTTAATATTGTTATGTGTGAATTTGATCCTGTCATTATGATGTTAGCTGGTTATTTTGCTCGTTAGTTGATGCAGTTTCTTCCTAGTCTTGATGGTCTTTACATTTTGGCATGATTTTGCAGTGGCTGGTACCGGTTGTTCCTTTCCATGTTTAGCGCGTCCTTCAGGAGCTCTTTTAGGGCAGGCCTGGTGGTGACAAAATCTCTCAGCATTTGCTTGTCTGTAAAGTATTTTATTTCTCCTTCGCTTATGAAGCTTAGTTTGGCTGGATATGAAATTCTGGGTTGAAAATTCTTTTCTTTAAAAATGTTGAATATTGGCCTCCACTCTCTTCTGGCTTGTAGGGTTTCTGCTGAGAGATCTGCTGTTAGTCTGATGGGCTTCCCTTTGTGGGTAACCCGACCTTTCTCTCTGGCTGCCCTTAACATTTTTTCCTTCATTTCAACTTTGGTGAATCTGACAATTATGTGTCTTGGAGTTGCTCTTCTCGAGGAGTATCTTCGTGGCGTTCTCTGTATTTCCTGAATCTGAACGTTGGCCCGCCTTTCTAGATTGGGGAAGTTCTCCTGGATAATATCCTGCAGAGTGTTTTCCAACTTGGTTCCATTCTCCCCATCACTTTCAGGTACACCAATGAGACGTAGATTTGGTCTTTTCACATAGTCCCATATTTCTTGGAGGCTTTGCTCATTTCTTTTTATTCTTTTTTCTCTAAACTTCCCTTGTCACTTCATTTCATTCATTTCATCTTCCATCGCTGATACCCTTTCTTCCAGTTGATCGCATCGGCTTCTGAGGCTTCTGCATTCTTCACTAGTTCTCGAGCCTTGGTTTTCAGCTCCATCAGCTCCTTTAAGCACTTCTCTGTATTGGTTATTCTAGTTATACATTCTTCTAATTTTTTTTCAAAGTTTTCAACTTCTTTGTCTTTGGTTTGAATGTCCTCCCGTAGCTCAGAATAATTTGATCGTCTGAAGCCTTCTTCTCTCAGCTCATCAAAGTCATTCTCCATCCAGCTTTGTTCCATTGCTGGTGAGGAACTGTGTTCCTTTGGAGGAGGAGAGGTACTCTGCTTTTTAGAGTTTCCAGTTTTTCTGTTCTGTTTTTTCCCCATCTTTGTGGTTTTATCTACTTTTGGTCTTTGATGATGGTGATGTACAGATGGGTTTTTGGTGTGGATGTCCTTTCTGTTTCTTAGTTTTCTTTCTAACGGACAGGACCCTCAGCTGCAGGTCTGTTGGAATACCCTGCCGTGTGAGGTGTCAGTGTGCCCCTGCTGGGGGGTGCCTCCCAGTTAGGCTGCTCGGGGGTCAGGGGTCAGGGACCCACTTGAGGAGGCAGTCTGCCCGTTCTCAGATCTCCAGCTGCGTGCTGGGAGAACCACTGCTCTCTTCAAAGCTGTCAGACAGGGACATTTAAGTCTGCAGAGGTTACTGCTGTCTTTTTGTTTGTCTGTGCCCTGCCCCCAGAGGTGGAGTCTACAGAGACAGGCAGGCCTCCTTGAGCTGTGGTGGGCTCCACCCAGTTCGAGCTTCCAGGCTGCTTTGTTTACCTAAGCAAGCCTGGGCAATGGTGGGCGCCCCTCCCCCAGCCTCGCTGCCGCCTTACAGTTTGATCTCAGACTGCTGTGCTAGCAATCAGCGAGACTCTGTGGGTGAAGGACCCTCCAAGCCAGGTGCAGGATATAATCTCGTGGTGCGCCGTTTTTTAAGCCCGTCCGAAAAGCGCAGTATTCGGGTGGGAGTGACCTGAGTTTCCAGGTGCCGTCCATCACCCTTTTCTTTGACTCGTAAAGGGAACTCCCTGACCCCTTGCACTTCCTGAGCGATGCAATGCCTCGCCCTGCTTCGGCTCGCGCACGGTGAGTGCACCCACTGACCTGCGCCCACTGTCTGGCACTCCCTAGTGAGATGAACCCGGTACCTCAGATGGAAATGCAGAAATCACCGTCTTCTGCGTCGCTCACACAGGGAGCTGTAGACCGGAGCTGTTCCTATTCGGCCATCTTGGCTCAACATCGACAATTCGACTTTTATGAGGTATCTAGAGTAGTCAAATTCTTAGACACAGAATGTAAAATGGTGGTTGTCCCTGCCTGTAGTACCAGCTACTCCAGAGGCTAAGGCAGGAGAAGCACTTCAACCCAGGAGGCGGAGGTTGCAGTGAGCGGAGATCGCGCCACTGCCCTCCAGCCTGGGGGACAGAGCCAGACTCCGTCTCAAAAAAAAAAAAAAAAAGGTGTGTGTCAGCGGATGGGGCAGAGGGAAAGGGGAGTGTTTGTTTCACGAGTAAAATGTCAGGTTTGAAATATAAAAAGGGTTCTGGAGATTGGTTGTACAACAATGTGAATAAACTTAACAGTAGTGAACTATACACTTAGAAATTGTTATGATGATAATTTTATCATGTTTTATGTAATTTATTCCAATTGAAACTTAAAAATTAAGTAAATAAGAATAGTTTGTTAGAAGGTGATGAGTGCCCTGGAGACAAAGTGTAGCTGAGGGGCAGGGAGTGGCTGTGCAGGGTAAGCCACTTTGAGACAGTGAAATTTGAACGAAGACTTGACATTGATGAAGGATTGAGCCATGTAGATGTGGAGTAAGAGCTTTCTAGGAAGAGGGCAAAATTAGGGCAAAGGTCTTAAAGTGACCTGGCGTGTTTGAGGGACAGGAGGCCAGGGAGGATCCAGCCAGGTGAGCCAGGTTAGAGAAGCAGCAGATAGTGTTAGGCCTTGGATGCCACTGTAAGGATCTGGCTTTTATACTGAGTAAGGGCCAAACCACTGGAGGACTTTGAGTAGAAAAGAGCAATATTTTAACTGACTTATGTTTCTTTGGGATCGCTCCACTTGCTGTGCTGAGAAAGGACTGTAGGGGGCAAGAAAGGAAGTTGGAAGACCAGCGGAGGCTGCTGCTTCAATCCAAATGAAAGAAATTATGATCACTTGGACTCAGGTGAGAAGAGTAGAAGTCTTGAGAATTGAACAGATTCTGGATAAAATTAGAAGAGAAAGTCCATTGGATTTCTTGGTGAATTGGAAGTAAAGTGTGAAAGAAAAAAGCAAGAATGACCCTAAGACTTTTGTCATGAGCAATGGAAAGAATGGAGTTACTGTTAACTGAAATGTGCAGAGCAGCAAGTCCAGAGGTTTTGGGGAGAAGAGCAGGTGTTTGATTTAGGCATATTAAGTCACAGTTGATAATCACGTATTCAAGAGGGACTTCAGTGGATATATGGGTCTAGAATTCATGGGCGAGGTTGGGGAATTATTAGTATACATAAGTCACTTGGGGAATTATTAGTACACAAATGATATAGATTAAAAGCCATGGATCTGAAGACGGTCACCTTCAAAGTGAGTAGAGAGAGAAGGGAGGGGGCTCTAAAACGCACCTAGGATGACCTAATATTAATAGGCCCAGAGAAAAGGAGGCATCAGAACAGGAGACTGAGACACACAGAGGCAGGTACCATTCAGAGTCCATAGTGGCTACAGAGAAACTCCAAGATGGAGCAGGAGAGGCTACCTTCTCAAGGTAAGGAAAAGCTGAGTCCTAGAAGGAAGATGGGATTTACTAAAGTCACATAGCTAGTCAGTGGCAAACTGAAAGTAAGTACTTCTCATAGGAACGTGCCTATTCAGCAAGCAGAAACAGAATACCTAATTTTAATGGAGGTGGGGACCAAACCTTCAGTAAAGTAGAAAAATTCTTTCTTTGAAGTTCATCTAGACTAGCATGTAATTAGACAGTATGTTACAAATGCTGTAAAACTGACAATACAATAAGCAAAGCCAAGGAAAAGAAAAGTTAACTGTACATCCTGGTGACTTCATGAGCTTGAACAGTTAATAGGCTAGCAGTGCTAGCACAATTATAAACTTAACTTTCAAATCTGCTTCTTCATAGAAATTCTCTGTTCAGCCCTATTCAAAGCTTGTCATTTTCTCAAAATTCTTTTTTAATCACCAGACCTATCATAATGCCTAGAAGTGTTTTGAATACTCATGTTGAAGAAATTATCAAAGCCCACCAGACATAAGAAACAGTGTTGTGCAACTCAGTGTTATTTGTAAAATGAAGCCCTAAGAGATGCAAATTGTGTATTTTGAGCCACAAGTTTTTCTTACATTGTCATTTCAGTGGCATTCTTAATGCATGGCATGTTTTACCTTGACATAGTCTACTTCAAAAATATTTACACATTGATATTTTGAATATTTTCAATAACATCCCAATTGTATTTTTTCCATGTACCTTTATTTTGTTTCCCTTTTTTTTCCTGAAGCTGCTCCATATCTCACCTCTCATAGTTTCAGGCTTTCAGAAAAACTTGGAAGAGGGAAGAAATAAAAAAGTAAAGTCACCCATAAAATCATTATCCAGAAACCATAGCCATTACTAACATTTTAGCAAGTTTATTTGTAGTGGATTTTTCCCTCTATGCTTAACTCCTTTTTAATTATCAGTAATTTTACAGGCCTAGTATCTTAGGTTACTAGTACTTCCCAAACGGCTGGACTATTCTGGGCTCTCTGCTTCTGGAGAAATGTGACTGAGCAGAGAGCAGAGAAAACAAAACCCATTCCTTGGCTTTGGGGTTTGAAAGCCAATGTGTTTAAGCATATGAAGATTATAGATCAGCATTGTGAGGACAGGATTTCAGAAGTATAGGACCTTGCTCTTACCCACTCCTCAATAAACACACACACACACACACACACACACACACACACACACACACTCTCTCTCTCTCTCTCTCTCTCTCTCTCTCTCTCTCGTTGGGAAGAAGAAAAAGATGACCCAGGGGAAATTTGGAAGGTTCCAGAGGAAGACATTAGGCTCTATTCTTCAGGTTAATCACCAGGAAAATGGCAACAACTGGAGACAGAATATCAGATTTGAGAGCAAAGGAGTCTGTTCTCATCTTTCAGGTGGGACCTGGGGAAGTGGTAAGATCATACAGAAAAAATGGCCCTGGGTTTGTTCAGAAAAGGAAGCCTAAACCAGTCTCACAGAGGGTCTTATACTGTGGTTTAGGAGCAACAAGATGATCCAAGATGGAAGGTTGATCTTGGCTGAAAATGAGGGCTATGGCAGATTGGAGGGTAGACTTTTCCACAGGAGCCCAAGTGCCCTGCTGATACTGAGGAGCAGCTAGGAGAAAGGAAAAACTCTGGATTCTGTAGTAAAGTTTCTAGCACTCCAAGGAACATAGCTCAAAAGGGAAATTAACTTGTTATAGAATTTTTTTTTTTTACTCTTGGGTTTGTGAACTGAACTCTTACAGATATGTTTTATATCCTGATTTTTTTGCTATCTTCAAGATTTCTTAATGAAAATCATTTTTAATACTGGCTTAATATGTCGTTGATTTGATGCCATAATTTTCCTAACCAATCCCTTATTTTTAAACATTTTTATTATTTCTATTTTTTGCCATTATAATTACTGCTATGTATTTTAAAGCATGAGCATCTAGGATGAGTGTTTAAAAAAATTCCTGAAGCGGAGCTATTGGTTAAAAGGCCAGAACAATTTTCTTTCCAATGATACATTATTACCAAATTGCTTTCCAAAAGTTTTGTAGAAATGTAATCATGAGTCATCTATAGGAATTCATTGTGAGACTTAGACATTATTTCAGCATCAAATGACTTTACCATTTTATAGTTGAAGAAGGGATTTCACTGGTCTATAAATCACATATATTTTTTCTATGGTTAAAAGGGCAACATATATTCATTTTAGAAAATTTAAAATGTACAGGAAAGTGTGAAAATCACCAATAATCCCATTACTTGAGGATAGCTACTGTTTACATGCTAATGTACTTTTCCCAGTCTTTCTTTCTCTGAGTGTGCATATCTACTCACACACAGAATCACATGCACCTATATTTTGCTTCTTACAAAATTGGAATCATATAATATATATCATTATGCACATTTTTGATTTAAGAATGATATGAAAGTTTTCCAATATCATAAAATATTCTCCTAAAACATTAATTTGCACAATTATTAATGTTTGAAACCTGCCTTAGACACAAAACACTCACTCAGTAATAGCTTGCTGTTGCTGTGATGTAATGGGGATAGTA
Organism: Homo sapiens; assembly: GCF_000001405.40. Classification (NCBI taxonomy): domain Eukaryota; kingdom Metazoa; phylum Chordata; class Mammalia; order Primates; family Hominidae; genus Homo; species Homo sapiens. The sequence continues at coordinate 96,112,585 of NC_000008.11, read as the reverse complement.
AAACCATTAAGTGGAGGCTGAGGCGGAAGAATTGCTTGACGCCAGGAGTTTGAGACAAGCCTGGGCAACATAGCAAGACCCCATGTCTACAAAAAGAAACCAACAGTGGGAGGATGGGCTGGAGCATTAAAACATGACTTTAAATGACTCTATATAATGTATTATAATGTTTTGTTATATACCACAATTTTTTAAATCATCTCCCCAGTTATTGGAGATTTAGATTATTTCCTATTTTTCACCATTGTAATAATTCCAAGAGGATCATCCCTGTATACATCTTTGTGCACATATCTAGCTCCAATTATTTTCTTCAGTTAAATCGTTAAATGTCAAGATGTTTGAATAAAAAATTATGCATGTGTTAAGGCTTCTTGTTGTTACCAAATTGCCTTCTAGGAAGTTTATACCATTTTCAACACTCATTAGTAGTAATTGTATGAGAATATCTATTTACTTGCACCTATGCCAGAACTGGGCATTATAATATTTAAATATCTCTGCCATTTCATTTGCAAAAAACAACATCTTGTGGTTTAAAAAATTTTGGTTAATAGTGATATTGACCAGTTCCCTAAGTATGCTAATTATTATATCTCACCGTTTGTAAATATTCTTTTTAATGTCTTCTTCAGGTGAATTCCATGACCTTGAGAGCAAATATACTGAGTAGTATTTAATAAACACTTGTTGATTACTTTGAGATGCATATGAATGCCAATTCTTTCAGTTTGACTACTTCTATTCTGAGGTTCTCTGGGGGGATCCATTAAAACAATAATAGCGTTCTTCAGTTTTCTTTTTTTAGTGTTTCAAAAAGCTTAGTAAAAATTTGTACACATATACAATAAGATTGGACAGCTTACTAAAATATCTTTTTTTTTTTTCATTGGCTTGGAATTTTACATCATCGTTACATTGTACTGATTGAAATCTCAGATTAGTGGTTTGAAATGATAGATTGGTAAAAAAAGTGTTGCAAAATACTGCTTTGCTTGGCGGTTGCCAGGGAATAATACAAATCCCTGTTATTGAAAAGGGTGAGAACCATTAGATTATGATGTATCTGAGTGCTGAGTTTAGGTATTTCCTTTTTTTCCCTTTTCATCATAATTATTCTCATTTATAGATTTTTTGATTGGCTAATTTAAGCATTATATTTTGTTGTGGTGGTTTATATACTTTTATTCTTCCATAAAAATAATTTGTGTTCATTAAAAAACAATCAAGCAGCACAGAGAGCCCAGAGAAGAAATGTTGGGGGTGCAGATGGGGGTATTAACAGAGACCAGGCAAATCAAGGCCAAGCAGATTTCCCAAACAATTTCGATTAAATATGAACACCACTTATGTTTCATGAGTAGTTGCTTACCTCTACTTCTCTTGGACTGGTTTTGGTAATACACACATAAAGATGCACTTACACAAACATCTATTTCACATAGATATTGGCACATGATTCTGGCCTTCAAAATGTATGATAAGGCTGGGTGCGGTGGCTCATACCTGTAATCCCAGTACTTTGGGAGGCAAAGGCAGGAGGATCGCTTGAACCCAGGAGTTTGAGACCAGCCTGGGCAACATAGGAAGACCCTACCTATAGAAAAAATAAACAAATTAGCTGGATGTAGTGGCATGCACCTGTGGTCCCAGCTACTTGGGAGGCTGAGGTTAGTGGATCATTGAGCCTGGCAGGTTGAGGCTGCAGTGAGCCGTGATTGCACCACTGCCCTCCAGCCTGGGTGACAGGGAAAGACTCTGTCTCAAAAAAAAAAAAAGTATGGCAATTTGCAGTGTACAGTAAGCCCTCACTTAATGTCACCAATAGGTTCTTGGAAACCTTGATTTTAAGCAAAATGATTTATTGCATGAAGTAGGAGCTTAAAGTTGTAATTTCCAAGAACCTATTGACAACCTCGAGGACTTACTGTAGTTTAGTGTAAAGGGTATTGACTTTGAAGTTGGAAAATAAGGGGTTTGAGTTTGATTCCATTATTTGGCAGTCATGAGGCTTTGGGTAAACTAATGAGTATCACTCTCCTTCGCATATCTTTATTTTAGGGGTTTATTGTGAGCGTGAATGGGAAAGAATTGGAAAATGTCGTGTCTGACATCTTTGGTCCATGTATTGTATCTCCACTGGACTTTAGTATTCAATCACGCCAAATCCAATGAATTAGTTGAGACCTGGAGCCCAAAGCATCATTTCTGGTTTGGCATCTCAGAACCTCTTTCTCCCTATCTAGCAACCGTAACAAACTGCTTGTGAGTTGTAAGACTACTAGTACAGGGTGACTCTAGTTATCAATCTTTTATTTTTTTAAGAACTGGACCAGAATCACATTTTTAGCTTATCAGGTTATCTATGCTCAGTGATGAGTTGGCTGTCCACTGGCTTTCTTCAATTGACCCTACCTATAGGCAATTGCTAAATACCCAATTCTTGGGAGTAATTGTTCTTCCCCTCACTTTTATATAGGGGTGGCCTGTTTAAAAAGCCATCCCATTAAGTGGAACAGCTAACTAGGCTGCCTTATATTCCGCAAAGCAATTATGACCAAACCTGCCTGGGATTTGCCTTGCAGTGTGTGGGCACTTTCAGCTGTGAGGCTGCACCATGTAATGTGTTCTGTCGGACCCAGCTTGACACAACTTGCATGGTGCATTTACTTTCTTCATTCAAAGAGATTCTCTCTTTTAAGGCACTGGCTCCTGAAAAATATGCAAGTGACCTGAGGGAAGAGACCCAGGGCCTCATCTTTATTCAGACATATCTCATGTTAACCCCGAGACGGTTAACCCATCATGTTTATTGGTGGTATTTTAGCAGCAAGATGTTGATTTTACAAGTATGTTATTATTGGGTTTTATTATTAAGCTACCTATAAAATACCTGATTCATGTGGATATGTAACAACAAGATTGAATTGTTTTTTAGTATTTCTTTTTAATTATTTAGAAATATTTAGAAAATGTTATGATTTTACCTCCCAATCTTTCTATAGATGAATCAGAAAGACTCTCTGCAGCCAATTTCCTTAGTACCCTTGAGAAAATCAGTTTAGCTATGCTTAACTCTAGTTTCCTGGATGTAAAAACAAATGTTTGGGACGTGAGAATTTCCTGAAACCTTTAGAGAGAAGGGGCCTTTCAGAATATTCAGAGGAGGAGGGGTGAAGGGCAGGGAAGGAGGAAGTGATAAAAGTCATTTTGCTCCCTGAGGCTTGGGATATGTTCCCTAAATAAATTTCTTCTCTCCTTGGTTGTTGAAATATTTTGTCTCAATGAGAAAATTGTGGTTTCCTTTCTTGCTCAGGGGAATATTATTGTGGACATATCCCTGACTGCATGTGTGTGTAAACACACACACTCACATGTGCACACAGACACACACACAAACAATTATTCAGGGGTGTTGGAGTAGAACAGATATGGCCAGGTGCAGTGGCTTACACCTGTAATCCCAACACTTTGAGGGGCCAAGACAGGAGGACTGCTTGGGCCCAGGAGTTCGAGACCAGCCTGGGTAGCACAGGGAGACCCTGTCCCTCCAAAAATAATTAAAAAATACAAAATTAGCTGGGCATGGTGGTGTGCGCCTGCAGTCCTAGCTACTTGAGAGGCTGAGGCAAGAGGATTGCTTGAGCCTAAGAGGTTGAGGCTGCAGTGAACTGTGATCGCACCACTGCACTCCAGCCTGGGTGACAGAGTAAGACCCTTTAAAAAGAAAAAAAAGAGCAGATATTATTAGAAAGACTCTTCAGCCAACAGTTAGAAGTAGCATTTATTGGATGCTTACTATGAGCTGGGCACAGTGCAAGCACCCCATTTGTGTTATTTTATAGTCACTAAAAAAACTCTCACATGAGGGCAGTGCTCTTATCACCCCCTTTTACATGAGAACACTAAGGCTCAAAGAGTTTAAATTGCTTGTTCAAGCCCACATAGCTGTTCTGAGAGGGAGCCAAAATCACATCCAGGCCTGGTCGACTCCAAAGTCAGATGCACGTGAGAATGGCGGAGGCTGTGAAGCTGTGGGCTGGAGGCTTCATGGAGCCCTGACTTGGAAGGGTTGCAGAATTGCCTTGGGACCCTCAGTCTCTAACCTAGTGTGGGTTCTGTGAGGACAAGAAGCGGGCGCTCTAGGCCCTGGAAATGCTGAGTGGGTCCATGCCCCTGACATGGACCATCTGTTCTCATTTCCTCGTGTGAACTTGTTATGGTTAATTTTATGTGTCTGCTTGACTGGGCCACGATGCCCAGATAGTTTGTCAAATGTTATGCTGGGTGTTTCTGTGAGGGTGTTTTTTTAGGTGAGATTAGGATGTAAATTGGTAGCCATCAAGTTAAGCAAATGGTAAAGTAGTGGGCCTCATCCAATCAGTTGAAGGCCTTAATAGCACAAAGGTTGACCTCCTCTTACCCTGCCCCCGACCAGCAAGAAAGAACTGTGCCAGCAGGCAGCCTTCAAACTCTGAACTGCAACACCAGCTCTTCCCTGGGTCTCCAGTCTGCCCACCTGCCCCATTAAATGTGGGACCCACACGGCCACTATAATCTCATGAGCCAATCCTTTAAATCTCTCTCTCTCTCTGTCTCTGCATACAACTTCTTGATTCTGTCTCTCTGGAGATTGCTGATTCCTACAGAACCTGTTCAAACTGTTAGTGATCGTCTCACTTTTTCTCTAGGATCCCCCATAGCTTGCTATGTCCCGCCTCACAACCACCACTGAGCATCTTAAAGGTGTTTGTTTTTTCTTTTTTCCAATTTTAAAAATTACAGTTACTCCCGTTCTTCATTTTTTCTCACCAAATTTTTTTGTAAGAGTGAACTTGACAGTGCTGGAAGTTCCTGGCCCCCTGGGGGGAGTCTCACCCCGCTCTCTCCCTCACTCCAGGCAGCCAGACCTTCTTCTTCCTTCAAGTCTCTTCCTGCGCTTAGCATTTGAGGTTCGTGGTGCTTGTAACAATTTCTCCCCAAAAAGGTTCCCGTCTGTTTCCTTCTCCACACTCAGGCCTTGGCTTACACATCTGCTTCTGATAGACCTTCTAACACCCACTTCAGAGTAGGCTCTCCAGTCTCATTCTAGCACATCCCTTTGTTTTATTTTCTTCAATGCATGTATCACTTCTGATGCATCTTCTTTCTTTACTTCCATAGTGTTTGCTTTCCCCGCCAGAATGTCAACTCTGTGGAGTTCTGTCTGTCCTTCTCTTGCCTGTCCTTTTCACAGTTATACTCCCATGCCTTGAACATTGCCTAGCACAGAGCTGGAGCTCAAGAAACAATAGTTGAGTGAATGAATGAATGAATGAATGAATGGACAAATATATTTTATCAGCTGGGTAGGCAAGGGTGTGCAGGTGCATGATATCCTACTGGTGAGAAGAGAGTAAATTGCTCATTTTTGAAGGTGCATTAACTCTTCCAGGCCCCTAGGGTATCATTTAGTTCACTGGAATAGTAATTTACTAAACTGTACCTTAGGGGCCTGAAAATGTTAATGCACCTCCAAAAGTTTCTAATTTACACCAGGGAGCAGTTTATTTACCCAGCAGGGTTTGACCTAATAGGTCTTAACTCCATTTAAGAGAGTCATAAGGACTTTATCACTTTTCCACCTTCACATTTCCTACTTCTAGCATTTATCTGCTTGTGGAATACTGTTGCCAGTAGCTACTGTGTTTATGCACACCCATCATATTCATACCAATACCAAGACCTGAAACGTTGCTTTCTTATGGCACTGGCACACATCTTTCATGTATATTTTAATTTGTATAATTAAAAAAAACCTGTATATAGCAATCCATTCACATAATGTTATTTTAGTGGCTTCTTGGTATATATTTTAAATCCTTAAATAGCTCACATTTTGTTTTTATCCAATAATTAAATCACGGTGTTAGAAAATGTAAAAAATTCTACGCATTTGGGTTACCAACCCTTATCTACAATATGCAGGCCATTATTTTATTTCTTTTTGTTGTTTCAAATAGCAAAGCTGCTTCCACTCCTAATCTTGGACACTTTTGTCCTGAGGTTTTCCAGACTCAGTCTAATCTTTCCTCTTTTGCTAATTACTGTCAATTCTGTACTGTTGTACCATGTCAAAAAAATCTCCTCCCCTCCTGAGTTTATTTTTTTGAAGAATAATTCTTACAGATTCAACTGTGGAGATATCTTTTCTTTAATTCTTGTCACACTGATGTTACAGGACTTGGTAAAACGTTTCTCTTGACTCTGGGGTAAAATCAGGTATGATTGTTACCAGCAATAAGTAGCAGGGTTTTTCATAAAACTGATTGTGGATGGGGTTTTCCAAATATGGCATAAGCCCATTAATTAAGCATTCCCTCATTTAGTCTTTGTGATAATTCATCCTGGACTGGGTTTAAATATGCCCTTGCTGTGGAATGAGGGTTTGCTAAGTAAATAATAGTGTAAATCAGATTAGAGAGAACAATTGCTTTTGAGAATGTTAGTACTGTATGGTAAAATCTTGACAGGGTTACTTAATTTTTTGGTACCATGAAGTTTTTTGTTGTTTTTGTTTTTGGTTAAACACCTTAGAAACATGTTCTCTTTTTCTGTTTCAGCTAATAAGGTAATTAAATTTCATTTCTGAATATTTTAATTCCTCAGGGATATCATTCTGGACAACAATAACCGCTCAACATAGGTCAGTAGATGTGAATTAATTAGAGTATCAAGTCTCTGGAAGTTTTAAATGATATTTGTTGATGCAGAGTTATGGTCTTGTGAGTTGATTCATCCTTCTAAAGGTAGATTGCAGCAAAAACATGAGCAGGATCCAGGGTAATGGAGGTTTTGATTATGGTTCTTTACATTTACAGAGATCCTCCAATTTCAAATAGATTATTTATTTAATCAGCAGTTTGTGTATTTGAAATAAGAAGATATCTTTTATTTCAAAAATGTTATCATTCAGACTTTCTGTTAATTCAGAATTTCTTCTGCCTTCTAACCTTCTAGGCCTTCAGGATTAAAGGGCAATCCTGAATTATTACTCTACTAGAAAAACATTTTTAGTAAGTAGATTTCAAAAGTGGGCTTTTTCTGCATCACTTCTTTTGTGGGTTGTAAAAAAATTACAAAAGCTAGACTTTATACTGGAAACACCGTAGTGTTAGGAGAGGGTTTGGGTGAGCGCTGTTGCTATGGAGACCTTTGTTGGTATCCTCCTGCATAGACTGTCCCACCTCTGTGTTATCTACAGGTGGTAGCAATATTGGAAAGATCAAGGGTCTTACTTTACTGACTTGACCCAGGCATTCTGAAGAGCTACCCCTTAAATTCCTAGCTCCTTAATGGCCTTGTAGCAATAGCTGCTGCCCAGATTGCTTTCTAATTCTTGTTCATATTCTCAAGTTTGAAGCCTCTACCTAACTTCACATTTTTTTTTCTTGAGTCATACAATATATGACTGAACTTTCATCTGACAGCTGGGGATGAAAAACTATATCCTGAAAATGGTCTTGTCTTGCAAATGGAGAAGTCTGAGCCAGTTCATCACTGACTCTCAATCTGTGTTGCTTTTAACAGGATAATTGAGGTCTTGCCATTTTTAAAAAAACATTTATTTTGGTTCCCCATGGATGAAAGACATCCAGAAGGTATAGAAGTTACACAAGAGTCATGTCAGAAGATGGGAAGTGATTGTTAGGGGGAAATATCAAGCTGTGGATTCTTTAGTTAAATGTGATTGTTTTAGTCAAAATGACTTGTTTGGGGCTATCTTCATGTGTCTTAAAGTATTTGAATGGCACTTAATTTTGTATAACTCCCATAGATCTCCTTAACTGATTCTTCAGTTAGATAAAGTTTTACGTACTAGTGAAAGTTAATGCTGATTTAAGCATAATCAGATTGAAAATTCTTCCCTGTGGTCTACATGAAGGCAGATAAACTTCACATGAAGAATCCTAAATGTTATGGGACACACACAAAATCCTGAGTTTTAGAAGTAGTGAGGCACTGTGCTGCTGCTTTATTATTGGATACTATATGCTTTCAAGGAATTTGTTATATATTTATTGGTAATTTTCACAAGATTTTATTACACTGAAGAAATATGTAAATACATGTGAGAAAGCTGTATTTAGCCTCAAGAAAAAAATAGTAATCGTTATTTCAATCTCATATTTCAATTAACCTTAATCTTTTGTTTGTATAGCCTTGAAAAGCTGTAAAAATCAGTCATTATAGTTTAATTACTAACCACTATCCCAGGTGGTTAACTCCACTTCCTTCTAAACAAGTTCCTTCTTTCATTTAGTTTTTAAATGCTACGATTGGCATTCTCTAACAATGGTATTATGCCTTATAGCCAGGTGCTGTAAGTTACGCTGTAGAATATTTTAAGTCTTGTTGGTTCCTACTGGTACCAGAGATCTGCTGCTTCTTCTTTTCTTTCTTTTTGAACTGGCCTGTTTGCTGTTCCACTTCAGCATAGAATCACACTTGAGTTTTACATAATGACAGAAGTTGAATGTTTCCTGCACTAGTGTTTATTTAGTAAAACATTTTACATTCCTGGATAGATACCAGTCTGTCATTAATGGATTCTTGGCTTTGGGCCAATAGCTAATAGTTTTATTGGTCCTCATAACATAGCTATGTGATTTTTGTAACCACAAGGGGCTCTTTTCGGTGTTTGTATTTCTTTCTTTCTTTCTTTCTTTCTTTCTTTCTTTTTCTTTCTTTCTCTCCTTCCTTCCTTCCTTTTCTTCCTTCTTTACGTCTCTTTTTTCCTTTCTTCTTCATATTCTTTTTTTTTTTTTTTTAGAAAAATAACCTAACAACCCAGAGGTGCACCAAATTTAAGGACAGAGTATTTTCTTTAAACCGTTATCTTTTCCACCTCATTCATTCTGTTTGCTCTTAAGAAATTCTCGCATATCCTGGAGTATTTTGAACAAGTCTTGGGACTCAGTTGCACCATTCCCAGCTCTCTTGTTGCCCTAAGGAGTCCAAGCAAAGCTCATATTATCTGCCAGGTGCTATTTGCCTATCTCAATAGGGAAAGGACAAGAAGGGTTATTTACTGTAGGTGAACTTGTTAAGCTTTATTTGATTGCTATAAGCATTGAGTAAGGAGGGCCAGCTTTGCAAATCTTGGAGTCAGGTGCCCTAAAAGAGGAAGAAAATGTCTTTACAATTGGGTAAGTGTGAGCCAAGTCTGTGCAATTTACGTAGTTTTTTCTTAGACGTATAGGTGTTAATCTTGAATTCAAAACCTGCCATTTCGATCATTAAAAAGTCAGGAAACAACAGGTGCTGGAGAGGATGTGGAGAAATAGGAACACTTTTACACTGTTGGTGGGACTGTAAACTAGTTCAACCATTGTGGAAGACAGTGTGGCAATTCCTCAAGGATCTAGAACTAGAAATACCATTTGACCCAGCCATCCCATTACCAGGTATATATCCAAAGGATTATAAATCATGCTGCTATAAAGACACACGCACACGTATGTTTACTGTGGCACTATTCACAATAGCAAAGACTTGGAACCAACCCAGATGTCCATCAATGATAGACTGGATTAAGAAAATGTGGCACATATTCACCATGGAGTACTATGCAGCCATAAAAAAGGATGAGTTCATATCCTTTGTAGGGACATGGATGAAGCCGGAAACCATCATTCTCAGCAAACTATCTCAAGGACAAAAAACCAAACACCGCGTGTTCTCACTCATAGGTGGGAATTGAACAATGAGAAAACTTGGACACAGGAAGGGGAACATCACACACCGGGGCCTGTCGTGGAGTGGGGGGACGGGGGAGGGATAGCATTAGGAGATATACCTAATGTAAATGACGAGTTAATGGGTGCAGCACATCAACATGGCACATGTATACGTATGTAACAAACCTGCACGTTGTGCATATGTACCCTAGAACTTAAAGTATAATAAAAAAAAAAGTGGAAAAAAAACCACCCAGATCATGGGACCCCTAAAACAACAACAACAACAAACAAACCTGCCATTTTTGTCCTGACCTCACACAAGGCTATGCTGTGGTGTCATTAAACTTCCCTGCCTGTTTCCTCTCTGTGACATTGCCTATTTAGATCTTTCTTTCCCCATCCCCCCATGTATTTTAAAACAGAGGCTTAAAAGAAGTTAAAGTGCTTTTTGTCTCTAAATTCCCTACAAATTCAATCTTCTCCCTAGTGCATAAGTTACTATGCAATCTCACGATCACAAAACCATCTAAAAATAAACTATGAAATTGGGCTGAGTTCCAGGATGGCAGATTCTGCTTTTTGCTTCGCCTTAAAATCTACTAAACAATAACAAAAACATCAACAGCAAAATATGAAGATCGTGCCTGCCAACTGTGGAAAATTCAGAAAATACAAAGAGGATAAAAACAGGATAATTATTCCCAATTCCCAGTCTCCATTTCCACCTCTGTCCCATCACAACGATACATAATTTAGCCTATTACCTTAAGGTAGTTGTTTTTCTCTATTTTTCACATAGTAGAGAGCATTCTTTACATAAGATTTTTGCATTCTTATTTTTTATTTGTTATATAATGCTTATTTCCACATGCCATTTAAATTCTCTATTAACACAATTAAAAAAGATACATAACATGCCATGATAGTTGTACCATAATTTACTCAACCATCTCCCAGTATTGAGTATCTTGTTTTTCTTTTCTTTTCCTTTGCAGTTATGAAAAATATGGTCATTAACATACTTGTGCATAAATCTGTGTCTCATTGTCAAAATTCTTGGAGATTTTGCCTGATTTTAAACACAACCCCACAGGACATTAGGGAAGTCTAGTTCTATTGATGGACACTCACTTCCAGAGTGAGGGTCCATCACTCACTGGCTAATTCCAGAGAAAATATGTTGCCCAGGGAGTAGTAAATAAAAATGCTCCATTTTTGTGTAAGAGATTTGCCTTCAAAAAGAGGTAAGATTCTGAAGGTTTGGCGGGTGAGGGGAGGGTCCTGATTATTTTTCAGAAGGAGGTTTACTCTTGGAGCTCAGCTGGAGAAGTTATGGTATGACATATGTACAGATGCATTCTGTTGGCACGGCTCGCTGGAGAAGATTGAGCACTTTGGTGACGTAGGTCAAGTTTCCTTAACGCTGTGATGTTTTAAAACAGGATGGTGCCAGTTCAACTAAATGTCCCAAAACAATAGCGTGCAAGGCCATTCTTTGACAAACAAAACAAAATAAATGTTTCCTACTTTTGAAAACAGTGCCTACAAATAAATCAGATTCTACATAGAACAAACCAGCCACAAAATAAAATGTATTAGAAAAACCAAGAGAGAGGGCTCTACCTGAGGGCACCAATGATCACCCATCAATCCATCAGTCAGCTGTAACTGCCTACTGTAAAACTAATGTATTTTACTGTTATGGTAAAAATTACATCTGGATTTACTGAACTCATGAAAACAATAATAGCTAAAATAAAAGTCAATGTTCCTTTATGTAATAAGCCAGTATTTTTATTTGCTTGGCTGATGCCTTTAAAGAGCAGCATGTTTCTACTACTGAATCCAACCTCACGCCTCCTGTTACTATGACAGCCAGGTGTATTTGGAAGCTGAGAGGAGAAAAAGAAATAAATTATTGCTCCTGCTGTTTCTGATTATGAAATTAAGCCTGTCAGTGATCAGAGTTTAAGAGGAATGCTTTCTTCACACCAGTTGTCAGAGAGCTCCTTTTGTGTAAATTCTGTTCAGGTCACCAAGTCTGGTTATGAATTTTATTAACCAACTTGGTTGGTGGTTGAATAAAACCCCACTTAGTAGCTAGCAAGGGAAGAACTCCTTCTCTTTTGTGTCAGTTTTGTGTGAAAATCTGGAGTGACCAGATGAATTTAGCAGCCCAGTGAGCCAGTCTGATCTTCAGAGCAGTCTCTGGGTCTCTTGAAGGTCCCACATTGGCACCCTAAGTCTGACTGGAAGAAGAGAGAGTGGTAAGTTTAACCAGCACCAAAACTTCAGTTTGGTTTTTGACCAGGAAATAGCTAGTTGAGAGGCATAGTTCCAAAATCAGAGGATGTAGTTTAATTTCCTGCAGCACCAGCGAAAACTCTGATTTACCTGAACAACTATCTGAAGCAAGTCCTAGGCCCAGCCACAAAGTTAGTAGAAGAGAAAAGCCTGGCCTCTTAGAAGATAAGATCTACATCTTCATCTTCACGTCTCCCTTGGCACTTAGCACTATGTTATTTATTTTATTATATTTCATTTTATTTTTGAGACAGGGTTTGTCTCCTGTCTATCACCCAGGCTGGAGTGCAGTGGTGAGATCACAGCTCACTGCAGCCTTGACCTCCCAGGGTCAAGCGATCCTCCCACCTCAGCCTCCTGAGTAGCTGAGACCAAAGGTGGGCACCAGTATGCCTGGCTTTTTTTTGTTTTTTTTTTTTTTTTTTTTGTAGAGACAGAATTTGGCCATGTTGCCCAGGCTGGTCTCAAATTTCTGGGCTCAAGTGATCTTCCCACCTTGGCCTCCCAAAGTGCTGGGATTACAGGCGTGAGCTCCTGTGCCTGGCCAGCACTATGTTTTGAACATGGTAGTTCCTTATTGAACATTTGTGGAAAAAATGATCAAACAAATAAGTTAGGAGTAGATAATAGAAGCTAAAATGTATTAATAGAGCCAAGTCTCATGCCAAGTCTAGGAGTATGTATTTTTGCCCTGTGTTATGTGAGGCCCCAGGATGCTGAGATAAATGAATCAATCCTTAGGGCTCCCTGTGTACCGTGATTTGGGATCTGCCAAGCAGCAGTCACAGTGGATGACTTGTTTTGAAATAGGTTCTGAAGAGGGGACTGAGCAGGAGGTGGCCACCTGGTCTGCAATGAATTCTCACCAAGCCAGGCCTACTATAAACAGGAGTGTTTTAAAATAGCAGGATGATAACGTGAGGGATTCCACAAATGATCATTTCTCTCTAGTTAAATGGGTTATGAAGTAATGCTCTTGTCTATGCACTTTCCTTTCATTTTGAACTCTCCATCTCGGCCTGAGCAAGAATTTTGCAAGCTTTGAAATATGTCAACATAAAATAAGCTTTGAGACAGCTTGAAAAATGTAAGATTCATAATGGACTCCACTAAAAATATGGTTTGTTAAGAAAACAAACCAGGCTCGATCTTCCTCACTTGGAAAAACAATCAGATGGAACTTGAGCTATCACCACCCTTTTATAGATTCCTGCACCATGAGAAGTCAAGCATTTCCCAATTAAAGCAGGCATATTTGTGATGTTCTTTTCAACCACTTCCCTAATGACCTCCATGACCTCTTCAAGTTCTACTTGACATTCTTCAAGGCTCTTACAGAGGCTGCCTATTCCATGAAGCCTTCCAGACTACTCCACCATGACAATCTGTCCATCTAATTTCACACTCCGCTGTGCATTGGCATGTACTATCCACTGATTGATTCATCAGTGTTTTCTTCCAGCTTCCCAATAGACAAGGCCCTTGGTGGTAGGAATGAAGTCTTTTATTTAATGTCTTAGCACAACAAAAGTTTATTTCTTATTCATGCAGGCCCTGATGCTGTTTGCAGGGGCAAGTTGGAGTATGTTGGAGAGCTTTTCTCATGACTTAGGTTTCCTTCGTCTTGTGACAGCATTTTCTCAGCAGCGACCTTCTAAGATCACTGCAACAAGGGAGAGTGTGGAGGTAGCTTCCAGCTTATAAATGTCTCAGCCTCAAAGTGATGTACATTACTTCTCATTTCAGCTGCAAGATGGCTGAGAAGTATAGCTGACACACGGGCTCAGGAAGAAGAGGAAATTGTATGTGGGTGACCCTAATTAGTGTCTACTATGTGGCTAAACCAACTCAAACTACTCTCTCTGGCTCTGGTCTTACTCATTCCAATCCATTCTGCATACTTATAAAAAAAGCAAAACAGATTATTATACTTTCTGAACCATCCATTACTTATATGGTAAAGTCCTAACTCTTTAAAAAGCATAGAGTTCCTCCAGAATCTGCTCTCTGTCCTTCACATTTCTCTTAGTTGCTCATAAATACTCTGCTTTTTCAAGCCTGAATGGCTTTGTACATGCGATTCCTTCGTTGAGCCTGAAATATTCTTCATCTCTGCACATCAGGTAAATTCCTGCTCAATAGTCCTTTTAGAAGTTTATTCCTATGAAAGGGCCTCTCCCACCAGAATTAAGGACCTCTTCTTTGAGGTCCCATGGAACCATCTTTCATGGCTGGGCCACTTACTAGCCATGTGACCTTAGCAACTAACTTCTAGGAGCTTCCATTTCTACATCATAATAATGTTAATGTCCTGTCCCCAGCTGAGAGTCATTTTGAATAAGAATACATGTAAAAGCATGCTGGAAACTCATATAATATACCAATGTGAAATATCTTTATTAAAATTCAGGATCTTTTCTCTTCTTTGCTATGATGCAAACAGACAAAACTAAGTCCACTTGAAAGTCCACTTTGGAAGAGAAGGTAAAAATTTGAAAGGTTTGACTGTTTCTTATTTATTCACTCAAAAACATTTATTGAGCACCTGATATGTCCCAGGCATTGTGCTCAATTTTGGGGCTTCCACAACCAATAAGATAGACAAGATCCCTTCCCTCCAGCAAGTTTTGACAAATGGGCAGTGAAAGCAATTTCAAAAGGAGTCACTTCTGGCAGGTCTACTGAGGTAAGGGTGCCACTCAACATAAAAGAGCACATATTTAGGGGCTTAAGTTCCTAAAAGTTTGTTACTCTTCTGTCAACTCTACTGTTGTGGCTTCTTCCCTGTATTAGATGGTCATAGATTTGTAGTTCCAAGCAGTAATAGGAGGTAGTAGAACTGGGTTTACCTTTGTTCTGGGGAAAATCTCTTTGTGCCTCAGGTGGTCATAATGATGTACAATGTACTTCCAGGGGCCACCTTTCTGAAATGGGCTGTCATTGTGTCCACACTTTTCAATATATGGAATCATCTGAGATGCTGGATAGACAAAATAACATTAGCAGCAGCTTTCTCTTCCAGAGAAAAACCATGAAATTATGCATGCAGCAAGAATTAAATTAGCTACCCTGCCATTTTCCCCCCTGCTTTAGGTAACGGCACTCCAATTTCTTTTGGGGGACCCCATCCCCCCTCTACTGTTATGTGATTCTGGTAGGAGTCCACTCTCCAACTCCGGAATAGACATGAGATCCAAGCTAACCAATCAGGGGACCAATGCTCTCAGTTTGCTAAAAGTGGTGATGTGGCCATGTGGTGAACAAAATTCTCTTGGTCCCTGTGATTGGTGGAGGGATGAAAATAGGTTGTAAGTCTACTTAATTAGAGTGGATTCCAATGCTTTAGTGTAGTAATTTCTTCTTATGAGATTGCAGAGAGAAGCACACATTCCTGGACTGCCTTTAACCATGGGCAGAGCATGCTTGAAAACAGAAACATTCAGAGGAACCATGTCCTGATTGTATTGTTTGTGTTACCTCATTCACTGGGGCCTGAAATCAGACTAGCCCTGAAAGTTATTAGTTATCTAAGGAAATAAATCCTCACCTTTATCCTTTTTATTTTTATTGTTTTTAATAAGCCAGTTTGAGTTTTTTTTAAATCACTAGATACTGAGGAAGTTTGAACATTCCTAAACATTCATTCATTCATTTATTCCACAAATATTTATTGATGGGCAAAAGTTTAAAGCACAGCAATATGACTCAGATAAATGCGTGTGTAAACAGAAATATATAAAATGGGTGACTATGACTTGCAGTTTTATTTAGTCTGTTTTTGTTTGGATCTTTAGAAGGTCCTTTCTGTACAGTGGTTTAACCCGGGAAGGCCTCCAATCTGTGGACATTTTGTGGGTCACAAAGCTTAGATTAGTTATATAGGTATGCAGGGAGATACTGTGTTAGCAGTGGTTTCAAATGTTTGTGCATCCATTTGACTCTTGAGGTCTTGATTTTTAATAGACCATATCATATGAAAGTTTCATATTATCATTTGGAGGAAATTCAGATATTCTGCAATGAAGTGATATCCAAAGATATTCTCTGTTTCTGGGAAATTTGTATTATATATCCTGTGTTTGTTTGCAAGATATGTGCATAAAACCCTCTTCAGGGAAGGCCAACCATACTGCACAAAAATGGCTCACCATCACTAACTTTTAAAGAAATCCAAAATGACAGGCAAGGAGATCTACTCACATGACCATTATTCAAAGCTCGATAGGTATTTGAGTTCATGTCTGGTTCACTGATACTGCAGCGGAACTGATTTGCTTTTGGTGCATTCTCAGCTGGCTGGACTGAACCATGAATTCATATTGGATACCTGTTACTTAAATCAATTGCCAATATCTGATCCAAAAATAACTTAGTTCCTCCTGCAGTGTTCACTGGTGCTTCCTATTACATTCTATAGGATTTTTTTTTCCGAGTTACATTTGTCACATCGCATTACATTTTGCCACATTAGCTGATACTTCATAAAGTGAGGAAGCAGGGTACAGGACAATGTAGAAGACGAATAAAAAAGAATATACATTAGCATTAGTATGCTTGGATATTTTAAAGCAAATTCTAAATTATTTTTTGACTTAATTCATAATATCAGCATCATACCTAACACAATTAACAATATTCCCTAATTATTATGTGATACACAGTCTTTTTCAAAATTTCTGTTTGTCTCAAAATGTCTTTTTACAGTTGGTTTATTCAAACAAGGATATAAACAAAGTCAATACGTTGCATTTAGTTGCTGTGTCTCTTTCTTTATCCTCCTGTATCAGTCCACCCTCTTGTATCCCCTACCTAATGCTGTTTATTTGTTGAAGGAATGAACAGCTTGTTCTGTAGAATGTCTCACAGTCTAGGTTTGGCTGATTGCTTCCTTTTGGTGCCCTTTAACTTATTATTTTATTCCTTTTATTTTTCTGTAAGCTGATCATTAGGTCTAGGATTAATGAAATTCATATTTATTTTATTTAGACAAAAATATTTGCAAGGTAATATGCTTCCTAGTCTGTTACATCAGGAGACACATAACCTGTCGTTGTTCCTCTATTATTGATGCTACGATTGAGCAATGGATGTGGCTGCTCTCTGCCTCATTTATTTATTATAAAAAGTTCACCCTCACCTAGTTAGTTGTTTTAGTATTCATTGACCATTGTTACCTGCATCCATTCTTTTATTAGGCGCTGCAAAATGCTTTATTTCTCCTTGATGGTTAGCTGGAAATTTTCCATAAAGAATGTTCCTTCTGTCATTGATGTTGAAGCTATAGACTGGAAAAAGGGAAATAGGCAAACACTTCAAGGCCTGATTGACTTTATATCTGGGGACGCAAAGAATCATCACAGCCTCCACTTAACCTACCCCAGATCTGGTTTACGGTGGATCCACTGAGACCACAGCCACACCTGGACATACTTAGTAGTTGGCACAGCCTGTACATTCATTCTTTGGCTTCTGGGTTAAGAGCTCTTGTAGTGAAGAAAACCAGGTGGAAGCCTCTGAAACTGCCCACATATTCGGGCCAAGATAGTAAATAAAAAATGACATTGCCTCCCAGAGGAAGGAGAAGTTTACCACAACCTTTAAAGGTACAAAGTATAAAGGGTGGTGGTCTCTATTAAGTTTATATTTAATTTGTCAGTCTGACACTTATGAAAATTAGTTGATCATGGAAGATGACAGTAAATCATCACAAACTCAAACAAGTAATAGTTCTTTGCAAGGCTGCTCTTCCCGATGCGGCATCTTTGCTAAAACAGATTGACATGGCCTCAGGTATATGGTATGCAGCCACTGATCTAGGAAATGTGTTACCCTGCACCAATATCAGAAAGGAGGATCAGAAGCAGTTGGTATTCACTTGGAGTAGACAATAAAAGTCAGGTAGAGTCTTGACCCAGGACTGTGTTAACTCTCCAATCCTCTGTCATTGTATAGTTAAAAGACACCTGGGCCATCTGGACAATCAGAACATAACACTGAACATCCACTCTATGGATGACAACATTCTAACAGACTAAATGACTAAGTGGCAAGTATATTAGAGCCTGATAAGATATGTGGGCTCCAGAGGGCAAGAGATAAACTCTGGATGGTTCTCAGGTCTGTCCTATTAGTAAAACATTTAGAAGTCTAATGGTCTAGAATGTGTCAAGACATCCTCTCCAAAATAGAGGATGCTTTATGCTGCATAAAGAGAGGATGCCTTTCTGCATCTAGCACTGGGAGGAAGAATATTTCACACCTGGGTATTTTACTCCCAAGATGCAAAGAACATTAGGGAATAGGGTTGAAAGGACTTGGCAATGGGTCAGACCTCTATTTGTACAAATAAGGGAGACAAAGATGATGCTGAGGTTTCAGGTCTGAGACATTGAGATGATGGTGATGCTAGGAACTCAACTTTTGCACAAAAGATGAGGAGTTAAGTTTTAGACAAATTTTGTTTGAGATGCATACATAGTTTGAGATGCATGTAAATAGTCTAGCAAACAGTTGGACATGTAGGGCTAGAACTTGTAAGATATATCAGGACTAGAAATAACATGACTTCACTAGTCATTCAATAATTATTTACTGGAGATTCCTGATGTTCTTAGAGCTGAAGCTAGGTCTCAGCTCTGTGTCACAAGAAAATTACTAGATTCCCTCTTAAGATGCTAAATTTGCATTCAGGAAAAACTTGCAGTTTATTTGACATGAGTGTCATCAGGATAGGCATGATACTGAAGCCCTGATTTTCATTTGTTCCCTCATTTGTTAACTTATTCATTCATTTACTTGAGATTTCTCAGGAACATAGAGGGCAGAAATCACCTGGGGAGCTTGCGAAAAATGGAATGTCTGCTCTTTACCCTGGACAGAATGAATTAGAAACTCCAAGAGTAGGGCCTGGACGCATACATCTTTTCAAAGCTCTACGGGTAATTTGACATTCAGCCAGAATTGAAAACTACCAGTGGGTGAAAAAACACATGAAAACAGCTCATTTGTGAAAGAAGAAGAGCTAGAGAAAGACACAGAGCAGGAGGGTATCAGCAAAACAGAAGGTGACTCAAAAGAGGATCATATCATGGAAGCCAGGGGAATAATATTGTGCATGTGTATGTGTGTCCAGTTAGAAGGTGCATGGAGGATAAGGTGAACTTATAACCAACGTGAGGAGGGAGGCATTGTGGAGGAAGGGAAGAGCAACACTGATATGATTGCTACTGGAGGAATGGTGGCAAGGAGTTTCTGTGTAAAGAAGGCTCCATATGCATGTGTATTGTTCTTACAGGATTGCAATGGCTCTTGAATCATATTAAATCATAATTTTGGCTCGGGCATGGAGTCTCACTGGAAAGATGTGATCATTTGGTGTACCATTGTCTGGGAAAGAGGAGTCCTTGTACCCAAAACCAGAACCCAGAAGCAATACCCTAGGTAAGTACAGGAGAGCATTCAGCCTCCCCCGATATTCCTGAACTCAAGGCAGCAAGATAGTGCTTTCACATGGACAACGCATATGAAACCAAGCTTGGTGAAAAGCTATGATAGGCTTAGTGCCCTGTGCTGTACCTCTGGTAGTGTATATCGCTTATGAGTTCTGTGTGTTTGTCATAAAGTCCCTTCTGATAGTTCTAGTCTCTCTCAGCTGTAGAAGGAAATGAAGGAAGAGCATTTTGTTCTCTGGAGTCAGAAAATGAAGCACAGAGAAGCCAGCATGGTGGTGCCACGCTTGGTGCAGCCACCTCCCCTTTCTAGGAGAGTCTTGTTCCAGACTTTACCCTGTGGGTTCTAGAGAGTGTGTTAAGCAGGAAGACCTAAATCAGGGCATGCAATGAGGGAACTTACACATTTAAGTATGATTTCTATGTGTATTTCTGGCTGTTTTCTCTTACAAAATCTTCTTCCATGGAGAGGTCAAAAGTAGGCCATTACCTTTTAATCTCCAACTTTTTGTTGCGAAACATTTTACAAAACTTTAAAGAACAGGATAATGATTGATCATATTATCGCTACCTAGACTCAATAATTGTTAACATTTGGCCAATAGTTGCATTATCTGTCAATCAATATTTTTTTCCTGAAGCATTTGAAAGTAAGTTGCAGATATCATGATATCTCATCTTGAAAATACTTCATAATTCATCTCTCAAAAATATGGACAATCTCTTGCATAGTCACAATATTACTCTTATATCTAAGAAAATTAACATTGATTTCCTGTTTCATCTAATTTCATATAAATCCCTACTGCCTCTTAAATGTCTCCTTACCTGGATTTTTTTAAAAACAGGGTCCTGGCCGGGTGTGGTGGCTCACCCCTGTAATCTGAGCACTTTGGGAGGCCGAGGCAGGTGGATCACTTTAGGTCAGGAGTTTGAGACCATCCTGGCCAACATAGGCAAACCCCCTCTCTATTCAAAAAAATTCAAAAATTAGCCATGTGTGGTGGCACATACCTGTAATCCCAGCTACTCAGGAGGCTGAGGCAGAAGAATTGCTTGAATTTGGGAGGCGGAGGTTGTGGTGAACCAAGATGGCACCACTGCACTTCAGGCACTCCAGCCTGGGTGATAGAGTGAGACTCTGTCTCAAAAACAAAAAACCAACCAACCAAACAAACAAAAAAAACAAAAAAAAAAACAAAAACAAAAAAAAACAGGGTCATAGGCATTACTTTCAGTTATTATGTCTCTTCATTCTCTTTAAGACAGACTTTCACGATATGGGTGTAGCTTTTTTTTTTTTTTTTTTTTTTTTTTACTCTAACACAAACTTTCATGATATGGGTGTAGCAAGGACCATATCTTAACACTTTTAATCTCCAGTCTTGAAACTGACCAGGGATAGTGGTAGATTACTGCTTTTGTAACTGCCCTTCGGTAGACTCCTCTCCTTGAATCTGGGCTGGCCCTCCAACTTGCTTTGTCTAATAGAATGTGGTAGACATGATGTTCAGGAACTTAAGACCAAGCCTCAAGAAGGCTTGGCAGCTTCCAGGTTTACTCTTTCAGAGAAGCCAGCCCCTCTAAGAATTCTGACAACTAGATCTCTGTGCTGTGAGAAGCCTAACTTAGCCAACTGTAGAGTTCAGCTGGAGGAGAAATGAGGTTTCCAGTTGATGGACAGCACCATCTGGCCAGCCACGTGAGTGAGGCTATCTTGCAGGTGGGTCTTCCAACCCCAGCTGAGCTACCTCGGCTGATGCTGTGTGGAGCAGAGATGAGCTGTCCCCACTAACACCTGCCCAAATGGCAGAATTGTCAGCAAGTAAGTGCGTGTTGTTTTAAGTCACTATGTTTTGGAGTAATTGGTACTCAATAATCAAGGACGATCCTGAAGAGTTGTTTGTTGAACTGGACTGGAAAAAAGCCTGAACAGAGGTAATTTAAGAAAAGCAGTCAGAAGCTGTAGGAAAAAGGCCTTCTGACTGAATCAGCAGATTCTTTATGGTCTTCTCCCAGATCACAGGAATCCAAACTTGGCCAAACCCTAAAGTCAATGCCTGTCTTCTTCCTTGCATCCTCCCAACCCCAGCCAAAGGGGATCCTGTCCCACCCCACTCTTCGCTATCTCTTTGCTCTCTTCACATCCAGACCCCAGTAGACTTTTGTAATCTTGCTTCTTATAGCTGCCTTCCATGCATGCTGTGTCCTGGCCTGTCCTGAACTTCCCAGGTTCTCCTCAGCATGAAATGCCATCCACCCATGTCTTCTCTGTGTCTATAGGCTTGTCAAATGCCACCTCCTCTAAGAAGCCATTCCTAATGCCACACCAGAATTAATCTAAGCTCCTAAAGCAGTTGTCTATGTCCCTCCTATTCTATCTGTCACATTTTTCCTTGTTCTGTGGTGATTTTTATACATGTGTCTCTTTCCTCATAGCTCACAAAGCCCTGGAAAGTAGGAGCCATGTCCTTCCATTCTGCTGTTCCTCCCACTGCATGGCTTACAATGAGTGGCATGGGACATGCACCCAAGATTAGAAGGTGGCATGGCACAGTAGCTAAGCATGGGCTTAGAGTCAGGCTGTGGGTTTTGGTCTTCATCCTGTCACCTATCAACTGTATGATTCTGAGAAAGTTACTCAACCTCTCTGTTTCTGGATTTATCATCTGTGAAGTGGGGATCATAACAGTATATATCTCATAAAGATGCTGTCAGGATTAATGAGATGCACAGAATGCTTGGAATAATGCTTGTCACAGAGGAAGGACTGCATAAATGTTAGCTATTTTAATCTAAGCAGTTCACTGAATTGAATCAATCATCTCTTTTTCATACTATAGTACTGCACTTCTTTTTCTGCGCAATCCTCCCACCCACTTTAGACTACGTAATTTTTACAGAAAGTATTATTGCATTGGAATTAGAGGGAGAAATAAAGGTAGGGGGTATTATAATATGAATAATATGATACACAAACCTCAGGAAGAAGTTATACCTTAAATGCAAGAAATTTCTTTAATAATTTCTCGAAATAGAGGGAATTTAGACTGGAGAAGTATATGAGAGTGAGTGGGGAGGAGGAGAAGTGTGGGACTAAGAAAGAAGAAAGTCCCCAGGTTTTTCTTTTTCTTTTTTTTTTTTTTGAGATGGAGTTTCGCTCTTGTTGCCCAGGCTGGAGTGCAATGGCACAATCTTGGCTCACTGCAACCTCTGCCTCCCAGGTTCAAGCGATTCTCCTGCCTCAGTCTCCCAAGTAGCAGGGATTACAGGCATACACCACCATACTTGGCTAATTTTTGTATTTTTAGTAGAGACAGGGTTTCACCATGTTGGCCGGGCTGGTCTCGAACTCCTAACCTCAGGTGATCTGCCCGCCTTGGCCTCCCAAAATGCTGGGATTACAGGCATGAGCCACCAGGCCCGGTCCTTGGTTGGGTGGATTCAGCTGGACCCCACCCTCATGCCAGATGCAGTTGTTTACTTCTAGCTTTATTTAGGAACCACATTAGAGAGGACACACCCTTTGGGCCCTCTTGAAAGATCCTGTAAAAATGAAGGCACTTCCTTGTAAGTAAAATATCCCTAAATGCAACAATATTTGGATAATTATAGTCTCCCAGGAGCATAATCCTTAAATGGCTGAGATAATTATAGCATCCCAGGCCTGTGGCATTTCTCTTTTAAGAGCCTAATCCTATGGGCAGAGGGAAGTGGGGACCCCAGGATGCTTCTTATGCTGAGTCCCCCTTGCCCACACCGTAGGACAGATCATTCTCCTAGAAAGCAAGACTGGTGAGTCTTCAGACCAAGACTTCCTTATTCACAGTGGATGTGTTCCCTAGGGTGCAACAACAACAAAATCTAGCACGAAACAGTGTGCATGAATGAGTACAGCTATTTCTGACAAGTAGAAGATGACTCTGCATATAAACAAATGAGATAAGAAATGATTCTTTGGAACGACACCTCTGATAGTTACTAGAACCCTGTAGAACCCTGATAGTGCTTTCCGGCACAGGCTTGGGCAAGGAGAAAGCAAGTCAAAGTTCATGGTCGTTGGTGTGACCTTTATTGTTATCTTCTCACCTAGTCTGGGAAGTGAGTTGGGTGGGGTGTGATATTTTTGCCATGGCTATGTTTGATCTCTCAAAAAGACAAATGGAGTCAAAGAAAGAAAAGTGTTTCCTTGGCTTTGGGCTGTACCTCTACCACTGGCCAAGGAGCCTCTTTTAAATTTGTGAGCTGGTGTTCACAAGACAGAGATGAGAGAGTGATGATTGTTTGGTGTAGCCTACCACCTTTACTGAGAAAACAAGCCAAAGTGAGCCTTCAATTGATAGGCAGGCAAAAGCGTCCTGCCTGTCCATGAGTGACAGTCTCTCTATCTTTTATTCCTGGATGCCTTATCCCTCATCGCTTTCATCGCTTGCATTCTGTTAGTTTTCTCTTGATTGAAAGTGACTCTCTGAGTGACTTAAAGGCACTGTGAGGGCTATATATATATATATACATATATATACACACGCATACATATGTGTATATATATACGTATATATATATATATATATTTTTTTTTTTTGAGATGGAGTCTCACTCTGTCACCCAGGCTGGAGTGCAGTGGCGTGATCTCAGCTCACTGCAACCTCTGCCTCCTGGGTTCAAGCAATTCTTCTGCCTCAGCCTCTTGAGTAGCTGGGATTATGGGTGCATGCCAACGTACCTGGCTAATTTTTGTATTTTTAGTAGAGATGGGGTTTCCCCATGTTGACCAGGCTGGTCTCAAACTCCTGACCTCAGGTGATCCTCCCACCTCAGCCTCCCAATATTTTTTCTTATTAACTAGTCTATGAATGCCCATGGATAGGTACCATGATTGATAAGATAGAGGAGAATACTCTAAAGCCTGTTAACACTGTCTCCAGGACTTACCCTGTGGTTTATGGGAACATGCTGCATTTTCCTTTTATAACCTGCCACTGTTAGGTTCCCACAATCAGAAGAGGTTGTTATGATTCACTTTGCTTATAGAACTCTTTTCTTTTGAAGCTTGGCAAGTATACTTTTTGTAGTTCAGCTGACTTCTATGGGCCCTGGGATGATTTTTTTTGTTTTTTTTTGAGATGGAGTCTCACTCTGTTGCCTAGGCTGGAGTATAGTGGCGCAATCTCGGCTCACTGCAACCTCTGCCTCCTGGGTTCAAACGATTCTCCTGCCTCAGCCACCCAAGTAGCTGGGATTACAGGCGCACACCACCACACCCCACTAATTTTTGTATTTTTAGTAGAGATGAGGTTTCACCATGTTGGCTAGGCTGGTCTCTAAACCCTGACCTCAAGTGATCCGCCCACCTCAGCCTCCCAAAGTGCTAGGATTACAGGCGTGAGCCACCGCGCCCGGCCGATGACTTTTATAGATAAGAATAATAAAACCCTTTGTTGACCTCTATTTCCTAAGCTGGTGAAGAGGGGGCTGCACGAATTTATCTCTAAGATCCCTTTGGATTTTACACAATTGTGTTTATTTAATTTTTTGTATCCACATTCTTTGCAATATTTGTTCATTCATTCATTCACTTGCTACTATTTGTTTTATTCTACTTTACAGACATGTATTAGACACCAGGAAAAAATTAAGATATATGGCTTGTCCTTTCAGAACTCATTCTGTAAATATGGATGCTCAATAAGTGGTGCTCTGGTCTCGTAAAGCACAGCCATGTAACTAGACTATGTTATCATGAGCTGTTTTGCAGCCATAGATACTTAACATCAACTTTCTTATGCTGCAGTTATTTTCCCCAGTGACATCTTTTTGACACTGTTCTGTTAAGGTGATTCAGAAAAATTTCTTGCTGGGGCCTTGCCTTTTCTGATTCATTTTATTTCCAGCTATTTTCTCTTTGAAGAATGTAGGTATCAAACTGGGTATATTTCTTGGGACTCATGTTGCCTGGGTGCCTGTTAGGGTTTCTCTGGGGGCTGTACAAAGAGGCAAAGGTTGTAGCAACAAAAAGCAAAACTGAGAAGTGCTGGCAAGAGCCAGGACAACCCTCTACTCAAGCTTCTGACAGCAGCAAACACAAAAAATCAAGCATGAAGACTATTTCACAAAAGGGACATGCTGACTTGTGAACAGACCCCCAAATCAAGTTCTCCCTTAGGTTCCCTGCAAATTTGAAGGAGTCAGAAAGTATAAAGAATATAGTCCTAAGATTTCTCTATTTTTCCTTGGGGCGAGAACGTTTGCCATGAGATCTAACTTCTAGAAGATGAAGGTTTCTTTATTTGATACATTGTATTCTGGTCAACACTGTGTTCAAAATGCTTTAAAACCCCAGGAGAAGATGAAATATCCCTACCGCAGGATATGATGTCCACCTAAATCTGACTTATATTCGCACCTCCAGCCATAGCTCCCACCTTTGTCTTTTCTCCCTGTAGGTGGCAGCTTCATTAAACTCCCCTGGGTTCCTTCCCACATCAAGTTGCTTCATGTCTTTTTGGCTCTACTTACCTTGCTCTCTCCCAGGAATTGCTTTTCCTCCCCTCAATCTCTGTACCTGAGTCCTATGTAGACTTGAAGACTCAGTTCGTGTGTCACCTCCTCCAGGAAGCCTCCTCTGAACTTTCTTCTCCCCGCATTCCTTGCACTTCCTCTCTGCTCCCACAATACCCTGTTCGTAGTTCTATCATTTAATTTCCTGTGATACATTTATCTGTTTCTGTGTCTGGAACTCTCACCAGACCTCAAGCACCTTGAGGGTGGTGGTGCTTTATCTCTGTATCCTGAGAGTCTGGCAAAATGCCTAGCAGAGTCATAAGTACTCGTGGACTGAATTAGTGAAAGTTATTTCAATTTTCTGAGCTTCAGCTTGCTCATCTGCAAAATGGGGGCAATAATACCTCTCTTTCTTTTTTTTTTTTTTTTTTTTTTTTTTTTTTTTTTTTTTTTTTTTTTTTTTTTTTTTGAGACGGAGTCCCGCTGTTTAGCCCAGGCCGGATTGCAGTGGCGCAATCTCGGCTCACTGCAAGCTCCGCCTCCCAGGTTCACGCCATTCTCCTGCCTCAGCCTCCCGAGTAGCTGGGACTACAGGCGCCCGCCACCGCGCCCGGCTAATTTTTTGTATTTTTAGTAGAGACGGGGTTTCACCGTGTTAGCCAAGATGGTCTCGATCTCCTGACCTTGTGATCCGCCCGCCTCGGCCTCCCAAAGTGCTGGGATTACAGGCGTGAGCCACCGCGCCCAGCCTAATACCTCTCTTTCAAGGTATTATTATGGGGACAAGAGAACGTATACAAAGCACCTAGGCCAGTACCTGCAAATGAAAGGAACCCTGCGAGGGATAGCCCTTGTTATCATCAATGCAAGTGCAGTGGCTGCAGTGCAGAGAAGGCCATATTCTGACTGTGGGCCAGGAGTCCTGGCAGAAGAATGAAAGACAGCATTTTGTGTGCTTCTCAAGCCATATCAGTGGAATGACCCAGAGCCTGGGTCCCAGCTCATTCACACAAGTGACAGTCACTGAGAGGTGGCTGTGGGTGATTGTGGCTCATAGATTCTTGAGGAAACTACCTTCCACTCCTTTGATAGACACGTCAGGTGACCCATGAAAACCACGCAATAAAACAGAATTAGGTTGAGCGTATTTACTTTCCACCTCCTGCAGGAACTGTGGTTCTCATGAAGGTGTAGCAAATGGCTAATTCTGCTTCAAATGCTCAGGCTGCCCAAGGCCCCATTTGCAAGCTGCTGATATTGTTTGCATGCAAAAAAGCTGTGCTATTCTGGATTTGTACAGTTAAATCCCAATTAATCAGAACTCCAATAACCACGACTTGGAGTTCACTTTCCAAATCAAGAGGTAAGTCTTACAGTGCACGAACTAAGATCAGGACTTAATGAAATAAACAAACAAGGAAAATGACTGACAAAATCCCAATGAACAAGCAAATAAAGCTCAGAAAGGACCACTCACAAATAACTTCCAGAACTTGATTATATGTAGTTCAGAGTTGGGTTCAAACTTCTTTGGTATGCACAGAATAGAAGACTTGAATTTTGAAGATAGGGGGACTTGGGTTTAAGTCCCAGTGCTTCCATATATTATTAGTTTTTGAGATATTGGGCAAGTCATTTTAACTGCCTAAGCCTTAGTGTCCTCATCTGTAAACTGTGGATAGCAATGGTAACTACAGATGGTCCCCAACTTATGATGGTTCAGCATAATGATTTCTTGACTTTATGATGGTGTGAAAGTAATAAGCATTCAGTAGAAACTGTACTTCGAGTACCCATATAACCATTCTGTTTTTCACTTTCAGTACAGTATCCAATAACTTACATGAGATATTTGACATTTTATTATAAAATAGGCTTTGTGTTAGATGGTGTTGCCCAACTGTAGGCCAATGCAGGTGTTCCGAGCATGTTTATGGCAGGCTAGGCTAAGGTATAGTGTTCAGTAGGTTACATGTATTAAATGCACTTTTGACTTATGATGTTTCAACTTATGATGGGATTATCAGGATGTTTCCCCACAGTAAACTGAGGAGCATATGTACTTATTCAAACTCACAGAAGCAGAGAATAGAATGATGGTTACCAGAGGCTGTGGGGAGGGGAAAAAGGGAGCTGTTCAATTGGTATACAGTTTCATTTAAGCAAGGTGAGAAGTTCTAGAGAACTGCTATACAGTATAGCATCCATAGTTAACAATAGTGTAATGTGCACTAAAAAATTGTGAAGAGGGTAGACTAAGTGTTCTTACCACACACACACACAAAAGGGTTTGCAGTGCTACAGTCACTTTTTGTTTTTGATTTTTTGAGACAGGGTCTCACTCTGTTGCCCAGGCTGGAGTTTAGTGGCATGATCTCAGCTCACTGCAGCCTCTACCTCCCTGGGCTCAAGTGATCCTCCCACCTCAGCCTCCCAAGTAGCTGGGACTATGGGCACCTGCCACCATGACCAGCCAATTTTTGTATTTTTTTGTAGAGATGTGGTCTTACCATGTTGCCCAGGCTGATCTTGAACTCCTGGGCTCAGGAGATACGCCCACCTCCACCTTACAATGTGCTGGGATTACAAGCCTGAGCCACTGTACCCAGCCTTATAATCATTTTTGTCATGATGAGGCAGCTCTACCTGAGAATTGAGGTACTACCTGATGGGGAGCAGAACCAGCAAAATCATGGCAAAACAGAGCTGGGACTATGATTACTAATCTACTTTTTAAAACTGATCTACTCTGCACATTTTCTAAGATAAAAATTTCCCCTTATTGTTTAAGCAGATTTGGGTTAGCTTTTCTGTCACAACAAAAAGTGTTTGCAGTCATATTACCAATCCCCTTGAAGTCTACATTTGGAAAGGCAACATTCAAATTAAATTTAATTTATTTTGTGTGTGGCAAAAGTGAGGGCAAGTACAATGACATTCCAAAACGGACGTGGAGAGGCTGAGCCATGGCCCACGGTTGTGGGGTGAGTCACACAAATGAACTTGATCTCTTGATGACTTTCTGTATGCATGCATGCTCACACTTTCTCATACACAAACGTTTCTGATGTATGCTAATGTATAACCTTCATTCTTTCAATACAACCCCCTACTTCATGGATGTTCTAAAAATTCACGTAAAATATTTAGATATCCTTCGCACAGCAATCAAGCAAATTACTTCCAAGGGAAGGGGAGAAATGACATCTTTATTTGCTACAAGCCTACTAGGGCCATATGGTAGGCAGAATAATACCCCCAGTTACCCACCCACCATCATATCCACATCCTAATCCCCAGAACCTGTGAATGTTAGGTTACATTACAAAGCGGAATTGAGCATTGAGCTTGCCAATCACCTGCCTTGTTATTTCTTTTTTGAGACCAATTTTGCTCTGTTTCTCAGGCTGGAATGCAGTGGCGTGATCTCGGCCCACTGCAGCCTCCACTTCCCCAGTTCAGGCAATTATCCTGCCTCAGCCTCCCGAGCAGCTGGGATTACCGGCATCCGCCACCATGCCCAGCTTTTTTGTAATTTTAGTAGAGATGGGGTTTTGCCATGTTGGCCGGGCTGGTCTCAAACTCCTGACCTCAAGTGATCCGCCCATCTTGGCCTCCCAAAGTGCTGGGATTACAGGCGTGAGCCACCACCACGCCCTCCACGCCCAGCCGCAAGAGTCTTTATAAATGGAAGATAGAAGCAGAATCATGAGAACCAGAGAGATGGCCGCGGGAGAAGGACTCAGCCCAAGGTTGCTGGCTTTCAAGATGGAAGATAGGGCCACAGAGCACAGAATGTGGACAGCCTCTAGAAGCTGGAAAGGGCAAGGAAACAGATTTTTCCCTTGAGTGTCCAGAAAGAATGCAGCCCTGCCAACATTTTGGGTTTAGCCCAGTGAGACCCATTTTTCACTTCTGACTTCCAGGATTTAAGATAATAAATTTGTATTACTTTAAGCCACTAAGTTTGTTGTAATTTGTTACAGCAGCAAACAACTAATGCAGGCCACAACAATACGTTTTTACAATTGAGTTTTCTATTTACTAGTAGAAAATTTAGTCAATAGAAGGAAGGCAGGGAAGGGTAACAGGAAGTTTAAGGTTGTTTGAACTCCAGGCAAGTCATTTGAAATATCCTCTACATTGCTCTTGAACATAACTCAGCAAGAAGAACTGGAAGGTTTTTCTTTTTCTTTTTTTTGTTTTTTAATGTATATAATCATAGAGACAACTTGGGTAAGATTGAATGTTCTCCCTCCATTATGCATAAGCAAAATGTCTGATCCTCTAGAAGAACCTGTTACTACATTATAATAATGCCTAAGTAAAAGTGAAGAGGTGACACAAATGAAAATCTTAGAGGGAAAACAAATCACTATAGCCATGAGGGAAGTATTATCTAAAAGACGGTGTGAGGCTGGGCGCAGTGGCTCATGCCTGTAATCCCAGCACTTTGGGATCACTTGAGGTCGGGAGACCAGCCTGGCCAACATGGTGAAACCCCATCTCTACTAAAAATACAAAAATTAACCCAGTGTGGTGGCACGCACCTCTGGTCCCAGCTACTCGGGAGGCTGAGGTGGGAGAATCGCTTGAATCCAGGAAGCAGAAGTTGCCAAGATCAGAAGTGAGCCAGGGTGAAACCCCGTCTCTACTAAAAATACAAAAATTATCCGGGTGTGGTGGCACGCACCTCTGGTCCCAGCTACTCGGGAGGCTGAGGTGGGAGAATTGCTTGAATCCAGGAAGCAGAAGTTGCCAAGATCAGAAGTGAGCCAGGGTGAAACCCCGTCTCAGCTAAAAATACAAAAATTATCCGGGTGTGGTGGTATGCACTTGTGGTCCCAGCTATTTGGGAGGCTGAGGTGGGAGAATTGCTTGAACTCAGGAAGCAGGAGTTGCCAAGCAGAAGTGAGCCAAGATCGCGCCCATGCACTCCAGCCTGGGTGACAGGCAGGAAAAAAAAAAAAAAGATGGTGTGATTTTTTGAAGCCTGGTTGAATTAGGCCAATTTAGCCTCTTTAACCACATTTCCAAAACGTGGAAAACATCACAGTAGGTTTCTATAATGCCAAAATAATTGTGAAATAGATAATCATAAGCTTCATGAAATTATGTCATCTAAATAGAAGTTATTATTATCTCCTTTTGTTGAGGGATTATGTAGAAAGAATTGGCTTCCCAACAGTACCTTATGGTTTTAGAAAGAGATTGAGACTTTTTGCATCAGGTTCCAACAGATTAGTGGTTAATGTTTGAGTTATAAAATACTCACAAACCCAGGGCGGGTTCATAAAGTGTACGGATCTCAAAACTTTAATCATACAGTCTTCTGCCTAGCTCCACCTCAGCCCTTCCATTCTGTTTTTAAAAATAAAGCTACCAGTTTATAAACAACTTTCAGACCAAAGGCGTGACCCCCTGGGTGGTAAGTGACAAAAGAGGAGTACTAATGGACATTTTAAGTGTTCCACATCCGCAGACTTAGCCTGCCTCAAACTGGCTTGGGGTTATCAGTGTAATCTTTTAAAAATTACTTTCTAAACAAACTTAACAACTAAAATGATTGGTATAAGGGAAGGAAAGTTAAAGCCAAAAATATTTCAAATGTAGCTTTGAAAAGAATAATGGCACATACATCACCGATCAATTTCTGAGCTCTGGACATTTTCCTGTTTTCTTTGTAAAGCAGAAGAGTTTTCCTCTGCTCTTGTGCCTTTGACCTCCTGCCACACATCATAAATTAAAAAAATTTGTGACTGTCATAAGCATTATTCAGAATTACTTCTGCACACGACACTGTGTTAGGTGTGATGGTAAACAAGTTAAACAGTCTCTCTCATGAAGCAGCTTTTATTTTAAATCAGTCTTAGCTGGCCTTCTAGTTAAATTGATGTGTTGATTTCATGTGTTTTTTTTTTCTTCTCCCTTTACCTCTTGGGGCCCAAAAAAGAAGAAAGAAATATTAAAGGATAAAGATAAGAGATTTGAACCAATTTTTGGAAGATTGAAAACAGAACCAGGAGTTGCACCTGACATAGTAGAATAGAGGAAGTTTTAACATAAATTACTTATTAAGAGGGATGCTAATGAGGGACCAAGAATGATATTGATGACAGGAAAATTCATTCTCTCCTGCAAACTTCCTTCTGTAGTACTTAAGAATTTAGAGTCACCAACAAACCCTGAAGGTGAGCATGAAATGTGGGACTGAATACAGGGAACTTATTGAACTGAAATTTTGCAAAAGGAACAATTGGATCCCAGGATGTCCTCCCTGATGCTGTGTGAGCAGGGGATTCTAGTCTATGAATAATACTGAAAATGTATTCTTTGGAATCATTCAAGGATATCAGATGGAGAGGGGGGCAGGGAAGGTGTTGAGCTGAAGCAGAAGAGTAAGTCAAAACCACCCTAATGAAACGTAGGACCTGTAGGATGTGTCCCTCTTATCATCTCTGAAAACATAAAAGTCCAAGCATGCAAACCTTAGGTAAGAAACTAGAAAACTTCTCTTTGGAGAAACTCCAGAGAAAATACTTTCACCTACTGATAACTGGGAGTTCCCCAAATCTAGCTGGCATGCTGCTGACCCATTTCACTAGAGTGGAGACTACCAATACACAAGTCTTGCTTACTCACAGAATTTCTAAACAGTTTAATTAAAAGTCTTTTGTTATAGAAAAGTTCAAACATATAAAAGTAGAGAGAAGAGTATAATAAACCCTCACACACCCATTGCTCAGCATCAATGCTTAGCAATTCATGGCCAATCTCAAATCATCTCTACTTTTACCCACTTTCTCCCACCTGTATTATTTTGAAGAAAGTACCAGGCATTATATAATTTCACCCTTAGATATTTTAGGTTTTATTTCATGTTTTCCTAAAAAAAGGCTGGCTCTTAGCCTGTACTCAGACAGCATCCCATCCCCCTGCACCATCCCCGTTGCTTTTTCTGTACTGCTTTCCTGGAATGCAGACTGCAGGCCAGAGACTGGGGAAGGAAAAGCAGCAGAGACCCAGCCCGACCCATCTTGCCTTTCTGCCATGGAACCTGAATGCGGCTGCTTCCCTCTTGCCTGCACACGAGAGCTGGAGGCTAGGTTGGAGGCCTAGGCTGAGGGCCTGGCAGATTTCCTGAGTGCTCTCTGCAACAGACCAGCCCCAACAGAGAGGAACAGGGATCTGGTGAATGACCACAGCCACCAGGAAGTGGACCGGAAGAATTTTTCACTTTTCCAGAGATATTCTTACTGGTAACTCCAGGGTCTATATATTAGACAAATGAGGTAGGGGTGGAAGGGTGGTTGGCCAGAATAGAATCCCAACTTTGTCACTGACCACTAGCAGTCATGTGACCCAGACAGGTCGTTTCAATCTCTAACCCTCAGTTTCCATTTTATAATGGGTGCAAAATAAGCGGCTCCTATGGTTGTCATGATGACTAAATGTAATCCTGCCGTGAACTTTCCAAATGTCAGGAATTGGCATGACATCATGACATCTACACAAATGTGTGCCATACCTTCCTGCCAGTTCTACTATTATTTCTCTGAGACTTCCCCCTAATTGCTTTGCTTTTTAAACACGGGCATCTCTCAAAGCAATGCTGCTTGAAAAACAGGGTTTATTTTACAGGTTATTGTTTCCTAATCTACTTAAAATAAATAGACAATTACTAAAGTAAGAAAAAAACAGACTGGCTCTTGGGAAAAATAACCACACTACTATTATCAGAACCAAAATAAATAACAATGATTTGTTAATATCATCCAATACACAGTGTTCAAATTTTCCCAAATTGTCTTATAAATATCATAATTTTGTTTTATAATTTGTTTGAAACAGGCTTCAACTTAGATTTGTCCCTTGAAATTAGTTGGAATGTCTTTTAAGCTCTTTTCATCTATAGGAGCGCTCTCCATCTTTTTCTCTTTTTTGTTTGCAATTTGTTAAAGAAACCAGGGTTTCCCTACAGGACAGCATGGTAAGATTTACTGGTTACGTCTTTGTGGAATAGTTTAACATCTTTATTCTCTGCATTTCCTGTAAATTAGATCTAAAGGCCAGATCAGATTTAGGTTGAAATTTTGGGGGAAGAAATATTTTCAGGTGGTGCTGTGTTCTTTTATTTGGTGACATATAATATCTGGCTCTCTCTTTTTGTCTGATGTTTGCAGTTGTTGATGCTCACCCATTATTAGGTGATGCAAAATATTGATATTATAATTCTATTCATCTTCCATTTATTAGTTGGATGTTTCTATAAAAAGGAAATTCCTCTCATTTGACATTTGCTTACATATAGGAAAGGTATGATTAGTACTTGATTCTTCCTCTTTGCAATTTTCTAAATAATGAATTGGCTCACTAATATCATCCAGTGATGACCAATTAGGTTTTGTTTTGCTTCACAGTTTTCATGAACCCATAGATTTAAAAATATTTACTTTGTTCTATCCAAGGCATTAGTATTATTATATTTATTGAAGCTTAAATTGTGCTTTTGGTCAGTGGGTTTGGCTACTGAACGCTTCTGACATGACATTAGTAATCATTGATAGCTTCTTTACTATTTGGAATTGCCACATGATTCAGGCTCCCTTAGACATTTCCTTATTCAAAACATAGTCATTGGAGAAAAGTGTCTAACATGAAAAAATAAATCAAAAGAGAAACCCAAAGAAAACAAAGATAATGTAGGAAATTATATAAACCTTGAAAAATCCCTCAGGGAGATCACTCGGATGGGAGATAAAGTAAAGACAATTTCTGGAGAAAAAAAGGGTAAAAACAAAAACAAATGAAAAAATGACACATAGGTCCACCATTCAACTGATTATAAGATCAGAAGAAAAGATAGAAAAAAATCAAAGGAAGAAAATTACTTAAAAAGACATAAACCTCAAAAATCTCAAAACTACAAATCTTAAAACTGAGAAGGCTCACTGAGAACCAAGTACAATGAAAAAAATAGACACACATCATGAAATTTCAAGAATTTCCAGAATACCAGTAATAAAAAGAAGAGCCCCTAAAACTGATTATATATGAAGAAACAAAAATGAGAAAAGCTTTGGATTCCTCAACATTAAATACTAAAAGACAATGGAGGGACTTCTGCCTCCATATAAGATGTCATAACAGGGATTGAATTTATCCTCTTATCCAAAACAACTGAAAACCAATGCTTTCAAGACATCAGATACTAGGCAACAAAAAATCAATGATCCCTGAGAGATGGGGAACAATTAAGTATGCCTCAGCTTACTGTGTTGAGAGAGTTTTCTGGCCATGGAACTGAATTCAGGGAGATTAAACTAAGGGTTAAGGAGATTAAGCTGACAGTCAGGAGAGGTCAAAACAACTGGAGCTCACAGGGCAGAATACTAGAGAGAAGAGAGAGATAACTCTAGAGAACTGCAGAAGGGCCCCCTCAAGTATTCAGTAAATTACTGACCAGTATCCCTGCAGAAGCTGGGTAAAAAAACATATAAAATAATTAGAGGTAACAGTACCTTGAGCTCACATATGTCTAGGAATAGTTTCTATTTCTACCATCCAGACTGGCAAATGTCACTAGGAAGAGTATCAGAAGGATCTCTCCTTATGAATGGAAAATAATTATCCCTAAATCAAATGCTGTTCTGATCTTGCTTATCAAATATTAATAGCAACACCCCAAGAAATCAAACTATTTTTAGGTAATTTCTAGAATATAGTTTAAGAATATTTACAGAGATATAAAAATATCCAGCATCCAAAAAGGTAAAATTGATCATGTCTAGCATTTAAGCAAAAATGACTAGACATACAAAAAAGAAGGAAAATGCAACACATATTGAGGAGAAAAAAATACAATCAATTAAAATTGATGCAGAACTGACACAATAGTTAGAATTATCAGGCAAAGACATTAAAACAATGGCTACAACTGTATTCCACACAGTCTAGAGATCAAAACCATGATGTTTGGGATCAAAATCCCACTTGGTAGGATTACCAACATATTAGACATTGCAGAAGAAAAAAAAAATATATATATATATATATTTTAATTATACTTTAAGTTCTAGGGTACATGTTCACAACATGCAGGTTTGTTACATATGTATACCTGTGCCATGTTTTTGTGCTGCACCCATTAACTCGTCATTTACATTAGGTATGTCTCTTAATGCTTTCCTTCCCCCTTCCCCCTACCCCATGACAGGCCCCGGTGTGTGATGTTCCCCTTCCTGTGTGCAAGTGTTCTCATTGTTCAATTCCCACCTATGAGTGAGAACATGTGGTGTTTGGTTTTTTTGTCCTTGTGACAGTTGGCTGAGAATGATGGTTTCCAGCTTCATCCATGTCCCTACAAAGGACATGAACTCATCATTTTTTATGGCTGCATAGTATTCCATGGTGTATATGTGCCACATTTTCTTAATCCAGTCTATCATTGATGGACTGGATTTGGGTTGGTTCCAAGTCTTTGCTATTGTGAATAGTGCCGCAATAAATATATGTGTGCATGTGTCTTTATAGCAGCATGATTTATAATCTTTGGGTATATAACCAGTAATGGGATGGCTGGGTCAAATGGTATTTCTAGTTCTAGATCCTTGAGGAATTGCCACACTGTCTTCCACCATGGTTGAACTAGTTTACAGTCCCACCAACAGTGTAAAAGTGTTCCTATTTCTCCACATCCTCTCCAGCACCTGTTGTTTCCTGACTTTTTAATGATCACCATTCTAACTGGTGTGAGATGGTATCTCACACTGGTTTTGATTTGTATTTCTCTGATGGCCAGTGATGATGAGCAATTTTTCATGTGTCTCTTGGCTGCATAAATGTCTTCTTTTGAGAAGTGTCTGTTCATATCCTTTGCCCGCTTTTTGATGTGATTGTTTTTTTCTTGTAAATTTGTTTGAGTTCTTTGTAGATTCTGGATATTAGCCCTTTGTCAGATGAGTAGATTGCAAAATTTTCTCCCATTCTGTAGGTTGTCTGTTCACTCTGATGGTAGTTTCTTTTGCTGTGCAGAAGCTCTTTAGTTTAATTAGATCCCATTTGTCAATTTTGGCTTCTGTTGCCATTGCTTTTGGTGTTTTAGACATGAAGTCCTTGCCCATGCCTATGTCCTGAATGGTATTGCTTAGGTTTTCTTCTAGGGTTTTTATGGTTTCAAGTCTAACATTTAAATCTTTAATCCATCTTGAATTAATTTTTGTATAAGGTGTAAGGAAGGGATCCAGTTTCAGCTTTCTACATATGGCTAGCCAGTTTTCCCAGCACCATTTATTAAATAGGGAATCTTCCCCCATTTCTTGTTTTTGTCCGATTTGTCAAAGATCAGATGGTTGTAGATGTGTGGTATTATTTCTGAGGGCTCTGTTCTGTTCCATTGGTCTATATATCTGTTTTGGTACCAGTACCATGCTGTTTTGGTTACTGTAGCCTTGTAGTATAGTTTGAAGTCAGATAGTGTGATGCCTCCAGCTTTGTTCTTTAGGCTTAGGATTGTCTTGGCGATGCGGGCTCTTTTTTGGTTTCATATGAACTTTAAAGTAGTTTTTTCCAATTCTGTGAAGAAAGTCATTGGTAGCTTGATGGGGATGGCATTGAATCCATAAATTACCTTGGGCAGTATGGCCATTTTCACGATATTGATTCTTCCTATCCATGAACATGGAATGTTCCTCCATTTGTTTGTGTCCTCTTTTATTTCATTGAGCAGTGGTTTGTAGTTCTCCTTGAAGAGGTCCTTCACATCCCTTGTAAGTTGGATTCCTAGGTATTTTATTCTCTTTGAAGCAATTGTGAATGGGAGTTCACTCATGATTTGGCTCTCTGTCTGTCTGTTATTGGTGTATAAGAATGCTTGTGATTTTTGCACACTGATTTTGTATCCTAAGGCTTTGCTGAAGTTGCTTATCAGCTTAAGGAGATTTTGGGCTGAGACGATGGGGTTTTCTAAATATACAATCATGTCATCTGCAAACAGGGACAATTTCACTTCCTCTTTTCCTGATTGAATACCCTTTATTTTTTTCTCCTGTCTGATTGCCCTGGCCAGAACTTCCAACACTATGTTGAATAGGAGTGGTGAGAGAGGGCATCCCTGTCTTGTGCCAGTTTTCAAAGGGAAATCTTCCAGTTATTGCCCATTCAGTATGATACTGGCTGTGGGTTTGTCATAATAGCTCTTATTATTTTGAGATACGTCCCATCAATACCTAATTTACTGAGAGTTTTTAGCATGAAGGGCTGTTGCATTTTGTCAAAGGCCTTTTCTGCATCTACTGAGATAACCATGCGGTTTTTGTCTTTGGTTCTGTTTATATGCTGGATTACGTTTATTGATTTTCGTATGTTGAACCAGCCTTGCATCCCAGGGATGAAGCCCACTTGATCATGGTGGATAAGATTTTTGACGTGCTGCTGGATTCGGTTTGCCAGTATTTTATTGAGGATTTTTGCATTGATGTTCATTAGGGATATTGGTCTAAAATTCTCTTTTTTTTGTTGTGTCTCTTCCAGGCTTTGGTATCAGGATGATGCTGGCCTCATACAATGAGTTAGGAAGGGTATCCTCTTTTTCTATTGATTGGAATAATTTCAGAAGGAATGGTACCAGCTCTTCCTTGTACCTCTGGTAGAATTCGACTGTGAATCTGTCTGGTCCTGGAGTTTTTTTGATTGGTAGGCTATTAATTATTGCCTCAATTTTAGAGCCTGTTATTGGTCTATTCAGGGATTCAGCTTCTTCCTGGTTTAGTCTTGGGAGGGTGTATGTGTCCAGGAATTTATCCATTTCTTCTAGATTTTCTAGTTTATTCGCGTAGAGCTGTTTATAGTATTCCTTGATGGTAGTTTGTATTTCTGTGGGATAGGTGGTGATATCCCCTTTATCATTTTTTATTGCGTCTATTTGATTCTTCTCTCTTTTCTTCATTAGTCTTGATAGCGGTCTATCAATTTTGTTGATCTTTTCAAAAAACCAGATCCTGGATTCATTGATTTTTTGAAGGGTTTTTTGTGTCTCTATCTCCTTCAGTTCTGCTCTGATCTTAGTTATTTCTTGTCTTCTGCTAGCTTTTGAATGTGTTTGCTCTTGCTTCTCTAGTTCTTTTAATTATGATGTTAGGGTGTCAATTTTAGATGTTTCCTGCTTTCTCTTGTGGACATTTAGTGCTATAAATTTCCCTCTACACACTGCTTTAAATGTGTCCCAGAGATTCTGGTATGTTGTGTCTTTGTTCTCATTGGTTTCAAAGAACATCTTTATTTCTGCCTTTATTTCTCGTTATGTATCCAGTAGTCATTCAGGAGCAGGTTGTTCAGTTTCCATGTAGTTGAGCGGTTTTGAGTGAGTTTCTTAATCCTGAGTTCTAGTTTGATTGCACTGTGGTCTGAGAGACAGTTTGTTATAATTTCTGTTCTTTTACATTTGCTGAGGAGTGCTTTACTTCCAACTATGTGGTCAATTTTGGAGTAAGTGTGATGTGGTGCTGAAAAAAATGTATATTCTGTTGATTTGGGGTGGAGAGTTCTGCAGATGTCTATTAGGTCCGCTTGGTGCAGAGCTGAGTTCAATTCCTGGATATTCTTGTTAACTTTCTGTCTTGTTGATCTGTCTAATGTTGAGAGTGGGGTGTTAAAGTCTCCCATTATTATTGTGTGGGAGTCTAAATCTCTTTGTAGGTCTCTAAGGACTTGCTTTATCAATCTGGGTGGTCCTGTATTGGGTGCATATATATTTAGGATAGTTAGCTCTTCTTGTTGAATTGATCCCTTTAAATATGTAATGGCCTTCTTTGTCTCTTTTGATCTTTGTTGGTTTAAAGTCTGTTTTATCAGAGACTAGGATGGCAACCCGTGCCTTTTTTTGTTTTCCATTTACTTGGTAGATCTTCCTCCATCCCTTTATTTTGAGCCTATATGTGCCTCTGCATGTGAGGTGGGTTTCCTGAATACAGCACACTGATGGGTCTTGACTCTTTATCCAACTGTCCAGTCTGTGTCTTTTAATTGGAGCATCCAGCCCATTTACACTTAAGGTTAATATTGTTATGTGTGAATTTTATCCTGTCATTATGATGTTAGCTGGTTATTTTCCTTGTTAATTGATGCAGTTTCTTCCTAGCATTGATGGTCTTTATAATTTGGCATGTTTTTGCAGTGGCTGGTACCAGTTTTTCCTTTCTATGTTTAGTGCTTCCTTCAGGAGCTCTTGTAGGGCAGGCCTGGTGGTGGCAAAATCTCTCAGCATTTGCTTGTCTGTAAAGGATTTTATTTCTCCTTCACTTATGAGGCTTAGTTTGGCTGGATATTAAATTCTGGGTTGAAAATTCTTTTCTTTAAGAATGTTGAGTATTGGCCCCCACTCTCTTCTGGCTTGTAGGGTTTCTGCCGAGAGATGCACTGTTAGTCTGATGGGCTTCCCTTTGTGGGTAACCCAACGTTTCTCTCTGGCTGCCCTTAACATTTTTTCCTTCATTTCAGCTTTGGTGAATCTGACAATTATGTGTCTTGGAGTTGCTCTTCTCGAGGAGTATCTTTGTGGCGTTCTCAGTATTTCCTGAATTTGAATGTTGGCCTGCCTTGCTAGGTTGGGGAAATTCTCCTGGATAATATCATGAAGAGTGTTTTCCAACTTGGTTCCATTCTCCCCGTCACTTTCAGGTACACCAATCAGACGTAGATTTGGTCTTTTCACATAGTCCCATATTTCTTGGAGGCTTTGTTCATTTCTTTTTACTCTTTTTTCTCTAAACTTCTCTTCTTGCTTCATTTCATTCATTTGATCTTCCATCACTGATACCCTTTCTTCCAGTTGATAGAATCTGCTACTGAAGCTTGTGCATTCATCACGTAGTTCTCGTCCATGGGTTTCACCTCCATCAGGTCCTTTAAGGACTTCTCTACACTGGTTATTGTAGTTAGCCATTCATCTAATATTTTTTTAAGGTTTTTAGCTTCTTTGTGATGGGTTCGAACTTCCTCCTTTAGCTCGGAAAAGTTTGATCGTCTGAAGCCTTCTTCTCTCAACTTGTCAAAGTTCTTCTCCTTCCAGCTTTGTTCCACTGCTGGCGAGGAGCTGCGTTCTCTTGGAGGGGGAGAGGTGCTCTGATTTTTGGAATTTTCAGCTTTTCTGCTCTGTTTTTTCCCCATCTTTGTGGTTTTATCTATCTTTGGTCTTTGATGATGGTGACATACAGATGGGTTTTGGGTGTGGATGTCCTTTCTGTTTGTTAGTTTTCCTTCTAACAGTCAGGACCCCCAGCTGCAGGTCTGTTGGCATTTGCTGGAGGTCCACTCCAGACCTTGTTTGCCTGAATATCAGCAGTGGAGGCTGCAGAACAGTGAATATTGCTGAACGGCAAATGTTGCTGCCTGATCGTTCCTCTGGAAGCTTTGTCTCAGAGGTGTGCTCGGCCGTGTGAGGTGTCAGTCTGCCCCTACTGGGGGATGCCTCCCAGTTAGGCTACTCTGGGTTCAGGGACCCACTTGAGGAGGCAGTCTGTCCGTTCTCAGATCTCAAACTCTGTGCTGGGGGAACCACTACTCTCTTCAAAGCTGTCAGACAGGGACATTTAAGTCTGCAGAGGTTTCTGCTGCCTTTTGTTTAGCTCTGCTCTGCCCCCAGAGGTGGAGTCTGCAGAGGCAGATAGGCCTCCTTGAGCTGCGGTGGGCTCCACCCAGTTCTAGCTTCCTGGCTGCTTTGTTTACCTACTGAAGCCTCAGCAATGGTGGGTGCCCCTCCCCCCAGCCTCACTGCAGCCTTGCAGTTTGATCTCAGACTGCTGTGCTAGCAATGAGCGAGGCTCCGTGGGCATGGGACCCTCCAAGCCAGGCACAGGATATAATCTCCTGGTGTGCAGTTTGCTAAGACCATTGGAAAAGCACAGTATTAGGGTGGGAGTGAGCCAATTTTCCAGCTGCTGTCTGTCATAGCTTCCCTTGGCTAGGAAAGGGAATTCCCTGACCCCTTGAGCTTCCCAGGGAAGGCGATGCCATGCCTTGCTTCGGTTCACACTCGGTGGGCTGCACCCACTGTCCTGCACCCACTGTCTGACAAGTCCCAGTGAGATGAACCCGGTACCTCAGTTGGGAATGCAGAAATCACCCATCTTCTGTGTTGCTCAGGCTGGGAGCTGTAGATTGGACCTGTTCCTATTCAGCCATCTTGGAACCACCCTCCAGAAGAAAATATTAATGAATTTGATAATGTAGCAATAGAAATGATAAAAATGAAACAGAAATAAGACTCAAAAGAAATGAACAGAACAGCAGTGAGTGGTGGGACAATTTCAAGGGGCCTAATATTATGGGTAATTGGGGCACCAAAAGAGGATGGAGGGAAAGACATTTGAAGAACAATGGCCCTAAATTTTCCAAATTTGATGAAAACTATAATCCCACAGATCCAAGAAGCTCAACAAACCCAAATCCAAGCAAAGAAAAAGAAAAAAGAAAAAACCTACACCCAGGTATGTCATAATCAAATTGTTCAAAACCAGCAAAAAGTAAATATGTTAAAAGCAGCCAGAGGAAAAAAGATACCTTTCAGACAGAGGAAGAAAGATTAGGATTAGATTTCTGATTAGAAACAATGACAATGTAAGCAAGAAGATAGTCGAGCAACATTTTTAATAGTATTGAAAGAGAGAATTTCAAACTAGACTCCAATAACCAGAGAAAATATCTTTCAAAACAGAAACTGAAGTTGAATTAAATAAATTTTCAGAAATACAAATTTAAAAGATTCTATCACCCACCGACTATAAGAAATGTTAAAGGAAGCCTTTCAGGCAGAAGGGAAATGATACCAGATAGAAATATGGACCTATGCAAAGGAATGATGAGCATCAGAAATGGCAACTAGTCTCTGCTCCTCCTGTTTGACATACAGCTGCAGCTTCTCATGCAGCACCAGCTTTTAACTCTGGCAAAGTAAATATTGTCGCCATCAATGACTCCTTCATTGATCTCAACTACATAGTCTACATGTTCCAGTATAATTCCACCCATGGCAAGTTCCATGGCACTGTCAAGGCTGTGAACAGAAAGTGTGTCACCAATGGCAATACTATCACCATCTTCCAGGAGCAAGATCCCACCAAAATCAAATGGGTTGATGCTGGCATTGATTATGCTGTGGAATCCTCCAGTATCTTCAGTGTCTTGGAGATGGCTGGGGCTCACTTAGAGTGGGTAGCCAAAAGGATCATCATCTCTTACCTCTCTGCTAATGCCCCCATGTTTTTGGTGGGCATTAACCATGAGAAGTGGAAAAAAAAAACCTCGTGATCCCTAGCAATGCCTCCTGAACCAACAACTGCTTAGCCTCCCTGGCCAAGGTCATCCATGACAACTTTGGCATTGTAGAGGAGGACTTATGACCACAGTCCATGCCATCATTGCTACTCAGAAGACTGTGGATGTCCCCTCTGGGAAACTGTGGTGTGAGGGCAGGGCTCTCCAGAACATCATTCCTGCATCTACTGGTGCTGCCGAGGGTGTGGGCAAGGCCATGCCTGAGCTGAATGGGAAGCTCACTGGCATGGTCTTCCATATCCTCACTGCCAATGTATCAGTCGTGGACTTGATCTGCCATATGGAGAAACTTACCAGATATGATGATATCAATAAGGTGGTAAAGTAAAGTAGGCCTTGGAGAGCTCCCCTGAAGGGCATCCTGGGCCACACTGAGTACTAGGTTGTCTCCTCTGTCTTTAACAGTGACACCTGCTCTTCCTCTCTTCAATGCTGGTGAAATGCCCTCAATTACCACTTACTTTGTCAACCTCATTTCCTGGTATGACAATGAATTTGGCTACATCAACAGGGTGTTAGACCTTATAGTCCACATGGCCTTCAAGGAGTAAGAACTCCCTGGACCACCAGCCCCAGTGACAGCATGTGTGGAGGAGAGGGGCCTTCAGTGGCAGGGAAGTCCCTGCCACAGTCATTCACCTCCACACTGAGAATCTCCCCTTGACACAGTTTTCATGCCAGAAACCCTGAAGAATGAGAGGGGCCTAGGGAGCCCCACCTTGCCATGTACTGTACCATCATAAAGTCCCCGTACTCAGCCAAAAATAAAATAAAACAAAATAAAAAAGTAACCACATTGGTTAGTACATGACTTAAAAAAGTTGCTTACATCTCTTTATAAGATAATTTACTGCTTAAACAAAAATAATAACAATGTCACGTAGGGTACATAATATATGTAGAAGTAAAATAAACTACAACATTAGCACAAAGGCTAGAAAGAGAGAAATAGAAGTAAACTATTGTAAGGTTCTTAGACCATACAAGAAGTGGCAAAATATTACTAGAAGGGAGATTGTTATAACTTAAAGATTATACTGTAAACCACAAAGTAACCACTAAAATAATAAAATAAAGAATTGCAGCTAATTAGTTTACAAAGGACATATAATGGAATAATAAAAAATACTCAATACAAAACAAAAGGGCACAAAAAAGAGGATGAAAAAGTAAACAAAGAACAGTTAGGACAAATAGAAAACAAATATCATGACGGTGATGTCAATAAACATACTAAATGGAAATGTTCTAAACACCCTAATTATAATGCAGATATAATCAGATTGGATATAAAAGCAAGACCCCAATTATATGTGGCCCACAAGAAACCCCATGTAAAAATAAAGACACAAATAGATTAAAACTAAAAGGATGGAAGCACATACACTATCCTAGTATGAATTAATAGAAATCTGCACTGGCTATGTTAGTATCAGACAAAGTGAACTTCAGAGCAAAAAATATGACCAGGGATAAAGAAGGTCATTTCTTAATGATAAAGGAGTCAGTAAATCAAGAAGACACAGCAATCCTAAGTATTTCTGCACCTAATAATATAGCTTCAAAATATTTGAAGCAAAAACCAATAGAAC
Source organism: Homo sapiens (assembly GCF_000001405.40). Classification (NCBI taxonomy): domain Eukaryota; kingdom Metazoa; phylum Chordata; class Mammalia; order Primates; family Hominidae; genus Homo; species Homo sapiens. The sequence goes on along the minus strand of NC_000008.11, from coordinate 96,067,687 downwards.
TGCAAGGAGAAATAGACAAATCCACAATTTTAGTCACAGATTTTAATGCCCTTTTCTCAGTTTATGAAACAACAAGACAGAAAGTCAGGAAGCATATAGAAAACTTGAACAATGCTATCAACCAATTTGACCTAGTTGACACTTATAGACTGCTCCTCCCAACAACAGCAGAATACACATTCTTTTCAAGTACACAGGGAAGAAGTTTATCAAGGACCAAGTACACACCAAACAAATCAACACACAGTTTAGCAAGATGGACCATGTTCTAGGCCATAAAATATGTTTCAATAAATTTGAAAGAATTCGAGTCATACAAAGTATATGTTTAGAAATGGAACTAATTAGAAATCAATGACATAAGGAAATCTGGAAAATTCTCAAATATATGGGAATTAAATAATATGCTAAAAAACTTGGCTTTCACTCACCTTTACTGAGGAAGCAAAAACTATGTGTTCCAGCACAATTAGAGAGTAAAATAAGGAAGGGAAAAACTTGAGCTTCAGAATATAGGAAATTCTAGACAAGATCTTGTAAAATCGAAGTTCAGAATAACAGCCATCCTTAAGAGAGCAGCCGGTTTAGAATTCGGAAACTGGAGGGAGAATTTCATGAGGAAGGTATCCAGGAACAACATAAAATTGATACATCATCTGGTATGTTTAAACATAGGCATATGATGGAGAGGTTTGAAACATCTAAGGATATTGTTTATAGATATGGTATCTTTTATCTCATAAAAGATATAGATGATTATGATAAAAGGGAGGTAATTAAGTAATACCAGTAAAAATCAAAAAGTACAAGAAGCATAATTATATTGTAGCATTTGCTATGCAGAGAACAATATTTTATGTTGTTATGATGATGGAAACAACAGTTACTGATTTTACTAAAAACTCTGATAACTGTATTGGGAAGGTGAAGGAAAGGAAAAGGTATATTGGGGTTAGAGAATTTGATATCTATCATAACAGCAGTAAATAATGCATCTATTTGATAAATCAAGAGGTAAATTCTTATTTAAAATAATGGCAGAAATATAAGAAATGGTTTTTAAAAGTTAAAAAATATTGCTCTTGGAAATTACGTTAGGAAAAAGTGACAGGGAAGACATTCTTCGTTATAAACTCTGCTTAGTTTTGATTAAGATAAAACTCTGTGTAAGTATTTTTTGGTGAAATATTTTTAAACAAGAAATGAAACCAACTAAACAGAAATCAGTCATGTCGCCTATTACTCTCTACTTCAACTAAGAACAGAATAAGAAAAAATAGTCAATTCCTTGGGGATGGTTCACTGTCATCTGAGCTGTAGTAGGTAAAGCAGAATATGTCCTAGGTATAAAATTTTGACACACTTCTATAGCATTTAACAAAGTTTACTAACTCATAATGTTGGGTTGTAAGGGTAATGACATTTAAAAATAATATTTAAAAGGGACATTCTAATAGACAATTAATGGAGAGGGTGGGGAGCATCAAAAAACTCAGTAATCAAAGTAAATAATATGTTAATGCAATATTTTAAAATTAAAATCTGCAAAATAAATGCAAAACATTCATAATGAATACAATATCAAAATTTTAAATAAAAATAGGATCAGTATCGCCGAATTTTTTCTTTTGTCTTAGGCTCCAGTATGGCCCAGTATGGCACGGGTTTAACTTATAAATATTAAGGGTTCTGGGTACGGGGAGAATAATAATCATCCTCTTTCACATCTCATAACTCTGCATGAAGATGAACTATTGTCATGAGGGAAAGTTTTTTGAAGACTTTAACATGCTGTATAAATATGAGTTGTTTCAAATAATCTCCATAGTGCTTTATTACCTACTAAATCATTCATTCTGATCAAAGGTGTATGGTTTCTGGTGTCTTCTAGCAAACTCATCAATCCTGTATTTTCTTCAATGACCTTAGCAAAATGAATAATTCTTCTAGATACCATTTTCTTTGCAGGTGACTAGTGTTTAGTGTTATTAACCATCTGTTCCATTTACTTTACTCGCCACAAGTAAAGGGCAATTTGTCCAAATTCCAGTGTTGATTTTTTTCTGTGCTCACAGCATGGACTGTAACAATGGGGTGAGACTCAATGCATTTTCTGTCTTGGAGAAAGCGCACCTGTGAGAGAGTGAGCCATAGACCTCCAACATTTTGAAAGCAATTGGGGAATTTGGAAGCCAATAGGTAACTAGTGGAAGAAATAGAGTCATACTTCTGAGTAGGCACCTTCCTCAAAGACCTGTTTCTCTCAAGGTCCATCTTTCTAATTGCTGACTTTGCACAGACTCCACAACAACCTGCATACCATAATCTGAAAGGAAAGGTCAATCTAAAGGTCACAGGTTTTAAGGGTGCTACTTCAAAGACATTTATCTCCTTTACAACACCATTAGGCTTGGGTAATGGTCTATTGTCTTTCATCATCCCAACCTCTTCACCTGCTTGTTTACTCTGAGTCTAACCTCAGAATTTAAGCCCCAGCATAAATGGATGCTTTCCTGCTACTTAACATGGGCCCAATGGAAGCTTGTTCATAGTCTAACTTCCAATTGTCAGTTGTTTAAAGGAAATACAGTTACTAAGAGAGGGATATGGTTTAGTCTTTTGGATAAACGATGAAAAGGAAAAGAACTTTTTAGATAAATGATTAACAATGAAGAAAATAGCTTTATGCATTAAGTTGCTTATTGTAGTTTTATTGGTATTTCTAAAAAAATCAGGAGCATAAATATCCAACGATAAAAATTGCTATATTTTCATAGTACTGATCTAAATATTTTATATCTGATATCTTACTGAATCCTCATTGTAACTCTATGAAGCAGGTATTATTGTTAGTCCCATTTTGCTGATGAAGAAAACTATTTTACGAAGAGGTCATGTTATTTTTCAAGGTCCTAGTAAGTGGCAGAGATGGCATTTGAACCCAGGCAGTGTGGCTGTGAAGCAGGGTCTTTAGCCTCTATGCTAGGCTGCCTTGCACACAAAGGAATAATATACCAACTTGGTGCTTCATTTTTCAACTTTTACAATGGTAGAAAGTCTATGTAGCAACATAAAAAATATAAATTAAATATAAATTTCATGACCTTGTTATTTAAACTATATAAAATATATAACAGTGTAGATAAAGACTGAGAGGTAATAGGAAGAACTGACTTAGGTCAAGGACCCCAAGTGGTCAAAAGAAAAAAAAATTACAAAACCGAAATATGACAGGAAAGGCCCTTGGTAGAATCTAAGTATTACTAAGAACTGCTCCTGACTAAATTCCATTTTCCAAATTCAGCTTTGTCCCTAGATTATGACATTCTGGAAACTTCTGGAAAGGTTCTTAGGGAAGTCTTTTACTGAAGCATGTTATCCAACTCTCTTTGACTGCTTGAATCACAGACTCATTTACCCTCGTATGGCTGATACTCAACATCTATTTCCTTCTACATAGTCCTCCCTGTAACACAAACAGCAATAATGAAAATAGTTCTGGTAGTGTGCTATTGGGATTGTGTTGATCATTTTCTCTTATTAGAAATGTTTTTCTGTTGTAAACATAAATAAGGTAAAATTGGACATGAGCCTGCAAATTAAAAAAAAAAGATGCTCCCATAATGATGAATGAGGTGACATTTGAAAGAACATGTAGTATTGGGAAAAAAAGGAAATGATGAATTCCAGACAGAGTCAGTGATCAATTTACATCAATCCATTCATCTATTCAGCAAATATTTATTGAGCACCCACCATGTGCCAGGCATTGTGCATGTGCTGGATATTCAGAGGTGACCACAATGGATAAGATCCTGACAGTCTCAGAATTTACTGTATAATCGGTGGACTTTAAGCAGGTAAATATAAATATGTAATTACTAACTGTGAAGTGATATGAAGGAAAAAGCAGAGTGTCAAGACTAAGAATAATCTGGGGACCTGCTTTAGACTGAGCACTCAAAACTGGTCTTCTTGATGAAGTGAGGCTTAAGATAAGACTGAAAGATGAAAGGAGATTGGCCATACCATAAGTCACTGTAAGCACTCTTCAGGGGAGGGAACAATAGGATGCGTAAGGACTCTGAGGTGGTAAAGAAAAGGTCAAAAAGGCTGAAGTGTAGTGAATGAAGAGGGGAATGAGGTAGGCAAGGGGTGAGATACAGGTCATGTGAGAGTAGAGGATTTAATTATAAGTGTACAAGAAACTATTGAATATCATTCTGGATGTTTAGAGAATAAACGTGAGGGTTACAAGAATGAAAATAAAAAGGCTATTGCAGATGTCCAAGTAAGACTTGGTTGACCCTTGACTAGAGTGTTGGCAATGAAGATGAAGAAGAGAGGAAGAATTGAAGAAATATTGTGTTGAGAGAATTCTCAGAATTTAGATGAGGGGTTGCACTTGGGAGGAAAATGAAAGTAACAAAAGCATGTATTAGGCAGGGTAGGAGCTGCTGTAACAAGCATCCCTTTCCAAATCTCAATGACTTAACCCACTATTTTCTTGCTCATGTCACAGTCCAATATGGGTCTACAGGAGAGTGAGGGAGATCTGCTCCACAACTTGTGGCGCCTCCATTTTCAACAGGTGGCCTCTAAAGAGTATAAAGAGAAAGCATAGAGGATCATAAAGGACATTTTAGGAGCCAGGCCAGATGTGGAGTTCATTACTTTCACCTACAATCCCACTGGCCAGAGCTCAATGACATAACTATGTTACTTTAGGGGGTGCTGGGAAATGTAATCTGGCTGTATGTTCAGGTAAAAAAAAAGTGAAATAGGTTTGTGAACACACAGCATTATCTATGCTCCAAATGACTGGCTGGTTTTGGCTTGAATAACTGGCTGGATGGTGTCAGCTCTATCTACATACTCAGCTGGGGAAGACTAGAGGAGGAATACGTTTGTGGGAAGAGATTGCTATGGTCTAAACACTTGTATTCCACCCAAATTCATATGTTGAAATCTTAACCCTGTTGGCCATTTGTATGTCTTCTTTTGAGAAATGTCTATTCTTATCCTTTGCCCACTTTTAAACGAAATTATTTATTTTTTGTTCTTTTACTGTTGAATTATTAGAATTCCTTGTATATTCTGGCTATTAGTCTCCTGTAGGATGAATAGTTTGCAAGTAGTCAAATATTTACTCCCGTTCAACAGGTGGTCTCTTCACTCTTGATTAGTTCTTTTGCATTGCAGAAGCATTTTAGTTTAATTAAGTCCCATTTGTCTATTTTTGTTTCTGTTGCCTGTGCTTTTGAGGTCTTTGTTATAAATTCTTTGCCTACATCAAAGTCCAGGAGAGTTTTCCCTATGTTTTCTTCAAGTATTTTTAGAGTTTCAGGTCTTATGTTTAAGTTTTTAATCCATCTTGAGTTGATTTTTTATGTATAGTGAGATATAGGGGCATAGGGGTTCCATGTCATTCTTTTGCATGTGGCTAATCCAACTTTCCCAGCACCATTTATTGAAGAGGGCATCCTTTTCCCCATGTAAGTTTTTGTCAGTTTTGTCAAAGATCAGTTGGCTGTAAGTATATGGCTTTATTTCTGAGTTCTCCCTTCTGTTAAATTGGTCTATGTATTGATTTTTATACCAATACCATGCTGTTATGGTTACGATAGCCTTGTGATATCTGCTGGTACCTTGATCTTAGATTTCCCAGCCTCCAAAACCATAAGAAATACATTTCTGTTGTCTATAAGCTACTCAGTCTATGGTATTTTGTTATGGAGGCCCAAATGGACTAAGACAAAGATCAAGCAATCGGTTTTAGACTTGCTAAGCTTGAGTTGCATAGTAGCCATTCAGGTAGAGATGTCAGGTAGGCAGTTTGATACTCATGTACTGAATTCAGTTTTTGGTTAGATACATAAGCCACTAGGAAATATGTAGGTAATTTGATCAAGGTCATGCACATTGACTGTGTATTTGCTTAGCTATTAATTATTTACTGAGCACTTATTGTGTTCCAGGCATTGTGCTAGGCACAGGGTAAATAGGGTTATACACAATAGTTAATACGTTTAGAGCTTTGATTCTACTGGAGACAGACAAACAATAAAGCAAGACAAATAAGTAAAATACATAGTATGTTGAATGTTGATAAAATCTAGAGAAAAATAGAGAAGGGGACTAAGGAGTGAAGTGGATTGGCTATTGCAATTTTAAACAGGGTGGTCAGGGAAGACTTCACTAGGAAGGTGACTTCTGACCAAAGACCTAAAAGGAGATGAAGATCAAGACATGTGGTTAACCAGAGAGTGGAGATTTAGGCCAGAAAATACTAAATGTAAATGCCCCAAGGCTGGATGTGACTGGCTTTGGCTGGACTGGACTAGGAGAGGAGGGGTGAGAATGAAGTGGCTGAGGTCATAGAGGTAGTGGGTAGGGGTTGAGCCAGACTGTGTAGGTCTTATAAACCCTTATAGGACTTTATCTTTTACTTTGGCCATGCAATTTATGTTTATTTAAAGTTTTCTTCTAAAAGTTGAATAATCACTCACTTTTTGAATTTTCCTTTAGTCCTCTGTCCTGCTTTAGAATACAATATAAAACAGGGTAGAATCACCTCATTTTATAGTAACACACTGGTTAGAGTACTGTTTCTGTGAGGCTAGGCACTGTATTCACAGATACATTAAACAAGAGAAACTAAATATGTATTTTTTCAATGGCTTATTATTTAGTAGTCATTAGGCCAGGCACTGCAGATACAAAGATAAAAGAGATATGATTCCACTTACAGAACTTCCTGAAACAGATCATTTTTAATATATCATGTTAAGTACAGATAGATACATGCAGAGGGTGTTGCAGAAAGCTGTTTAGCAAATGGAATATGTGCCAGGAGAGGTCAATGCTTGAGGCAAGACTTAACAAGTGAGTAGGCTTCATACAAGCAAAGATGGTGGAAGTACAAGTGAGTGAAACAGAAGTAAGTGTTCAGAAAGACAGTTTGGGCAGAGTAGACAGTGTCAAATCAATGAATATCATATTTAATGGAAGGTAAGAGAATTAAGGTCAGAGAATATTTTGGAAAAAAGTTTGCATGACAAAATCCTTATTCCACACATTTCTATTAAAAATAATTATGAGAACTTCCAATCTAAAAAAAAAAGCACATACGCTCCAAGAACTCAAAAAAATTATCTAGACTCTCACTTTACAGATGAGGGAACTGAGAAGAGAAGAGGCTAAATGACTTGTTTAACACCAAACAGCAAATAAGTGGCTGCTGTAGGACTCAAAGCCGTGGGTAATGGTTAAGCTGATGCTGTCCCAAGTGCTTCCTCAAAAATAAACAAACTTTTTGTTCTGGTTTCTTTATCACTTGGAATATGCATCTTTTTGAGCCCAAGTGTACTTCCAAGTATTTTTGGAGACTTCAGGATGGTTCCTAAACTCTCTGTGAATTTGTTTTCAAACACCTGTTAGAATTGGTCTTACTCATTGGTTTCTGCTTGGAGGATTGCTCTCAGCCCAGTACAACTGTTCTTCTACTGAGACTTTCTCCAAAAAATATAGAATTTGTTGGTTCTACTTAGTTTTCAGTTTTGCTCTGTTAATTTTTCTCCTTCAGTCTTGGAGAACACAGAGAACTCATGAGGCTAATTTAGGGCAGATATGCTAAAAGTCAAAAGTAATGTTTTCTCTTTGCAGAAAACACCCCAGGGGGCAGAGAATGCAGGAAATTGTGTGTCACTGTGATGAAAAGCAAATGAAAGGCTTTACAGCAGAAATGTTGGTCTCTGATCATCTAACACGTCCATCACAACTTGCAGATGTGTTGTGTAGACACCAGCCAACTGAGCATCCAAAAACAGATTCTTCTCATTCTCTTGTTCACCACGTCCTTCACTGGAACTCTCAGAGATCAGTAGGAAGCAGTAGATGTTGTGAGAAAAATGTGAGAGCATGTGTAACTTTAACGATAATTAGATTAGAATGTAACATGTGACCTTGCATAAGGAAAGAACTCCCTTGAAACTATAGTTGCTTTCCTCTTATTGAATAAATGTCATGGTTATTTTATTTTATTAATATATGGTTATCCAAATGAGATAATTCCTGTTTCAGTTACCTGGGGAAGAGAAATATCCCAGATAGGAAGTGAGACAGGAGATCTGGCAATGTCGGCGCAGAAAGAACTCGTGATCTAGTCTTTAAGGGTTTCATGTGTCCGGGAAGATTTTCCTTTAAGAAAGACTTAAAGTTGGCATCTATCTAGAGGAGGCAAAGCAGGAGGTAGGAAGAAGTCTCAAAATATCATTTATTTCTCTGTGCTTCAGTCAGCCGTAGCTTGTAAATAAGATTAGTTAGATTCATAATCCTTTCTGAATTTATTTCCCCTTTGTTGTATCCCAGAAGCAATGAATCTTGGGCACACTTGAGCAAGCAGTTTTGTTTTTTTTTTTTTGTTTTTGTTTTTGTTTTTTTTTACATTTCTATCATTCTGTTTAATGATTATATATTACCGATTACTTTTGCCACTGAGAGTCAAGGTTTATATCTTTCACATGCCAGTTTTTAACCCCCTTAAAAAATGCAGGGGTGTTATCCCTTCTATCCTGCTCCGCACACATTCTAAAGAAGCCAAGAGTCATTTACCGTGGCCCGTACATTCTTTGACATGGCATTTCCCTAGCTCTTCTATTTGTCACTTGGGCCAGTTTTAAAGGAGTGAATGTCCTGAGGCCAGAGATAATCAAGGAGAGACTCTAAAATAGTAGTTCCATCTGGGGGCAATTTTGCCTCCCAGGGGACATTTGGCAACGTCTGGAGACATTTTTGGTTGTCTTAACTGGTGGAGAGGATGCTATGGTCATCTAGTGGATAGACAAGGGATAATGCTAAACTGAGTCCTGCAATGCACAGAATATCCCCACAATAGAGGACGATACAGCTTACAATGTCCATAATGCTAATATTGAGAAACTCTGCCCAGAAAGGGAAGATGAATCTCAAGAGAACAGAATTGGCATCATGTGGCCCAGATGTTTCCTACTTCCAGAAGATTTTCCTTTCAATGCTACCTCTGGAGGTTCTGGGTTTTCATTGTGACTGGGATAAGCAACATTTCCTTATTCCCATCTTAAGTAATATGCTTTTCCTATTGCCAAATCTGAGAAACCTCCTTGACTTCTCCCACTCTCCAAGTCGTTAATACCAAATATTGATTGATATTATACTAGTCTTATAAACTAAACTGTGCACTGGGGATAGAAAGAAATTTGAGACGTTATCCCTTCCCAGAGATGACTAAAGCCTTACTTGAGATCCCTGACATGTCCCTGTCTTTATAAAATTTCTTTTATAAAATAACTTGGTTATTTAGAAAAATGGGCCTTAGCTCCCACTGTGAGCAGGTAGGTTTGAATCTTCTTCTAGGTACTCCCAGAGTCAAGAAGTCATTCCTGAAGTTTATAACAAACACCTGTGACAGTAAGATATTTGCAATCCTTTTAACCTAACCAATCATGAAATATAAAAAGTGTTTGGGCCGGGCGCGGTGGCTCATGACTGTAATCCCAGCACTTTGGGAGGCCAAGGCGGGCGGATCACAAGGTCAGGAGATCGAGACCATCCTGGCTAACACGGTGAAACCCCGTCTCTACTAAAAAATACAAAAAAAATTAGCCAGGCGCTGTGGTGGGCACCTGTAGTCCCAGCTGCTCGGGAGGCTGAGGCAGGAGAACAGCATGAACCCGGGAGGCGGAGCTTGCAGTGAGCTGAGATTGCGCCACTGCACTCCAGCCTGGGTCACAGAGCTAGACTGCATCTCAAAAAAAAAAAAAAAAGTGTTTGGTATTAACTGTTCAAGGTTCTCAAATTGTGTTATGCTTTGACTTCTTAGTGGGTTCTAATGTCTCAACTACATATTGCTCATTGCATTTTCCCTTGATAGAATGAGGATTGATTTCTCCCTCCCTCCCTCCCTTCCTTCCTTCCTTCCTTCCTTCCTTCCTTCCTTCCTTCCTTCCTTCCTTCCTTCCTTCCTCTCTTCCTCTCTCCCTCTCTCCCTCTCTCCCTCTCTCCCTCTCTTTCTCTCTTCCTCTCTCCCTCTTTCCTCTCTTTCTCTCTCTCTCTTTCTTTCTTGTTTTTTTGTTTTTCTTTTCGGGGTCTTGTGTTCTGTTGCCCAGGCTGGAGTGCAGTGGAGCAATCTTGGTTCATTGCAACCTCTGCCTCCGGGGTTCAAGCGATTCTCTCACCTCAGCCTCCTGAGTAGCTGGGATTATAGGCTCACGCCACCACACCCGGCTAATTTTTGTATTTTTTGTAGATACGGAATTTGGCCATGTTGCCCAAGCTAGTCTCCAACCCCTGAGCTCAGGTGATCCACCTGCCTTGGCCTCCCAAAGTGTTGGGATTACAAGCATGAGCCACGGCGCCTGGCCAGGATTGATTTATTTTTTAAAGAAGACCTGCTTTAAGAGAGTTATTCTTGAATCTCGTTTTTTTAACAAAAGAAAGGCAGGATTGGAGACTGTCAAACATTGTTGGGGACTATTAGTTGCCAATTCTGAACAGACCTAGAGTTTTTGGTATGTGTATATATTATAGCCCCCTCCACAGCAAACAAAAGAGTAGAAACCACTGGGCACCCTAGCTTGGTGGGTGGGTTTGAGGGGGTGAGGACAGACAAATCAATAATCCTACAATTTTTATAAATTATAAAAGAAATAGGAAGAAAATGTAATTGTTGTGAAAATGCAATAGCAATCGACATCTTAATAATTTAAAACTGTAGGTAGTTTTCCCTAGAAGTACAACACTTATCTCTTATTTCTATATATATATTTCCTTATTTTTTTTTTTATGTTTACACAGTGGGCCTCTTCCTTTTATATTATCAGCTGTGTGTGAGGTCTGCAGTTTAGGCTTTGATTCTGACTTATTGACTCAAGAATGCCAAGGGCTATTATTTCTACAAGGTAAAATGGAATATATTAAAGCTCCTGTTCAGCCAAAATCTCATTACTAAAGAAATAAATTAGATTAAAGGTGTTATCGTCCCACAGAAGGATTTTAAAGGTGGGAAATATGTAAACGTGCAGTAGAGAATGAGATACTTTATAGAATTCAGAGAGTTAGTTGGAAAACCTGACCACAAGATAATTCAATTGAGGTGACTTCCAAAACACTTATTGAATGCCTGTTGCATATACTAGAATTAAAATAAAATGCGATTTTAAAACTGAGAAATCGGTGCAATGCTTTGTCTTAATTTAAAAATTATTATTATTTTTTCAATTCAAATGTATTAATCCTACCATGAAGATACCTGATAACATTTTCTGGCATCTATACATCTTGACAAATTAAAATTAAAGTTACAAACATTTAATTAACAAATCAAAATTAACAAATATTTACTGAGTACCTACTACATAAAAGCAACTGTTTTAAACACAAGTGAGGTAGAGCAGAGTTAGGAGGAGGTATAAACACAGGTAACAGCAGGCTCCTAACCTCAAGTATCTTACAGATTAAGCCATTTGTACTTAGTTCAGTCCCAGTCTCGGAGAGAAATATATGTGGTGTGTGGGTGGTGGCGGCGGTGTGTGTGTGGTGTGTGTGCATGTTTACCATGCCACTGGCATACTAACCACTGAGAAGTGTCCAACTGAGAAAGAGTTGGACAAGGAGCTAATACCAATCTTCCTTGTAAAATTCTTCATTAAACTACTGATAGGATGTACAGAGAAAGCTAAAGATCTCTTATAAACAATTGAGATTTGTTTAGAAACTGTGAACAATTACGGATTTCTGGAGAGCTGTTGAAACAAAAACCAAAGCAAGAAATAAACGAGTGTATCATGTGATACTAAAGTGTAGCAGAGGATTGCTCCCCCTTCCCCCAGAACTATGAATACAAAGAGAGGGAGGGAAGGTATCTGGCTATTTACATGAAAAATGACTCTCCCCTATAATCACCTTCTGTCAATAAAATGCTTATTTTCTGACATGTCAATTAGGTGATTCATAATCCAGATGACCATCCCCTTCCATTTAGTACTGTTGGGCTGGGTTAAATGTCTTAAGTGTTTACCCTTTATGACCAGTGGCCTGGATCTGTTCTCAGTCAAACTGGGCCACTCATGACATGTTTGCCTGTAGGATTTCTCTTGAGGTAAAGTAACCATTATTATCAGATTTTAAACTGAACGGCAGATTAGGACAGTGGTTTTGCCATCAGCGGTGAAGAATGCTTGTTTTATAGTACCGTGTATCCAAAATACGAAGTTTGTGGGAAGAGTATGATGCAAAATAAATAGCCTGTAATTTACAGAATTACGGAGAATGAGGCTTATGGGGCTGAGCTTGGTACTTCAAAGGAATCGTCTGTTGTTCAAAAGCCCATTATTAGGGAGGGATGATTTGTCCTCAGCATCTTTAGCTAATTTTAAAAGATTTGACTGATAATGAGGTAAATTTTAAAATAAAAATGGAGATAAAATTCACGCGACGTAAAGCCTGCCATTTTAACCACTTAAAAGTGTACAGTTCACTGACTTCCAGTACATGAAATAGTCATTTTTCAAAAGATTAGTGAACAGGATTCTAAGGTATGGAAAATAAAATTAAGCACATTGAAATTTTCATTCATAAATACATCCAATTCTACCTAACAAATATTAAATAAGTACAGTATTAATATATCAGAATGCTCTTTTGTAATTCTATGATGAAATCTTCAAATAAATGATATATTTTATTGCTACTGAAGGTACAAATTGTCAATCAGTTTTACAATCAAAGTTAGAAGGGTGTTTGCAGCTTTAATTCTGAGGAAAGGCAGATGGAGTTTAAAATATCCACATTGTCAACTTACTTTGCAAAAATGATATTTGGAGAATGTTTGAATGGAAACTTTGAAAATAGTTCTGGAAACTAGAAAACATAATTTTTGATAGCTAAGAATTAGATTTTTGTGAAGACATGTTTGCTGATAGGCTATATTTCGGATAAGACTGCTTTTTACTACTTTGGAGTACATGTATGAGGAATACAGAAATCGCAAGTTTAAAACTTCAGACTGCCATGTAAATGACATAGTAAGCTAGTGAGAGACTTTGGGTTAGTAAGTAGAAAATAGAAGACAAAAATTTGTTTTGGCTGAAAGTAGATCCTTTTAACCAGTGGTTCTTCGCTAGCGATGGAGGTATGTTCCCATAAAGGTAAGTACAACTTCCTAGAGGCTCTTTTAAATTACAAGTCCTCTGAGGCACCCTGCTACCCTTTCCCCGCCAAATTTTGATTTGTCCTACTGGTACATGGTGAGTAGTAATAACCTCCTCCTCAGCTGAGACCCAAGAAGGGAAGGTAACCACTGGTCTTAACCAACAAGACTTTCGTTAGTAGATATATAGAAATACTTTTTTATTTGAATCACACGTAGTTGGAATTTATAATAATTTTTTGAAGAGTTAGGGTTTATCTCTGAGTTATTTGTGAAGGAAAAGACTTACTAAGTAGCTGACCAGAGTAAAAATATTAAAGCCTCAATCATTTACAAGTGTATTGGTAAATACAGAGAAAGAATTCTATTTCATTAAGATAGAACTACTATGGACCTCTGCATGGCCGTCTTTTTTACACTACAGCTGTATTTCCTAAACAGTTGTGGCGAGGGAGAATTTGATAAATAAATTTGAGACATATTGAGTTAAATAAATTGAAGTTAGCTTACAGATTTCTCAGCCACTTTAAATTACCATTGATATTCCAAGAGGGCCTTGTCTGATAAGCAAATTTTGCCACTTGATTAGTGTTTTAATTTGTATTTTTCTTTACATTGGTGAAGTTGCAGAACATCTTTTCATCTTTTTATTTTTCTGTACATTGCCTGTTCATATCATTTACCTGTGTTCCTATTGGGCTTTTGGTCTTTTTCTCACATTCCTTTTGTATTACACATGTTGCAAATATTTTCATTCTGTTACTTGTCCTATAATTTTTTTTTTTTTTTTTTTTTTTTTGAGATAGAGTTTCGCTCTGTCGCCCAGGCTGGAGTGCAGTGGCGCGATCTCGACTCACTGCAAGCTCCGCCTCCCGGGTTCACGCCATTCTCCTGCCTCAGCCTCCTGTGTAGCTGGGACTACAGGCACGCGCCACCATGCCCAGCTAATTTTTGTATTTTTAGTAGAGACGGGGTTTCACCGTGTTAGCCAGGCTGGTCTCGAACTCCTGACCTCAAACAACCCTCTTGCCTTGGCCTCCTAAAGTGCTAGGATTACAGGCATAATCCTTAGCACTGTGCCCAGCCTAATTCACTTTAATTTAATTTTATTGTTAATAAATTTTATAGTGTACACTCAAGGTTTACAACATGATGTTATGGGGTAAATATAGATAGTAAAATGGATACCATACTGAAGCAAATCTCATATAGTTACTATTTTTATGACAAGAACAGCTAATATCTACTTAGTAAACAAAAATCCCAAATATAATATGATTTATTAACTATAGTCCTTATGTTGTGCTTTAGATTCCTAGACTTGTTTATGCTACATATCTACTACTGTGAGAAAATAAGCTTATTTGCTACTTTGTATCCTTTGGCCTGCATCTTTTCATTTCCTCCACCTGCCTCCCCCATTCCCTGTAACCACAGTTTTATTTTCTATCTATATATTTGACCCTTCTTTTTAAAAAAAATTCCACATGTGAGATCATGTGATATTTTTCTTTCTGTGCCTGGCTTATTTCACTCAGCATAATGTCCTCCAGGTCCATCCATGTTGTAGCAAATAGCAGGATCTCCTTTTTTTTTTAAAAGGCTTAATAATATTTCATGTGTGTGTTATTTATATATTTTATCCATTGATGGATACTTATGTTGTTTCCATATCTTCTCTATTGTGCATAATGTTGCAACAAACATAGAAGTGCAGGTATCTTTACAAGGTGGTGATTTCATCTCCGATACCAGAAGAGGGATTGCTGGGTGATATGGTTTGTCTCTGTGTCCCCACCCAAATCTCATCATGAATTGTACTCCCATAATTCCTATGTGTTGTGGGAGGGACCTGGTGGGAGATACTTTGAATCATGGGGGCAGTTTCCCCCATACTGTTCTCGTGGTAGTGAATAAGTCTCATGAGATCTGATGGTTTTATCAGGGGTTTCTGCGTTTGCATCCTTCCCATTTTCTCCTGCTGCCACCGTGTAAGAAGTGCTTTTTGCCTCCAGCCATGATTCTCAGGCCTCCCCAGCCATGGGGAACTGTAAGTCCAATTAAACCCCTTTCTCTTTCTAGTCTTCAGTATGTGTTTATCAGCAGCATGAAAATGGACTAATACACTGGGTCACATGAGATTTCCATTTTTAAATTCTTTAGGAACCTCCATACTATTTTTCATAATGGCTAAACCAGTCTACCTTCCCACCAACAGCATATAACGGTTCTCTTTTCTCCACATCCTGGCCAACATTTGTTATCTCTCATCTTTTTGATAATAGCCACCTTAATGGGTGTGAGGTGATATCTTACAGTGTTTTTAATTTGCTTTACCCTGATAATTAGTGATGTTGAGCACATTTTCATATGCTTGTTGACTATTTTTATATCTTCTTTAGAGAAAGTCTTTTCAGGTCCTTCATTCTTTTATTTTATTTATTTATGTATTTATTTATTTATTTATTGTGATTTAATTTTGAGAGTTTTTTAAAAAATAAATTTTAATTATTAATTCTTTTTCAGGTATGTGGCTTGCAAATATGTTTTCCCGGTCCACAGATTGCCTTTTCATTTTGTTGTTTCCTTTGCTTTGCAGAAGCTTTTTAGTTTGATGTAGTCTTATTTATTTATTTATTTTTGCTTCTGTAGAATGAGATTTTGGTATGGGATCCAAAAAAATCACTGCCGAGGAGTTTTTCCCTATGTTGTTTTCCAAGAGTTTTATGGTTTTAGTCTTACATTTTGGTCTTTTATACATTTTGAGTTGATTTTTTGGTCTGGTGTGAGATAAGGATCTGATCTCATTGTTTTGCACGTGGAAATCTAATTTTCTCTGTACTATTTATTGAAGAAATGATTCTTTTCCCCATTAACATTTTAATTTTATTAATTTTAAGTTTTATTAGTCACCTTTGGATAGTGGCTACATATTTGAACAACAAAGATATATCTTTGACCTGTCTGAAATTTGTTTTTATGTTCATTGTGGATTAGAGATTTTTCCTATACGAATGTCCAATTATCCTGACATTATTTCTTGACCAGTCTTTATTATTCCTCATAATTTGAAAAGTTACTTCTGTCATATTACAAATTCCCATGTATATATAAATCTGTTCTGAACCATAATTTCTTTCATTGATCCATTCGTCCATCCTTGAGCCAATACAGCATGTTTTAAATTACTCTTTATCAAGTTGATAAGACATTTCCTGTTATTTTTCTTCTTTTTCAGAATTTTGTTGCCTCTTTTTGCATATTTTCTTTTCTAGGTGAAGTTTAGAATTGGCTTGCCAAGTTTCATGAAGTTGTTCTGTTAAGTTTTTTTTGCTATTATTATTATCACACAATTTGATGTGATCTAAGTAATACTTAAATTTTTTTATACTTATATTTGTACATATTTATGGGGTACATGTGTATCTTATTACATGCATAGAATATGTGATGATAAAGTCAGAGTTTTAGGGTATCCATCACCCAAGTATTTATCATTTCTATGTATTGGGTACATTTTGAGTCCTCTTTTCTAGCTATTTTAAAAGTACAATACATTGCTCTTAACTATACTCACCCTACTCTGCTATCAAACATTAGAACATTTATTTATTTATTTATTGAGACAGAGTCTCACTCTGTCACCCAGTCTGGAGTGAAGTGGCACGATCTTGGCTTACTTCAATCTCTGCCTCCTGCGTTCAAACGATTCTTGTGCCTCAGCCCCAAGTAGCTGGGATCACAGTCACATGCCATCACGCTCAGCTAATGTTTGTATTTTTAGTAGAGATGGGTTTTGCCATGATGGCCAGGCTGGTCTTGAACTCCTGACCTCAAGTGATCCATCTGCCTCAGCCTCCCAAAGTGCTGGGGTTATAGGCGTGAGCCACCATGCCCAGCTTGTATTTCTTTTATCTAACTATATGTTTGTACCCATTCACCAACCTCTCTTTATCTCCCCACCCCCACCCATATGTCCTTCCCAGTTTCTAGTATTTATCATTCTCTTTAGTATTATCATACTCTCATGTGATCAACTTTTTTCACTCCCACATATGACTGAGAACATGCAATATTTGTCTTTCTGTGCCTGGCTTATTTCACTGAACACAATGACCTCTAATTCTATCTATGTTGCTGCAAATGACATAATTTCATTCTTTTTCATGGCTGAATAGTATTACAATGTGTATAAATACATTTTCTTTATCCATTCATTCACTGATGGACTTGTAGGTTGATTTTACATGTTTGCTATTGTGAATAGTGCTGCAATAAACATGGGAGTACATGTTTTCCCTTGATATATAGATTTGTTTTCCTTTGGGTAAATACCCAGTAATAGGAGTGCTGGATCTCTTGGCAGTTTTATTTTTAATTTTTTGAGAAATCTCCATACTGTTCCATAATGGCTTTACTAATTCACATTCACTCCAACAGTGTATAATAGTTTCCTTTTCTCCACATCCTTGCCAATATGTTATTTTTTTGTCTTTTTGATATTAGCCATTCTGCCTGGGGTAAGATGATATCTCATGGTGGTTTTCATTTGCATTTCCGTGATCCTGATGATTAATGATGCTAAGCATTTTTTTTCTGTTGTCCATCTTATTTTGAGAAATGTCTATTCATCGTCTTTGCCCATTTTTAATGGGATTATTTGTTTTTGTTTTGTTTTGTTTTGTTTTTGTTTTTGTTTTGTTTTGTTTTACCGTTGAGTTGTCTGAGTTCCTTGTATATTCTGGCTATTAGTACCCTGCTGGATGAGTAGTTTGCAAATATTTACTCCCATTCAACAGATTGTCTCTTCACTCTGTTGATTGTTACTTTTGCTGTGCAGAAGATTTTTAGTTTAATAGTCCCATCTGTCTATTTTTGCTTTTGTTGTCTATGCTCTTAAGGCCTTAGCCATAATATCTTTGCCTAGACCAATGTCCTGAAAAGTTTTCCCTAAGATTTCTTCTAGTAGTTTTTACAGTTTTGGGTTTTAGGTTTAAGTCTTTTTCCATCTTGAGTTGATTTTTGCATCTGGTGAGAGATATGGAGTCCAGTTTCATTCTTCTGTGTATAGTTACCCAGTTTTCCCAGCACCATTTATTGAAGGTGGTGTCCTTTCCCCAGTGTATGTTCTCGTCAGCTTTGTTGAAGATCAGTTGGCTATAAAAATGTGGATTTATTTCTGGGTTCTCTATTCTGTTTCACTGGTAGGATTTTGAAGGGGGATTTCAATGAATTTATAGATCCACATGGAAAATAATTGACTTTTTTGATATTAAGTTTTCTCTCTAGCTATTCTTTAATATTTTTTAGCCTGTATGGGCTTTGTTTACTTTTTGTTAGATTATTCTTAGATATTTTACAGTTTTTGATGCTATTACAAATAGTCTTTTTTGTTTGTTTATTTTTTTTTTGAGACAGGGTCTCACTCTGTTGCCCAGGCTGGAGTACTGTGGCATGATAAGGGCTCACTGCAGCCTCAACCTCCTGGGCTTAGGCAATCCTCCTTCCTTAGCACCCCCCTGCCCACCGAGTAGCTGGGCTTACAGGTGTGCACCACCACACCTGGATAATTTTTTGTAGAGATGGGATTTCGCCATGTTGCCCAAGTTGGTCTTGAACTCCTGAGCTCAAGCAATCCACCCACCTCAGCCTCCCAAAGTGCTGGGGTTACAGTCGTGAGCCACCGTACCTGGCCTACAAAGAGTATCTTTTTTCAATTAAATATTATAATTGATTATTGTTGGAGTATAAGAAAGCTATTGATATTTTCATGTTGATCTAATATCCATTTACCTTGCTGAACTTTCTAAATCTTTGTCTTTATTATTTCTGATTTTCTGGATAGTTACGATCTCTTCAAATAATGCCAATAATATCTTTGTTTTCAAAATGAAGAAAATTTTCATAGTCCATGTATATGTATGTGTGTGTGTATGTATGTATACACACACACACATAGTATCCACACAGTAGTTAGGAGATTGAGAGCAATGTTGAATTAACTACCACAATTAGGAGTATTCTTTTCTTCTCCTTTACTGTTGGGGCTGCTTCACACGTTTGATTGCGATATGTATAGCTTGTTGTGCATATCCCACAGCCCTCCTCTCCAACATGCTCCTCTTGCAACTTTCCCCATCATAGAAATGACACCTCTAAACTGCTAGTTCTTTTGGATAGAAGTCATGGGCATCATTCATGACACTAGACTTGCTCTCAAATTTTATCATACAAATGAAAATCCTGTTGGCTGTACTTTCCAAAGACCTGCAGAATCATTTCACTACCTCCATCACTTCTACCACTTCCATGTTGATTCAATCAATCATCACCTCTTGGTGGATTATTGCATTAGCCTCCTGTCTGGTCTTCTTAATTCTGCCTTGGTCATCTATCCTCAACATAGGAACCAGAAAGATTCTTTAAATTTGTAACTCAGATTATATCTTTGCTCAAATTCCTCCATTTCCCAGCTAACTGAGAGCAAAAGCCAGAATTCTGACAGTGTCATCTAAGACTCTATATGGTCAGCCTTCCTCACTATCTCTTTGACTCATGTTCTTTTACCCTTACTCTCACTTACTCTCTCATCAATTTAAAGTTTCTGCTAAAATGTCAGCTTTTCTATAAATTCTTCCCTCACCACTCCACTAAATTTTCACAACACCTACTTCTTCCTCTCCTATTTTCCTGTTTAGTTTTTCTCTACAGCTCCTATGAGCATCTGACATATTGTACATTTTGTTTATTTGTGTGTTGTCTATCTTCCCCCACTAAAATGTAAGCTCCATAAGGGCAGGGATTTCTTCTGTTTTGTTCATGACTGCATCCTCATTGCCTAGAAGGGTGCTCGATGCATACTAATACTTCAATGTATATGTCATTTTTCTCCTTAGTTCTCTATGAATTCAGATTTAAATGAATGTGTAGTAATCCTTGTGTTCCTGGAATAAACTGTCATTGGTCGTGATGCATAATGTTTTTTATTCACTGCTGATTTTGAGTTGATACTGTTTTATTTAGTATTTTTGCTCATAAAGGAGAATATAGTTTTCTGTTTTGTATAATAATTGTTCGGTTTTTATAGCAGGATACTTGTCTTATCAAATAAATTCAGGAGATTTCTACCTTTTATTTTCTATGCTTTGGAAGAATTTATATAATAGAGTCTCTTCATTAGATATTTTGTAAAATTTGTGCATAAAAATCTCTCAGGCTTGGTATAAAGTTTAGGGTCTGTTGACTAAATTTTCCCTTCGGTGGAGATTGATTTATTCAAGTTTCCTAACTTTTCTTTTATTTAATTTTGATAATTTATATCTTCCTAGAAAAATCATCCTTTTAATTTATATTTTTAAATTTATATATGTATAGTGGATGTCTTTTCATTTCTAATGACGTTTGAATCTTTTTTATTTTTTGCTTACAAAAATTGATCTCCTACTTTGGCCTTTTAAAGAAAGCTTTGATTTTCCTTTTATGTATTATTTTTCTTTCTCTTTATTATTTTTTTCTCTCAGCTTAATTTATGCATACTTTGGAGAAATTTGTCTAAAGCATTGTCAAAACTTTGAATGCTTAGAATTTTATGTTTATTTTTTGTCTTTCTTTTTTAATGAGTACATTTAGTGTATAAAAAGCACTTGAGCTGCAGCTCAAAGATTATATAATGCATTGTTCTCTGTCATACATTTATAAGTAATCTGTAGTTTCCATTTTGATTTCTTTTTTCATCCAACAATTATTTGAAAAAGAGTTTTAAAATTTCCAAAAGCATAGATATTATTTTATTCATTGTTTTGACATTATTGTTATTTTCATTTTACTATGCAGAGAATCTGCACTCAATATACATTGTTGTTTATAAAATTTAATAAGACTTTGTCTTTTGGCTTGATGATTTTTTTCAATAACTACGTCATGGGTGTTTGAAAAATATTTTCTTCCTTTGTTGTGTGTAAAACTTTATAGGTATCCATTAGAACCAGCACAATAGTTTGTATTCAGAACCTCTGAATGGTTTGTTAATTTCAGAGACAGTGTTTTAAAATCTCCCTGTGGATTATGTTTTGCATTTCCTTAATTTATGTTATTTATTTTTCAAAACTATACCATTAAGTGCATGCCATCAACATTTTACCCTTACATTTTCTCTGTGGATTCCTTTTATTAAAAACCAAAATAATCTTTTTGCCTGTTTATTTTTATTGTTTCAAATTCTATTTTTAATGAACTTTATTTACTTATTTTTATTTTTGATTTTTTCCCAGTGTATCTTCTCTTATTTTTTTTTCTTTCTTTCCTCGGTGATCCTTGTTCTGATCTCTCTTATTTTCTTTTTTTGTAGAAATAGGATCTCACTGTTTTGTCCAGGTTGGTCTCAAACTCCTGGCCTAAAGCTGTCCTCCTACTTCATCTTCCCAAAGTACCGGATTACAGGCATGAGCCATCACATTCAGCCTCAATGTATTTTCATCTGTACAGATTGAATGAGTTTTATTTTGTCAAATCTGTTTTGTTATTGTTAGCATTTTTTTGGCACACATTTATATCTTTATATTTTAAACCTTTCTCTGTTACTTGGCTTAATTGTGTCTCTTCTAAATAATATTTAGCTAAATTATAACTATAAACGTCTCTCTCTTTTTTTTGAGACAGAGTGTTGCTCTGTTACTCAGACTGGAGTGCAGTGGCATAATCTTGGCTCACTGCAACCTCTGCCTCCTGGATTCAAGTGATTCTCCTGCCTCAGCCTCCCAAGTAGCTGGGATTACAGGCACCTGCCACCACGCCTGGCTAATTTTTGTATTTTTATTAGAGATGGGGTTTCACCATGTTTGTCAGGCTAGTCTTGAACTTCTGACCTGAAGCAATCCACCCACCTCAGCCTCCCAAAGTGCTGGGATGACAGGTGTGAGACATCACACTGGCCAAAAGTCTCTATTTTTAACTGGAGAAAATTAACATGTGAAGCTGTAAAAGGCTAATATTTGTAAACTATTAAGAACTTCTATGAGTCAATAGGGAAAAGACCAACATCCCAACATAAAATGTACAAAAGATATGAGCAAAGAATTCATAGAAAAAGAAAATCAAATGGCCAATAAACGTGAAGTGAAACCCTCCTTAGGGTGCAAATTCAGGAAGTGCAAATTAAAATAACAATAAAAGTCATCTTTTGCAAAAAAGAAGAGCAAAAAAATAAGATAAATAATCTTTTCAATAATACAATGAATAATTGGAGCAAGGATGTGGAGTTCTCAAGTGCTCTGAGTATAAATCTATATCAATTTTTCATGTTATGACTTCTTTTGTGAGAGAGGAATAACCATTTTAGCACTTTTCAATCATCCTGAAGGACTTAATTGGCCCAAGACTGGGCAGTCTACCCCAAACCATTTGGCTTTGGTGAGGCTTATGGCTGAACAGACAGCAGGATGATATGATTGGTTGAGTAGGTCAGTGTCTACTCTGGAATCACCAATAATGGCCAGGGCTAGGGTCAGGGAAGACTACGTGACTCCCAGAGTAGCCATGGGGGCTAGGCTTAAGGGAGAAGGGAGCAAGGGGTTAGATCTCAGGCAAACATGGAAGGGTTGCTTGGCAGACGGTTTCACAGACGTCCATCAAATTTTACTTTACCACGTGCAAAATGGGAGAAATAATACATCAGATACATCAATGCATGAGCTAATTTCACTGTCTACCTTTCTCAAATAAACAGACCCACTTGGAAAGCTTTCTTGATTTGAAAGGAAATAAAGCTAGATAAATGAGCCAATGTATGTGATATGTCTTGCAATTGCTTAAATGACTGAGTAAATGTGAAAAACGGAGGTGTTGATTACTTCTAAAACCAGTAAGGAAAATAGGAGCCCATGTAACGACTTTCAGAAGGGAATCGATCTGGTCTACAGAATAGAATTCTAAATTCTTAAAAAGAGAAGTTCATGGAAATGTCACCTCACAGCTGAGGCATTTCAGTAGTATTGAAGTGAAGGGGAATTTCAGATTGTTCATTCATCTGCCTTCCCACTTAAAACTGTGTGGTGTATTTTGCAATTTGGCTGAGATGGCCATCCTTTCTTAATAAGCATTCCTGCAAAGCAAACCTTTACTCATGTGGAATAAAAGGCAAAGGAAAATCACAGAACCATGTAATTTAAAGCTAGAAGAAAGAGAGGAAAGAAGAGAGTTCTTTTTTAGTTTAACAACCTGAATTATGGAAGATATTTAAATAGATGTAATTTTATAAATCTTAAGTACATGTTGTGAACTAAGATACAAATAGACCTCAGTAAGAAAAGTGAGGCAAGGAAGAATGACAATTTACCTGGGTTTCACATCACAAAATACGATGCCATTGTGTAAAGAGGGATGCCAGCAGCCTCAAGAATTTTAGCTAGTCATGTATGCTCTCTTGGGAAATATGTGCTTTTGGCATTTAAATATATTGCACTGCAATTATTTGGTTTCATGTATGTCATCTATTAGCATGCCTACGCTTTGAGGGAAGGTATGTGTCATTCATTTTTGTAATTGCCCTGCCCAGAGCTCTAATTAGTTCCCAAATTGTACTTGATGCTCAACAAAAGTTTGCTGAAAGACTGAATGAATAGAATGGATAGAAAGGATTTATATAGACTGGTCAAAATCCATCATGCCCCTGTCCCCGGATATTCCAAACTCTTGGTGGATGAAGTAATCAAATTAAGTATGAAAATCATCTAAAGTGTCTGCATTTAGCACAAACTCTGAGTTAGTAGGGTCCAATTTGTTGAGGACTTTCTGTGTTTATTCACCATGGGATTATATGAGGACAGAGTTGTACACACATTCCTAAATCCCTCATTCCTTTCCTCTGCAGTTTGAATCACCTCCTGCCCTGGTGTGCCTAGGAAAGTTCTGACTTATGCTGTTGTCTCAGTGTATTATTTGTGTTCCATTTCAAAAGTGTCTCAAGTTGGAAAATAAATTATATAGTTAGTTTATATATAGCACCTTTTACAAACCCATGTTTGAGGATGAGAACCTATCCGCCCTTCTAAATACGGGAGATTCTTTTATGTTTGGAATGGACCTTTTCTCAACCAAAACGAATCCTTTTGCTGTGAAGTTCTGCAGAAACACCTTATAGCTGTGGGAGAGTCAAATTTTACAGCTTTGGGAGATGACATCTTTGGTTGCCTCAACATGCTAGGATGTTTTTGACTTCAGCGTTTTGGCTCCAAGGGGTCAAACCATCTTGGTGCAGTTTTTATGAATCTAAACCACTTTCCGTTCGTTGCTTTTTAAATTAAATTAAATTAAATTAAATAAGTTTATTTTATTTATTTATTTTTTAATACTCTGTGTTAGTTGCTTGATGTTTGGCCTATTGAAAAAGGAAGAACTATCAGCTTTCTCTGAGGCTTTGAACATGAAATTCTTTCACACTCTGGCAAAAATCTATTGCCAAGAGAACCGTCATAAAAGAGGCCTAGGCAGTGATGACAGTTTGGAGCTTCCTGTGATTTCAACCCCAAGTATCAGGTATGTGGTAAAGGTAGGTTGGAGACCTGTAATCATGACTCTTCTATCCCCTGACCTTTTGTGACTATTTATTCCTCTTTCCTATCCTCACCCAGTCAGCCAGCCTGACTCCATTCTGTCTGCTTGTTAGTCCTATGTTCTTGTTAACATGAGTCATAAATGTAGTTGCTACAACAGATATTTGTTCAACATACATTTGTCAAATGCCTGTCATATGCTAAAACTAAAAACATAGATTTTCAAAAGATCTCTGCATTCTGGGTTCTCATGTTCTAGAAAATGAGATTGATACATATACGTAGATCATTACATTGTAGTATATGATAGGGACCATGCTGGAGTCTATCCAAAGTGTTGTGTAAACATTGAGGCAAGAGTGATTGATTAGTTAAGTTTGAGCTATTCTATTAGATGACCAAGTACAAATGCCCTGTAGGCAGTTAAGGGCTCAAGAAAGAGAACGAGTTAGAGCAGAAAATTTTAAGTCATTAACAAAGAGATAGTATTTGGAGTCTACCAGGATGGCACACAGTGTCGCTTAGAGTTAAAAAATGCAGCTTCTGGAGATAGACTATTTGAGGTAAAATACTGCTCTGGTAAGATACAAAAAAAAAAAAAGCATTTTGCTTCTCTTTTGGAACTGTCTTCATTATGGTTATGTTAAATCATTTCTGTTGGAAGTATATAGACATACTGTCATATGTCGACAAACATAAACAAAACTTCTAAAAAAAACCTTCCTTTTGTTAGGCAAAGAAAAGTGCTTGATTTCTATTAAGGATGAAGTGAGTTTACTGTATCATGTAGTACTAATGTTCCTTTAATGAGACTTTATCAGTGTATCTATCAAATCTAATCTACCTGGAACAATTGAAATTGTTGCTTTCCTAGTAGAAAATCATGGGAAGAAAAATACTGATGGTGAGAAAAAATTTTATCATGTGAAGGAACATTTTAGGGAACTAGCTCCAAAATTTCTATTGTTTTACAGGTATTCCCTCTTAGCTCAAGGTGTGTGAGATAAGGCAATCTAGATTTTATCTTGGAAATGACTCGGGGAACCTAATCCTGATTGGAGACATCTGGGCAAAGAATGCTTATCTCCCTTACTCCTTTTTACCCTCAGGACACAGAATAAGAATAATACAAAGTCTTATACCCAGTGCCTCTCAAACAAAAACCTAAATTATTTGACAGTTATTCAGTCCTGTAATCACTGGCAACTTCTTACTCCACTGCCAGGGATCATAAAATTTTCTGGCGGCAGATTAGAACTTATTTGAGCAAAATGACATAGGAAGGCAGTGTTGCAACTAGAAATAGTATGTGGGACATTCTCCAAGATCTTTCTTAAATAATGTTTTTGTTTAGGGCATGAATGATTGAAGGTATAGGAATGACTTATTTAAGTAGCCTCAAAGGAGAAAACAACTGGGAGGAGGTACATGTGTTTATATGTCTTGCAGACCCCACAGGCAGAAAACACATTTATATTTATTTTTATTTTATTTTTTTAGAGAAAGGGTCTCATCCCGTCACCCAGGCTGGAGTGCAGTGCTGCGATCATAGTTCACTGCAACCTCAAATTCCTGGGCTCAAGCAATCCTCCCACCTCAGCCTCCTGAGTAGTTGGAACCATAGGCGTGAGCCACCTCGCCTGGCTCAGAAAATAAACTTTTAAGTATTTATGCTATTAGAGGGAAGCAAAGACATGAACAATTTAATAATAATGATAAAATAATAACAATAAAATGGTAACAACTACAATGTTAATAACCAACAGTTACATAATGATCACTACGTACCAGGCGCTCTTCTAACCACTTATTTAATCCTCACAACAACAAATCTATGAGGTGGGGGTCTTATTATCTCCATTTTATATATAAATCAGAGTCAACAAACCCAAGAATGCCTTTGAAACAAATCTGGGATCCTAATTTGATTAAAATTTAATAATTCTATCTTGGGTCAGGATTTTCTTACAGAAACGTGAGAAATGATAATGGTAATTATCAGTGAATGTGATACCAAAAACATTTCAAAAACTCGATTTTTAAGGCAAATTAATTTAACATATGCATCTGATATCTTTTTCATCCCTGGAAATCAGATTATATTTGGTTTAAGAATGGCACAAAGA
This sequence comes from Homo sapiens, assembly GCF_000001405.40. Taxonomy (NCBI): domain Eukaryota; kingdom Metazoa; phylum Chordata; class Mammalia; order Primates; family Hominidae; genus Homo; species Homo sapiens. The sequence goes on along the minus strand of NC_000008.11, from coordinate 96,040,826 downwards.
AACACGTTCTAACTTAGTTGTGAAGCCTTTTCTGGATTACTTTGTCTTGATTTCAACTAAACACATGCTCTTCCTCACCTGTACCAAACTGGGACTTAATTGGGCAGGAGAAAGGAGGATTCTTAGATAATCTGCTCAGTGGTGAAACACCACAGATACTTCAGAACTTGCTATCATTCAAAAAAATGTTTGTGTAGGGATTGAAGAAATGATCCACATTTAGAAGTCTTTGGAGAGTTTGAGCTTGGTAGTATATTTAAAATCGAGTCCTGGGGACTGTTAAGCATGTTTTTGCTTCCTTTTATAGTTTTGGTAGAGGAAAGAAAACCCATGTAATGTATTGGGTATTAAATGGTATTACATTACCACTTAAAAGAGAAATTAACAATGCTGTGCTCCCACACAGGAATTTTTCCACCCAGTGTTGACATTGGGTCAAGTGAGCCTGATAAGTCAAGCCACAAGATGGATGGACAAGAGGTAGCTGCCCCAGAACACGAACATGCTGGATGCTTTGTGCAGAAACATGAATGTCGGAATGACAGAGCTCATCTTCTGTGGATGACTGATAAGAGTCAATGTGTGTAGGAGAAAAATTCCCGGGGTTGAAATCAGAAGCTGGGGTTTGGAACACTAGCTCTATAATACAGTGGTAGGGTGGCCATAAACAAATCACCAGAGGTCTTGGAACTGCTGGTTTTCCATTATGAAATGGAAGGCATATCTAGTTTACTGTTAGACATAGGATTCACTGAGACAATGCAGGTATTTTTAGGCTGTACAGTGATAAATGTTTTATTGATGTTAAAATGTGTTACTAAAAGCAGTAACACATTTTAATTGTTTCTTCTGCAAATATCTATTGAGTGCCTGCTGTGTGTTAGGCAGAGTTCTAAGCACTGATAATACAAGAGTGAATGTGTTAGATCTTTCAGTGGGGAAGACAGAAAATGAATATGTAAAATAATATGTATTTAAATTTATAGATTATATGTGTAAATTTAAATAATCAATCAGTCAATCAATCTTTTTGCTAAGTAACATATTGCACCAAAACTTAGCACCTTAAACAAACAGATGCTTGTTATCTAAGACAGTTTCTGAGGGTCAGGAATTCAGGAGTGCCTGGGCTGGTAATTGCAGCTCAGAGTTTTTCATGAGGTTGCAGTCAAGATGTTGGCTGGGGCTGCAGTCATCTCAAGGCTTGGCTGGGATGGCGGACCCACTTTCAAGCTCATTTGCATGGCTACTGGCAGGAGGCTTTGATTCTTCAGCCTGTGGGTCTCTCCATGGTATTGCTCACACAGTGGCATCTGGTTTCCCTAGAATGAGTTACCCAAGAGGGAAAGAGAAAGAGTGAGATGGAAGCTGTGTCTTTTAAGCTAGTCTCAGAAGTGACATACCATCACTTCTTCTCTACTCTATTGGTTACACAACTCAGCCTTGGTACAGTGTGGAAAGAGACCACAGAAAGTGGTGAATTTGAGGAGATGGGAATCACTGGGGGTGATCTTAGAGGTTGGCCATCATGATACTCTAATACATATGGTAAGTATTGTGATCTTTAGCGGGTAGGGTTCCAAGATGGCCGAATAGAAACAGCTCTGGTCTGCAGCTCCCAGCATGATTGACGCAAAAGATGGATGATTTCTGCATTTCCAACTGAGGTACCTGGTTCATCTCACTGGGACTTGTTGGACAGAGGGTGCAGCCCACAGAGGGTGAGTCAAAGCAGGGTGGGGCATCGCCTCACCTGGGAAGCACAAGGAGTGGGGGGATTTCCCTTTCCTAGCCAAGGGAAGCCATGACAGACTGTAGCTGAAAATCAGGACTCTGCCACCCAAATACTGTGCTTTTCCAATAGTCTTAGCAAACAGCACACCAGGAGATTATATCCTGCGCCTGGCTCAGTGGGTCCCATGCCCACGGAGCCTTGCTCACTGTGAGTGCAGCAGTCCGAGACTGAGTTGCAAGGTGGAAGCCTGGCTGGGGGAGAGGCATCCACCATTGCTGAGGCTTGAGTAGGTAAACAAAGCATCCTGGAAGCTCAAACTGGGTGGAGCACACCGCAGTTCAACGAGGCCTGCTTGCCTGTCTAGACTCCACCTCTGCGGACAGAGCATAGCTGAACAAAAGGCAGCAGAAACTTCTGCAGACTTAAATGTCCCTGTCTGACAGCCCTGAAGAGAGCAGTCATTCTCCCAGCATGGTTTTTGAGCTCTGAGAACAGACAGACTGCCTCCTCAAGTGGGTCCCTGACCCCCATGTAGCCTAACTGGGAGACATCTCCCAGTAGGGGCCGACTGACACCTCATACAGCCAGGTGCCCCTCTGAGACAACGCTTCCAGAGGAAGGATCAGGCAGCAATATTTGCTGTTCTGCAGCCTCAACTGGTGATACCCAGGCAAATAGGGTCTGGAGTGGACCTCCAGCAAACTCCAACAGACCTGTAGCTGAGGGACCTGACTGTTAGAAGGAAAACTAACAAACAGAAAGGAATAGCATCAGCATCAACAAAAAAGGACATCCAGACCAAAACCCCATCTGTAGGTCACCATCATCAAAGACCAAAGGTAGATAAAACCACAAAGATGGGGAGAAACCAAAGCAGAAAAGCTGAAAATTCTACAAATCAGAATGCCTCTTCTCCACTAAAGGATCACAGCTCCTAGCCAGCAACGGAACAAAGCTGGATGGAGAATGACTTTGACAAGTTGATAGAAGTAGGCTTCAGAAGGTCGGTAATAACAAACTTCTCCAAGCTGAAGGAGGATGTTCGAACCCATCGCAAAGAAGCTAAAAACCTTGAAAAAAGATTAGACTAATGGCTAACTACAATAAACAGTGTAGAGAAGACCTTAAATGACCTGATGGAGCTGAAAACCATGGCATGAGAACTACGCGACGCATGCACAAGCTTCAGTAGCCGATTCGATCAAGCAGAAGAAAGGGTATCAGTAATTGAAGATCAAATGAATGAAATGAAGTGAGAAGAGAAGTTTAGAGAAAAAAGTAAAATGAAACGATCAAAGCCTCCAAGAAATATGGGACTATGTGAAAAGACCAAATCTATGTTTGATTGGTGTACCTGAAAGTGATGGGGAGAATGGAACCAAGCTGGAAAACACTCTTCATGATATCCAGGAGAATTTCCCCAGCCTAGCAAGGCAGGCCAGCATTCAAATTCAGGAAATACAGAGAACACCACAAAGATACTCCTCAAGAAGAGCAACTCCAAGATATATAATGGTCAGATTTACCAAAGTTGAAATGAAGGAAAAAATGTTAAGGGCAGCCAGAGAGAAAGGTTGGGTTACCCACAAAGGGAAGCCCATCAGACTGACTGACAGAAGATCTCTTGGCAGAAACTCTACAAGCCAGAAGAGAGTGGAGGCCAATATTCAACATTGTTAAAGAAAAGAATCTTCAACCCAGAATTTAATATCCAGCCAAACTAAGCTTCATAAGTGAAGGAGAAATAAAATCCTTTACAGACAAGCAAATGCTGAGAGATTTTGTCACCACCAGGCCTGTCTTACAGGAGCTCCTGACACAAGCACTAAACATGGAAAGGAACAACTGGCACTAGCCACTGCAAAAACATGCCAAATGGTAAAAACCATTGATGCTATGAAGAAACAGCATCCATTAATGGGCAAAATAACCAGCTAACATCATAATGACAGTATCAAATTTATACATAACAATATTAACCTTAAATGTAAATGGGCTAAATGCCCCAATTAAAAGACAGACTGGCAAATTGGGTAAAGAGTCAAGACCCATCCGTGTGCTGTATTCAAGAGACCCATCTGACATGCAGAGACACACATAAGCTCAAAATAAAGGGATGGAGGAACCAAGCAAATGGAAAGCAAAAGAAAGCAGGGGTTGCAATCCTAGTCTCTGATAAAACAGACTTTAAGCCAACAAAGATCAAAAGAGACAAAGAAGGCCATTACATAATGGTAAAGGGATCAATTCAACAAGAAGAGCTAACTATCCTAAATATATATGCACCCAATACAGGACCACCCAGATTGATAAAGCAAGTCCTTAGAGACCTACAAGAGACTTAGACTCCCACACAATAATAATGGGAGACTTTAACACCCCACTGTCAACATTAGACAGATCAATGAGACAGAAAGTTAACAAAGATATCCAGGACTTGAACTCAGCTCAGCACCAAGCAGACCTAATAGACATCTATAGAACTCTCCACCCCAAATCAATAGAATATACATCCTTCTCAGCACCACATCACACTTATTCCAAAATTCACCACATAGTTGGAAGTAAAGCACTCCTCAGTAAATGTAAAAGAACAGAAATCACAGCAAACTGTTTCTCAGACCTCGGTGCAATCAAATTAGAACTCAGGACTAAGAACTTCACTCAAAACTGCACAACTAAACGGAAACTGAACAACCTGCTTCTGAATGACTACTGGGTACATAATGAAATGAAGGCAGAAATAAAGATGTTCTTGGAAACCAATGAGAACAAAGGCACAACATACCAGAACCTCTGGGACACATTTAAGGCAGTGTGTAGAGGGAAATTTATAGCACTAAATGCCCACCAGAGAAAGCAGGAAAGATCTAAAATTGACACCCTAACATCACAATTAAAAGAACTAGAGAAGCAAGAGCAAACACATTCAAAAGCTAGCAGAAGGCAGGCAATAACTAAGATCAGAGCAGAACTGAAGGAGATAGAGACACAAAAAACCCTTCAAAAAATCAGTGAATCCAGGAGCTGGCTTTTTGAAAAGAGCAACAAAATTGATAGACTGCTAGCAAGACTAATAAAGAGGAAAAGAGAGAAGAATCAAATGGATGCAATAAAAAATGATAAAGGGGATATCACCACCGATCCCACAGAAATACAAACTACCATCAGAGCATATTATAAATACCTCTATGCGAATAAATTAGAAAATCTAGAAGAAGTGGATAAATTCCTGGACACATACACCCTCCCAAGACTACACCAGGGAGAAGTTGAATCCCTGAATAGACCAATAACAGGCTCTGAAATTGGGGCAATAGTTAATAGCCTACCAACCAAAAAAAAGTCCAGGACCAGATGGATTCACAGCCGAATTCTACCAGAGGTACAAAGAGGAGCTGGTACCATTCCTTCTGAAAGTATTCCAATCAATATAAAAAGAGAAAATCCTCCCTAACTCATTTTATGAGGCCAGCATCATCCTGATACCAAAGCCTGGTAGAGACACAATGAAAAAAGAGTAGACCAATATCCCTGATGAACATTGATGCAGAAATCCTCAATAAAATACTGGCAAACCAAATCCAGCAGCACATCAAAAAGCTTATCTACCACAATCAAGTAGGCTTCATCCCTGGGATGCAAGGCTGGTTCAACATACGAAAATCAATAAATGTAATCCATCATATAAACAGAACCAAAGACAAAAACCACATGATTATCTCAATAGATGCAGAAAAGGCCTTCAACAAAATTCAACAGCCCTTCATGCTAAAAACTCTAAATAAGCCAGGTATTGATGGGCTGTATTTCAAAATAATAAGAGCTATTATGACAAACCCACAGCCAATATCATACTGAATGGGCAAAAACTGGAAGCATTCCCTTTGAAAACTGGCACAAGACAGGGATGCCCTCTCTCACCACTCCTATTCAACATAGTGTTGAAAGTTCTAGCAAGGGCAATCAGGCAGGAGAAAGAAATAAAGGGTATTCAATTAGGAAAAAAGGAAGTCAAATTGTCCCTGTTTGCAGATGACATGATTGTATATTTAGAAAACCCCATCGTCTCAGCCCTAGATCTCCTTAAGCTGATAAGCAACTTCAGCAAAGTCTCAGGATACAAAATCAATGTGCAAAAATCACAAGCATTCCTATACACCAATAGCAGACAAACAGAGAACCAAATCATGAGTGAACTCCCATTCACAATTGCTTCAAACAGAATAAAATATCTAGGAATCCAACTTACAAGGGATGTGAAGGACCTCTTCAAGGAGAACTACAAACCACTGCTCAATGAAATAAAAGAGGACACAAACAAGTGGAGGAACATTCCATGCTCATGGATAGGAAGAATCAATATTGTGAAAATGGCCATACTGCCCAAGGTAATTTATGGATTCAATGCCATCCCCATCAAGCTACCAATGACTTTCTTCACAGAATTGGAAAAAACTACTTTAAAGTTCATATGGAACCAAAAAAGAGCCCGCATTGCCAAGTCAATCCTAAGCCAAAAGAATAAAGCTGGAGGCATCACGCTACCTGACTGCAAACTATACTACAAGGCTACAGTAATCAAAACAGCATGGTACTGGTACCAAAACAGAGGTATAGACCAAGGCAACAGAACAGAGCCCTCAGAAATAATACCACACATCTACAACCATCTGATCTTTGACAAACCTGACAAAAACAAGAAATGGGGAAAGGAGTCCCTATTTAATAAATGGTGTTGGCAAAACTGGCTAGCCTTACGTAGAAAGCTGAAACTGGAACTCTTCCTTACCTTTATACAAAAATTAATTCAAGATGGATTAAATACTTAAATGTTAGAACTAAAACCATAAAAACCCTAGAAGAAAACCTAGGCAATACTATTCAGGACATAGGCATGGGCAAGGACTTTATGTCTAGAACACCAAAAGCAACAGCAACAAAAGCCAAAATTGACAAATGGGATCTAATTAAACTAAAGAGCTTCTACACAGCAAAAGAAACTACCATCAGAGTGAACATGCAACCTACAGAATGGGAGAACATTTTTGCAATATACCCATCTTATAAAGGGCTAATATCCAGAGTCTACAAAGAACTTAAACAAATTTTCAAGAAAAAATCAAACAACCCCACCAAAAAGTGGGCAAAGGACATGAATAGACACATCTCAAAAGAAGACATTTATGCAGCCAAGAGACACATGAAAAGGTGCTCATCATCACTGGTCATCAGAGAAATGCAAATAAAAACCACAGTGAGATACTATCTCACACCAGTTAAGTCAGGAAAGAACAGGTGCTGGAGAGGATGTGGAGAAATAGGAACACTTTTACTCTGTTGGTGGGACTGTAAACTAGTTCAACCATTGTGGAAGACAGTGTGGCGATTCCTCAAGGATCTAGAGCTAGAAATACTATTTGACCCAGCCGTCCCATTACTGGTTATATACCCAAAGGATTATAAATGATGCTACTATAAAGACATATGCACACGTATATTTATTGTGGCACTATTCACAATAGCAAAAACTTGGAACCAACCCAAATCCAGTCCATCAATGATAGACTGGATTAAGAAAATGTGGCCCATATACACCATGGAGTATTATGCAGCCATAAAAAATGATGAGTTCATGTCCTTTGTAGGGACATGGATGAAGCTAGAAACCATCATTCTCAGCAAACTATTGCAAGGACAGAAAACCAAACAACGCATGTTCTCACTTACAGGTGGGAACTGAACAATGAGAACACTTGGACACAGGATGGGGAACATCACACACTGGGGCCTGTCATGGGGTTGGAGGAGCGGGGAGGGATAGCATTAGGAGATATACCTAATGTAAATGACGAGTTAATGGGTGCAACTCACCAACATGGCACATGTATACATATGTAACAAACCTGCACATTGTACACATGTACCCTAGAACTTAAATTATAATAAAATAAAATAAAAATAAAAAAAGAAATTATTTTAAGCAGATAGAGAGGAAAAGGGGTCCTTGGGAAGTTTTCATTAAAAAAACAAAAAAGAGGAAAACAGGCCTTTCTGCCTCTAATCCAGTCCTTTTGCAACTGTCTCAAGCTTTTGCCAAAATAATAAAATAACAATAACAATAATTAATACTACCTTTTTAAGAAAGCCAAGTGAAATGTAGAGCTGAGTCACTCTATTCCTATAATTCTTGGGACTATATGACCTGTTGGTATTCTTTGACCCTCTACTTTTCAGTCACTTTTCAATCACACCAATGACTGTTAATGTCTTTTGGCACCTGCTCTTTGGCCTGGGCCCAGATGAATTGGAAGAGCAGCCTTGAGGGCCCAGAGAGCTGAGGAACAGGCCTCCTTCCTCAGGGCAGGTGGATAGAGAAGGATGAAACACAGGTTCTTGCAGATATGTTGAAGGTGATTGGGAATTTTTGCCCTCATCTTGCCCCTGGTGAGGGGCAAATGCTGGTTTCTCAGCATTTCTGTCCTTTTCTCATTTACCAGATGAGAGAACATTGGCTTCAAAGTTGATCTAGTCTGCTTCTAGATTCTGGTTCTGCCACTTGCCAACCATGTGACCTTGGGCTTGTCACTTAACTCTTAAAAGAATCAATTTCCTCTCCCAGGAAATGGGCTAGTAATATCTTCCTAAGGGATTTGGAAGTTTTGTTTGACAAATGATGGATGCTTAAGAAAAATTGGTTAAGCCTCGATTGAAATCAAAGCTTTCAGTGGCTCCCATTGCTCTGGGATAAAGGGCACTTTATCTTAACTGGGCTGCAACTCCCTGTGAAGTCCAGCCTCTACCTTTCAGCCTTCCCCTGCAGCATGAATCACCAAAGCCCTTGGCTCCAGACACACTGGCCTTCTTTCCATCCCTCCCATTCACCATGCACCCTCTCACCACAGGGCCTTTGCACGTGCTGCTCCCTCTGTCTGGAACGTCCCTCTTTTCCCTCCTACCCACCTTTTAGAACTCAGCTTACATGTTCCTACTCCAGAAAAGCCTTCCCTGACTTGTAGATCGGCTGACCTTTGTACACATCTTCCTCATTGCACTTATCATAGGTGCAATTTTCCATTGATCTGTGTGGTTTTTGGTTCATGTTTGGGAAGATTGGAACCTTGTCTGTTTTTGTTATCTTTGAATTCTTAGTGCTGGCACATATCCTGTCACACAGTAGATTATCAATATTTGTTGACTAAATGAATGAACGAGATAATGTATACAATTTATTTGACAATTGCTAGTGTTTAGTTGATTTCGGTTGGTTTCACAGACTTCAGAAGTGTAGCAGAGATCTCTTGTGGTTGTGAAGCGCTGAGTCCCTCTGGAAGATAATATTGTGTTATGATACTAATATAGTGTTTAGAGTTGTTCTGGAATGGAATTTGAACCCCAACTTCACTTACGAACTGAACAAATTATTGTCACCTCTCTGACCTGTTTCCTCATATGAAGCATGGGACAAAAATCGCTTCCAGAGCTGTTGTTGATATTCATTCAAATATTTATGGAGTACCTTCTGCATGCCAGGCACTGTTGTAACCACTGGAAATACAGCAGTGAACAACATCAATAAAAGTAGATGCCCATATTTTGGTAGGAAAGACAGAAAATAAACAAAGCAAGTAAGTAAAATATATGTTAGATGGTAATAAGTGTAAGAAAAAATGCAGCAGAAATGAGGGTAGGAAGTATGCAATTGATATTTACATGAAGAAAATGATAGTGACAGGAAGAAATGAAGAATGTGTGAGAACATTTTAGGCAGATGGAAGGTAAGAGCCAAGGCCCTGAAGCAGGAATATGCGTGGCATGTTTGAGAAATAGAGTAGATTAGTCTAGCTGGCTGGAGAGAAGGGGTAGGGGTGGAGGGTAGCAATCAATGAGGTTTGGTGACAGTGATAAGATCATGTAGGGTTTTATGGGTCACTGTAAGGACCTTTAGTCTGAGTTGAGGAGAGTTTTAGATAGATAAGTGACATGCATTTTAACAGGACCACTGTGGCTGCTGTGTTCAGAATAGAATGATTAATCTTAATCAGGGAAGAACTAGGGAGACCAGTTAGATAAGAAAGTCTAGTGTTTGAGCCAGGGTGGTATTAGTGAAAGTGGAGAGGAATGGTTGGGTTCTTTACGTATTTTCAAGGTAAAGCTGATTTGCTACTGGCGTGGATGTGGGGTATTAAAGAAAGAGGACTCAAAGGTGAGTGAACAACAGGAAGGATGGAGTTGCCGTTTACTGAGAGGGGGAAGGTTTGGGGAGAAGTCAGTCTGTCACATGGAGTGGAAATCAGGACTTTGTTTCTGGACTTCCTAAATTTAAGATGCCAAGTAAAGACATACAATGGCAGTTAGATAAATAAATCCAAAGTTTAGGAGAGGGATCTGTAATGAAGATATATGTTTGGGAATTGTCTGCAAAGGGATGATATTTAAAGCTGTGAGACTGGATGGAGTAACATCTTGTCTAATTTTGGTAAATGTAGATTTAGAAACAGATTAGATCCCAAAACCGACATTTAGTAGAGGTTGGGATGGTAGGGGATGCCAGCAAAGAAGTCTGGCAGCCAGGAAGGTAGGAGGAAAACCAGGTGGGTATGTTATCCTGGAAGTCCAATGAAGAAAGTGTTCAGAGGGGAGGGAGTGACCCACTAGAGTCAAATGCTATTGAGAAGTCAAGTAGGATGAGATCTGAATATTGACCATTGGATTTAGCAATGTGGAGGCGAATGTTTTATTATTGTATGCATCTGTGTGTGTAATGGAGGAAGAAAAAAAATTAAGCCACAGTGACTTTCTAGGAAGCCTGCTTTTCATTGAAGGGAAGTTTTTTTGGGTCAGCTGGGTCTCTGTTAATATATGCAAGTGTGTGCCTAGAGCCTTAGGCAGTAGGATCCAGGGTAAGCTGGACCCTTTCTATAATGGAGTGAAAAGAATATGAATTGGGGGTGCATTGGGGCTACCTGGAAGGAAAGGGATGAGAAGGAAGATAAGAGGAAAGTGTGTGAAAGAAGTTACTGAGGTGACCTGAAGCTGAAGTTGTAAGAAGGACCCCCGAAAAATGTCTGATGGCCAGAGCCACAGAGCCTTGAAGAATAGGAAGGATAATATTTAAATTAGATGATTTGCTAGGATGCAACCATCTCTCCTTTGGCTAAATCCTTGGTCAAGTGTATCACACACATGAATAGCATTTGAGAGAGAGAGAGAAAGAGAGTGAGAGAGCAAGCATGTGTGTCTATACATATGCATGTGTGTGGTAGAAACTGGAGAGGTTGAACTTCATGCTTGAGTTGTCAGGAGGTGGGCCAGATGGAGGATGTATGATATAGAAGGATGATCCACAAACTGAATAGATGCAGCAGGGCATGGAAATCGGAGCTACAGATGATCATGGGAGGGTTAGTTTCCCTAGAAATTTACAGAGAAGGCTTTGGACTTCCCCTGGTGTGGCATGCGAGGCTTAAGGTGACAATATCCAGAGACATCTGGGTTAGAACTTACAAGGCACCAAGCATTCAATAGAGTTTCAGCAAATGCTACTTTCATTTTTCCATCCCAGATCCTTTCTAACCAAAAATAAGCAGGCTCTTAAAACATTTCATTAATTAATCACTATGATTAACTATTCAAAATGTACTAGTTGCAGTAGGCAGTGTAAAATTGAAGGTAAAATAAGAACTTTGTTTCCCTGGTGCTTGCAGTTGAGATGAGGAGCTAATGCAAAGCAGGATGAACTCAAGGGCTAAGTGTCAGACTTGTCAGTCTGAACAAGGGTTCAGACTATTAGAGCCATGGATTTGCTCAGTTACTTGGTGCTGTGCAAGTTTTTGGCCTTCCAAAGACACTAGACAATATTTAACCACTATTTCACAGGGCAACGAATCGGTCTATTTAGGTAATACTGTAACAAACAGTGCCCAGATTTCAGTGACTTAATCTGACAAAGGTACACTTCTTGTTTATGTCCCAGTCCAATGTGGATCAGCTGGGGTTGGAGTGGGTGGGGTGTTTTGCTCCACGTTGTCATCCAGGGACCCGGATCTTTTTGTTTTTAGTGGCCCCTTTGGCCACTTACGCCTCAGAGTCCTCTGCTGGGTATTCTGCATCTGATTGGCCAACAAATGAAAAAAGAGTGTGCAGGGAAGGACTGTCTGACCCCAGTTGCCTCCATCTAGTAGGGGCACACTACTCGGACTCATATACCTGTGGTGAAGATTGGCCATGTGGCATCACTTTGATGCAAGGGAGATGGAAAATGTGGTTTAGCTGAGTATCCATGAAGGGGAACTGGGTCTAGTGAACATCTAAATTTTCAATAATCCCTTCCATGGAGGAAAATAACATAATTACATAGGAAACTTTTTAAACAGAATGTTAAAATCTGGGTGAAGATTTTTTAAAAGATACTTTTTACTTCATAAGAGACAAATTAAGAATACAAATTAAATGGTAAGGGCATTAAATATACTTGATAGCTAGTACCTGATATTAGAGGATCCCAGCAAACCTCTTTTATTGACATTTTAGTATTTATTTATAGACATAATTACATTCATGTTTAGGTGGTAAAAGCAGCTTCTTGCAAATGGGCTTCTGGACCAAGCTGAGTTCTCAACTACTTTTATCATTAGACTAACATTGGTGAAGCTGTATTTTCTCAAGCTGAATTTGGGGGCTTTGAGAACATTTTTGACATAAACTTTCTGAAGGAAAATGGGACTGACAGTTGGAAAAATATGGAGTGAGGGTAAGCGCATGTGTTTTTTTTCTGCTTTTTAGGAGATAGAGCAGGTATTTATTTCAATTTAAAGAATAAATTTCAAGAGCAATCCCAGTGTATGAGTTACTGTGGATATAAAAATGAACTTCTTATTTCTCATCCCGCCAAGAGAATACAGACATACCTTGCATATATTGTGGTTTGGTTCTAGATCACAATAAAGTGAGTGTTACAACAAAGTGAGTCACTTGAATTTTTTGTTTCTTTTTTAGATTATTTTATTTTATTTTATTTTGAAACAAGGTCTCATTCTGTTGCCCAATTTGGAGTATAGTGGCGCAATCATAGCTCACTGCAGCTTCAAACTCCTGGGCTCAAGAGATCCTCCTCCCTCAGCCTCCCAAGTAGCTGGGACTACAGGTGAATGCCACTACACCTGGCTAATTGAAAAAATGTTGGCAGCGGGGGGGTCGAGATATGGTCTTGCTATGTTGCCTAGGCTGGTCTCAAACTACTGCCCTCAAGTGATCCTCCTGCTTTGGCCTCCCAAAGTGCTGGGATTAAGTCGTGAGCCATCACACCCAGCTGAATTTTTGGATTTCTCGATGCATATAAAATTATGTTTACACTGTACTATAGTCTATTAAGTTTACAATAGCATTATACTTAAAACAACAATGTACATACCTTAATTGAAAAGTACCTTATTGCTTAAAAACGCTAACAATCATGTGAGCCTTCATTGAGTAATAATCTTTTTGTTGGTTGGAGGATCTTGCCTTGATGTTCATGGCTGCTGACTGTGGGTGGTGGTTGCTGAAGGGTGGAGTGGCTGTGACAGTCTCTCTTTTTTTTTGAGACAGAGGCTTGCTCTGTTGCCCAGGCTGGATTGCAGTGGTGCGATCTTGGCTCACTGTAACCTCCGCCTCCCAGGTGCAAGTGATTCTCCTGCCTTATCCTCCCAAGTAGCTGCGATTATAGGTGCACGCCATTATGCCCAGCTGATTTTTGTAATTTCGGTAGAGATGGGGTTTCACCACGTTGGCCAGGCTGGTCTCGAACTCTTGACCTCAAGTGATCTGCCCGCCTCGGCCTCCCAAAGTGCTGGGATAACAGGCGTGAGCCACCGTGCCTAGCCTTGTTTCTTAAAATACAATAACAATGAAGTTGGTCACATCAATTGACTCTTCGATGATTGAAATATTTCTCTCTAGTATGTGATGCTGTTTGATGCCATTTTACCCACAGTACAGCTTCCTACAATATTGGAATAAATCCTCTCAAACTCTGCCACTACTTTGTCAACTTAGTTTAAATCCTTTGTTGTCATCTCAACAATGCTCACGGCATCTTCACCAGGAGTAGAGTCCATCTCAAGAAGACACTTTCTTTGCTCATTCATAAGAAGCAACTCTCATCCCTTCAAGTTTTCTCACGAGATTGCAGAAATCTGAACACATCTTCAAGTTCTACTTCTAATTTTAGTTCTTTTGCTTTCTCCACCACATCTGAAATGATTTCCTCTACTGAAATCTTGAATCCCTCAAAGTCATCCATGAGGGTTGGAATCAACTTCTTCCAAGCTTTTGTTAATGAGAATATTTTGACCTCCTCCCATGAATTATGAATGTTCTTAATGGCATGTAAAATGGTGAATCCTTTCTAGAGGCTTTTAATGTACTTTGCTGAGATCCATCAGAGGAATGACTCTATAGCTGCTATAGCCTTATAGAACGCATTTTTTAAATAGTAACATTTGAAAATCAGAATTACTCCTTGATCCATGGGTTGCAGAATGGACATGTGTAGCAAGCATGAAAACAATATTAACCTCCTTGCACGTCATTAATCTCCATCTACAACATTAATCTCCATGAGAGCTCTTGGGTGACTATGTGAATTGTCAATAAACATTTGAAGGGAATCTTTTTTTCTGAGAAGTAGGTCTCAAGAGTAAGCTTAAAATATTCAGCAAACCATACTGTAAACAGATGTGTTGTGATCCAGGTTTTGTTCTTTCATTTATAGAGCACAGACAGAGTAAATGTAGCATCATTCTTAGGAGACCTAAGATTTTTGGAATGGTCCAAAGAGCATTGGCTTCAACTTAAAGTCACCAGCATTAGCCCCTAACAAGAAAGTCAGCCTGTCCTTGGAAGCTTTAAAGCCAGGCATTGAATTCTCCTCTCTAGCCACGAAAAGTCTTAGTTTGCACCTTCTTCCAATAGAGGGCTGTTTTGCCTATGTTGAAAATCTATTATTTAGAATAGTTACCTTTATCAATGATCTTAGCAAGATCTTCTGGATAACTTGCTGCAGCCTCTTCATCAGCACTTGCTGCTTCACCTTGTATTTTTATATTATGGAGATGGCTTCTTTTCGTAAACCTCATGAACCAAGTTTGGCTAGCTTACACTTTTCTTCTGCAGCTTCCTTACCTCTGTCGGCCTTCATAGAATTGAAGAGACTTAGGCCTTACTCTAGATTAGGCTTTGACTTAAGGGAATGTTGTGGCTGCTTTAATCTTCTATCCAGACCACTCAAACTTTCTCCATATCAGCAATAAAGCTGTTTCACCTTCTTATCATTTGTGTATTCTCTGGAGTAGCACTTTTAATTTCCTTCAAGAATTTTTCCTTTGCATTCACAACTTGGCTCTAACTGTTTGGCACAAGACGGCTAGCTTTCAGCCTGTCTCAGCTTTCTACATGCCTTCCTCACTAAGTTTAATCCTTTTGTAGCTTTTGATTTAAAGTGAGAGACCTTTAAAGTGACTCTTCCTTTCACTTGAACACTTAGAGGTCACTGTAGAGTTATTAATTGGCTTAATTTCAATACTATTGTGTCTCAGGGAATAGAGAGGCCCAAGAAGAGGGAGAGAGACAAAGGAACACCTGGTCAGTGAAGCAGTGAGAACACACACACCACAGATTGGTTAAGTTCATCATCTTATATGGGTAGGGTTTGTGGCACCCCCAAACAATTAAAATAGTAACATCAAAGATCACTGATCACAGGTCATCATAACAGATATAATAATAATGAAAAAGTTTGAAATATTGTAAGAATTACTCAAATGTGACATAGTACACAAACTGAGTGCATGCTGTTGGGAAAAATGGTGCTGACAGACTTGCTGAAGGCCAGGTTGCCACAAACTTTCAATTTGTAAAAAAAATGTAGTATCTGTGAAGCACAGTAAAGTGAAGCACAATAAAATGAGGTATGCCTGTAATTATTTTGAATAACACACAAAAAAGGGCCTTTGATTTGGCTAAAATAGTGCAGTTAGCCAAACTTTATCATCATCAAGCAAAATGTAATATAGTCATCTTTCTACTTCTTGTGGCTGAAGCAGAGTATTTGAGGAGAAGCAGAGCAAGCATTGTAATAATGTAGGTGAACTAGAGAGGAATTCTATGGACAATTTATAAACCATATGTACCATTTTCAAAAGAATACTGACATCTTGGGGCAAAACCTTATAGGTTCTGTTGTGTGTTAGTCATATGCCATTGCTTGAAATTATATCACCAATACAGCCTTGAAATATGAGATTTCTTTTAATTAACATCCTCATGAACCTTATCACCAGGTTCAATGTGATTTTTGTTCTTGATATACTCACTCTTTTGCCTGAGGCTGCCTACAGGAGGCCACGTCCCAACTCTCCCATAAAAATGACTTCCACATTCCACATCCCAATTACTCTGAAGGACCTGCCCAAGATGCCTATAAAACCCTACTACAGTCTACACCACCTTCTAACTAATATTCTACATGTGTTTTTGATCAATGAATCAGATTTTCAAAAGTCAGAACGGTTTTCCACGTGGAATTTGAGTAAACATATAAACCTTTGTTATTTATATACATGTTTCAAAAAATAACATATGAGGCCAAAGATGTACAAAGAGCACTGGACTTAGAGTCAGACGAGCTCAATTATCAGGCCAGCCACTTATTCTCAGAGTGACATTGGGAACATTAGCTAATCTTTTTGAGCCTCAATTTCCTGATTTATAGTTACCTCCAGGGTTATTGTGAGACTGACATGAGCTAGTGTATGCCAAGGGCTCACACAATGAGATGCTTATGCTAGGTGTTCAGGAGATAAACCTGCCTTGCCTTTATGAGGAATTTTTAGGTATCAAGAAGAAACATATTCAGCTCAACTGTTACTGGGAATACTTTTGGTTACAAGTGACAGAAGCTTAAACCAAATGGATTGAAACAATGTAAGAAATTTCTTAGCTCATTTAGTTGAAAATTCCAGAGGTGCAGCATCAGGCATGGTTTGGTCCAGAGGTTCTGCATATCACCAGGGCTGTATGCCCGTTTTCCTGGAATACTCTTGGTTTTGCCCAGTTTCATATTTTGGCTTAATCTTGGGTTGGCTTCTTTCATGTCACATGGCTGCCAGCTGCTCCAGGACTAGTTTCCTCATTAATATCCAAGGAGAAAAATAGTTTCTGTTGTCCCAAACACCAAATGGTAATTATGATCTTCCCTCTGGTTGGACTAGTTTAAGTCATGGGTTCATCCCTGAACCTATCAGTGTGACTAGGGAAATCTGATTCCTTGATTGGCTTAGACCAATCAGGGCCAATCTCTGGAGCTGGAGAAGTGGAGTTAAAATTGCGAAAATCACGAATCTGGGGAGTTTCTTGTCTTATTAGGAATGGGGGAAGGAATGGGGGGAAGACATTCCACTGACAAATCCACTCCTCTGTCTTCTTCCCATGTCTCACACTCCTTTCTTTCCTTATGTACATCTTCAAAAGTTCATGCCTACTGGAATCACAAGCAGCTCTCATTTTGAGTTCCAGATTCTGGATTTGCAGCTGATGTGTCTTCTTCTAGGTCAGTTTCTGGATGGAGTTTTTCATAGTCTGATATAGCTAAATAATGTTACCCACTCCTGTGGAAAAACCTGCAATTTTCCCCTCATTATCTAATCTCCCAATCCTCCCTTTAGTAACAGAACTCCTGATTTTCAACCAAGCACATGGCCACCCAGCTAGACACCACATTTCCTAGACTTCTTGACATTAGATGTGGCCATGAATCCAAATTCACAACAAAGGGATATGAACAAAAGTCAAACGTGCCACTTCTCCTTTATAGCCTTAAAACATATCATTTGTCCTCTCTTGTCTGTTCCCCTTCCTGGGAATGAGAATGCCATGTGGTGGTGAGCAAGGTGGGCTAAAGAGCATAACAACCCAGGCCAGTGGTTTTTGAAAAGGGTCCTGGACCAGCAGTCCAGGGAGCTCACTGGAAAGGCATATTTTCAGGTCCTACTCCAGAACTGGTGAGTCAGGAATTATGGCAGTGGGGCCCAGAAACTTCTGTCTTAATAAGCTCTCCAGGGCATACACACAGAAGTTTGAGAACCACTGTTGGGGTGATTTTTGGCCCTATACCCTCCAACATTTGGCAGTATTTTTGATTGTCACAATGTGGAGGGACAGGAAGGTACTGCTACTTCCATCTAGCAGGTATGGAACAGGCTCACTCTAAACATCCTACTATGCACTAGATAGTCCCAACAGCACAGCTTTATCAGGCCTCAAAAGTCAATATTGCTGAGCTTGAGAAATCCTGCTCTAAGGAAAGTGGAATAATGAAATCGAAGCATTGTGAGTTCCTGGCTAACCCTGGAAAGAACTGTTTAGGGACTCTCTCTGATCTCTACTCTGCACTGCCCAATATGGTAGCCACCAGCTACATGTGGCGTTTGAGCTCCCGAAATGGGACTAGTCTGAATTGACATGGGCTATAATTTAGTCCCTCCCAAAAAAGAATGCAAAATATATCAATAGTATTTTATATCAATTACATGCTGAAATGAAAATATTTTGGATATATTAGTTAAAAGAAATATATTATCAAAAATTAATTTCACTGCTTATTTTTTCCAGTGTGGCTACTAGAGAATTTCAAATTACAAATGAGACTTGCCTTATATTTCTATTAGACAGTGCCGCTCTAGCACTTAAGAAATAAATTTCTTTCTGTCTTCTTTGAGCCACTGTAGTTTTAGGTCTCTTCGTTGCAACAGCTAAGCCTGTTTTCCTTTCTATGATAACCCAGTAAATATAAAATGGTGGAGGATAGCTTCAAGGAAAACTTTTATTGGAAGAAATAGACAATGAGAAAACAGTACACAGTGGTCTCTGATTCACTGTATGTATTTTTCCCTGCTTGACAGGAACAGTGAAGTGTTCTTGCCTTGGTAATGCAGTGAGTTCCTTGGTTAGCCAATCTGACAAATCCTAGATGTGCTGTCTGGAAACGTCTCCCTTGTCCGTTGTCCTCTTAGCCCATCTGAGATAGATATTGGCACATATGCCCTTTTTGGGATCTGTACTTCTTTGAAGCCCATTACTTTTTGGTGCAAATTTGAGGGGCCTGGAAATTACCTCAGGGATTGAAGAATCACAGGCTGTTGTCAGCCAGGCTTGGGTTTCTTGGACTGAACCAAATTCCTTAAAAACCTGAAGGCTTCCTGTCTATTTGCCTTCCACCAATTCCATGAGCTGATAATCAAAGCCAGAGTCCTTGTCTAGTCATCTCTGAGTCTGGGAATTCCGGTCTCTCAGCAACAGGCTTCTGTGCTCTGCCTTGCCAAGATAGCCAGGGCTGAGCACTTTGCCAAAATTCTGCCATCCATCTTGCACCTGAAAAGCAGCCAGCCCACGGGTGCCGCCCCACAGAGATACCTGGCACTTCGTGGTGCATAAGCAAATTGCCGGGATCCTGCCTGTGAGTTTCCATTCAAGGCATGGGAAGAGTCAGTTGGTCAGCAGTGTCTGAAGCTGGGGCTGCAGGGCCAAGAGGTGGTGGGGTTGTCGTGAAAGAGGTGGTGGGGTCATTGTGATGGCTGAGCACTTGAATAAGCCACAGTCCCCTGTTGTGGAGCAGCAACAAGGCCAACAGGCATGAGAGCTTTTTACACGCTGAATAAGGCTCCAGTTTCTGAATATCTTTCTGGGCTCCATAAAACCTAGTTGTGTGGCCAGGGTGGTAGGTTTCAGAAGTGAGAGCAGGGTGACCTCTCTATATAGGAAGTCCCATAAAGGAACCCTTTTTCCTGGCCTAGCCAATACCTCTCCAAGTGAGCATCCCAGTCATGCACCCCTGCTGTCTGTATATGGCACACCCTCTTCCTAGGGGGTACTTGTCAGGCACTCTAAGTCCCCTGCTTTTAGAAATGGACAGAATAAAATCCCCCTCTTAGATTTGTAAGTAGATTTTTCTGGCAGAATAACGAGCCCCTCTTGCCATTAATCTTAATAAGCTTTGGGGCTAACAAAATCCATTTTCCCAAGGTCGGAATTATTCTTAAGTGGACTTTGGGAAACATTTTAACCTTTTTGTCACTCAGGCTAAAGAATTAAAACACATTTCTGGAATTTTTTTCTGGGGTTACTAGGAAGCCAGAGTGAGGCGTGGCTGCCTTTGTGTATTTTTCTTTATAAAAACCTTGATGTCAGGGGACCCAGGCCCTTCTCAGCTCCGGTTTGTGTTTGTATTTCCACGTATAGTGCACATTCCTGGTGGATATTTCTAGGAAAAAGAAGAAAAAGTGGCATAATGATAGACTAAGGCAAGGAAAATGTTTTTGTGAAGCAAACAGGCCAAAAATGAAAAAATGGGAGCAACTCTGACCCTGGTATACCACCCTACTCATAACCCAGGCAGCAGGGTTACCAGCTTTGCCTTACATTCTCAGACTAAATTCGTCTAATGTAAAACAGTGCATGGGAACCGAACTCCCGTTTTCTCTCAGGTATGGTGACATAGTAGGAGATGTCACTTTGAATACTTCCAAATGAGAAAGAAAGATGACAGATTTGGCTGCTGCATGGTTCAAAGATGCAGGAAATGGATACAATACGTGGTGTCGTTTAGATTCAAAACAAGGGTACTTGAGTGTTCAGTGTTACTTGCAATAAATATATTAGATTTAAGCCTCAGTTTGAACCTAACCATAACTGGATTCTTAACTATCTAGTTTAAATGACTGGTAACATGAAGCATTTCATAATTTCTGGTCCATTAGTTGCGATCAGGTCCTAATTAACATTCCAGGACCTGGTTTTAGCCAACCTATGTGGAAAATTTGAAGTGGGAACACATATCTGGGGCTATGCCTCTAGTATGGTGTGTATCACGTTGTGGTTTCTGCTACATTTTTTTGGGGTGGGGGGCAGAATTGGACCAGTGGAGATTACCCACACAGTTATGAGTTGCTTAATGACGGGGATATGTTCTAAGAAATATATCATTACGTAATTCTGTTGTGTGAACATCATAGTGGGTACTACCCAAACCTACATGGTGTAGCCCACTACATACCTAGGCTATAAGATATAGTCTATTGCTCCAAGGCTACAAACCTGTACAGCATGTTACTGTACTGAATATTGTAAGCAATTGTAATACAGTGGTAAGTATTTGTGTATTGAAACATATCTAAATATAGAAAAGGTACAGTAAAATTATGGTATAAAAGATATAAAATGGTACACCTGTACAGGGCACTTACCATGAACAAAGCTTGCAGGACTGGAAGTTGCTCTGGGTGAGTCAGTGAGTGAGTGGTGAGTGAATGTGAAGGCCTAGGACTTTACTGTACACTACTACGGATTTTATAAACACAGTACACTTAGGCTACACTCAGGCTACACTCAATTTAGGAAAACATGTTTTTCTTTCTTCAATAATAAATCAACCTTAGCTTACCGTGACTTTTTAACTTTATAAACTTTTTACTTTTTTAACTTTTTAACCCTTTGTAATAACTGCTTAAAACACAAACATCGCTGGGCACGTGGCTCACACCTGTTATCCCAGAATTTGGGAGGCTGAGGCAGGTGGATCACCTGAGGTTAGGAGTTTGAGACCAGACTGACCATAATGGTGAAAACCCGTCTCTACTAAAAATACAAAAATTAGTTAGGCATGGTGGCTCACACCTGTAGTCCCAGCTACTCGGGAGGCTGAGGCACGAGAATCACTTGAACCCGGGAGGCAGAGGTTGCAGTGAGCCAAGATCACACCACTGCACTCCAGCCTGGGCAACAGAGTGAGACCCGGTCTCAAACAAACAAACAAACAACAAACAAACAAACAAACACAAACACATCACATTGTACAGCTGTACAAAATATTTCCTTTCTTTATATCCATACTCTATAAGCTTTTTTCTATTTTTAAAGTTTTTAACATTTTTCCTACTTTTAATACTTTTTTGTTAAAAACCAAGACATAAATACACACCTTAGCAAAAAAAGGGTCAGGATCATCGGTATCATTGTCTTCCACCTCCACATCTTGTCCCACTGGAAAGTCTTCAGGGAGAGTAACATGCCTGGAGTTGTCATCTCCTGTGACAACAGTGCCTTCCTGTGGAATCCCTTCTGAAGGACCTTCCTGAGGCTCTCCTTGAGAAGGTATCACTCTTTTCAGGAATATATCCATGGTGATTTATTTTTCTCACCATAAATTTGTGTGAGTAATGCATTGTGCTACAATGTTACAATAGCTACAATGTCACTAGGCAATAAGAATTTTTCAGCTCAATTCTAATCTAAAGGACCATTGTCATATATGGGGTCAATTGTTGACCAGAATGCCATTATGTGGCACACACTGTATTTTCTCTCTTTGGTATTAACTGAGCAGTATTTACTTCCTGGTCTAAAGATACTCTCTGTGTGTAATGTAAGCAAAATCCCTTCTTTATGGCGGTAAGGTTCTTATCTATTGATCAGTTAAGGCTAAAAGCTATACTCAACTTCTCCACTTCACTTCTTTATCTGAGTGAGAACTGAAACTCTCCGCTGCCCATATTATGCAGCCTCGTCTGGAAAATCCACACCATGTACCCCTTGATCCTCCAACAGGAATCCAGCCTGCTTCCTTGTAGCCCACTGTCCCTCTCAGGGAAAGCTTATAGGTTTTTCTTAGACTCAAACACATCAAGAGGTGATGTACCTAAATAACTTGAAGGAGAAATATCAAAAAAAATTCCAATACTCCATCCAGAAGGATCTGACAGACAGGGTCATCCCAGCTAGTGTTTCACGGAGCAACAGTGATTAGAGTGAGAAATGCTCAGTCTGGGAAGAGATGTGAGTGGCCCGAGGCTGATATTGCCTCAGGACTCATAGCCCTGCCAGGCTGTATGAAGTGATCTTAGCATATAAACAAGAGCAAACATATACCAGAGACAGCTAGTTGCTTATCCCAATATGTCCAATGGCACTTTTTTGTGGTATAAAATGGAATAGAGTTGCCAGGATATAACTCATCCCTGGATGTGGTTTGACAATCTACAAATACTTTTAGTCTCAGCAGGGTACCTGTCTATGTTTTTATGTATGTTTGCATGTTTGTGCTGCTCTTGCATTTGTCACTGGAAAAATTCCCTATGGATTAATGTGTCTCTGGTTCTGCACACATGCTACTTTGGAAAAAATAGAGATGAAGAGCCTTGCTTAGCTGGCTGAGACTTCTTCCTTTGAGAAGTGGGGACCAATGTTCTTGATGACTGGGTAGCTACTTACTAGCTCTAATAGGAAGAAGAGATGGAGGATATAGGCATAGGGCTGGAGGCAGGCATTTGCATGCTTAAACAAGACTTTCTGAATAGAATTCATATAATAAACAGATTTCCAACTTCCATGCCACAAAAAGTCTAGATGGGTGATATTTGGAAAGTAGGAGGATTCTCCCCCATTTTTGTCAGTATCAGCTATAGTCAGATATATATCTTACTTCTTTTTTTTTTTTTTTTTTTGAGATGGAATCTCACTCTGTCACCCAGGCTGGAGTGCAGTGGCGCGATCTCGGCTCACTGCAAGCTCCGCCCCCTGGATTCACACCATTCTCCTGCCTCAGCCTCCCCAGCAGCTGGGATTACAGGCGCCCGCCACCACGCCCAGCTAATTTTTTGTATTTTTAGGAGAGATGGAGTTTCACAGTGTTAGCCAGGATGGTCTCAGTCTCCTGACCTCGTGATCCACCCACCTCCGCCTCCCAAAGTGCTGGGATTACAGGTGTGAGCCACTGCACCCAGCCTATATCTTACTTTTATCAAAGTGGGTAACTGATATAGCTGCATTTAGACAAGTGCATCTAGAGAGAAAAGAGCTTCCATCTACTTCTACCTACCATAATATTAATAATGATCATCTATCATTATTGCTATCTTCCAGATCATGGTGATCAGGACGTTATAATATGTTTTGCACACACATCCCAGAAATGTAGTTCCTCTTTATTTTGCCCTCAGTATACATGCAATTTAAATTATCTGTAGACTGCTAACTTCTCATGTGACACAGAGTAGATGAATGGGGAGAAGAGACTGCAGAGCTTCAGGTAGAAGAAAAAAAAGCATTTCTTTCCTTCCTTTCTTTACCGTCTGATGACTTAGTGTATAAACAAGAGCAAACGTATACCAGAGACAGCTAGTTGCTTATCCCAATATCTATTCTCCCTTCCTCCTTATAAAAGAGCCTGATAGCTAGTTTTGTAGTTTGAAGGTTTGTCCCTCAAACCTCATGTTGAAATTTGATCCCCGGTGTCAGAGGTGGGGCCTAATGGGAGGTGTTTGGTCATGGGGATGGATCCCCCATGAATAGATTAGTGCCCTCCCTGGAGATTGGGGGTGAGTGATTTCTTACTCTACTAGTTCCTGGGAGAACTGGTTGCTAAAAGAAGTCTGGTACCTTCCCCCATCCCCTACTTTCTCTCTCTCCATTTGATCTCTGCACAGGCCAGCCCCCCTTCACCTTCTGCCATGAGTGGAAGGAGCCTGTGGCCCTCACCAGATGCAGATGCCCAATCCTGAACTTTTCCAGACGTCAGAACTATGTGCCAAATAAACCTCTTTTCTTTGTAAATTACCCCTTCTCAGGAGGTATTCCTCTATAGCAACACAAAAATGGACTAAGAAAGCTAGACACATTGCCCTAAGATAAAAGGCTATATTTTCAAGCCTCTTATGTTGCTAGGTATGGCCCCTGATTAGTTTCTAGCCAGCAAGATATAAGCAACGTACTGTGTGGGACTTCTAGGAAGCATCCTTAAAAGTAAGATAATGTGCTTTTATTTTCATTTCTTTTTCCATTCTAGTACCTAGAGCTCGTATGGTATGGATAAAGTGCCAGCAAACATTTTGGACCATGACGACAGTGGAAGGGGCAACTGAAAGAAGCCTAGGTCCTTGATGTAGGTTGGTTCTGGTTGACCCATTTCCCATTTTCTCTTATAAGAGAGAAAAATAATCTTGTTTAAGCCACTGTGTCTGTATTATATGTAGCCAAATCAAATGTTAACTGTTACACTGTGAACAAGGAAAGAGTGGGTGGATTGAGTTCTGGTTCTTGGCACCCAGTGTCTGACTGCAGTAATGACATTTCCCTGGAGCACATTTTTTTTTCCTTGGGCAACATACCAGCTTTATATGAGACAGTCACTCACTCTTCAGACAGGGGTCAAAGCAGCAAATAGAAAGATTTGTTGGGTTGATGTCTTAGTCTGTTTTGTGTTGCTATAAAGGAATATCTGAGGGTGGGTAATTTACTCTAATATAAAGAAAAGAAGTTCGTTTGGCTTATAGTACTACCAAAGCTACCAACTTCTTGTTGGGAGTATTTACACCATGGGAATTGGCAACTGCTAAAAATCAGTTGTTGTTGTTGTTTTTATCAGAGATCCTGCTTATCCACAGACCACTGGCTAACACTGGACTATTATCCTAAATTTTTTTTCTTTCTCATTGAACTATCAGAGAACATTCTAGGGTACAATAATTATATACAGAATTTGAGGTTAATGGGTTACAAAATGCTTTTCCTGATATTATATCACTTAATTATTGCAACAACCTGTGAAATAGGCAACATGGTTTTTGTCATCCCCTTTGTGTAAGAGAGGAGCTGAGATTTAGATTTATACCGAGTGAATGAGGAGCAAAACTGAGATTAAAAGCCAGTGCTGTTGTTTCTTATTTCTGCTAATTTCAAGGGAATTAACTCATTTTCCAGTTAATTTGGAAGAAGAAAAATAGGAGGAGGAGGAGCAGGAGAAGAAGGAGGAGGAGGAAAAATCTATTCCAAAGGAAAAGACAAATCAAAAACGATAATAATTTTTTCATCTTCAGTGTTTTTTTTTCTAAAATAGGCCTATTTGAAAAATAGTATGTAAAGAGTCAATGTAAGAGTTTAGAAAATGGCACAGTATTTTTCTTTGAATACTAGTACCAGATGTAGTTATCTGTTAAGCTGTGGTGGGAGCAAGTGTGCTATCGAGGAAAGAGTATGAGTTTTGGAATCAAATGCCAGCTGCCATTCTCAATTGGCATTCTCAATTTACTGCTGTGTGAACTTAGGCGAATCATGTAACCTTTGCATGCATCAGTTGTTTTCACCTGCTAAATGGGTCTAATAATGAACTCTTAGGGATACTATGAGGATTAAATGAGATAACTGTGTAAAGCAGCCAGGACAATGCCTGCTACATAGTGAATATTTATGAAAAGCCATGGCTCTCTTTACTTTTCGATTTTGAGTACTACCTATCATAAAGTAAATCATGGGCTGTGATTCGTGCCTACGTTTTTCTCAGAATGACCCAAAGTGTCTCTAATCTAAAACCATATATGTTATAAGTGTTCTGAAGGGTCTTGTGGGTGTCCAAATCTAGAACTCATATTACAAGTTTGGGGGAGACTGAGAATTTGGAGAATTTTGTGAGAAAGGACAGCAGTTTTTAATTTTGCTGTCTGTCTCTAGTACATTCCATGCTGGCTTTTGAGACCAAAACCAAATCTGGCAGCAGCAGGCAATCATAGAATCTTCATGTAATTCAATAATTTATCACAAAGAATATTCATTTATAAACAATGACTTGTTTTGGAATGATAGTAGCTGTCAGTTTGGAGGCCTTGTTTCTCCCCCCGCGGGACAGGAGTCTGGCTTCCCCCTTTGTTAAATCATGCAGGGTCGCTGAGTTTGGAATCTGAGGCTGAGTGCACTTTACAATGTGTTTATGTTTTGGTATGTGCATTATTTCGTTTTTACTTTGTGGTCATGAAACCCATGTTGCCAGATGCCAAAGGAGTCTCTGAATAGCCCCCTGTATGTGGAGACGAAATAGTCAAACTGAGAGCAATGATTGCACCTGAAAACCTTGAACCAGAAGATGTAGAAACGTAATCCTCTTCCATGACAGACACACAAATGTCCTGGTGCTTCTCTGTGTCATCACTTAGATTTGCTTCAGCAAAAAAGAATCCTGGATCCTTTGCTCTTTGGAAAATTTATTGCCAGAATGATTTGTACATCAGAAAGTTGTGATTATTTCTCTCTAGTGTCTTGGGAAATTCAGTGGTTTGAGTTCCAGAGAAGATCAAACTGCCTGCTGGGAATAAAGTATTCAGCATCCTATGAAACCATTTGATACCTTGCACCACTTTCACAACTTTCATGTCACTAGCAGCCAAAGGTCCCTGGTTTCTCTTACAGCTCCCCAAACTTCCATGAGAGCCTGGAAAGCTGTTAGTAAATCGAGAGGAACTTGCCCAACTCCTGGAGGCCTTCCATGTCCAGCATCAATTTTCATTGCCTGATGTGGCATTTACACTCACAAATTAGTCTTTGGAAGTTCAATCAAGTACACTCTCAATGGCCACTTACTAACTGCAGTCAACTGAGGACCTATGACATGGTCTACTGGGGGGTTGATTGGAGGTTGCATTGTGTCCCCCTGCCAAAAAACCAACAACATTTGTTGAAGTCCTAACTTTCAGGACCTATGAATATAACCTTATTTGAAAATAGTATTTGGATCTTTGAAGATGTAATCAAGCTAAGATGAGGCTATTAGGGTGGGCTGTAATCAATGTGACTTGTATCCTCACAGGAAGAGAGAAATTTGGACAAAGACACACAAAGAGAATGTTATGTGATGACAGAGGCTGAGATTAGAGTGATGTAGCTGCAAGAAATGCCAAGGATTGATGGCCACCATGAGAAGCTAGAAAGAGGATGCATGTTTCAGAGAGAGGATGGCCCTCCAGACACCTTAATTTCAGACTTCCATTCTCCAGAACTGTGAGGCAATATTTTTCTGTAGTTTTAAGCCACCCCACTTCCAGTACCAAAATCTGTGTTAGTTTTCCAGGGCTGTAGTAACAAAGTGCCACAAACTTGGTGGCTTAAGTTCTTCCTGGGTGGCTTTCATGTGTCATAAGAATCAGAAAAGCCCAATGGAATTCTGCAAATCGTGTCCTCCCATCCTTTTAACACAACTCCCCTGTCTGCTGCTCTTCCCCTAGCATCTTATAATGCTCTTCACAACTCTGTCTGCTGGCACTCTGAGTGTGACATCACCATTCCAGGCAGAGGTGCTCGGGCTCCTGGCTTCCTTGCCCTGTGTCTGATTTCATCACTCATTGGCCCTTTGCCATGGAGTAGCAATCACTTAATGGGATGAATAACTTCCCAGTGGGATGACTTCTCTATGATATTCCTTCCAAGGGTCGTGTTGCCTTAACACAGACATCATCTTAAGACTTTTCTTAGTAAGCACAGTCTCTTAAACACCAGGATGGGCTAGAGGGGAAGATAGTATCAGTAGCCCCCTTGAGGTCCTTTAAAGAACAGAGGTGGTGCTGTGTTTTAATTTCCATTTTACAAAGGAAGAGATAAGTCAAGAAAGAAAGAGCCACTTACCTAGATTATCTCTCTTAGTAGTAACTCTTCAACCATTGCTGTTTTTGCAAAAATAGACTTTGTCTTAGGAGAAGGGATTTTCCCTTGCAGTAGAGAGACCATGTGTGGTTTCTAGTAAGCAGGCCCCCTTAATAGAGGTCTTTCCTTTTGTTAAGGCACTAGATCTTATACACTGAGAAATATGTTGAAAATGAGTTGTAAATTTGTAATGATATTAAATCAGATCCTCTCATCCATTTCTTTCCTCTAAGTTGAAGAGCCTTGAGTCACCTTCATTTAGTCTGCCTGTGACCAATGAATGGTCTGGCACAGTGAGGCATGTGGTAAATTTCCACTCCTGTTTCTCCTTTAAATAGACACTTCTAGCGGTTTTTCCCCACTCTTGAAGTTATATTCAACTTAATTACAAATTGTTAGATTAAAGTAAACAATATGGGGCATTTTAGAATGAGGAAAAGGAGAGGAGAGTTGGTGGTGGCGGGGAGAGAGACAGAATGAATAAAGAGCATCTGGAAACCTAGAAGAAAGTGGTACATTTGAAACCTGATAAGCTGCTGCTGGTATTACCAGACCTCATGGTTTATAACAGCCATGCAACATTTATGGCTAAAGACATGTGCACTTCTTACACAGGCACAGCACACTCACACTCCAGGGCAAACCGGGGACATGGCACTTGGGACTTGAGCCTGTGGTTGGCTAAGCCCTGCGCCTGCACCAAGCTCTGTGTGTGGGGACATGATTGTGTTGACATCACCAGTGGACCCATTTTAAGCAGCTGCCCAATCCATATCTGTAAGATATCTGGGAAGCATGACAGATTGAAATGAAAGCAGAAGAAGGGATTGAGGAACTCCTGAAGCCCTCAGATGGATCACATTGTAGGGGGAAGCAGATGGACCAGGTGCTTTCTCAGTAATTATAACAGCTACTCAAGCCACCAATTATGGATGTTTCCCATGCATTTCGCATTGTGCCAGGAATTTGACATGTATTATCTCATTTAATTCTTACAACAACCATATGAGATGTTTTATTAATTCCTTTTGATAGATGAAGGAGCTTAGTCTTAGAGCTTAGCACACTGTCTGACACATAGTTGGCCCTTAATAAATGCATGTTGACAACATGATGAGGAGTAACAGTAATGCACTTAGGTTCACATAGTTAGCAATTGATGGAGCCACATTTACATCCACTCTGTGTGGTATTTTCAATTATGCAAACCAATGTACTCTGAATGGAATTTTAGATTGAAATACAGAACTGGAGCTAGATTTGCTCAAGCGAAATTCAGGAATCCAAGAATAGTAGCATTGAAATACTTTTTCTTGGCAGAGTAAAGGATGGAGGGCTGGTGTTGACTACAGTAATAGATCAGGGCAGTCAGGGTAGGGCTGTGAACAAGGCAGGAAGGCTTTCTAGGTCATAGTTTGTGAGGATAGACTTGGGCTTGTATAGGGGTTCTTGGGTGTAGATGAGGTAAGGGTGGGAGAGGTTCTGGAATCTTACAGGATATGAGCATAAGGAATGAATTAGTTGGGTAAGGGCAACTCTGGACCAGCCAATGCCAAGGGATCAGTGATAACAATCTTGGTTTCTTTCTTCTTTTGCTTGGAAGAAACTGCTATGTCTACATGCTAGTGTATGGTTCTGCAACCCCAGGTCTTGTTTTAGAATCATAAGGGCATTTAGGGCAACAGAAGTTTGATTCCAAAGAGGTTATATCACACTGGGCAATCTGAAGATGAGTACTTCAGAGATCGGAAACAGTTTGTGTCATCATCAGCAAACATGGCCCTCCAAGAAGCAGCTGTGGCTTGAGTCAATGGAAAAAATATCGTGAGCAGGAAAATGTGAGCCATGTGCCTGTGCCCTGCCCAGTTGCCTTCCCCATCTGAGGAATGGTCTGCCCTTTGAAATACTAGGAGTGAGGCGTTTGCACGCAGGGGCTTGAATGGTTTGTGACATGAGAATGTAGAGTTGGCCAATTCTCCAGGAAGGGAGCTAAGTTTAGAGAAGTTTTCAGGCCTGGTTTTTACCTCATTGTGTAACTGCTGCCTCATGGGAAGGGAATGAGCCCATAGGAGCAGATGTGGTCCCCCTAGGTCAAACAAAGCTCTCTGAAGCCTCCACAACCCAAAAAGGCAATGGAATGGAGCTTCAAAATTAGTTATTTCTTATTCATGGATTATACCAATGTATAATCTAAATAGTTAAAGGGCACATACCCAATCTGTTGGACAGTGTCAATGGCCTATCCAGCATCCATTCTCTCCTTTCTTCACCGTGACATCTCAGTTTTGTTCGTAGGATTTAGGGGAAGTTACCCCATCTCTGACTTCAGTGGTAAGACTCAATTAATTGAAACCAGCTAAAGAATCTAATCCACTTGTTAGTGAATGCTTCAGGAATGGGCATATGACCCAATTCTGGTCTAAGAATGGGTTACTGGAGACTTCAGGCAAGTTCTTCCTTGTCCTTAGGAGAGTAGAACAGAAGTCAGCTTCTTCTTTCAAAGGATGTGAATAAGGCGGGTGATTCCCTACCTCTTGCTGTTGGCTGCCATCTTATGGCCAGAAGGGAAGTCAGATTTAGATAAAACAAATTAATGGAAGAGAGCAGAGACTTACAGAGAAATGGAGGCCTGAATTGACCATGAGAATAACCTCTCTACCTCTGAACTTCCAGCTATTTAGCCAATATAATTCCTTGATATTTTAGCTAGTTTGAATTGGATTTCTGCTACTAGCAGTTAAAACCTTTTGGACTGATAAACTCTAGAACTGGCAATAACATGAGAGAGAGAAGAAAGTGGTAGTAGTTAAGGTGAAGTATAGGTATAAGAAGGAAGACTGGGGAAGTGAAAGAAAAGGCAAAATTTACCTGAAACAGCTGGTTGGGACATTTGGGACTCATACTCAACCTTACCCTGTATTTTTGTTTATTAATGGTTGCAGGTAAAAGGAGGAATGGCAGCTGT
This sequence comes from Homo sapiens, assembly GCF_000001405.40. Lineage (NCBI taxonomy): Eukaryota > Metazoa > Chordata > Mammalia > Primates > Hominidae > Homo > Homo sapiens. The sequence continues at coordinate 96,009,630 of NC_000008.11, read as the reverse complement.
CAAGGTTTCTTTTGCCCAGTGGATTATGGTAAAGATTTGTCAAAATTTAAAAGCACAGCCTCTGTATCAATGTCAGATGGTAGTAAAGAACAGAGGTGATGAGTGCATGCTGGAAGAAAAAACAGATAAAATGGCCCTGCCCATTGGCCTGGAAAAATTGTGTGGTCTCTTTCCTCATCTGAATGCGTTGTATACCCTCAGTCTGCAAGGCAGATTTACACAGCTATCCAGAGACTGGAAAGTTTTAAAATGCCACTGCAGGGAGCTATTATTTATATCCTTGGCAGTAAGTGTTTTTGATTCTAAGTAGGAGTTTGAGGAGAACCGAGGTTCTCAGCGATCCATAACAATTGTCACATTTGATCTTTTGGTCCAGACTGTGACCATAGCATGTATTTAGGAGATACTGGCTGGTGGCTGGTATGGAGATGGGGTTTAGGGAACCCACAGGTCATGCCTATAGTATAAATTAAGTAGTCTCAGTACACAGATTGAACATGAAGTCATGACGTTGGCCTCATTAGCATTCCATCTAGTGCCATTTGCAGAGTGGCTGATGCTTTTCCTAATCTTATCTTAGACACAGCTGTGCCCATGGTTCACAGAACCAGTAACTCACTTTCTACACTAAACAACCAACCAATTAATCAACTGTACACATGAACACACACACACACACACACACAGACACACACACACACACACACAGAAGCAGGGAGGGAGAGAGAAGGAGAATTTATTAATGCCAGCACTGTTTCCTAATTCTGCCTTACTACAAGATCACACTGCACAGGAATGCCACTTTGGCCAGTAAAACCCTTAAATATCCTTTTCTGAGTGTGAGCTTGCTTTATATAATAATAATGGCTAAAAATCAAATCCCTCTACATTAAAAAGTGAGAAAGAGCCTCACAATTCCAACTATGACATGTACTGAGACCTTGAGTGTAGAGGTTCCCAACTGTTTCTGCCATAACATGAGTGATGGATGATGTTCACATGCAGGACGCATTCCCATTGCATCCCTATGCACTATCCTAGGGGTCCTTGAAGTAACATGAACCCTTTCGCTCCAACTCAGTAAAGCATATCAGAGAATGTGGTGGTTTCAAGTGGCATTATTATAGGGCTTACCTTGAAGCTACCACTAAGTTTTACTTAAAAGTGAATTATTCACAAACTTTAGTACTTTAACTATTATTAACTACAGATCAATTGCAACATATCCCACAACATTCAAGTAGACTCAGACCTCTTGTACTTCCAGAATAAAGTTTATTTTCCTTATTTAACCCAGTGTCTGTTTACTAAGTTAGGAGATAGTGTTGAGCTTGATTTTGAGAAATCATTTTTTTCCACACTCAACTTGTAAGCCCAAATATTTCATGTCACTCCACAAATGTAACTTTGTGTTAAATTTTCTATGTGGCTCACAACTTAATAAAAATAATGAAGAAATAGGTTAATCTGAGTCTATAAAAATAAGATTTATTAAAGAAAACTGGATTGGAAGAAGCAATTGATTTCATCATGGTGAATATTGTCAGAAGTAGCAGAATGCTGAATAACTAAGGTTTCAATGAACTTTTTTAAAAGCAAGTTTTGGGTTTGATAGAGTTTAGATGTAGATGGCCCTATCTAGCTCTTGTGGAACAGGTAGAAAAAACATTCATCATTTGACATGCCAACTCTTGTCTGGGCTGTGAGGGCAGCCTTAGGTGGCCCAGGTCTTTTTTTGTGGCTTCCAGTTTGGGAGAAGCTCTTGGTGGATTGGCATGATGCCAGTATCCAACACAGCTGAAGTAATAGCAACGATTTCTCTCACTTGTCCATGCTGAGAGTGGACTTGACCTAGTGGTCTCCTGTATACCCTCTTCCCAACTGAGAATAAAGCTGCCTGAAGTGAAGAATGCTGGGAGAACTCCCAGAACTTGAGTTCTTCCTCCTGTTTTTGAGAAGCCTTGCTTCTCATTTTTCTGCTCCTGGTTGACAGGTGGATAAAACCCAGCACAGCGGAAGTCATAGGAGGAATTCAATTCAGTCTCACACTAAGTCAGCCAGTTGATCTGACTACAGAGAAGTGAAGCCTACCCCTAGTCTGAGTTAATGTCACGAAATATGTTTAATCACCACCAGTCAGTGCACACACACATACACTCATAAACAAACACACTCACACTCATACATCATAGCAATAACAGCTCAATCAAGTCAGCACTGTGGACGAGTGGAGACATTTTGCCAAGCCCATAGTGGACTGACGCACCAAGGGATTTGGAATTTGGACCCTCCCACTACACCCCTTCAATCCTGGGGAGTGGAGCATGTAATCTCTTGGCTAAACAAGGCTTCTTAATATTCAGGGAAGAAAGGTTCAACATGGTATTATACACCAATGCAGAGCCTGTGGGACACGATAGCCTTGAGAAGAGGAGATTTGGTCAGTTACGTGTAAATGAATCAGAAACAGATGGATGATATTTTTGTTAAAATACACACGGGTTTTTAAATTAAGAGGGTGAAGAAGAGTTGCAGAGACAGCTTTGGCAAAAATGTCTTGTGCTCTGCCGGGCCCTAAGGAAATGTTCAGTGAACCTAGAGTACAGCCAAGGTCAATGTTCTATCATTAATGGATAGCATACAGCCCATGACCACACACAGGCCAGGAAATAGGAAGAATCCTAATATATATTGGCATTTATCAGCAAGATTTTCAGTTTGTGATAAAAATAAAAAGGCTCATATTATGTCATGGAACGGCATGACACGCATTCCATAAGCCAGCGGTTGACTTGGTCTTGGAATGTGAAAAAGAGGAAGGTATTTTCTATATCTCACCCCCTTCCTCTGTCACAAGTTTTCACATGGTATTAAGAAGCAATGCGTCCAGATTCTAATTTGCTCTTCTTTTTATTCTTTTGCTGCATTTCTTTACTAATTGAAAACGGACAGCAAAGATACCCCCAACCACAAATATCTAGAAGAAAATGGAGACATTTGGACAGACTGAAAAAGTTTTATGAGCTCTAATAAGGCTAATCAAGGCTCTGGAAAGAATTTTGTTTCATGGTGGACTCAACAAAACAATGAACTGGGTCCTTCAAACAATGAGCTGATTGGCCACAGCAGGAGGCCTGGGGGCCAGGGCCCTGATGAACTGCTGGTCAATTTGGGTGTTGCAACCGCTTTCCATGGTGACGCAACCGCGGTGGAACTTAGGCACCATCTGTTGCTTGTCCTTCAGGCTGCTGTCAATCCTCCATCCCTGCAAGTCCTAAATAAGCCTCCCCTGAAGTTCTCAAAGTGGAATCTAGCCCTCAGTTAATTTGTTTTCTGAGCAGTTCACTCTACAGTGGAGGCATGTTCCCCACCTCATTTCTTTATGTCAGTGTTACACAGTCCAGGCTGAGGAGTGAGGTGGGTGAGTGAAGAGCACACAGGAAGGGCTACTCTGTAGGGATAGCAAAGGAGAAAGTAGAGTTGATAGACAAAGGGGCAGTTCCCTCTGGGTTAGTGCCAACGTCAAATTCCTCTGTGCTGGGAAGAAGGGGAGTGCAATCCCTTTCCCTCACCCATCCTTCATCCCCTCAAGTGATCTCCTAGGGAATAAGAAGGTTCTACCAGCCAGTAGGTTCTGAGGACTGGCTGAGCCTGGAGGCCTCCTTTCTAAAGACAAAGCTGCTCTGAAGTGGGTGGGCTTTACCTTTGCCTGGGCAGATGCCACTGCTGTGGTGCCTCCACAGAGCCCTGGGAGGAGCTGAATTCCACCTTCAATTCCCCTCACCTCCTTTCCTAACCTGCTTCCTCTTTTTTTCCCAAGTTGCTTCCATGAGTTTTTCCTTCCCCTGACAAGCTACAGATTTCCCCAACTTCTCAGGGGCAAATATAAACTCCTCAGGCACGGGGACTCTATCTGATCTAGTTTTATAACCTTAGTTTCAGCACAATGCCTAGCACATAGTGGGCCTACCACAAATATTTGGAAACTTCTAAGACCTCGGATCTCCCAGCACCTGAAGCTTGGTGCATCAGCTGTGATGGGGGCATGAAAGCCCATCTACCTTCTCCTTCCCTTCATCCTCCTGCAGGTGTGTGTTTTCATATGCTATCACTCTTGTGTATGGCAGACCCACACACAACGGCATTTTCTAAGTCGGTTCCTCCTTACACTCTCAACACCACAAGTGTGTGAACTTGAAACATCAAAATTTAGCTGTGCCATGTCCCGTTCCTTCTATTCTGGAAAAGCAAAAAATTTAAAATCCCTTCCTGCTAATGTGGCCTGACTGCTAATGGATTACTTAGATAACATATTTCTGTTACAGATAATGCCCTAATTGAAGGAATGACTCCAGTGGAGGGAACTCCAGGCACCACATTTGTATGTCCGGGCCAGCTTTCCACGGCCTTCCTTTGGTAGGGAAGTGGTATGAAGCATCGGAAGGGCATGGTTTCAGACAGATCTGGGTTTGTTCCCAGGTTCTCCCACTTATTCGCTGTCAAATATAGGCAATTTACAGAAATTCCCAGAGCCCATTGGAAACCAATACTCATCCTTGGGGTTATTGGAAGGATGAAACAAAAATGATGTATGTAAATCTAGTACCGTGCCAGGCACACAGTAAACCCAAATTCCTTTCTTTCAGTTATTCATTTGCCTCAACAGTAAATTATTACTAAAAGCCTACCTTTGCCAGGCACTCTGACTGCACTACAAAGATGCAGTGTTTCCCGTTGGCATTAGAGGTCTGGGATTCTCCACTTCTCAAAGAGCCCCCAACTTACCTGAGTAATCTCTTGTAACCAGATGCTGTTTGGCTTCTGAAGTTGAGCGAGTTCTCTGTACAGATACACATATTTCTGTGATGAGTTCTCATCTGCACACCAGGGATCTCGGAGAATCTACCGATGAGGAGAGGATTTGGGGGCTCACCTCTCCCCCTGGGATTGCTGGCTATGCATCTTCACAGCTGTGGGTCCAGCTTCCTAGCGGAGGGAAGCAGAACACCCTGAGCTTCCCTTTCCCAAAAGAAAGAGCCCCACAGTTGTCTCTCCCCTCAGCATCCTCAGGCACCAGCTCGGAATTGCCTTAGGAGCGTGGGAGCGGGAGAGGGCGGAGCAGAGGCCATGAAGCTGGTCTCAGAGCCTGTCCCCTGGAGTGTGGATCTCTGCTGACCGGCCCGCTGCCGCGCTAATAAATATCAAACCCTTCAACGGGAAAATAAATTATCCCCAACTGCTAGGCAAAACAGTCTTGATAAATTGTCGTTTTAGCCAACAGTGTTTAAAGTAAAATCAGTAAAGTGTGAGTAATGATGGCTAAGTCAAAAGTCCTGTACTAAACACAATGGTCCGAGGAGAGCGGGGGCAGCGTTCAGAGAAAAGCGAATGCAAGTTTAACTAAAACAACTCTTGTTCAGAGAGAAAAAAAAATTAAAAAAGGACTTGGGATTTATTATCCTATTAGCTTTTTTTCTGTAGGAGCAGCTCTCAGGGTGTCCCGGGCATAAAGTCAAAATTTCCATTTACCAGAGATGTTTAGAAAACATGCTCTTAAAAGTGAACTACCAAGTTTTTGACTGGACAACATAAATAAGGTTAAATTCTTTCAGTATAATGAAGAATCCTGAAAGAGCTACAGTTCTTAAAGGGGCTGTCTAGGAAGAATTTCTGGGTGAGGAAAATCTAGAGGATTTTTTTCTTAAAAAAAAAAAAAAGATGAAATAAAAAGCACAATGATCAGTTGCTTATGTGACCCTGTATTTCAATATTTATACATTATTTTATATATGTACAGTCAAACCTTACTGATTCTGACTGAATTAGAAAAGAATCTGAATGATGAGAAGTTGAGGGTGATACATTAAATGAATGGGCTTTCATGTTTTACAGTCATGATAAATAACCATAGATAACACATATTACTAAGAACTTAATGGGTTCTAGGACCTCTGCAGAACATTTTACATGACTTCAACATTAAGTAACTTTCCTAGGGTCACATAAGTGACAAGCGGTGTAGCCAGTATTCAAACTCAGTTCTGCTTGTTTCCAAATCTGCACTCTTGACCATTATACATTTGGCCTCTATAGTCAACCTATAAATTTCATTGTTTTTATAATCTAGCACATAGGACTACTAAAAATGGTAAACAAATATGCCAAATGGGTATCCTATGGTTCATATTTTAACGTAACAGAAATTTTATTAGTAATGTAAATATTGTCATATTAACGGTTGATCAGCAAGGGTGCAAATAGCTAAAGTGCTAGTTGCTTAAACTGGTTTATGTTTAAGGACACAATGGCCTTGCACTGTCAATTATGTCACAGATACTATTACTTTTAATTAGTTAAGAATTTGAGGCAGCTTAGTACATATATACAGTAGAGAAAGGACACGTCCCCTTCTGATCTGAAGTCAGTCCCTCCACCTGGACTCTTGAGTCCATCCCCTCCAACTTTCTCAAAGGGGACTCTTATCCATAGATCACTTCATGTCTTTTCTTCATCTTTGCCTTTTCTCTCGGTAGCGGTCAATGATTGCTTTTTGTTTGTCCAACATTCTTTGATTTTGGGAACATTTCTCCTCCACTGCATATTAATAAGGTGGGGCTGTCAATCAAAAGACTCTGTCTTCTCTGCCACAGGATTTGGCACATGATACAGGCTGGACAGTAAGTGCATCCTATATCTATGGACACCATGGTGAAGCCCAGGTGGCCATAGATTCCACGCATGACTGGAGTCTTTTTTAAAAAGATTTGCATAAATGTTTATAGTGAGAGAGGAGAGAGGTCTCTTTCTTTCAGATATTGTGACTTCAAAGCCTGTAAATCTACAGCTGATTATAGCTATCTGTAAATATACATGGATAGATTCTAATAATAAGGCCAATGCAGAGGGAATCTGAGAAATTGGAGAGGGGGAGCCCTGAAAATATTTTTTGAACAACGCCTTAGATTGAATGAACTCTTCTTTTCTGATGACCATAGGTGATAATTTAATGAACTGTTATGCTAGATTATTATCCCAGAATACTAATTAAATTTTCACAGCCTTCATCCCAATAAGGTCAGTTTTCCAATCCTAAAGTCCCTCCATTTCTGTGGGGGCCTGTGTAAGTCACTCTTTGCTACCAATTTCTATACTAGTCCAGGTTCTTAGTTGTAAAAGTTTTAGCAGAACTTGATTTACTGTTCAGGTTTTTAGTTGCTAAATTTAGCAGAAGTGCATTTACGGAAAGGCCTTTGGATAGTCCACAAAATTAATCAAAAGTTAAAACACTAAACTAGACAATGGGCAAGGATCAAGAGAAACGTGGCCACAGAGAGCAGCCAATGCCTTCTTCCAGGAAGAGTCTGACTCGGGAGTACTCACCAGCACTGTGGTTGGGCATTTGTTGCCTCTGTCACTTCTCTGTAGTTGGACAAATATCTTCTAATTATCCCTGCTTTATTATGTCAACTCTTGTCAGAATCAAAGTCCTGGAGGGCAGCATCCTGTTGTTTCAGCCTAAGTCATGCACTGACTCCCGTTCCTATTCAGTAACTTTGTGTTTATTTTCATAAGGCATGTTGGTATATAATTTTCTTTCATTGTAATGTTTTTATTTTTTGCTATCAGGGTAATGCTGGCCTCATAAAAGGAGTTGGAGAATATTCTTTCCTTTTCTATTCTCTGAAAGAATTAATGTAACTGATATTACTAGTTCCAAATGTGTGGTAGAATTTGCCAGTGAAGCTATTTGGGCTTGAAGGTATCATTCTGGGAAGGCTTTTAAATAACAAATCCAATCATTTAAATTATAGAGGACTCTTCAGATTTTTTATTTCTTTTTGTGTCAGTTTTGGTAATCAGTGTCATTCAATAAATCTATTTTACCCAATTGTTGAGTTAATTGGCATAAAGTTCACAATATTTCTTTAAATATCTGAATGATATCTATGAGTCCCTCTTTTTCTGGTCAATCTGTCTAGAGTTTTATCAATTATTAGTCTTTTCAAAGAGGTGGATTTTGGTTACATTAATATTTCTTTATTGTTTCTCTGTTTTCTATTTCATTAATTTCTGTTCTTATCTTTATTTAGCTTATTTTAGATTTCACTGGCTTTTCTTCTACTTTCATAAGGTAGAAGTTGAGATCATTGATTTAAGATTTTTCTTTTCTAAGATAAGCACTAAATATTATAAATTGCCCTTCCAAGGACTGTCTTACTTTATCCCACAAACTTTGATGTGTTTTCATTTTGACTCATTTCAAAATAATTTATCTTGTGCTTTCTTCTTTAACCCATCAGTTATTTAGAAGTGTGTTATTAAGATCCAAATATTTGGGGATTTTTCATATACCTTTCTGTTATTGATTTCTTGTTTTATTTCTCTGTGGTCAGAGAATATGCATTTTATAATTTCAAGTATTTTAACTTTACTGATGTCTGCTTTGTAGTACAGAATATGATCTATTTTAGTAAATATTTCCTGCACACTCAAAAATGTGTTTTAAGCTGTTATTGGATGAAATGTTCTATAAATATCAATTAGGTTGAGTTGTTTGATAACAATTTTTACATCTTATATGTCCTTACTGATTTTCTGTCTACCTGTTTTATCAATTACTGGGAGAAAATTGTTTAAATTTCCAGCTACAATTAAGGACTTGTCTACTTCTACTTTCAACTCTATTAGATTTTAATTAATAAATTTTGAAGTTCTATAATTAGGTTTACTCATTTAATGTTACCATATAGTCTTGTTTTTATCATTATAAAATATCCATCTTTCCCATTGTAAGACTTTTTTTGTCTTAAAGTCTACTTTGTCTGATATCAATATAGTCACTCTAGCTTAGTGTTTGCATGATATCTCTTCCTCCAGTTTTTTTTTTTTTGAAAAACAGTGAAACTATTTGCAGATGACGTGGTTTTGAATGTAGTTGACAACAATAACAGCAGCAGCAACAACAAAAGCCCCCAATAGAACTAATAAGCGAATACAGAGAGATTGCTTAAGATACAAAATTCAATTATGTTTTTATATGTGAGGAATGAACAATCTGAAAATGAATTTAAGAATATTATTTCATTCATTATATTGTCAAAGAGAATAAAATACTTAGAAATAACTTTAATAAAAGAAGTACATGACTAGCAATTGAAAACTACAAAATATTGCTGAGAAAACAATGAAGATTTAAATAAATGGAGATACATTTCATGTTCATGAATTGGAAGCCTTGATACTGTGAAGACAGCAATTTTCCTCAAATTGATTTACATATTTAACACAACTCTTATTAAAATCTTAGCAGATTCCTTTGAAGAAGCTGACAAATTGATTCAAAAATTTACATGAGAATGCAAGGGACCCAGATTAGCTAAACAATTTTGGAAAGAACAGAGGTGGAGGACTTATGCTATCCAACTCCAAGACCACCTAGAAAGCCACAGCAAAGTACAACATTGGCCCAAGGAAAAACATGTAAGTCAATGGAACAGAACGGAGTCCAAAAATAAACTCTTAACTTTATGATCGATTGATTTCTTTCAACAAAGTTTCCAAAGCCTTCAAAGTGAGGAATGGATAGTCTTTTCAACAATGTTGGATATCCACATGCAAGAAACAAGCAAACAAACCACATACTTTTACCTGACACCATACACAAAAATTAACCCCAAATGGACCACAGATCTTTTCACTTTTGATCTGTGTTTTAAAATTTAAAGTGCTCTTGCTTTTTAATCCAATCTAACAATCTATGGTTTTTAAATGGGTCAATTAGACTTAATTTGTTTAAGATAATCATTGATTGGTTAGGTTTAAATCTACCACCCTGCTTTTGCTTTTCTGTTTATCCTTTTGTTCTTTGTTGTCTCCCCTCTCTTTTCCTGCCTCCTTTAGATTAAGCTTGTTTTAAGCTTTTATGTTATATCTAATATTTGCTTGTTAGCTACACTTTTGAGTATGTGATTGTTTTCTTCAGTAGTATAGTAACAGTCAATTAAGAAGACGAAAAATGAGAAAAATTGTTATATATATATATGCGCACATATTAATCTTTTGTTAGTATTCAATTATTCATTTCTTTGTATAGTCCTATATTTCCTTCTGGTATTATTTTCCTTTTGTTTTTGCCTGAAGAATTTCCTTTGATATTTTTTGTAGTTTCGGTCTGATAGTGATTAATTCTCTTTGCTGTTTCTTGTCTGAGAAGTTTTTACTTTGTCTTCACTTTTGAAAGATATTTTCACTGAGTAAAGAATTCTAGGCTAACTATTTTTTCTTTTTGGACCCTAAAGATGGTAATCATTTTTAGAGTCCAGATTAACATCTAAAGATGTTAATCATTTTAATCGTGGTCTATATTGCATAGTTTCTGATGAGAAGTTGTCTGTCATTCTTATCTTTGTGTCTTCTTTTCTACCAGCTGCTTTTAAGATATTCTCCTTAATTTACTTTTACTGATTTGATTATAATGTGCCTTGGTGTGGTTTCTTTGTTTCTTTTGCTTGGGTTTTTCTTTAACTTCTTAGATCTGTGAGACTATAATTTTAATCAAATTTGGAATAATTTTAGCTGTTCTTTAAAAATATTTCTGTTTCTTTCCCCTTTTGGGCTTCGATTATGTGTATCTTAGATAACTTGATAATATCCCCAAGGATATCGGTGTTCTGTTTACTTTTTCATTGTTTATTTCTCTCTTTACATTTAAAAAATAATTTCTATTACTATGTATTCAAGCACATTGAATTTTTATTCTGTAGTGTTTTTTATCCAATGTATTTTTAGCTCCAGATATTGTAATTTTTATCTCTAGAAACTCTTTTTTATATATTCCATTATTTTTTATTATGGTCATTTAACAATGTATTCTGTTTTGAGGCCCTCATTGGTTAATTCCATCATCTCTTTAATTTCTTTGTATGTTTCTATGATTGAGTTTTTTTCCTGGTTACAGGTTATATTTTCCTGCCTCATTTAGTTTTCTGTCACACAAAGACAGACCAGGTGAGTCAAAGACTCAAGTGGACCTGCTTTTATATCTTTGGAATGCTCTCTTTTTGAAAAATCTCTCTTTTCTCCAGCATTCTGTCCTACAAATTCTAACTTGTCCTTGCCCTCCCAAAAGTCCAATCTTTCTCTTCCCAGCTTAGCAAAAACATTAAGCTCTGTTCAGAGTACCCATTTTGGTACTGTGTCCTGGAGACTGTCTCTGGGCTGTAAGTTGGTATAATTGTAAGGCATACTGGTTTTTTTTTTGTTGTTTTTTTTTTGTTTTTTTTTTTTTCAGAATTACTGCACTGGCTGTGGTCCTATGTCTGAAAATTGTTTTTCATATATTTTGTCCAGTTGTATGCTCACTTAAGATAGAAGAAATCTATCCTTTGTTGCTGCATCTTGTCTGGACATAGAAGTAACCACATAAGTTTATATTATATTATATTGTATTATGTTGAATTTCTTCCTAAAATATTAATTTTCCAAAGAAGAATTACTGGGTCAATGGTTGTAAATTTTTTTTTTAACCTCTTCCTATATGTATATGTATATAGATATAGATATGTAGATATCTAGTTTATCTATCCAGGTTATCTATTTGTCCTTGTCTGAGTTTTGGTAGATTGTGTATTATAAGGAATTGACCAATTTCAACTAAGTTATCAAATTTGGGGGCATAGAGTTATTCATAATATTCCTTTACTGTCCTTTCAATGTCCATACGATCAGTAATGAGGATCTTTTTTATTTCTTATATTATTAATTAATGTTTTCTCTTTTCTTCCTTAGTTAGACTGGCTAGAGGTTTATCAATTTTATTGATCCTTTCAAAGAATCAGCTTTTGGCTTCATTGATTTCCTCTATTGATCTCCTATTTTAAATTCCATTGCTTTCTGCTGTAATTTTTATTTCTTTTCATCTGTTTACTTTGGATTTGGTTTGCTTTTCCTGTTCTAGTTTCATAAGGTGGACATTTAGATTATTGATTTTAGATCTTTATTCTTTTATAATATATGCATTCAGTGCTACAAATTTCACTTTAAACATTGCTTTTTTTTGCATCCACCAAATTTTTATGATTAGCACTTTTATTTTTATTTAGTTCCAAATATTCTCAAATTCCTCTTAGGACTTGCTCTTTGGCCCCTGTGTTATATAGAAGTGTGTTGTTTAATCTTCAATTATTTTGGTATCTTCCAGCTATCTTTCTGTTATTGATTTCTCATTTAATTCCATTGTAGTCAGAGAGCATACTTTGCATCTCTTTTGGTCTTGGATACCCTCTGTTACTTTCAGACAAAACTAGCCATGTGAGGTATTGCTCAATCCCTCTGCCCTAAACATGACTACTATCACAGGAGACATTCATTCTTTTTATACTAACTAGCTTCTGGGATTGGGGGAAAATATGCAGAGGTCATTTAGCCTTCCTATAGTCATGTCTGTATCCCAATGAATTCAATACTCATTTGCCCCATGCTTCTTCCTAATCTCAGCTTTCTCCTCGGATGTGAGCTATCATGTTCTTCTCATCATTTAATATAATCCTCTTCTGAGAATTCTTGCACATATTCTGAGTGATCTTTTCTCTGTATAATAAATCCCATCTGTTTCTCAAGGATACTGCACTGATAGTTTTCTCTCTTATGTTTGAGTACTCAGAATATGTTATTTATTGTTGTGTAACAGACCGGCTCAACACTTAGTAGCTTAGAGCCTTAACACTTACTTAGTTCATGGGTCAGCAGTTTGGGCTGGCTTAGCTGGGTGGCTGGGCCAATTATGGCTGACTAAACTCACTCAAACATTTGCTGGCAGCTGCCTGGTTAGCTGGGGTTGTCTGGTCTGAGATGGTTCAGCTGGAATGGCTTGTCTCTGCCCTACGTGATGTCCTACCATCCAGCAGGCCAAGTCTGTACTTGCTCATATGGCAACAGTAACAGAGGTTTCAAGAGAAAAAGAAGAAGCATGCATTTAAGGCATCATGAGGCCCAAGCTTAGAACTTGCACAATATGACTTCCATGGCATTCTACTGATCAAAGAAAGTTTCAAAGTAAGTCCAGATTCAAGTAGTGGAGAAATAGACTCCACTTGTTGATGAGAAGAACTGCAAAAAACTGTGGCCATTTTTACAATCTAGCACATTTTGTTATATAAACATTTATCTTGTCTATAACTTTTAAGTCTCGTTATCCTGGTTGTGGTGGTGGTGGTGGTGGTGGCAGTGAGCTCTATTAACACTTTTGTGTGGACTCAGTTCATCATTTTCTACTTAACTCTTTAATTCTATTTGCAATTTATTCTGGTATATGCTGTAAGACATATTGCTAATATATTTTCCTCTAAAATGTATATATATATATCTGAATTTTAAATCATTTATTAAAAATTATTTTATGATTATTTTAGAAAGCTTACTTTATCAACTGTTGAGTTTTTATAGATAACAGGGTCTATTTCTGGACTCTTGTTTCATTGAATAGTTTTTGTTTTCCTTTAACACCTCTCTGTTTGAATTATTATTTCTTTATGATAAGTTTTAGTAACTAATAGAAGGAAATATCCTTACTGTGCATTTTTTCAGTTTTTTTGTCATCCTCACATGTAGATTTTTCCTTGTGAACTATCAGTGTTTCCTAAATTCCATAACTATATTGATACTGTGTTCAACTGAAAAATAATATGGATGGAAAAATTAAGTTTTCTAATTTTTAAGAATACTGTAAACCTAGATGATAAATCTCCTTATATATTTAAAATTTTAAAAATACAGTAATATTTAGACTTTCAAAATACACTTTCTAAATTTCTTTCATTAAATTTACTTGTTGTATTGTTTCCTTCCTATGGTAAATGAAATCTGGATCTATCTTTTTTTAGAAATGATATATAATTTAAATAGTTATTGCCGGCACAAAGAAGTGGTACTGATTTTTCAGAATTTATCTTGAACTTCAACTATTCTACATAAATTATTTTATGACTTTAGGTGGTTTTCACATGATTCTTTTGGATTTTTTTTCAGGTATACAAAATCATGTCATCTTCAGTTATTAATTTGTCTCTTTCTAATACATATTTTTCTTATTTGTCCTAAAATTTTGCATTATTAAAAATCTCTAGCTGGGCGTGGTGGCTCATGCCTGTAATCCCAGCACTTTGGGAGGCCGAGGCGGGCGGATCAAGAGGTCAGGAGTTCGAGACCAGCAGCCTGGCCAGCATAATGAAACCTCGTGAAACCCCTCTCTACTAAAAATACATAAAATTAGCCAGTCCTGGTGGCAGGCGCCTGCAGTCCCAGCTACTTGGGAGGCTAAGGCAGGAGAATCGCTTGAACCTGGGAGGCAGAGGTTGCGGTGAGCCGAGGTCACGCCACTGCACTCCAGCCTGGGCAACAAGGGTGAAACTCCGTCTCAAAAAAAAAAAAAAAAAAATCTCTAATACATTTTAAAATAAAAAGGATAGCGTAGGCTTCTTTGTTTTGCTTTTGAGTTTAATTAGTACACCATTGAGAATAAAATCAATTAATTACAGCATCTGCTGAACAAATAAATTTGATTGTACAGATTTTTGATGTGGGTATTTTTATTAGATCTTAAAATATTAAATCATAATTCTATTTCTGAAATAATAAGTAGTTGGTTATGATGTTCTTTTGAATGCTGATTATATTTCAGTTTAAATATTAATTAAAAGTTAGAGATTTTTGTGTATTTATAAAAATAAAAATATCCAAATACAATATGACTTTTTGTTTATTCTTCCGTTTTTAACATTTTTTTGCTGTCTGTATTTTTTTATTATTGATTTTAAGGTGCATTCAAATCATTTTTTTCCAAAAAGTGTTATGTTTTTATAAATAACTTATATCTGCCATCACAACATAATGATCTCCTTCTCTTACATGCAAAAGCTCATTAATAATATTTGCCCACATTACATTTTAGACTATTGACTCTCTTTGTGCTTTATGTGCATCTCTAAGTTCATGCAAGGATTTAAATAATTAAATAGGATATCTTGATGAGTTTTCTACATAATTTTATGTTCTTTGTTAATTCTCTATCTTCCTATTTTATGTTTTTTAAAGTTGAACTTCTATGTTTTTTCATTTATATTATGAATGTTAATGGACTGTACTGTTTTCTTTTTCACATTAGAATAATTTGAAAGTTTAATGTCCTACACTTACCATTACTTATGACTAATTTTAAAGAGTCCATAAGCATCCTTAATTGGAGTAGTCATTAATGTATTACTATAAAATTAGCCACAATTGATCGAGACCATCCTGGCCAACACAGCGAAACCCCATCTCTACTAAAATACAAAAAATTAGCTGGGCGTGGTGGCGCTCGCCTGTAGTCCCAGCTACTCGGGAGGCTGAGGCAGGGGAATCACTTGAACCCGGGAGGCGGAGGTTTCAGTGAGGTGAGATCACGCCACTGCACTCCAGCCTGGCGACAGAGCAAGACTCCATCTCAAAAAAAACCAAAAAACAATTAGCCACAATCACTTTTGGCACATATTTTCTAGTCTAATATTACTTTACGTCTATACATTTAAACACAATTACTGTGATATCTTGTCTATGGAGGATAAGACATTTTTGTGCTTTGTGGCTCCCCCTTTCTTCTGTTCATTATTTTCTTAATATGAGGCACTTATGCCTTCATTATTTTTTATTTATTTTGTCCGACTTTTATTTAAATTATTACTCCCATTACTTAAATGTTTCAGCAATATCAATCTCCTTTTTTCTTCGATTTGCTCTTATTCCGTTAATATCAACTCACTATCTTTTTCTACTAACATTTGCTTATTTTTAAAAGAAAAAAAGGAAACTTGACTTTACTGGATACCAGGGTGCGTTTCTACATCAGCTTTCCCCTCCAAAGACTCCTTCTTATGCTCCTGTCCCAGGGTTTGGTGAGCTGGTTAACACTCCATGTGATCTCTGCAGAGAAGATGTTCTGGAGGTTTTCTAAAAGATAGACCATTTGAACATTTTTGTCTTTCCTACAACTCATAGCTTGGCTGTGTATATCGTTCTTAGATCTGACTTTTTTCCTTAAAAATTCTGAAGCTCTAATTCTATTATCTTGGGATAGCAGTAAAGCAACCTGAAGACATTCTAATTTTGGCTTAAAATGGTGAAATCTTTATTCTCAAAGTTGAAGCATTTTAATAGTTACTTTCCAGAGTTAGTTTCTGTTTATTTATTGAACATGAGGCAGTGATTTTTTAAAATTAATTTATAGTTCTTTTAATAATTTTTTTTAAATTCTGGATCTTAAAAAATTATATCTTGATTATTAATTTTAATTTTGCCCTTCAGGTACTTTTTTTTTTTTTTTTTTGAGGCGGAGTCTCTCTGTCAACCAGGCTGGAGTGCGGTGGCGCAATCTCCGCTCACTGCAAGCTCTGCCTTCTGGGTTCACGCCATTTTCTTGCCTCAGCCTCTCCGAGTACCTGGGACTACAGGCGCCCGCCACCACGCCCGGCTAATTTTTTGTGTTTTTAGTAGAGACGGGCTTTCACCGTGGACTCTATCTCCTGACCTCGTGATCCGCCCGCATAGGCCTCCCAAAGTGCTGGGATTACAAGCGTGAGCAACCGCGCCCGGCCCCCTTCAGGTACTTTTATAGTTTGCATTTTGGATTTCTGTTCTTCATCTTCCATATCCTTCTGTTTTCTGGTATTCTTTTGGTCTTAATAATAATTATATGCGTTGAGCCCCCAAGAATGTATACGTATTTACAAATCTTTAAGTGTAACTCCTTGGGATTTGTATCAGAGCAGACGTTGACCTTGCTTCTTTTTAAAGCTTTGTTCTTTTACTTTTGAGTTAGAAAATTTTATTTTAAAAATACTTTTGGCCGGGCGCGGTGGCTCACGCCTGTAATCCCAGCACTTTGGGAGGCCGAGGCGGGCGGATCACGAGGTCAGGATATCGAGACCATCCCGGCTAAAACGGTGAAACCCCGTCTCTACTAAAAATACAAAAAATTAGCCGGGCGTAGTGGCGGGCGCCTGTAGTCCCAGCTACTTGGGAGGCTGAGGCAGGAGAATGGCGTGAACCCGGGAGGCGGAGCTTGCAGTGAGCCGAGATCCCGCCACTGCACTCCAGCCTGGGCGACAGAGCGAGACTCCGTCTCAAAAAAAAAAAAAAAAAAAATACTTTTAATACTCTTCCCTCCTTCTTTTATTTGTTTGTTTCTGAGGATGCAGAAAATTTAAGCACATACGAACTGTGACTTGTGGGAAAGTGATATTTTGATTCCAGTGTTGTTCTCTTTCAGCAATCTTTCCAAGTTATACTTTCTAAGCATTCGTGTCAAAGTCTGGGTTCCTCCTACCAGGAATATAACAGGTGCAACATGCCACCTTCACAATTAGACTCCGTACAGTCCCCATCCCTTCAGCTACCATAAAGATCCTGGATTTGCAGTTTACTGATACTAATCAAAGAACTTAGAGAAAAAAAGTGTGACTATTGGCAGAGCATGGTTTATTTAGAAGGGTACCTACAGTAAACATTCTAAACGGAGACAGGGGTGTGCTTCCTATCTGACAACAATCAAGACATGCAGGACAGCCAGTGCAAGCCAGTCCTCTTCTAGCAGCAGGCTAAACTCCGTGAACTCTGACCACCGTTGCTGGAAAGCTCCAGGAAGGGGTCAGGCTTGGCATGCCAGCTGAGAGCCTCAATTCTCAGAGCTAGACAGTGAAATGGGCTGCTTCTTAAGAGGTCTCCAGGGAGGCAAGACTCAAAGCCCAGAATTGCCTAACTTGCATTCGTTCAGGCTTCCTCTTGACACATGATGAGGCACTGCAGAAGGCTGAAGTCCTCTCAGGTAACAAATTTCAGCAAGAGCCCTTTGGGAGGGCCAAAGCCCTATCATTATATAGAGAGATTCTTCAAGGGGATTTTTTCAGCTGTGCTAGCTAGACTTGCTGCATCAGCCTCATCTGAGAAATTGTTAGACATGCAGGTTCTCTTTTGTTGGTGGTTAATTTTTCTTAACTTTTATTTTAAGTTCAGGGGTACAAGTACAGGTTTGTTACGTAGGTCAACTTGTGTCATGGGGGTTTGTTGTACAGATTATTTCATCCTCCCTGCTCCTCCCACCCTCCACCCTCTGAAAGGCCTCAGTGTGTTTTGTTCTCCTTTATATGTCCATCTGTTCTATTATAAATGTGGATTCCTGAGCCCTGCCTCAAACCTACTGAATGACAGACTCTCAGGGTGGAGTCTAACCATCTGTGCCTTAACAAATTTCCCTGGTGATTCTGATTGAGAACCACTATTTTACAGACTGGCACCTA
Organism: Homo sapiens; assembly: GCF_000001405.40. Classification (NCBI taxonomy): domain Eukaryota; kingdom Metazoa; phylum Chordata; class Mammalia; order Primates; family Hominidae; genus Homo; species Homo sapiens. The sequence continues at coordinate 95,991,301 of NC_000008.11, read as the reverse complement.
CAAGATAGAAATACTAGGTTAACTGAAAAAATTAGGCTGGGTGTTATCCACTTTGGAACCAAACAACTGTATTATTATGGCAAAAAAATTATATGCTTTATTTTCTTTTGAAGACATTATAGCCATGCAGATTGATTCTTTTAGATAACTTCAATAACATTTGCTAATTCAATTAGCAATGACATATTGAACATATTCAGTAACATTTGCTAAAACAAATATCTATTAAACATCTGCTGGTTTGTGCATTATATCTCAGTAAAGCTGTTAAAAAATGCAGCAGCAAGGAGTGGTGGCTCACACCTGTAATTTCAGGACTTTGGCAGGCCAAGGTAGGAGGATCACTTGAGCCAGGAGTTTGAGACCAATCTGGGCAACATAGTGAGACTCCGTCTCTACAAAAAAAAAAAAAAATAGCCAGTCATGGTGGCACATGACTGTAGTCCCAGCTACTTGGGAGGCTGAGGTGGGAGGATTGCTTGAGTCCGGGAGGTCAAGGCTGCAGTGAGCCATGATGGCACCACTGCACTCCAGCCTGGGTGACAGAGTGAAATCCATCAAAAAAAAAAAAAAAAAAAAAAAAGAAAGAAAGAAAGAAAGGAAAGAAAGAGAAATGAAAAGGAAAAGAAATGCATTGACCACTTAAGACCTGTGAACTCTACCTGATTATGTTCCTGGCAGGGCCCAGAAAACATTCAGTTCACTAAGGCAATAAGAAATATACTGGTAAGAGGGTTTGTGCTTTTGTAATACTTGCTGCTGTGGTGGCAATGAAGTGGACTCCATGTAGAGATGACCACTGAGGAGGAGGCTGGGGTGAAACAAATGGTCGAGGGCCCCAGGTACAGGTGAAGCTGGGAGGAAATGAAGTAGTGATTACTAGGTAGAGATACAACACTGCCTATTTAATGTGTCTATGTCAAAGAATATAATTTAAGGTGCCATTCTAAAGCAAAGCACACTAAGACTTATGACTGACATGTATAGGAAAAATATGTGGGATGAAAGTTATTGAATGGAAAAAGGCCAATATTTCAACAGCCTTTATCTCTGAATGTGAATGGACTAAGTGATGTATTAAAGGAACAAAACATTCCCAGGCTTCTTCCTGAGAGCTTATCATTGTTATGGATTATTTACGTAACTTATTTATTTAATCATCTTAACAGGTTTAAAAACAATGTATTGCCTCTGTTTTAAAGATAAGGAAATTATAGCATGCACAGATGACTTTAACTTGCCTTGCCCTGATTATACACCTAACAATGGCAGAGCAGAAATGAAATCCAGAAATGTCTGGCTGTGATGCACATCCGCTGAGTAGCTACTGCATGTACTGGGGGAGAGATAGCATCCTGTTTCAAGTGTGGGTTCTCCCGAGAAACAATGTCAACAGAATCAATATCTGTATCATCTCTATCCTTTCTCTCTCTCTATATATATATATACACACACACACACACGTATATATGTATATATATACGTATGTGTATATATACATATATACGTATGTATGTGTATATATACGTGTGTGTGTGCTTGTGTGTGTGTGTGTGTATATATATATATATATATGGAATTGGCTCACACAATCATGGAGGCTGGCAAGTTTCAGATCTGGAGGTTGAATCAGCAAGCTAGAGACCGAGGAGAGCCAATGGTCTGTCTCCAGTCTGGGTCTGAAGGCTTGAAAACTAGGAGAGCTGATGGTGCAGTTCCTGTCCAAAGGCTGTTAAGCTCAAGACCCAGGAACTGATGGGTCCTGAAGGCCCAGGAATTGTTGGGAACTGAAGTTGATGTTTCAGTTTGAGTCTGAAGTCATAAAAAAAGAGGCAGTGTCCCAGTTAGAAGGTTATTGGGCAGGAAGAATTCTCTCTCACTCAGAGGGTCCGCCTTTCTGTTCTATTCAGGCCTTAGACTGGATGAGGCCCACCCACAAAACCGGGGTACAATCTGCTTTACTTTTTGACCAATTCTGATATTAATATTAGCCAAAAACACCCACACGGACTTGCCTAGAATAATGTTTAGCCAAATGTCTGGGTACCTTGTGGCCCAGACACAAAATTAACCACTGTACACACCTCATCTTACTCAATCCTGACAATTGCCTATGATTGCTATTTTACAGCTGAGACATGGAGGATGGTCAACTAAATGGTCCTTTCGTGGTCACTCTGCTAGTCACTAGGAAAGCTGAGATTCAAACTCAGCACTCCCTGGAGCTAATGCGAGCTGTTTCCCTTGTATGCCACACTTCTTTCAACAAACAAAGTGTTCCATAATGGGGAGAGGCTGTTGAGAAGATGATGAGGACGTGTGTTCAGCAATGTTTTGGGAGGACTAATTAGCAGAGAGTATGGGATGGATTTGAGCTTTTTCAAGTGTAGGGAAGGAGCGGAAGACTAATGTTTATTCTAGAGTCTCATTTAACACCTCCAGGTCTTTAACCACAGACAGAGTTCATTGATGAGAATTTGAAGCATAATCCTAGAGTTCAAATGTACTAAGCCTTTTCTTATTCCCATATGTGTTTTAAATAATTTCTCTTTTCTAATAACTATATCCTGGATTTCTGTAGTGTGTTGGGTTATTTAGTTTTGTTTAGTTATTGAAGTACTCTCATGCTTCTCTTCCAAACACTTAAGATTAAATAGATACTACTATTCACCTTTCACGATTGGAAAATTAATTTATGCTCAGATGGTTCTTGGTACTTACTATTGAAAGGCAGTAGAACACAGTGGTTAAGAGTTGAACTCTAAAGTCAGACCCCAGCTCCACCACCTACCAGCTGTGTGTCTTTAGGCAAATTACTTAACCTTTCTGTGGCTCAGTTTCTTCATCTGTAATGGGTTGTAATATAGGAGTCATTGCATGAGAAGCACTTAGAAGAGTGCCTGGCACAAATTAAGGTTTCTAAGTGTTAGCATTTTTTATCATCGCTGTGTGGTAGGCACTGTTTTAGGTGCCAGACATAGAGCAGTGACTAAAACAAACAAGGTTATTTTGTCCTTTGCTTTTGTGAAACTCACATCCGATTGAGGAAGACATACCTCGATCTTTACTGTTTCTCAGATAAATAATTTTAGCGGAGCCAGGCACAGTGGCTCACGCCTGTAATCCCAGCACTTTGGGAGGCGGAGGCAGGTGGATCACCTGAGGTCAGGAGTTCGAGACCAGCCTGGTCAACATGGTGAAACCCCATCTCTACTAAAAATACAAAAATTAGCCGGGCATGGTAGCAGGCACCTGAAATCCCAGCTACTTGGGAGGCTGCGGCTGGAGAATCGCTTGAACCTGGGAGGCAGAGGTTGCAGTGAGCCAAGATCATGCTATTGCACTCCAGCCTGGGTGACAAGAGTGAAACTCCATCTCAAACAACAACAACAACCAATTTTAGCTAAAAATATTATTTTTACAATCAAAGAAACACACATAAACACATAAACCCAAAACATGCCTAACCTCAATAATAAGAAACTGAAAACAATTAAAAATATTTTCCTTATCAATTTGGCAAAGAGGAAAACGATAGTGCTGGTGAGATTGTGGGGAAGGAGGGTCTATGGTGCTGAGTGCCACGGCTTTTCTAGAGGGCATCTTCAATTGACCATCTTTCCCTCATGCTTCGTACCTGGTCCATCTGCAAGTCTGTGGTCTTTGTCTTGAAATACACATTCAGAAATGTCCCCGCTATCTCCTTGCCCCAGGGCAAACGCTTTTATCCTTGTCTGAACTATTGCAACACACACCTAACTGAACTTCAGCTTCCATCATCCATTCTCCACCCAGCAACCAGAATGGTGTTCTTAGTGTGGAATGCCAATCATATCACTCTCCTGTGCAAAGAGCTTCCCACTGTGGTTAGAACCTTGTGGTCTAGCTCCTGCTGACCTTCCCCATATTCCTCCTCTGGCCCATTCCACTCCAGCCACCTTGGCCTGACAAGTCCTCAATTGGGCCAAGCTCGAGTTTTTCCTGTTTTTTTCTCTCTGCCTGGAACACCCACAGAGATGGTCTCTGCTCACAAGTCATGCTCTCAGACAGACTCTCTAACCATGCTCTGCAAAATATCGAGGCCCCATCACTTTACTTTTGTCTGAAGCACTCATAACTCTCTGCAATCACATCATGAATTTACTTTTTCATTGTGAATTGTCTGCCTCATCCACAAGTGTAAGCTGCATGTGGACCAAAGCCTGGTCTGAGTAGTTCAGCATGCCCAGGATACCATTTATCTCAATAAATATTTGTTGAGCAAATGAATGATGTTATGGACTGAATATTTGTGTGCCCCCCCAAATTTCATATGTTTTATCTTATTTATTTATTTACATTATTATTACTTTGCTTTTTTAGAGATGGGGCCTTGCTGTGTTGTCCAGGCTGGACTCAAACTCCTGGGCCCAAGCATTTCTCACACCTCAGTTTGTGGAGTAGCTGGGATTACAGGCATGTGTCACCATGCTCCAAAATTCATATGTTGAAACCTGATTCCCACTGTGATGGTTTTGGGTAAGGCCTGTGGGAGATGATTAGGTTGTGAGGGCGGAGCACCCATGAATCGGATTAGTGCTCTTAAAACAGTCCGAAGAGACCAGCATTCTTACTTTTCATCATGTGAGGACACAGCGAGAAGACATTGTCTAGGAACAAAGAAATAGGCCTTCATGATACACCGAATCTGCCAGCACCTTTATTTTGGATTTTCCAGACTCCAGAACTGAGAGGGACAATTTTTTATTCTTTATAAGTCACTTAGTCTATGGTATTTTGTTATAGCAACCTCAATGGACTAAGACAAATGAGTACGAAAAGTGTTAAGCACATGAATACTCTTAATCCAGCAATTCTAATTCTAGGAGATTATAAAAGCAGACAAAGGTATTGCTATGGGAATGTTCATTGTAGCATCATGCTAGTACCAAACTTGGCCCAACAATAGGAAATTGAATCATAAATACCCCACATTTATTTGTTAAATACTTTGAAACTATTAAAAATATGTGGTAAAATATTATTTAATACCATGGGGAAGTATTCACAATACATGATTGACTTAAAAAATTGTAAGACACAATGTACCGTAATAGTTCCTTTTGAAAAGAATGTACTATCTTTTCAATGGCCACTGTCTCTTGAACTGTTGGCCTTTTCACACCTGAATAGTAATAAAACCCACATTTAAAAATATGTTGAGGTGGATATTTGTGATCTGGTGGTAAATCAAGACTGCTTCATGCCTTGGCTCCAAAAGAGACAGCTGAGTCTAGTAGTCAACACTTTCTGCCTTTCTCCCAAGTAGAGGATGCTGTGCAGCCTCAAATAGGTTGTTCAGACAATCAAGACAGTAACAGTATCACTGCATTTTTAGCTCTCTAAAGCTCATGTTCTGAATTGCCTGTTGTTTTAGAAATTTTAATATTGAGGTTCCTTGTCAGCCAGTTGCAGACTTGGGTGGCTTTGGCCATTTTAATGAGTTGCTCAACATAATGCCCTCTATCTTGTGAGTGACAACTACTTCTTTGACCAACAGTAAAAGGGTTGAGCAGAAAGTAACCTTTTACTAAGCCAGTTAGAAAATGCATGGATTGTCATGCTTTGTAGGGGCACAAGAGGGAAAGAATGAATAATTCAATGTAAGAAAGGAAGGGAAGCAGCTGCTTGTCCTCCCAAAATAAGAAAATAAAGATCATTTACCTTAAACTAATCAGAAATTCAGCCCAACTAGACTGATATTGAATTAACTTAAAGTGAAACCACATTTCTTTCTTTGCCCGAACCCATTCTTATGTTAACCTGCAAGTGTTTTGGCTGGGATCCCAGTGGATTCGTATGAAGAATGTATTTTTTCTAATTTAAGTTTGCCCTCTTGATGCTGTAGAGTGATACTGCCTTGGAAGTAGCTATAAACCCAGGACAAATTTGTAAAATTTGCAGCTAGTATGAACAATTGATGTTGCCATTTCTCATGAGATCATCTCTTCCAGTTGGTGTAGAGTAGTTTCATTTTGAAAGAAATATGTAAATGTCTGTATTTTGAAAATATGTTTTATGCTACATTATAGCATAATTTTTGTTGAGTTTTTTTTTGTACATGGACTATAATATGAATCTTTTTCTCAAAGAAAAGACTACAGTTTTGTAACAGAGCTTACTTTTGAAATCAAAATCCTTAGATTAAAAAAAATCATAATGCATATATCTAAGCCTATAAAAATGCATGATTCTGTGCACATAATGATGCAGTAAGAATTCAGAGTTCTCAAATTTGAAGTTTGTGGAGTTGGGCAAACCTCAGGAAGAAGGGTTCATGTTTTTTGGGTAATCCTTGCCACAAAGAATCCCACTGCTGTGAAGAGTGAAAATGAAAACCATTCAAGAAAAGAAACCCAGTATACATTTCTGCTTGCCATTCTGCTTCTGACAGAGACAAGGAAAGAACTGAAAATCTGTCTTATACTGAGTTTCATATGAAAATGCCTAGCAATTGGAGGCCTATGCAAAATGGATCGAAAGCAGGTCACAAGTGAATTGAAAAGACCCTCAAAGGGCATATTGCTTAGAACCGATAGGGAGCCACTATATGGAACCGTATGATTAACTTCAGGAAACAGAAGTCTGAAATGAATTTCATTCTCTTTAGTGATGTTCTGGGTTGTGGGAAAGCCTTTGAAACAGCATAGATCTTCCAAGAAGACCTGGCTTCTGAGATGGCACAGGTGGAATCCTCTTCCTGTAGATATTTTGGACTACCTGGCTCTCTCATGCTTAGGAACTCCAGGATGCTAGCAGCTTTCCTCCGAGGTGGGAGGCTCCCCTGGAGGCCATCTGTACCTGAGGACCGACCCCTTGCAAGGGCTCTGTTTGCTGACTCAGTGAGATCTGGCCATCTGCACTCCCTGCTAGGCAGATGTTCCTTTCAGGATTCAGTTCATGCGGCAGATGAAGATGCAGAATGCATATGTGAGCACACATGGAATTCCTCATTCTCCAGTTCTGGGGAAGCCCTTCAGAGAACTGGAGCCTGTCTCTCAAGTCCCACCAGCAGATGCCCCTGCTGTGTGTGAAGGCCAGAAGCATCTTACAGGCTTGTGTCTGTGGCCAACTTGGGTCTTGATCTAATTTGACCCTCTCATTAGTTCTTGATGAGGGAGTCAATGCTTTGCACTGGGCATGTTGTTCTGCTTTTAAAGATATTTTCCTAAATAAGGCCAAGGAAAAACAAGACATATTTGGAAGTTATTTTTAAATACATCTCACTGAAAAAGACATCGTTTCCTTCATTTTCAAGTGACCACATATGCAGTCTCTTCCGTAAGTTTTGCCACAAAATGTTCTCAACAAAATAACTCTGTGCAGACTTAGTTTTAAGCAGAATTTCTGCTAGCTTCTTGCTTTGTGACCCTGGGTAAGTCTAAAATGTAAGTCTGGTTATAGGGTTCCTCTACATAACCCTGGTCCTGCCTCCTGATTCCCCACAGTCCGCTGCATGGCTACCAAGGCCCTTTGTGATTGAGTCCCCCTCCCCTCCATTCCCTCTCCCTGGCAGTCTTGGTCATACCTGCCTCAGGCCATTCCTGCAGCTGGCTGTGTTCACTCTTGCTCCTTGGTCATGCACACACTGTTGCCTGCAGATGAGCTGCTCTTTCTCCTTCCTTCCCCTCATTATATTCAGCATACTACTACCAATTCTCTAGGTCTTTGCTTAGATATTGTCCCTTTCTGATCCCTCTGGTGTGGGTTCAGTGCCCTTTGTATGTTCTCGTACTGCATCCGATAACCCCATGGTAGCTCTTCATTCTTCTGTATTATAATTGCCTGTTTTCTTGAACATTATTCTCCCTCTAAAGCCCCTCTAAAATAGACTTTAAGCTCCTAAGAACTAACTATAGACTAGACTACCAATAAGCGTGGGGCTTACTGATCTGACTGTACCATTGGAGCTGGGCTTTGCAGCTGGGCCAGATTCCTCTGGGTCTATACCAGTGTGACAGTCATCAGGGCTGGTCTAGTGTTCGGGCTGTTTCCTTCCAGGCCAATGATGGGATTGTATCTCCCTGTCCACTAGATGTTAGGTATGGCTGTGCTGTATGATTTCCTTTGATCGATGGGAGGTGAGCAGAAGTATGGGGCCTTCAGAGCTAGTTTGTGTTTCCACACATCTCCTTTGCCTCTCTGATTGGCAGTGTTCCAGATAAGTGTACTCCATTAGCTAGGGCCTTGAAGTGAGCATGATCATGATGTGGAGCAAAGTCCCTAGCCAGCTGTTAAAGGATGTGTAATCTAAACAAAAGATGAATCTCTGTTGTTTTCAGCTACTGAGAATTTGGAGTTATTTATTACTGAAGCATCACCTACACTATACTGATTGAAAAACTAAGATGATGGATAGATTTTTTCTGTGATGTCAACTCTTGATTGCCAATGGCTACTTAGAGCATTGAACTGTGAAGTGTATGTTTGGGTTCAGTGGGAAAGGATGCTGTGATTTATTAATGTCTCTATTAGCATAACATGGGAAATCAGAGCCTACTTGCCTATCTTGATTTATTCTGTGCTAATGATGAGTATATTTCATACCAGGTGTCTTCTCTTTTCCTGATGACCTATCTGCTTGACTCCTTGTTGCCTCTGCTATATGCATCAGCGTAACTAGTGTTAGAATTTCAACATAGCATGAAACTGAGTAAGTAATTCCCTAGCGGTCATAGGGTAAGTTAAGGAACTGAGACTAGTACACTGACTTCCAATCAAATATCCTTTCCCAACTGGATTGTTGTTTATTAACAGGTAAGCATATGAGATTCTCTACTTGAAAAAATGTTTTTTTCCTGAAAAAAATATAAAGTGGTGATTTAATTCTGTCTTTTGTCTATATTTCTAATAATTTACTAGCCATCGTAACGTTCTTTTCTAGTTTATTTTTATTACACAATGATGACACTTTTGGGTAATTAAGTCATTTTTCAGTACTTTAATTCATATGAGACTATAACTATGAATAAAAATATTTATTTTTAAAATAAAATTTATACATTGCCCCCTTCATTTGACATTTATACACTTAGACAATTATAACATTTCTTTGGCTAACATTTCCTAGGTGTGTCCATGCTGGGCAGTATTGAGTCATTCAGTGATCACTACTTGATGCTTGGTGCTCTGTTTGTTCTTCCTCAGTTTTTTGGCTGGCACTTCCCTCTTCCCACTTCTCAAATCATCCTCTGAATCCAATCATCAAGCACACCCTACTATTCCTGTCCTCTTAATTTCTTCCAGCACTGTTCCACCTTCTCCATCTCCATCTTTGCTGCCAAACAACAGTGCCAGTGTAAGCTTTCTCATCTCTGGCCCACACTGTTGAGGGAATATCCTCACTGGACTCCTTGCTTCATGACCTATCCCTTAGGTAACTGTTGTTTATTGAGTCCTTACATTGTGCAAAGCATCAAGCCAAAGATTACATATATTGTCTCTCTTAATCCTTACAATAACCGTATTGTTTTCAGGCCTCACAGAACCTGGATCCCTCCTGTCGTACCTCAGTCAGAATTTGCTTAGAGTAGATCATATGACTCCAAGCATCTGTAGAAACTATAAGTAGGGGGAAAAAGGCCAAGAGTGAGGGTCCTCATTTATCTTATCTCTCAACAAGAGAAGAACTTGCTTTGAGTCTCTTCAGAAAATGCTTTAACCCAAAGTCTGTTCCCTCCAGGGGGTTCTTAGGAGGCATTTTTTGAATGTGACCTTCTAATCCTGTGTCCAAATCATAGGTAAACACAGGCTTCCCATCTGTGCATGTTTAACACTCACAGGTGTGTCAGCCAAGGGGCTTTCCCTTTCCCAGTGGCCCTCAGCCCACCACTCAGCCCTCCAGTTCCTCTGGTGGGAGGTGGTTCCCCCTCTCTAGCCCACGCCAGCTATCTCCTCCACCCCAGGGCCTGAACCAGTGTCCTGTGATGCTGAGGGGAAGACAGACATCTTGGGATGGAGAGATTGATGAATCCTGGCCTACATGGATGGGTTCTTCCTTTCAGAAGCTTTGTGATCCTCCCATTCTATAACTGAGTCCCCAACAATTAAAAAAGAAAGACACCAGCTCAATTTATATTATTACTATTACCTATTTAGTGTATTTTTCTATTTAGCCTCATCTGTGTTAAATGCTTCCCACTAGAGTGAAGCTTTAATACTCTAGAATGTTTATATCTCCCAAAAATAGTGAATTCTGCACAAAGGCACAACAATAAGGCTCCCCTCAAGGCTTAGGAAAACTTGTTTTGGGTGAGATCAATTTCCTGAGAAAACTAACTTTTCCTAAGCAATAATTTGAACATAGTGGCTGAGATATTTAATTAACCCAAGTGTAGTGTTAAGAATGCAAATGACTTGACCAACAAGCACATAAAAAATGCTCAACATCATTAATCATTAGAGAAATGCAAATCAAAACCACAATGAGATACCATCTCACACCAGTCAGAATGGCTATTATTAAAAAGTCAAAAAACAACAGATGTTGGCAAGGTTGTATAGAAAGGGAATGCTTACAATGCTGGTGGGAATGTAAATTAGTTCCACCACTGTGGAAAGCAGTTCGGTGATTTCTTAAAGAACTTAAAAGAGAATTTCTATGCGACCCAGCAATCTCATTATTGGGTATAGACCTAGAGGAATATAAATTGTTTTACCATAAAGACACATGCAACCGTATGTTCCTCACAGAACTATTCACAATAGCAAAGACATGAAATCAACCTAAATGTCTGTCAGTGGTAGATTGGATAAAGAAGATGTGGTATATATACACCATGGAATGCTGTGCAGCCATAAAAAAGAACGAGATCATGTCCTTTGCAGCAAGATGGATGGAGCTAGAGGCCATTATTCTAAGCAAATTAACACAGGAACAGAAAACCAAATACCACGTGTTCTCGTTTATAAGTGAGAGTACACCGAGTACATATGGACACAAAGAAGGGAATGATAGACACCAAGGGTGGAGGGCGGGAGGAGGGTAACGATGGAAAAACTACCTCTCGGGCACAATGCTTATTGCCTGAGTAACAAAATAATCTGTACACCAAACCCTCATGATGCTTAATTTGTCTATATAACATATGTGTACATGTACCCCTGAACCTAAAGTAAAAGTTAAAAAAAGAATGTATATGACTATATTAACATGTCTAACGTTGAGACCTGGTCAGTTGTGTCTTCCAAGTGAACACAAGGGGATTGTCTGCATAAAGTCTAGAAAATGAGAAGCTAAAGAAATACAATTTTTCAGAGCATCTCTATCACTGTCTAGAGAAGATGGCACCCTGGCTAGTCTTTGGGGCCATTTCCATCAACTCAGGAAGGATATAGAGAGAGTGCTGAGTGGTTGGATGGATGAGTAAGTTAAGCCGACTCCTCTTCCTCTAATTGCGTGTTTATCAAGGACATTTTCTCATTATAATCTTGTTTTCTCCATAGATTCTCCTGCTGAGATAATTCTGACTATAGAATACTGGCAATTAAAGTTTTGGGCAGTTATGTTGTGCATAACACTAGTAGACAGCATCTATGGTGACCCTACATGGTCCTAGTAGACCTCCAAGGTGGCAGGACTTGAGTAGATACAAGCGTCTCTAGATGAGCTCTGTATCTCCTTCGCTGTAAATGTAAGAGAGTTAAATGTTAGTTTGTTTTAAATCTGTTGAGATTATGGTTAGTTGGGATTTGGTTCATAGGTATAGCTATATTCATGTTCTTCTAAATGTTCTTTACTTATCCATTTATTCAATTATTATTATTTTTGAGACAGAGTCTCGCTCACTTGCCCAAGCTGGAGTAGAGTGGCATGATCTTGACTCACTGTAACCTCTGCTTCCTGGGTTCAAGTGATTCTCGTGCCCAGCCTCCCGAGTAGTTGCGAGTTCAGGAATGAGCCACTACACCAAGATAATTTTTTGTTTTTTTTGTTTTTTTTGTTTTTTTAGTAGAGACTGGGTTTTGCCATGTTGGCCAGGCTGGTCTGGAACTCCTGACCTTGGGTGATCTGCCTGCCTCAGCCTCCCAAATTGCTGGGATTACAGGCGTGAGCCACCATGCCAGGCCCATTTATTCAATTATTTATGTAACAAATTGATTACCACTATGTTCCAGGCACATTATGAGATCCTGGGAATACAACCATGAATAGTGCACAGTCCCTGCCCATCAGGGGTTCTCAGTTCAGTTGGAAAGACCATATTTTAGACAAATAATCATAGAATATGATATGTACTGTAAAAGAGTTACAGAAAAATAACTGGTGCAGGAATGCTTAATTGTGCTCATAGCAAAGTCAGACAAGGCTTCCCATAGGAGGTAACATGGGAGTAGAGTCTTGCAGGCTGGCCAGGGGTTTGCCAGGCTGATAGGATAATCATAAATTCTCCAGGCAGAGTGAAGAATGTCTTCAAATAAGCTGTTCAGTCAAGACCACTTGAATGTGGGTTAGGGAATAAGGAAGGGGAAGATAGATGAAGCTAGAAAAATAGGCAGATGTCAGGTGAAGGGTTTTGTATGTTAAGAAATTTATATTTTTGTCCTGTATGCTAGAAGACAAGTTCTTGAAATATTTTTCAGGGAATTTCATGTATTGCATCATCTCTGTCTGATTATAGAGGATAAATTGGGTGGGTATAGACCTGGTATCAGGAAGACCAATTGGCAAACTCTTACCAGGGTCTGGTTGAGGGCTGAGGATTTGAATTGAGGCAGTAAAAATAAGAATGGATAGTTAAAGCCAGTTTTGAAGAAAATTAAGGCAGACAAAGTGTCAGAGGGCTGGGCATAAGTCCCAAATTTCTGATTTGAGGGGAGGGGCTGCCGGGAACCTCAATAAAGCATAAAGGAGAAACAGCAAGATATTTTTATGGAGAGATGCAAGATTTGTTTTGTGTTGACTTTGATCTATTCAGGTCAAATTTGAAGCTCAAGAAAGGTATCCAGGCTGGAAATAAATGCTTCAGGATTAATGAATGAGCAGAAAGTGAAGCCGTGGGCAGGATGACATTGCCCAAGAGGATCTTGTAAATTGAGAGAAAAATAGGGCCAGAGCCAGGCCCCGAAAGAACTTTCACATATAAGGATTGATCTGAAGAGTGAAGGAAGCTGAGAAGAAGGCGTTAATGGAAGATATGTTTTGGAATATTCTCATGTTAATTACCTTGTTTATAATTATCAGGACCATTCTTCCTTGCCTTTTTCTCTCTCCCTATTCTCCTCTTCCTGTCATCATTTCCTCCACCACTTTTTCTTTTTCCTCTTCCTCTTTTTCCCTCCTCCCTTTCCTCCCCTTCTTTCTTCTTTTTTATTCTTCTTTATTCTTTCCAACTCTTGACTGCTCCAAAATAAAATCTCTGATAAGGGATTTTTTTTTTCCTGGCAAAGTTTTTTCATACCCAATCTCAGAATCTTAATATAGACAAAGCACCATTTACTTACTTTGCAATAGCTACCTAACAGCTGATAGTAAGAAAAGCTAACACTGGTACTCTAATTATTCTCATTTGTAAACAGGAAGAAACAGGCTCAGAGAGGTTACCTGGCTTGCCAAAAGTCACATAACCAGATGTGCTAGTCAAGAGTCAAACCTATATCCATGAGCTTAAGTCCTAGGTCATGTTGCCCTTCCCTCTTCCCTGTTACTTGCTCTTCTTGCCAATTCTAGTTTCATGATGTTCCATCTCTTTGTAACTCAGCATCATTTTGAATCCTCCGAGTCTTAACTCCTACCTAGAAGAAAAGACCCCTTCCCAGTCTCCTTTCAGTGGCTTCAATAATTTTCAAGCTTTTCCTCAAGACCCCTGTAGTTTTGCAAATACAGCTTCCGTTTCTGTCTCCTATCTTCTGCCCAGTTTTGAAGTCTGCTCCTGAAGGTTGATTTTGCTACAAAAGAAGGTGACCTCACTCCTGACATATGATGGTGGTGATGATGATAATAATAATAATAATACTAGCAAACACTTGCACTAATCATAAGGCAGGTATTTACAAGTTCATTTTCACCTCCCAGCTGTCCTGAGGATAGTGTATGGGGCTTTCTCCACTCATAACAACAACTCCTTTACATCTAGACTTGGCCCTGGTTGGCTTTCCAGGAGTCTCATGTGGTGCTGCCTCCTTACTTTACGGGGTCCATGGCCAAGTCCCATCTTTTCCTCTGGTAGCATCTAAGTCCTTCTCTCTGGCTAGGCCCTCCTGCATAACCCCTGAGCATGTGGTCTCTATTTCCTAGCACTTTTGCTTCCTTTCTTTCTGATTTCTACTGCTTTTGAAAATAAACACTCCCAAATCTGCCTTTCCAAGTTGCTGACACTGCTGCAAATAGGGTATTAATGTGCCTCACTGCTGGAAACAGAGTTAAAAGCAGACACGGCCTCTCTCCTGGCACAGACTGCTGGGCAGGTAGAACTGCCCCAGTAAAATGAGCATTCTTGTTTTCCAAAGACAACATTTTTAGGCTAGTTGAATTTTATTTTTTTGCTTGGTTTCTCTGGCTGTAATAAATCAGGTAACATCCCAGTTTTCTCATGACCTTGGTGGGCTAGAGGAATAAATCTTGCCTTTCAACTTCAGGTTCCTACCTCCAAAACTAGAATGTTCTATCTCAGAGAGAAACGAAAGTGGGCTGGGGTTTGCATAACACAGGGTTAACATGCTGCATTTTCCTGTAGCAAGAGCTTTATTCTATAGAAGAAATAAAACCCCTGTTTATGGCGTAGAACAGAAAATTCACATTATTTTTAAGATAAAATGAGACTTCAGATTTCCTACTTTATAGGCTTGATTCCCAGAGGTTTGTATCACTCTCTTTCAAGGTCAGAGGTACTTTGGTGGAAAATTTTGTGAGGCTCTGGTCTGGAATGTTGATGAGCTGAGACAGGTGAAAGGGGCTGGTAGACAAGTGAAAGAGGCTGAGACAGGTGAAAGGTGCTCAATAAATTCTCCTTTCTTCCTACCTCTTCCCAGCTGCCTTCCCTCCATCCTTCTCTCTCTCCTTTCTTTTCTTCCTTTCTCAGGTTCTAGCTTTTATTTTCTGTCCCAGTGAAATGCCCTTTTTAGAGGGGACAGTTTGTCACTGGCATTTTCTAAGCATCAATGTGTTTGGGGATTGTATAATTGTTATAAACTCTTAGAATGCAGGAGCTCACAGTGACCACAGAAGTTTACCCCTTTCACTTGCTAGGTAAGGAAATCAATCAAGGTCACATAGGAGGTTGGAAGCAGAGCCAGACTACACCTCAGGGCTCTTGGCTCAGGGCTCTGAGCAAAGTCAAAGGGGCTCTAAATCAAGGCACTAGCTTTCGTTTCATGAACAGGCTGTGGGATTTGCAGATCATCTGTTGTTGATGCTGCCATAAGAACAAGATTATGGTGATGATAGGAGGTATCTGCTCCAGACTAGTAACAGCACAGACCTCTGGAAATGCCAGGGCTGGAGGCCCCTGCCGAACTGTAGCAAGCAGTGCCCGTGAGGCCCAGGGATCCAGATTCAGCCAAAACCAGGGCCAGCTGCTCTGGAGGAAGGAACACTTTCTTTTTTTCCTGCCTATCCGGGGAGCTGGGCATGTCCTGAGGCAGGACACTGATACTACAGCTGCTTTCCTGAGATGGAGGACATCATGAGTGCCTTCACATTCCTGTATCCTTGTTCTCCTTGGAAACTAGTTAAGTAATTTTTCTCAATGATTATATGGTAGATTGATAAGTGAAAGCTATTTTTAAAAATTTTATAAGCAAATGCAGATCTCTTCCTACAGATAAACTATTGCTACATGGACCATAGACCCAGAAGGATTCAGAAAACATGGGTGAGCCAGATAATTTTGCATCCTATCTTTTCTTCGAGAAATATATTTGAGAACCACTGTAAGACAAGTTTTGCTAGAGGAGCTTGGAAGACACAAAGACATGATTCCTGCACTCAAGAATCTGACTGTCTACTGGGGGATTTTATTCATTTTCTATTGCTGCTGTTAACAAATTACCACAAATGTAGTGACTTAAATGACGCAGTTTTTTATCTTAGAATTCTGGAGGTCTGAAGTCCAAATGGGTATCACTGGTCTACAGTGAAGATGCAGGCAGGGTTGTCTTCCTTCTAGACTCTTTCAGGGAGAATCTGCTTCTTGCCTTTTCTTGCTTCTAAAGGCTGTCCACATTCCTTGGCTTGGGGCCCCCTCCTCCATCTCCAAAGGCAGCACTAGCCACTAGCCAGTAAAGTCTTTCTCCAATGGCCATATCCTTAGTTCTTACTTTTCTGCTTCCCCCTTACATGTCTAAGTACCCTCATGATTACACTGAGCTCACCTGGGTAATCCAAGATCATCCCCTCATCTTAAAGTCAGCTGATTAGCAACCTTGATTACCCTTACCATGTAGTCCAACAAATCCACAGGTTCTGGGGATTAGGATCTAACATCTTTGGGAGGCCATCATTCTGCTCACCATGGAGATGCAGACATAGTCATAGATGATAATTAAACACTAGGATTTGGGCTGTGATGGCAGCATATAGGAGGAGCACCTAACTCTGTGTGGGTAATTATGTGATGGCAGGGCAAAAGTCAGAGAGGTCTTCCTGGAGAAGGTGACATTTGAGTTCAGATTTTTAGCTTGTGTGAGAGTCTGGCCAAGGAAGGGGAAAGGCATTCAAAGAAAAGAGAAAAAGGTACAATAGAAACAACGGTATTAGAACATGAAAGGGGATGAAACTGTGGCTGGAATGTGGGGTCTGGTAAGAAGAGTAGTGAGTGATCAGTAAGGTTGGAAAAAGTCATGTGTTGGAAGGTCCCAGCAAGAAACAGATGGCACTCTTAAAGAAGTAATTAAAAGGCCTTTTTACAATGGCTTCTTCAGGGTGGTGCCTTCCTATAGTCAAAGCTCTCACCATTTCTCAGTAACTCTTCCTTCCCATGGCCCCCAGGCCTAGGAAGGGTAACACTCC
Organism: Homo sapiens; assembly: GCF_000001405.40. Classification (NCBI taxonomy): domain Eukaryota; kingdom Metazoa; phylum Chordata; class Mammalia; order Primates; family Hominidae; genus Homo; species Homo sapiens. Next base: position 95,974,314 of record NC_000008.11, on the reverse strand, counting down.
TGGTTGTTGCTAGTCCTGGGGAGCTTGATCATCCCTTGTTGACTTACCTTAACCTAGTCCAAATATTGTAAAAGGGCCCTTTAACCAAACATTGTAAAAACTGTGGAATGCTATGCAGTGAATATGTACCACATTTTCTTTATCCAGTCTACCAGTGATGGACATTTAGGTTGATTCCACATCTTTGCTATTGTGAATGGTGCTGTGATTAACATATGTGTGCATGTGTCTTTGTGGTAGAAAGATTTATATTTCTTTGGTATATACCCAACAATGTGATTGCTGGGTCAAATAGAAATTCTGTTTTAAGTTCTTTGAGAAATTGCCAAACTGCTTTCCCCAATGGCTGAACTAATTTACATTCCTACCAGCAGTGTATAAGTATTCCCTTTCTACATGACCTAACCAGCATCTGTTGTTTTTTGACTCTTTAATAATAGCCATTCTGACTGGTGTGAGATGATATCTCATTGTGGTTTTGATTTGCATTTCTCTAATGATGAGCATTTTTTCATATGCTTGTTGGCTGGATGTATGCTTTTTTTGAAAAGTGTCTGTTCATGTCCTTTGCCCACTTTTTAATGAGGTTGTTTGTTTCTCGGTTGTAAATTTGTTTAAGTTCCTCATAGATTCTGGATATTAGAGGGCCTTTGTTGGATGCATAGTTTGCAAAAATTTTCTCCCATTCTGCAGGTTGTCTGTTTACACTGTTGAGAGTTTCTTTTGCTGTGCAGAAGTTCTTTCTTTAATCCAGTCCCATTTGTCAATTTTTGTTTTTGTTGCAGTTGGTTTTGGTGTCTTCATCATGAAATATTTGCCAGGTCCTATATCCAGAATGGTATTTTCTATGTTATCCTCGAGAGTTTTTATAGTTTTAGGCTTTACATTTAAGTCTTTGATCCATCTTAGGTTGATTCATGTATATGGTGTAAGGAAGGGGTCCAGTTTCAATCTTCTGCATATGGCTAGCCAGTTATTCCAGCACCAATCATTGAATAGGGAGTCCTTTCCCCATTGCTTGTTTTTGTTGATTTTGTGGAAGATCAGATGGTTGTAGGTGTGTGGCATTATTTCTGGGCTATCTATTCTGTTCCATTGGTGAATTTTTATTGAAGTCATAAGTGAAGGCTTCTGGGTTCACTATTTGGAGAATGGTCTTTGTGGAACTATTATGCTCCAGCAAGTCTGTATAAGCAGACAATTGTACCTGAAAATAAACAAGCATGAATATGGTTTCCTTCTGTACTCTAGGAAGGCTGCACTGCTGTTTTGCTTTCTCTTTCAGGTTTGATTAACTTAATGCTCAGTTGGAGGCATGAAATACAAGAAGATGAGCCTTTCCTCAATCACGGCCTTCTCTTACCTCATCACTCTCCAATAAGGGTTAGGGAGTTGGCTCAGATGTATAGCTTGAACAGATATAGCACTGAACTGAAGAGTACAATGCCTCTCCTTATGGGAATATGAATTGTGTGCCTCCAAAATTCATATTATAGTCCTAACCCCTAGTGCCTTGAATGTAACTGCATATGGAGAAAGATTTGCCTTTAAAGAAGTATTAAGGTTAAATGAGATAATATAGGTAGGCCCTAACCCAGTACGATTGGTGTCTTTATAAGAAAAGGTGATTAGGACACGGACATACACAGAAGAAAGACCTTGTGAAGACACAAAGGAAGATGACCACCTACAAATCAAGGGGCGAGGCTTCAAGAAACCAGCCTTGCTAACACCTTGATCTTCAACTTCCAAACTCCAGAACTGAGAGGAAATAGATTTCCGTTGTTTATGTCACCCAGTCTGTGGTGCTTTGTTATGAAGTTTTAGAAAACTAATGCACTCCCTTAGTTAAAAGAGAACAGCCAGAGGAAGACTTTTTAGAATGGACTCCCCCAGCCCCATCCCAGCATGCGTAGAGGGTGATTCCAAGCTGCCTGCCAGGAGAGGCATGCCCATGGAGGAAGCTCCAAGAGCTGTGTGTACTGGAAACTCACAGGGGCCCTTCAGAGTGGCCAGTGAAGGCTGAAGACAGATGGTGCTGGGGTCCTTTCATGTGGTCTTCCCTGAGGCTTTGCAAGCAGTTCCAATTTGTTTCTTGTAGGCTGATGCTAAATTCCGTTCATTAGCAAGTTTCCCAATGGCCTAATTTTATTGGTTCCTCAGGAGTTCCTCTCTTGCTTTTCAGGCCTCCAGTCATCTAAAATGTGGTGTCTTCAGCAAATTCACTCACCTCATTATGTGTGATCCCTCTTCTAGGCCATTTAGTCCTTCTCCCAGCTCCTAATAAATAAATACTGATTCTAAGACCAAAGCCCAAGAGGCCATACATTTAATTGCTTTCCATGCTGAGAGAGAATCATTTATTAGCGCTGTGCAAAGCACTGTGTTTGAAAACTCCAAACCACATGAAACGCCACAAGTTTTGAGCCAGAGCCTAACGGAGAAACAGCCAAGTTTCATCCGAACTTTGTTAGGCCTCATGACCTTTCACAAAACCTCAAAGCAAACATAATTCAGCCCCTGGATAGGCTCAAACTCTGAGTTGAGTGCTGTCATTTGTTTGGTTTTGTAGCAGCTGCTTATATCACAAATCCCCACTTCTGGTTAAAAAAAAAAAAAAATCTACAAGATGGCTTCAACCCAGTGTGACGTTCATTTTATTTTTGTTTTGTAATATATCTATTGATTGTGAAACTCATGACTCCTTTGGAAAGCTAGCTCTACAGAACAACTTGTGGGTTTAGAACTGCCAGGTGAATTGGAACCAAGAGAGTAAAATGGAATTTAGTGAGAAACCAATTGTAGTGAATCTGACTGGAAGGATGAGAGGAGGAGATGGGGGTAGCAGTCAGGAGGTCAGAGGAGAGTAGTTTTATTTTGTTTTCAAGAAGAAATATTTTGGGCCGAGGCCTTGTCTGGACCTAGTAAGTGTTTGGTAAGAATTTGACTCTTTTTCAGCACGTGTAATCTATAGTTTCCCTGTGTCCTAAACTTAATTCAGAGATCCCTGTAAAGGACATGACAGCCGTTTATAGATCACCATGTATCCATCTGGGCCTGCTGGGATGCTGTCTGCCTGATTAGAATGGCTTGACAGTGAAGGCTATTTGGAGAAGGAGGCCAGCCCATGGCTCATCTTGTTATACTTGGACTGAAAAAAAACACGAATTGGCAGACAGAGCGGGTGTGGACTTCAAATCAGACATGTCACTGGTTTGAGACAGGGGCCTTGGGTTGAGGCAGACCCAAAAGTGGGTAACAGAAATGTAGTTAATACTGTGGACTAAACACATTCCTCAGACATTCTGGTGATAGTTCAGGCAAACAGAGATGATCAGAAGAAAAGTAAGGTCTTCCTCAGGCAGGGGCAGCCTCATGACTGCCAGCCCTTTGAGGGTCGCCTCAGGTTAGTCTGGTAGCGGGTGGCTTACCCAAGTGGGAGACTAAAGTTTCAGGGCAGGATTCTAATCATTGTGTGTTCAAAGTTGGTTTGAGGTAGGAGGGGATACTCATGGTGTGGTGCTGGGGTAACAGGATGAAGAGTAGATTTCTTTGAGTTTCAGAGTGGGAACTTAGTTCTAACAGCTGGCAGATGCCCAACTGTTAAATGGTGTCTAAAAATCAGATAAACTGATGCTGACTCATCTACGAATTAGATCAGAACTACTTAAAGCACTTCTCGTTTCCCTTTTATCCCCCTCTCTACCCTCCTCTACCATAGATGTGGATGGAAAAGGTTTTGGAGCGGGGGCGGGGGGTCAGTGGAAGAAAATAAGGTCACAGTAGAAGGGGATCTAGATCAAGTGGGGCCATGTAGGTCACTGTGAGAACTTTCAAGGCAAGGAAGGCTCCAGCAATTTAAGTCACCATCTGCCCTTCTCTGCTTCTATGTCCCAGGTCCAAGACAAGCCCAAGCGGGAACCACAAGATAAAATTTGACTTCGTTTGCTACATTTCAGGTGATACATGAACCAAATCCAAATTATTTACATTGGCAACCTTTATGTAGGTATTGATCTTATTTTCAATAGCAACTCCTTGCATTTGGTCACATTAGTGGTTTTATAATCTTACATCCATTTCACAGAAAGGAGCAAAAGAATAAATAATATTTTGACCCTACTGTTTTGACCCCACTGTTTTGGACTTCCTTATTGATTCCATAAATATTTTATCTCTGTGTTTATATATACAAATATTTTAATAAGAATTACACCAAAATTAATACTTTTTAAGAATGAATCTTTGTTAATTCAATCATTTGATAACATTTTCAAAAAGTTAAACCATTTTTATAAAAGCATTACTTTAACATTAATTATTATCAGGATCAATTATTTTCTAATGTGATTTATTTATTTTGACTCAACTTTTACCTAGTTATGCATTCTATGATTATGAGTTTTCTTTTGCAGAAATTATTTCTACCAATTCATTTCTCAGGTCAAATTATATAAATATATAAAGATTTGATGCACTTTTAACTAAAAAACATTTTAAATCGTGCAATTTTATATACTATAGATTTTGTTTTAAAAATTTATTTCAACCAAGTCTGTTTCCCACTTTTAATTTTTCAGGTTTTCATCTATACCAAATTTTACCACCTACAATTTTAGCCAGTGTTAGTTTCACCAGCATTTAATGATCTATGTTGATTATTTCTTCCAGTAACACTCAGTAAGAATTAGATAAACAGCTGGTGATTGGGAAATTTTTATCAATGCAATGGCAAAAAGAACAATCACAGGAATTGGATATAGGACAGTCTAAACATCGGGGTCAAAATATCTTGCGCTTGGCCCTCCCTGCCTCTTACCAGTCCACCATGATGTCCAAGTCCAGAAACCCTTTGGGCACACAATGACGCCTTTTAGGAAGATCCCTTTGTTAGCTCTTTGACATGTGCCAATTTCACCAATAGGGAGTGGTGGTGGTGGAGGAGCTGGGAAGGAAAGAATCTAAGAGACAAATGACAATGCTTTATTGTGACAAAATTCCAGAACAAAGCAAAAATTTTTGTATTCCTTTGACAATAAATTTTGGCCCAAGATTATTGTTCCCGGGTTACAACTTTGCTGGATTTGTGTCTTTTTAATTCACAAAATTTTATGAGATGCTTAAAAAGTTAACAAATAGAGAAGAGACGAGACTGTTATGAGTACTTAAAAAGTTGAAAATTTGCAGGATTGAAACAAACAAAGAAGGCTGACTTAAGTGTGGAAAACAGACACTGTAGACTGTATTGGAAAGAACAGGAATGTGGGGTCAGAAGACCTGGTTTCCAGCCGCACTGTGTCCTTTTTCTGGCGTGGGGGATATAGGGTCTTCTGGAGTTTCAGTTTTCTCATTTGTAAAACTCTAAACACTTCATAGAGTAGTTGTGAAATTTATGAAACACAAACGCTCTGGCTAATGTGGAGGGAGAAGCAAATGGCAGTTATTACTGAGTTGTGGTCATGAACTTGGGGAATTAATCTCTTTTCTTTTCAGAGGAAAACTTCCTGCCCTGTCCCTTCGTCTCCTTGTCTCCCCTCATCTTTAAGTCCTCTCCCTCTTGTTTTTTTCCTCCTTTGGATGACCACACCCAATAGTCTTAGGGTGGGGGCTGACTACAAAAGAAAGTATGAATTTAGGGCAATAGCTCTGGCTAACATGGTATCAGATGACCTAGAGACTGAGTTCATTCATGTGGACAATCAATAGACCAATCAATTAATCATGCCTATGTAACGAAGCCTCAGTAAAATTCTGGACACAGAAGCTCAGGTGAGCCTCCTGGGATGGCAGAACTCTGGGGGATTTTGCTAGACTCTACCTTATACATCTCTTCCTTTGGCTGACTTTAATGCATCTTTTCCCTATAGTCAATGTAACCGTGAATATAATGGATTTCATGGAGTTTGTGAGTCTTCTACTGAGTCATTGAAACTCAGGGTGGTTTCGGAAAACTCTTGAACTTGGTGTCAGAGTGAGGGTGGTCTTATGTGGGCTCTTCCCTCTAACTTTGTCATTGGACCCTAATTCTTCATCTTTGGGGTCAGAAGTCTTGGGCAGCACTGGCAGTCTGGAGGATCATGCCCTTCACCTGGCAGTTTGGCTAACTCCAGGTACCATTCCTGATGTTTCTTAATTCTCCCTTAAAATTCTGAAAAAACTTGATTCATTGCATCATCTTTTTTCACCACTGGTGATTTCTAGAAGAGGAGCAAGAAAATAAACAATTTTCAGGTACTTGCTTGTTTTGAGCTATGGGTGAAATGCAATAGAAATGCAGTTTTAAGTTCCTTCGGTGAGACCTAAAGAAAAGTTTACCTATATTATTCATATGGCTCATTCACTCAACAAACACTTGCATGGCTCTTACCATTGGTCAGGCACTGTTCTAAATGCTATATATGTATTAATTCATTTGATGTTGACAACCGTGAAGGCAGACTCAATTATTATTATTATTCCTATCATTGTACAAGTGAGCTTCTTAATTTTACTTTTTTTCAGTTTAGTCCTTATATACTGACTTTCCCCCTTTGAAAAATGAGGATTTTGCTTTCTTTCACATGCAAATGTGACCTCTTTTACATGCAAACACACATTTTACATTTTCCAAACCTCCCTATGTATATGTAGTAAAATTCAAATGAGATCAATCATAAGTAGTTACATTATTATGTCCATGAAAAAGCTATTCATAGCAGAGACAGGGACAGTGAGGACAACTCATCCTTAGCTGCCTAGCATTCGTTTTTCCCTGGCATTGTAAGTACCTTCTTTCTTCATTTGTTTTTCTTTGTTTAGTCTTTACGTTCTGATTATTCAATCCCAAACTTTCCTTCAGCAACATAAATCTCTTCTCAGTATATTTAAGCATATGAAGTATTTTGTGATTTTCATCTTCTTGAAGAAATCTTTCTGAGAGCCCTCTGTTTTGCTCTAAAATGGACAAGTTGGTCTCTAGGTCAGCTGCATGGCTATTGTCATGGTGTTTCTCTTCATCCTCTTAAATATTTCCACTTTTGTATGGATCTCATTCCTGGATCCCATGCCTTCCTCCTTCACGACTTGCTCCATCATTCTAGGGAAGCATTGTATCAGTCATGCTCCAGTCAAGAGGCAGAAAGCACACCAAATTATTTTAACAGGGAAGATCTCATATAGTGAATTTTAAGTAAACTAAAAAAGGCAAAACGTAAGGTATCACAGAGAAAGGGAGTACAGGAAACAGATGCTACTAATAGGACTGAGAAAATAAAGGAACAATTAGGAAGGCTCAGAGAGGGGTTCCTGCCAAGCTGAGATCCAGAACCCTGGGGAAAGGAGCATTGTTCAGCCAATATTGGTGGCTCTGGAGCTTAGAGGGGAGACCTTGCTGGGATTCATACCTCTGAGGAGTGGGCACCGATTAAAGCTTTTATCTCTGAAAGGATAATTTATAAAACCTGCCAACTGGAACTAACTGTTGCTACCCAGGTGAGAACCATTAAGTTGGGATGAAACTTACAGAAACAAGAAGCCAACAGGAACACATCCCTTCTTCCTCCTCCAGCCTTGCAGCCTCTCTTGCTGGTGCCCCCTGTTGGCAGAGACTGGCATGGAGCCCACTGCAAAAGGAGAAATAATGGTTGTAGAGTCCAGCCCAGCATCCGAGGAAGGAGGAAGGGGAAGTTAAAGCTAGGAGACATTTGCTCAGTAACCCTCACAGGGATATTCTCCAACAGCTTCCTGAGGAAGAGTGCATTGTGGGAGTGTTTCATTTTGGTTTTGTTTTGATAGTTTCATGCTTGAACATTTTACCTCTCAGTGTGATTGGGGCATGGGATTCTAGATTGTATGTTATTTTTGCTTAGAGAATGTTTCTGGCCATACTCCTGTGTCTTCTACCTTCAGCTGTTATTGCTGAGAAGTGCAGTGTCATTCTCTTCTTGACCCTTTGTGTGAAATGGATTTATTCCTCTCTCAAGCTTATATAATCTTCTCTTTAGTCTTCTGAAATTTCTTGATGATTTGCGTTGGTGGGCCTGTTTCATTGTTCTCAGTTGTCAGCCTGTTTAGGTTGAACACCTGTGTTCTTAAGTTCTGAAAAATGTTCTTAAATTATTTTTTTGATGATGTATCTGCTCTCTCTTTTTTTTCTCTCTCTCCCTTCCTCCTTCTCCCTCTCTTATTTCATGCCTAGGACTGTTTTCTAATTTTATTCTCCCCCCATTTCCTATCTCTTTGTCTTTTTGTTCCAATTTCTGCAAGATTTCCTCAACTTTCATTTTCAAAACTTTTACTGAGTGTGTGTAATTTCTGCTCTCATATTTTAATTTCCAAGAGTATTTGTTGTTCTCTTTAATGTTCTTTTTGTATAGCACCTTGTTCTTTTTCCATGAATCTAATAGCTTCTCTGTTTTCTGTAAGTCTTTTAGTAGTTTTTATTGAAGTTTTCTTTTTGTCTCCCTAATGTCTCCACAACTTTGCCTTTAGCTGTTTAACCTAATTAGTACAGTCTTCTAATTTGAAATACATGTCATGTCTATAATTTTGTCCACTTTTAAATAACCATTAAATAACCATTATCCTTCCTTCCTTCCTTCCTTCCCTTCCTTCCTTCCTTCCTTCCTTCCTTCCTCCGTCCCTCCCTCCCTTCCCCTTCCACCCCTGTCTCTCTGTCTGTCTTTCTCTCTTTCTTTCTTTCATCAGCCTTGAATTTCTTTCAAAAGCCGGAGCTTAGTGTGAACTTAGCACTCGTATTTTGGTTGGCAAACACATGCAGGAAACTGCTTGCAATATGCACTCATGTAGTTCTCTTATGCGCAGATGATTCAGGGGTCACACTGTGTATTTAACCACCCATCCCCCAACCCCTAAGGTAATAACATCCATTAAAGCTGCTGTAATATTTTATTAATTTTTGTAATGTTTCCTATCTTGAGCTCAAATAATTTTTCCCTCTGGCTGAGAGCCAATGAAGAGATGTGACCAAAATGTGGCTTGTCATAAAAAGAGCTAATTCTCATTAAGGGACTTACTTCACACACTGATCATCTCTGCTATGTCAGTCTGTACTTTGTAAGACCCGAGAGAAAATATTAGGAGTATGTTGTGTGCTGTCTAGCACCTGATTATTGCACTAATAATGTTCCAAGTATGTCATTTATCACAGCAGTAATTAACAACAACAAAAAAACCCTTATATGCCACTGAGTTCCCTGAAATCCACTAAGTAATCACAGAATAATCATGGCTTTTCCTCCCAGACATGGCCCTTAGAGATCATTTAATTCAATCTCTTATGTTTGAGGAAACAGTATGGGAGGAGTCAATGATGCGCTCCAGGCCACATGGCTGAGGCCTTGTGTGCTGTGACTGACCCCCCCGCAGGCACATTGTTTTTCCTGAAGGCAGTGTGGGTTTCCCAGGGTTAGCTGCTGGCTCGCACACCTGCAGTTAGGACCTGTGGGCAGCCTCTGCTGCAGAGAACATGTCACATATGGATTGTCCTTTTCCTTTGTAACAGAAGTTCTTGGAACTGAATTTTGATGTGCCAATGTGGACCCCCACACGTTTGCAGTACTGGCTGATAGGGTTAACAGACTTCACTCCTAGAAGATTCTAACTGTTCAAAATGAACTGCATTCAAGCCAGTATGTTCCGTACTGCATTCAAGCCAGTATGTTCCATATTAGCTGAATTTTTAAATAATAACGGACCAAGCACTTTCTTGAGCCTCAGCCTAACCTGGGCTTGTTTCTTACTGCCTGTCTTCAATTGTACACTATGTGGCAATGCTAACTTAGGAACATGACCACAGCTCCAGCTCTGCTGGAGACTCTAGAGGCCACAACCCATGCAGCCCTACTTGTCTTTACTTAACAACCAGAGCTGAAGAACCTGGCAAAAGAAGAGATCCTGTAAGAATTGCCCTTGTGGCCGGGTGCAGTGGCTCATGACTGTAATCCCAGCACTTTGGGAGGCCGAGGTGGGTGGATCACCTGAAGTCAGGAATTCGAGACCAGCCTGGCCAATATGTGAAACCCCATCTCTACTAAAAATACAAAAATTAGCTGGGTGTGGTGGCGCATGCCTGTAATCCCAGCTACTTGGGAGACTGAGGGGGGAGAATTGCTTGAACCTGGGAGGGGGAGGTGGCGGAGGTTGCAGTAAGCTGAGACCACGCCATTGCACTCCAGTCTGGGTGACAGAGTGAGACTCCATCTCAAAAAAAAAAAAAAAGAACTGCCCTTGTCTGTCATCTGTGGCTTCTTGTTGTGGGTCTTATACATAAGAACTTTCTGGACAGAGGAAGCAACCAACAAACTTCAGGGAATATCTTCCCAGCCTGATTCCTGGATGTGCTCTGCTACCTTATCTCAAACAGATAGTGGGCAACAGGGCTTGGCTCCTGAGTTCAAGTTTTGTAATTGGCGATGGACTTCTGTTTGTGTCCTATGTGTTGCTGTGACTCTCCATTTTTGTGGAATGACCATGCCTCAATACCTAATTCCATGGTTTCCTCTTCTGTATATAACTAGAAAGGAGAAGACGCTAAAACAAATACAGCAAGACTGATTGTTTTGACCAAATTGGCAATTAATTAACTCCATGTGCTAGAAATTGCAGTCAACGTCTGCAGCAAGAGCAGCAGCAGCTTCTGGATGAACAGAAGAAATTAAAAGAAAAGGATGAAGAAGGGGTCTGAGATCTTGGTTCATAAGCTTTTTGCTGTGTAAACAGGGACTGATGTTCATTTCTAGGTTTTGTGCAAGCAGCTCTCAAAGAGTGGTGCCTGTGTATGGAAGAGCAGGAAGAAAATTTTAATTACATCTACTTTTAAATGGGAGATGGAGATGGAAATCAGCACTTGCTATGTTTCAGAAGGGGAACAAAGAGCCACCCCTATTTGGTTCATGTGTATGCCTTTTGAGAGAATTTCATTTCCAGCAGGAGTTACTTTGACTGTGAAAGAATCCACTGGAGAGGACTTCTTTCCTGTAGCCTGGATGCTTGAGGGTGACATTGAAATGCAATTGAGAATGGAGGCTGGAAAGACAAGATAGGGATGGTGAAGAGTGGCTATGCCAAAGCTGGTATGCAGCTAATCATGAATAATAGTGAGACCACCACTCCTTCTTCCTACTGCCTTCATTAGTTTCTGCCAGTTTCTTGTGTGTCTCCTGAGAAAATTTGTTTTTATTCACAATCCTAATTGCTTGAGATACTGAAACCATGAATGCGCGTGCATGCACATGCGCACACATCCATTCCATCCCATCTCACCCCATCTCCCTTTCTGATCACGGGGACACTCACGCTCATGGCTTCTGCCTTTGAGGCAGGAACAGTGATTTCCCAGCTTTTTGGTGAGCCCTCCTTATGCTATGTGGTAGCTCCTTATGCACATGTGCCCACTGTGCGTGTAGCAGCTGTGGAATGATGTGCACAATTTTTCTTGGGTCATGACTTGTTTTTCTTTCATTTGTTTTGCTTCCTATATTTTTTCTTAAATGAACAAAATCTTGGAATATGGCCTATCTAAAAAAAAAAGGCTGTTCTGGTTTCCATTTCTAAGAGAATTTTGGCAGTAGAAGGCACAACCGCTGGATATTTTACTGCAGTTATCAAGCATTGTGCATGTGGGAACAGTCCTATGTAGATAAACTCTCAGAGCAATCGCTGTTTGTAAGAGGCCATTTTGAAAGAAGGATTTTTTTAACCCCAAGTAGAGTAAAAAAGAAAACTATAAGAAATAGATGACAGAAAAGACTCAATGACCAAGAGAAATAATATAGCTTTCTGTTTCATAAAAATAAAGACTGGTAACTAATTTGTAGTCAGACCTGATAAACCTGATTTTATAAGTCAGAAATTGATTGTTTGCAAATCTAGATATCAAACTCAAACCATTTTAACCAAGAATGGGAATTTGTTCTCAAGATTCTTGATCCTCAAGGGAAATCCAAGGAAGAGTTAAAGACGTTAGCTATAGAAGTAGCAGGGTTGGCTGGGCGCAGTGGCTCACACCTGTAATCCCAGCATTTTGGGAAGCCTAGGAGGGCGGATCATGTGGTCATGAGATCGAGACCATCCTGGCTAACACGGTGAAACCCCATGTCTACTAAAAATACAAAAGTTACCTGGGCGTGATGGCAGGTGCCTGTAATCCCAGCTACTTGGGAGGCTGAGGCAGGAGAATTGCTTGAACACGGGAGGCAGAGGTTGCAGTGAGCCGAGATCACGCCACTGCACTCCAGCCTGGCGACAGAGCAAGACTCCATTTCAAACAAACAGCAACAACAACAACAAAAACAAGAAGTAGCAGGGTTGCAGATGAGTCTACTTTTTTTTTTTTTTTTTATATGAAGTCTTGCTCTGTCGCCAGGCTAGAGTGCAGTGGGTTGATCTCTGGCTCGCTGCAACTTCTGCTTCCTGGGTTCAAACCATTCTCCTGCCTCAGTCTCCTGAGTAGCTGGGATTACAAGTGCGTGCTACGACACCCAGCTAATTTTTATGTTTTTAGTAGAGATGGGGTTTCACCATGTTGGCCAGGATGCTCTTGATCTGCTGAACATGTGATCCACCCATCTTGGCCTCCCAAAGTGCTGGGATTACAGGCGTGAGCCACTGCACCTGGCCTTGAGCCTCCATTTTAACTGGAACACTTTCCTAGTGTCATCTGGCTTTCTCCACATGGTAGAAAATATGACTTGAGTTTCTCCCTTCACCACTGAGAAAAGACTGATATAATTCAGTCCCAAGTCCAAGTGTTCAGTGTGGAACTTACTGGCACGACTTCAGATAGGTGCTGACCCCTGGAACAGTCAGCTGTAGCTGGAGAGATGGGACACTGGATTGGTCTAGCTTGGATCTGGTGCCCAGCTCTGGGTCGATCAGCTGAGTGGAGGGTGGGGGTCATACCATGCTCACATGGAGTTCCACGTGTTAACTATTGTGGATTGAGGAGGGACTGAGAGGAAAATGCCATAGGTGTCATCTGCATAGTTCAGCACTATTCAGAGAAATGCCTTTTGCACACTTGTTTTCCTTACAACTTTGCTGATTATAGAAAAATAATATGTTGCTTCAACTTAGCGTAGAATGGAACCTACGTTTGTGTTTGTGTCTGGGGGATATTTTTGGCTCTGGGAGGTTAGGCGCGAACTCTCCCCAGAGTGAGCTCTGATGGCATTAAATATTGGCCTTTGTAAGAACCAAATACAAATGGATGCTAGCCAACATCATAGTTTGAAAAGTATTGTGTTTCTTCTAATTAAAGGCTCTTAGGCAGCAGCTGGGCTAAGGAAATGCTTGAATCAAAGATCAGCATCTTACAGCATGCTGATTTTCAGTGAACTGTGAGCTGGGATTCATTGCCACACACCTCTTCCTGCCACTTGAGGCATTCTCAAAATACTCCATTCCCCTTATGACTCTATAAAAAAAAAGATTGATATATTGATATAAACATTTGAAAGCTTCTCATCCCTAACTTATAGATTATCAGGATGACTGGTTAATAATTCCCTACTGGCTTTATTATGAAAATCACTGAAAAAAATGCAAGATTTCAATAACATCAACAGGAGTACCAGTCAAGGGTTTTGTAATCTGTAGAGACAATTTGCATCAACCCAGTCACGTATAGAATCCTAAAAGATATAGCAAGATTAGGAAGAAATGCAGCTGGGGTTGTCCAACACCTCCATTGTTTACATACAGTAATAAAATCACACATCTGAGGAGGAGATAGACAATCAGAGCACATGAACCAACAAGGGAAAAAAAATCAACAAACGGCTTGTGAAAATATTAGGAAATATAAGAAAGAACAAAGAGCTCATGTAAGATACCAAGGAAAACTTGTGTTAGAAAAAAGTTAACTGAAAGAATACAAAATAAATCTTTGAAAGCATCTGTTTTGTGTTCTCGATAAAATTCTCAAAACATGTCCTTTATCAAATAAGAGGAAAGAGAAGGTGATGAGACAATAGACTAAGATTAAAAGTAAGTTGTTTAGGGAGTAGGAAGAGATTAAAAAGGCTCAATGAGGCAAACAAAGAAAGGTAACGAAAAAATGTAAATGCTTCATACCTTTTGTTTGTTTGTTTGTTTTTGAGACAGGGTCTCACTCTCTGTTACTTAAGCTGGAGTACAGTAGCGCAATCACAATTCACAGCAGCCTCAACCTCCTGGGCTTAGCAATCCTCCCACCTCAGGCTCCCCGCACCCGCTGAATAGCTGGGACTACGGGTGCGTGACACCACACCTGGCTAATTTTTCATGTTTTTTGTAGAGACGGTATCACTATGTTGCCCAGGCTGCACTCGAATTCCTGGGCTCAAGTGATCCTCCCACCTTGGCCTCCCAAAGTGCTGGGATTACAGGTGTGAGCCACTGCGCCTGGCTGCTTCATACCTTTTAAAGTTGAGATCATAAGTTTAAATAGTTGCAAAGGATCTTTCTAGTGTATTATGAACATTAATATTTCAAGACAAAAATATATGATCACTACTTAAAATGTGTCCAGTGTAATCTAAATACTTTAATTATTTTTATAATGACCATTATCTACTTTAAAAAGTACATGAACAAGCTCGTCTTTAACAGTTGAAAATTTAAAATAGTTTTTCAGATTTTCAGTTTGATTTTCCTTTCCCTGTAGGGTATATTTTAAGCATGGATTTTTAAAATATTGATTATCGTATTTTCAACAGCAGAAATATGATATACATTTAAATTTAAAATTGATACATTTAAAAATTTAAACTTGAAAAAGTTTTCTGTGACAAAACTTGAGATCTTCCCTCTTAGAAGATTTCAAGTATACAGTATATTATTATTAACTACAGTCACCATGTTATACATTATATCTCCAGTAATTATTCATCTTAGAGCTGAAGATTTGTACCCTTTGACCATTATCTCCTCTTTTCCCCATGCCAAAGCTCCCAAATTATGTGAAGTGATGAATATGTTAATTAGTTTTACTGGGGTAATCATTTCACAATACATACATATGTTAAAAACATGTTGTACACCCTAAATATATGTAATTTTTGCTAGTTATACCTCAATAAAGATAGAAAATATTTTTTCTGTAACCATAGGCTCTAAGTGTTAAATAATTTTTTTCTAGTTTGAGATATAATTACAATTGTTATCAACTGATTAAACTGATGTAGCTACATCACCTTTTTTTTTTTTTTTTTGAGACAGGGTCTTGCTCTGACCCAAGCTGGAGTAAAGTGGCACAATCAAGGCTCACTGTAGCATTGACCTGGACTCAAGTGATCCCACCACTTCATCCTCCCGAGTAGCTGGGACTACAGGTGTACACACTTGGCTAATTTTCATGGTTTTAGTAGAGATGGGGTTTTGCTGTGTTTCCCAGGCTTGTCTCAAACTCCTGAGCTCAAGTGATCCACCCACCTCGTCCTCCCAAAGTGCTGGGATTATAGGCATGAGCCACTGCACCTGGCTATCACACATTTTGATAAATAATTGTTAACCATAAGAAGTATGATTTTTATTGGAAATGCTGTTCTTAATGAGATGTTTAGGTCTGTTTATCTTTTGGTCAGTTCACATGATCCTGAGCGAATATTACTATTAGAATGAAACATGATCTCGCATCCACTCTATTCTTATTTTTTATTTTTATGAATGAAAATGCAATGATATTTTGTTTACATAAATAGGACTAGAAAGATTTGTATTATAGCTATTATATATTCTTTGAATTGTTTATGATTTATATACCAAAATTCACATAGCTACCAAACATCAAAAATTATTTTAATTATCTAACAGCTAATAAATCTATAAAGTCTTATTATAATTTTGTTGAAAGGAAAGGATTAGAAGCCACGTCATGTAATAATGTGTGCTAGCCAGTCATTCGAGTCCTTCATTTTTATCAACATCTGTTCCAATATTCCAAATGATTCCTTTGTTTGGTGCCCTGGAAGTTTTTAAACCCTGGGCCAATGCACCTGTTGTTATGTAAGAAACCATCCCCAGACTCAGAGGCAAACAACCATTTTGTTTTATTTACAGATTCTGTGGTTAAGAATTGGTCAGGTTGTAGTGAGGATGCTTATCTCCTCTCCTTGATGTGTGGGGACTCAGCTGAGAAAAATCAAAGGCTTGTGTGACCCTAAGCTGGGGACCAGAATTATCTAGACGCTTCTTATCTTAGTCTATTTGTGCTGCTATAACAAAACACCACAGACTGGGTATGAAGCACAGAAATTTATTTCTCATGGTCGTAGAGGCTGGAAAGTCTAAGATCAAGGTGCCAGCAGATTGTATGTCTTGTGGGGGCCTTCTTTCTGTGTCCTCACATGGTGAAAGCATAGAAGATAGCAAACTCACTCCCTCTCACCCTTTTATAGGAGCCCTAATCCAATCTATGAGGGCTCAGCCCTTATGACTTAATCACCTCTTAAGGTTTCACCTCTTAATACTACTACATTGTTGATTAAATTTTAACATATGAATTTTGAAGGGGACACTATCATTCAAATGCCCTGTATCTGGACTGAAATTACTTGAAGTCTGGACTTAGCTGAAACTGTCCGTCCAAAGGCCCACACATAACCTTTCCATGTGGCTTGAGCTACACCACTGCAGCCTTGGTATAGTCAGACTTCGTAGGGGGTTCAGAGCTCCAGTACAAGTTTTCCAGTAAGCAAAACAGAAACTGCATTGCCTTTTATGACTTACTCTTGGAAGTCATTTAGCATCTCTTCTACTGTACTCTATTGGTTAAAACAGCTATAATCTAGCCCAAATCTAAGGGGACTCCACTTTTTGATGGAAGAAATGTCAAAGGCCTAGCAGCCACTTTTTAAAAACCACTACAGCACCTTATTAAGATTTAGACAGAGTGAGAGAGTTCTTTTCTAAAGTGGCTGTCTTAGTTCATTTGTGTTGGTATAAAGGAATACTCAAGGCTGAGTAATTTATACAGAAAAGAAGTTTATTTGGCTCACGGTTCTGCAGACTGTACTAGGAACATGGTGCTGACGTCTGCATCTGGTGAGGGCCTTAAGCTGCTTCCACTCATGGTGGAAGGCAAAGGGAAGCCCAACCCATGGTGTAAGCAGGGAGAAGGAGAGAGAAAGAGAGAGAGAGAGAGAGAAGGAGGAGGAGGAGGAGGAGGAGGAGGAGGAGGAGGAGGAGCCATGCTGTTTTCAACAACCGGTTTTCATAGGAACTAAGACTGAGAACTCACTCACTCCTGTGACAGTGGCACTAAGCCATTCATGAAGGTTCTGTCCCCACAATCCAAACGCCTCCTATCAGGCCCCATCTCCAACATTGGAGATAGAATTTCAACATGTTGTTTGGAAGGCCAAATATCTAAACTATAACAGTAGCAGAAGGGTACTTGTGAAAGGGGAAGTACAAAAGAAGAAACTTTTGATGTCTTGATAGCATGTCTTTTGCTAGGCAGATCAATTTTATGAAAACTTATGTATAGAAGCTGAGAATCTGGAAATTAATTCCTTTATATCTATGCCCACATCCAATTTGAAAGTCTTTCTATACCACCAGGACTATGTGTATGTCAGTTTGAAGATCACTGTTGCAGGATTCAGTTTTGGCAAAGCTGATTTAGATATATTCTGATGAAACTTTAAAATTATACAAATAAAAAATTATACAAAGATCATCAAATGAACAAGACTTATAAACAATAACAACACAAAAATACCTTAAATAAATAAATGAAGAAACCTGATACAGAATTTCTTTTTTGCAATACTGAGAACTAGGGAACCAAGGAATACTCTGTACAGAACTTTAAAGGAAATGGTTGAGATTCAAGAGTTCTATACTCAGTAAATTTTCAAATGAAAGAAATTTCAGGATAAGAAAGAGCTCAGGAAATAGATCATTTATGTATGTTCCTGGAATAAACAAACAGCTGAAAACACTAATTAGCTGCACTTCAGCTAGTCTGGAGACTATAAGTTAATAACATCTTAAGAATTAGGAAAGACGGCTTTGGTGGTGACTGCATAGCTCTGGGACATTCCTGAATCCCCATATTAAAAAAACAGAGCATGTAGATAGCAAAACAAAATTCCTGGATATCATTTTAAAAACTAGGTGATAAGGTATCTCCACAAACCAAATGTAAATGAAAAGTGACAAATCACCATAGCCACAAGTTTGTGTGTTCCATCAGTGCTGGAGAAAGCAGAAGGACCTATGAGTGAGGGAATGCATAGCCCAAGTTATTTCCTGGGGATCATAGTCAGCTGATTTGAGAAAGTTGATAGATCTGAGCAAACTTTTGACTTTATAGTAGTTTGTGAGTGCATGGGACTCCCTGTAAGGCCTAAAGTGGCTGAAACAGTATACCTCCATGAAATCTCACAACTGACCCACCAGGACATCATACCAAAGAAACTTCTGGGAGAAGTATAGAGGCAGCAGAGCCAGGAATTTTTGAAAATAAGCCACTATATTTTAAAATACTATACAAAAACAATGTAAGAGGTTGTCTAATGTAAAGTTAAAAGAGATCTCTGAGCCAAGCCTCTTTCTAAAAGTTAAGAAAAGCTAAATTCACATAAAAATAAGCAACAGAAAATTACTGAGGCCAAATCTCTTGCAGAGGTATTATAGGAAAAAAGAGATTAAGAAGTAGAATAACATCCTTGCAGACAATGAAATCATGCCAGAAAGACATGTTCATAAACCTGTAATAGATGAAACTGTAATAGATCATTCCAAAACCAATGGAAAAGATTAAGAAAATTATACTATGTGTGAAAGGACATGAATCAGAATTAGAAAACCTAAGAAATGAGATGACATAACTCAATAAATAATTAAACATGCAAAAAAAAACATTTTAGAAATGACTAAACTAGAAGAAAAGCAAGAATGAATAAACATGACAAATACCTGAAGTGAAATAGAACACGTAAACGAGAAAACATCAGAATCAAGAGAAGAAAAAGACAAAAAAGGGATTGACAGAAAGTGACAAACATTGAAGACAGAAAAAGGAGATCCAAAATATTGATAATAGGAGCCACCACAGAATAGGGGAAGCAAATGAACAGAATGACTAATGAGAACTGTAATTCAAGGATACTTCACTGAAATAAAATAATATTTGAAATACCATACTGAAAGAGTACATGGTATATCTAAGAAGAATGACCAATGCCAAGATATAGTCTAGCAAGATTACTGGACATTAAAGAAAAACATGTTTTTGATGTCTGGCAAAAATAAGCAATAACTTACAAGAAAATATAAGTTATCCTCAGACTTTTGACATTAACGTTTGCATAAGAAGAAAATGAGGTAACATATTTAAGATAGTCGAGGAAAAAAACATGAGCCAAGAATTTTATGTCCAATAAAATTTTCTTTCAAATATAAATATAAACTGTTGTAAACTTTTAAGAACTCAAGAAATATTGTTCCCATGAGATTTAATAAACAATCTACTGAAAAAACAGGCTTTAGGCGAGCAAAATGATGGGTAAGACAGCAACCTAAAGACACGTGGTAAGTATTCAACATATAATTATTTGCAGAAATAAGACCGTATGAGGTTTAAAAGGAAGTGGTTATAATATGTAATGGCTAAAAGATCTGAAAATATAGATACAACCCAACCATAAAATTGTGAGGAAGAATGAAAAGAACAAGAGCAAATTGAAATTAGAACTGTTTCTAGTAATTATAATTGGTGGTAGCAATATTAAGTTGTCATTCTAAGACAGTTGTATGTGAAGAGTGGATAAAGCAAGCAAGTAAATATGAGGTATTCTATTTCTATCATCTCTTGTGTATTTGAGAGCCAGGATTCTCAGAGTGGAATAAAAGGGATACAGATATAATATAGAAGAGGTTAAGCAAAAATGCTGCAGTTCTAAATTTGAATGGAAAATATCAGTAAATAGCAGTGTAAACTTACAAAGTATTTTATTTTAATAAATGGATAAATATATATCATTAAATATAAAATTATTTTATATATTATAAAATATATTAAAAAAGAAAGCAAGCTATAAAAGATTATTAGGATCACATCAAAAGCAAAAAACAAAACCCTCGTAACCAATTGGAAGAGGATCCCACTAGTCAAAGATAGAATATTTTGAGTTTCATTAAAGATAAAAATTGGAATAGATCAAAACTCATCTAATAGTCTTAAATCCATGGGATATTTTAAAACAAACCAATTGGTCATTTTCTGAAGATAACAGGGAATTAATATGTTAACTTGAAAACTGGGTGAATAAACAAAAGAATCCTGCTCTTTTGTGTATGATCTGTACCATGGTGTAACCAAATGGTAGATGAGAGGAAACATCTTACAAAATTATTTCACTAATAAATGAAAACAAAATGATAGAATTTAATGTTACCATGCTTCAACCTACAATTCTGATCACCAATGGCTATAACATTATGAAAACAGAGAAATCATACATAATATGCCTCCTATTATCTTGCCAGTGGGGTAATGGGAGTGGCAAAATAATAGGAGGCACTTAATGTCTCTGGATCCAGCTGTCCATTTGCAGGAAACTCAAGGGACCAAAAACGTGTTGAACTGCACCAAGAGCATGTGCTGTGCAAAAACAGGCCATAGGAAACTCTACAGGTTAAAATCTTTGGTTCTTCAATGCTTGATTTACAAGGAAAAGAAAGGAATAGAGGGAAAGTGAAGGCCAAAAAAGACTTAAAAGATAAGTGATAGGCAAGACTAAAGGATGCACACTCGGGGATAAAACAAAACCTAAAGGCATGCAGGAAGGGATTATGAGGAAAGTCTGGACAGAGTTCTTTTTTTAGGGTAAGGGTAGGGACTGTGATTGGGATAGGACTCATGGAGGATTTTCTGGGAAAGGCAAGTTTCTATTTCAATCTATAAGTATTAATTATTAATACTTAGAAAAATATAGGCTGAATGTATTTTAAAAATATAAAAGTAACCATCAAAATAATTAAAAATTGCATTTTTTTTCCAATTCATTAAAAAACTGAAACCAACCAAGCAAATAAATAAAACTACACAGCACTTACACTAAAATATGGGAAAGAAAGGAAAGCACAGGGATAATTAAAAAGAGATAACATGAGATTACAGATGACCAAACATAACAGCTTTTACTTAAATTTGCTGATATTTATGTTAATAAACAAAGGTGATCATTTTAGATCAATATGCAAAACTGTATTTCATGCTGTTTTTAAGAAACACACTGTATCAGTCAGAGTTCTCCAAGAAAACAAGACCAACAGGATGTGTGTGTGTGTGTGTGTGTGTATCAACATCTATATCTCTTTTCTCTCTTGCACTCTCTCTTGATGTTGTAGTTCAAGTCTGAAGGCTGCTAGTAGAGTTCTGTCTTGCTCAGAGGAATTCAGTCTTATTTTATTAAGGCCTTCAATTGATTGGATGAGGCCCACTCACTTTATGGAGGGCAGTCTGCTGTATTCAAAGTAAACCAATTTAAATGTTAAACTCATTGAAAAAATACCCTTACAGAAACATCCAGAATAATGTTTGACTAAATATCTGGGCGTCATGGCCCGGCCAAGTTGACACATAAAATTGATGATCACACACACCTAAAAGCAAAATGACAGAGAACAATTAAATGTAACAGAAGGGGAAATATTTATTGGGCAATAACAAACCAAAAACTGATTTGACAATATCTACTTTAGACAATATCTACTTTAGACAATATTAATTAGCTGCAAAACATCAAATGAATGCAAGTTATTTTATGTTGTTGATAAGCTGTAAAATAAACAAGACAGGTGTCATAGTCATGAAGAAGTTTTGCACTTAATAACAATATTGAAATATAACAAAACTAATACATCAAAGTAAATCAAATAACAATAAGCTTATATATACTAGTAGACATCACCAGAAAGACAATAATAGTGGATGAATTTAATATGCCACTTTTAGTATTTGATGGTTTAAGTAAACTAAAAATAAAGGACATTAAATGTTACTAAGGTTACCTTTTTAATAAAACATTAATGTTTTTATTACTAATAGTATTAAGAATTACTCATTGATAACATGCCATCGAAAACATACCTTTCTTTTTGACATCTATGGATTATTTACAAAAGTGGATCTCATAACTGAGCTCAAAACAGGCCGTAATGAAAATCCTGATACATACCAAAAATAAAAACAGCTTGGGGTTGAGTTATATTCTTTGTCTATAAGGCAGCCAAACTAGAAACTAATAGAATAAATTTAAACAACATAAACAGAGGAAATCCTACACATTTGAAAAAAAATACTCTCCTAAATACTCTTGGTCAATTTACAAATTAACAGTAATGTGAACAGTTTATAGCAAAATTTAAAGGATGCAGTGAAAGCTGCATTCATACCTCCTGTCATTCCCTCCTATTTTTCATCATTAAAACAAATATTATTCAGGAATCTTATGGATGGAAGCAAATCCAACCTTAATCAGTTGGAACAAAAAGGAACACCTATTGGTTCACCAATGGGAAGTATGGATGGACGTTGCTGCTGCTCAGTTATCCCAGGGTTCTTTCTCTCTCCTCCTGTTCCTGCTTCCATCTATGTGTCAGGTGCACTCTCTCCTATTGCAGACTGAATTTCTCCATGGAGTGGCATCAAGGTTCTTATTTATACCATCACAGAGGAAAAGGTCCCTCCACTCCCTCTCCCCATTTCTTTCAGCTCCAGTTTGAATAATCCTGGAGCAGAACTCTGATTGGCCTAACATAATCAGATTCCTACCTCTTGACCAATACCAATCACTGGGCCAGAGAGGCAGGTGTAATCTACCTCCTATTCAGAACATGTGTTAGAGAGGGGGTGGAGCACTTAAGAAAGTGGGTATTCTTTATGTGAGAAGGGAGAGTAGCTTGACCAACAGAAGTAAAAGGTCCACTATGAAGAAGAAGAAGAGTGAACATGTATTCAGCTAAAGAATCTAGTAAAATAAAAACAAATTTAAAAGCAGAAGAAAGAAAAAGAGAAGAAATAAAAAGAGATATAAAGAAAGTATGGGGCAAAACATAAGAAAATAAAGGGATGGAAAATGTGTATGTCAGGCCATTAATGACCCCTCAAAATATTAATATTGCAATATTAATATCTTTAATATTGCAAATATTGATATTAAAGTGAAATTTAAGGCAAAAAATACGAGAGATGAAGTTATTATTTAATAATAAAGGAACAGTTTACTAATAGTATGTTAAATTCTGAATCTGTGTATATCTAAACATTTAGCTTCAATGTGGAAAAAAATTATAAGGAGAACTGACTACTCCACAATTATAAAGGAAGATTACTATAGTTCTCTCAAAAAGTAATAAACGTATAAAAATGTAGTAAGTATATAGAAGATTCAAAAAATATAATTACATTGTCAGTTCCAATGGACACATACAGAAAACTGGACACATATCTTAAAACACATGTAACAATGTTTAAAAATTGTTCTCATACTAGGCCACAAAGTTAACCTCATCAACTATTAAATAATTAATTTAGTAAAAACAATATTTTTTTACTATGATGTAATAAAATTAGAAATCAATATAAAAATAGTGAAGAGGCCAGGTGCAGTGGCTCGTGCTTGTAATCCCAGCACTTTGGGAGGCTGAGGTGGGTGGATCACCTGAGATCAGGAGTTCGAGACCAACCTGGCTAACATGGTGAAATCCTGTTTCTCCTAAAAAAAAAAAAAATTATAAAAAATTAGCTGGGTGTGGTGGCCTGTGCCTGTAATCCCAGCTACTCCCAGCACTTTGGGAGGCTGAGGCAGGAGAATCACTTGAACCTGGGAGGCAGAGGTTGCAGTGAGCTGAGATCATGCCATTGCACTCCAGCTTGGGCAACAAGAGGGAAACTCTATCTCAAAAAAAAAAAGTGAAGAAAACCCCATAGAAATAGAAATGAAAAATTAGACTTCAGAATAATTCATTGGTCAAATAAGAAATCTTAAAGAAAAATATTAATTATTTAGAACTGAACATGTAACAAGAAAATTCTACAAATAAAAACTTGTGCTTAGAGGAAAATTGATACTATAAAGTAGTTTAAAAAAAAAAAAAAAGACAGGCTGGGCGCGGTGGCTCACGCCTGTAATCCTAGCTGCTCAGGAGGCTAAGGCAGGAAAATCACTGGAATCTAGGAGGTGGAGGTTTCAGTGAGCTGAGATTACACCACTGCACTCCAGCCTGGGTGATAAGAGTGAAACTCCGTCTAAAAAAAAAAAAAAGACTGAAAATCAATGAGCTAAACATTCAACTCAAAATTTAGAAAAAGAACAATAGAAAAAATCCAAAGAAAGTAAATTAAGAAAATAATTTTTGAAAAGGGTAAAAAGTCATGAAATAGAAAACCAACACCAGTTTGAAAATCTTAATACAACGACAAACTATTGACAAAATTAATCAAGAAAAAAGGAGAAATATACAAATAAACAATATTAGGAATAAATAAGCACTAAAATTATAGAAGACTAGAGATCTTAAAAGCCATAAGGGAAGTTTATGCCAATAAATTTGGTAATTTTAAGGACAATTTTTTCTAAAACATGAATGACCAAAACTCAATCAAGATAGATTAACAACCTAAATACACTTATAATCATTGAGTAATTTAAATCAATACGAAAACTCACCCATAGTATTATTTGTTATTTACTACACGATAAATATTTATTATTGTATTAGAGTTTTCAGAGGAACAAAACCAATAGGATGTGTGTATGTGTGCATGCGTGCGTGTGTGTATGTATACAAAGATTTATTATGAAGCTGAGAAGTCCCCAGATCTGCAGTCAGCAAGCTGCAGACCCAAGGGAGCCAATGGCATAAGTTCTAGTCTGAAGGCTGAAGCCTGCCAATGCTTTCTGTCCGAGTCTGAAGGCAAGGAAAAAGCCAGTGTCTTAGTTCAAGCAGTCAAATAGAGTGGGTTTCCTCTTGCTCAGTCTTTTTGTTCTATTCAGGACTTCAGTCAATTAGGTGAGGCCCACCCATTTTAGGGGCCACAATCTGCTTTACCCAATCTACTAATTCAATTTCGGTTTTTTTTTTTTTTTTTGAGACAGAGTCTTGCTCTGCCACCCAGGCTAGAATGCAGTGGCGCAACCTCGGCTCTTTGAAGCCTCAACCTCTTGGACTCAAGTGATCCTCCCACTGTAGCTTCCCAAGTAGCTGGGACTACAAGCATGCACCACTATGCCCAGTTAATTTTATTTTTTTGTAGAGTCAAGTTCTCACTATGTTGCCCAGGCTGGTCTCAGATCCCTGGGCTCAAGCAATCCTCTCACCTTAGCCTCCCAAAGTGATAGGATTACAGGTATGAGCCACCCTCCTGGCTGATTCAAATGTAAATCTCATTCAGGAACATCCTCACTGACACACCCAGAACATCCTCTGGCCAAATGTCTGGGCATTTTGTGGTCCAGTCAAGTCGACACATAAAATTACCCATCACATTCAAAGTCTTCCCAGGAATGCATAGAAATACTGGGGAAGGGTTTTGGATTCCCACTGTCTGAAAAACTGGGGATCTGAGCCAGTGTAATCTATATCTTAATAGGGCAGTAGAATTCAACTTGAGTGAAAGAATAAAGATGTGTGACATCAAAGTATCTCTCTGTGGGAGGGACAAAGGCTTTATAGGGATGTGGTAGTTGATCTGGGTATTGAAGCATGAATATGTTTGTGCTGGACTGACAGGGTGAGGAAGAGCAGGGGGAACAGGATGGGCAAAGTCACAAGACAATAGTGTAGTGCTTAAGAACACAGATGCTGTGACAGATTGCTTGGTTGAAATGCCAGCTCAGCCACTTACCAGTTATAGCACCAGAGGTAAGTTACTTCCTCTTTCAGTGCCTTCATTGCTTTTTCTTTTTTTTCTTTTTTTTTGCAAAATAAGGATCATAATAGCATCTACCCTCAAAGAGCTGTTTATCTGCTGTTTCCTGAATGCCTGGTAAGCAACAGCATCAGTGGGAGTTGGGCAGGAGGGAAGCAGGAAGGTCCTTTGGAGCATGCAGATTTGAGCCTCAGCACTTTTTACCCTAGCTCTTGAAATGCATCATGATTTCTGTTCAGTGGATGGTAAAGTTTATCTAGGTTATCTTGGAAAAATGGCAACAAAACTTAATTGGAATGGGCTTTCGCTACTAAGGACCACTCTGAAGTGTGTAGGTTGCTAGAAATCCTCCCGACTTAGCTTTTTTTGAATTTGAACCCAAGATGCGGCTGAAGCTGTATGAGAGCTAGATGGAAGATCGCTGTGTAGCTGCCCTGTGAGTAGAAATGATGGCCCACCTATCTCTTGGGACTGTCACCCTCGAGATGATCATCGTAGGAGTCCTCCACCTCTCCGCAGATGTCCAAGAAGGAAAAGCTTCTCTCACAGGGGGAGTATCTTCTTTTCTAGAGATAGGAGAAAACACAGAGATCACTGTCTTGGGAGAGAAATCACAAGCCGTCCCGATCCTTCTCTAGGTCTCAGTCAGTTTAAGTTGAATGAAAGGAAATAGAAGACCAGTTTGCAAGAGAAGTTGTATGCAGGAAATAACTTCATTTGACGAGAGTATGTGCAGAAAACTCAAGTTTTGTTTGAGACTTCATAAGCATGGTACATTTTAAATATGTTTTAACTTTTCAAATTTGTTTGCCTTTGGGAACAGTGACACACAAAGGTGCAATTCTCTGTGGTTTGAAATAGATTCTGTGAAGCATGTAACACCAAGAATTGCTACTTTATGATGTTCCCTTAAGCAAAATCGAATTTGCTTTGAACTTTAGTTATGCATAGACTGATAATAAACCTCTAAATTCTGCCTAGTAGAAATGTAATTTTTTAAAAAATACAGAAACAAAACTGGCAAAAGTGGAACTAAGATTTACTTTTTTTCCATAGCTGTGATATAGTATGCAGCTATAGTTAAGCAAGTGGTAAAAGTTGCTGTGGAACACAAGCCAATGGATAAAAAGAAAAGCTGCAACATCAAACTAAATTAGAGGTTTTTGAGAAATCCAACTGGTTTTCACCCTGGGAGAGGTTGCCAAGTTGGTATAGAATCTGTTAAATTTCAAGTAAGTTTACCTTTACTTTAGGTCATAAGTTCCTTATGTAATTGCTATATATGAAGACATGCCTGTTTGTAACATTCTTCACTAGGAAATTTGAGATTTCAAAATACCAATGTCCTGCCAGTTTAAGGGTATTTTGTAGAAGTGAACTTTGAGTTACTATGCAAAAATTTGTTTTCATGCTGTCATTTGTAATATGTTTTGTGAGAATCCTTGGGATTATAGTTTTGCTTACAAAAAAAAAAAAGCTGTTTATGACAATTGAATGAGTCACCAGTACACAGTAAACTCTCCCTGCATTAGCCATTGTATTTCAGCGTTCTCTAGAGGGACAGAACTAATAGGATAGATGTCTGTATAAAGAGGAATTTATTAAGAAGTAATAACTCACACGATCACAAGCTCCCACAATAGGCTCAGGAGCAAGGAAGCCAGTCCAAGTCTCAAAGCTGAAGAAACTAGAGTCCGCCGATGTTTGAGAGCAGGAAGCATCCAGCATGGGAGAAAGATGTAGGCTGGGAGGTTAAGCCAGTCTAGCCTTTTCACGTTCTTCTGCCTGCTTTTATTCTGGCCACTCTGGCAGCTGATTAGATGGTGCCCACCGAGATTAAGGGTGGGTTTGCTTTTCCCAGTCCATTGACTCAAATGTTAACCTCCTTTGGCAACACCCTCACAGACTTACCCAGGAACAATACTTTGCATCCTTGAGCCAATCAAGTTGACACTCAGTATTAACCATCACAGCTATTATTGTCATATTCAGGAAAAATTAGTAGCTCAGCATGACCTGCATCGGTGTGCCTAGTGGTGAGATTTCAAAGGTAGATTGTGTCTACCAGACTGATTTGAGAATGTCTTCTGTTGCATAATTTTTAGCGTGGTCAGAGTTGCACTTTAGAAAGGTGTCTGTGGTATTGTCATCGGGCAAGGATTGGAAGTGAGTAAAAGTGAAGACAAGGAGAAAAGTTGTGAGGTTTCTGCATTATCACTGCAAGGTAGTGTAGGCACTCAGTGATATTTACAGAATCACTGAATGACCCGATAAATTATATTCCAATGTGAACTTACAAAAGAGAAGCGGAACCACATGGTATGGAAAAGAACGATGTGTTTATAATTGGGCTATTTTGTTAAATGCAAATGCAGGAAGCACCTAATATGTAATGTGTTAAACTTAAATCAGAACATAAAAAGGCTAGAGCCAATTTTCCCATAGACTCCAGGACTTTCTAGGTTGCCAGACTGATGGCAAGGACAAGAGCAGAGCCTCTGCCCGCACTCGTCTCATGGGCACATTCCTTTCCAATGCTCCATCAGGCCCAGCCAGTGCTGCCAGGCAAAGCAGGAATCGCCTCTGCTGGATTTGAGCCCATTGCTGCTTTCATCTTCTTCCTGGGAAGGGGGTGAGATCCTCTAGTCTCATCAGTCATTTGTTCCCTGTCAACAAGCCTGCTGCTAGAAGCCTGTGTGGCTCAGGTGGCTGCAGCAAGAAGTCCCTGTGGGGTGGAGGCTGTTTGGAGCCAGCAGAAGCCTCTACACCCAGCAGGTGCTTAGGAGCCACAGAGGAGAGGAAACAACTTAGACGCCTTCCCCTAAGAGGTAGTTTTACCAGAAGAGGGATGAACAGGCCGGAAGCCATCCCGCCAGCAAACCTCCTCCTGTCAGCTCCAAGCCGGACAAAACAAATGCGCTTTATCTGCAAGTAAGATTGGCTTCCGAGGGCCGATATATCATGCAGAGGCCTGGCGACTCCCTCCCGAGGAGCGTCATCTTCTCCCTTCTCGCAGTGCCCCAGTCCCTGAAGGTCTTCCCGCTAGCAGCCAAAAAAGTTCAAAAGAGCAGAGGATAAGAGATGTTCCTCTCTTCTCCCACTCATCCAACTAGGTCCAGGCCCCAGAGCCCAGCCTGGCTTCAGGTGGGGGCAGCGGCTCCAGCCTCTCTGGTGTGCTTGCCAGGGCCCAGCAGCCAGGCCTGGCCAGCCAGGAATGGCTGACCTCCAAGTGCCTTGCTTCCCTCCGGTTGCTCCACCTAGGCGGCGCAGAAGAAGCTGGAATGCTGGTTGGCTTAGTGTTTGGGTCACTTTTCATCTCTGGTGGGAGGATCAGGGGAGTCAGTGGCTCAATGGCTCAGCCTTGAGGATACAGCGGCACTGATCGTGGGTTTTACTGGCATGGCTGGGGTTCCCACTGTGTGACAGCAGCCTGCCAATAGGTTAGGAGAAGAAGGTTAATATTGGGCTGGAAGCTGGAATTGGGAAAAGAAAGAAACTTAGGTCATTTTGAGCTCGCTTCTCACGATCCTAACATCCTTCTCACTCAGTCCTTATTCTGACCATGTCTGCCTGCCATTTAGGGATAGGAAAGGAGGAATTGAGAGTAATGGGAAGGAAAGGATAAAAACAGAGGCCAGAATAAAACAAGGGACATGAAAAAAGTGAGGGGAAGGAGGTTGAGGTTATTTGAATGAAAAGCAGTGGAACAGAAGATGCTGAAAGAACAGGGCTTCTGCTCTGCTGAACCCACTTTTTCATTTTCTTTTAAGTTCTTCTATTTCTTTTAATCTTGAACATTGCCCTGGTTTCAGAAATGCTTGGAAAATCCTTGTTGGTGGTGAAGCCTCTTTTCACATTGAAGGAGGCCAAACTTGCAACTGCCTCGTGAGAACATAAGCCTGTATTCCTGAATGTAAAGTCTCATGCAAAACTCTGGAGGATGTGGCTCCACTCATAGGATTGCAATCAGCCCTATTGGGAAATGACGTGATGGATTGGAAAGTGTCCCAAATAGTTCTTGATTCAACACTACCCTTAGCAGGCTGCATGACATTGTACAAGTCACTTCGCTTCTCTGGGTCTCAGTGTTCTCAATTGCAAGATGACACACCAAATTATTTCTAAGATCCTTTCTAGCTCTAAAACTGTATAATATCTGATCATATCTTTCATTTGTTTAAAAGCAATATAATACTTTGCCTACTAACTTCACCTAGCATAGCATGCTAGGTCCCCACTGTCCTCTCCAGCTGTATCTTCTCTTTCTCTTTTCCTCGTATTCTGTGCCCAACCCATTGTGAAGTACTCACAGTGAGTCTCTCTTGGTCCAGTCTTTGAACACAACATTCCCTCTGCTTGCAATGCCCACCCTTCTCTCCCCACCCGTATCTCCTATTTTTCCTTCTGGGCTCTGCCTTTTTTGGGAAGCCTTCTCTGGCCATATCCTTAACTTCAGCTGAGTGAAGTCTCCTATGTATTCTTAAAGCCTCTATGTTGACCCATATTTCACTTTGCAGAGAATATTATAATTGCTTTTCGTCATTCTGCCTCATTAGATCTTGATCTCATTGAAGACATGAGCTGTCTCTTGGACTCTTATGCCTAGTTCTGTGCAATAACACAATGCATGCACCAATTAATTATTAAAGCTGACCTTAGAGCCCTTGTCCATATCTTTCTGAGTTTTTCTTTTCTTGGAAATATGTGGTAGAAATGTGTTCTTTAGTGAGAGAACCAAGGCAATGGGAGTGGCAGAAAATGGGCAATAAAGCAAATGTATTTGGACCCCAAAGGCTTCTGGATTCTGTTAAGGAACTGTATACACTCTTGGACTAAAGACATAAGGCAGCTTGTTTCGAGGATTTGGAATGCACAGCATTGACCTCAGCAGTCCTATCCCTTCAGGGAAAAGCACAATGCTGTTAACTGAGGCTAAAATGTAGAAAGACATTTAGAGAACTGAGCAAGACAAGATATCTGGGTACATTTTATGAATCACTTTTCTAATTTTTCAGTCACCGTGTTACTCATTCTCCCACCCATCTTAGTTCTTAACTACAGAAGCATCCAAAACATATAGTCAGACACTTATCCAAATCACAGCCTTCCCACACGATCCAAGAACAATGAACAAGACTTTGGAAGAAACTGGGGTGATTCCAAAAAATTGCAAGAGAGTCAAAAGGGCACATGCATGTCATTATTTACTGAGCAAATGGGAGGTAGAACTTTGGAAACACATGCTTATTAAAGAAAAAGTGAAAAATGGAGAAACACAGCAAGAAGGGGGAAAAATGACTTGAAGTCTACCTGCCCCTCCCCAAAGACAGCTACCACTCGGAGTTCAGCAGGTTTTATTAACATTTTTTATGCACTTTCCCCCACCTCTGCTTTACTTTAAAATTAATTGTTTCCCTAGTATGCATATAACTTTCAATTTTAATTTTTTTTTTCTTTTTTGAGACAGAGTCTCACTCTGTCATCCAGGCTGGAGTTCAGTGGTGCAATCTTGGCTCACTGTAACCTCCACCTCCCTTGTTCAAGTGACTCTCCTGCCTCAGCCTCCTGAGTACTTAGGATTACAGGTGCCCACCACCACATCTGGCTAATTTTTGTACTCTTACTAGAGAAAGAATTTCACCATATTCACCAGGCTGGTCTCGAACTCCTGACCTCAAGGGATCTGCCCGCCTCGGCCTCCTAAAGTGCAGGGATTACAGGTGTGAGCCACTGTACCTGGCCACATTTTCTTATATAAATAGCAAACAGTGGAGACTACACAGAAGTGAAAAAAATTTGAGTTGTAATCGAATAAAACTTACAATGAGTTTAATAAGGAGTGTGTCACCATTGTTGTTTTGCAAGAAAGAGGCATAGGTGAGTGGCTCAGTGAATGATCTGTGGAAAAATACGGTGCTCCTTTTCTAGAGTGAAAGTAAGCATTTCTGGAGCTAACTTGGGTAAACAGTGAGCTTATAAAAAGGGAAGAAAAAAAGTTTGTGGTTCCTGGCTTGACTTTCCCCAAGACAAGGCAGGAGTCAGCCACCGTTCTTTCCCCCCTATTAGATCAGGCCACGTAGCCACCAACATTCCAGATTACTGTTGGTTGATTTCCAGTCTGAAGGTGAGAGACAGGCATAGAGACCCTGGGCCCGTGGACAGCACATCTCTCCTGCTGGGGACACCTGGAGGCAGAGTCACCTCAGACCTTCTGAAGTAGACATGGCTCTTTTCTTCTTCCACCAGGAGCTAGTCCACTTCTTCAGCTGGGATGGAGGTGGGCCCACAGCGCTTCTCTCCACAGAAGAGGCAGAGGGTAAGAGTGTGGGGACTTCTGCTTGCTCAGAGTGATTCCTTCACAGCTGCCAGAAATACTGTGAAAGAAAGTTCCATTCAGGTAGAGCCCTTGGCAAGGATTAACCGGTGCATGTGAGTTATTCACTAACACAGAAGCCATTCTAGACATGCATAGAAAATGTAAGAATGGAGGCTGGGTGCGGTGGCTCACTCCTGTAATTCTAGCATTTTGAGAGGACGAGGCGGGTGGATCACTTGAAGTCAGGAGTTCAAGACCAGCCTGGCCAACATGGTAAAACCCCGTTTCTACTGAAAAACACAAAAATTAGCCTGGTGTGGTGGCTCGTGTCTGTAGTACCAGCTACTTGGGAGGCTGAGGCAGGAGAATTGCTTGAACCCAGGAGGTGGAGGTTGCAGTGAGCCGAGATCACACCACTGCACTCTAGACTGGGTGACAGAGCGAAACTCTGTCTCAAAAAAAAAAAAAAAAAGTAAGACTAGTAATAAAAGAGGATTTGGTTAAACTATAGGCAAAGAAGTCTTCCAGATACTTCCAAAATATGATTTGGAAGAATCTGAAAACGTCTGGTTAATGTATAACCATGTGAAATGCCTTTTATTGTTGACTCTGTTAATTGAGTAACAGAGCTGTGAATAGTTTTTCTTGTTTTTATTTTGTTTCGGAACTGTAAACTTTATCCCATATCCCTATTTAGGTATATCTGATTTATCTAAAAAAGAGTGAGGTGAAAGAAGAATTATAAATTGCTAATTCCAAGACTCATTAAAACAAAGGTGACAAAAGACTAGGTCTCCTGACAGGACACATAAAATTAAAGGTTTTTCTCCCATAGCTGGAGAAAATCCTGCTGTTGTGTGTTAGAGAATTTTTAATATAAAAAATGACTCTATCAAGAGAGAATATGATTAGAATAAAAGTTTAAAATCTATCTTTTTAATATAATATTTTAAAAATATAATAGTAGAAAGCAGAGATGTACAGTTATATAAAAATAATACATGCAGTTAAGTTGCAGATGCTTGGGTGATTTCTAAGCATTTTAGGTAGCATTATCAAATATTTTCCTAATAAGACAAAGGGAAGAGAAATTTTTTTATGGGGGGCATGGAGAGGAAGAAGGGAAGGACTGAGATGTCATTTTGGAACAGAATGCTTCTTAGGTGACAATAGGTTACATTTCCAACCCTGATTTCCTGTTACATGTTCAACCCTCTTCTGAGTTCCAAAATGTATTTCATTCAGATAACATTTATTGAGTGCCTAATATGTGTCCATCAGATTTAAGGCTGCATTCTGAATCTCCTGTGTATCCAAAGACATATTTTACATCAGAGGGGGAAAACGATAAATATGTATTATTTTCCTGCCCATCCCTGTTAGATGCACCTCCAAATCTGTTCTTTCTCCTGTTTGGCCATCTAGCTAACAGAACACGTGCACCCTGCCTCCCAGGCTGGGAACCTTGCTCTCTGTTTCATTTCCTCTTTTACTTACCACATTGTAGTCGGTCACCAAACCCTGTTGAGACTGCTCTCATCTGTGTTTTGCCTCTCATCTCCATCTTCTTGAACTCTGCGTTGAAAAAGACTGTTACCATCTCTAATCTGAATTATTGCATTTGCTTTCTAGCCTCATCTGAGTTCATTCCCTTCAACATTACAGCCAAGGAGTTTGCCTCTCACAAAGTAGATCACATTATCTTTCTGCTTACATTTCTGTAGGCTTAAATACCTGCAGTCTAACTTTCAGCTGTGCTCTGTCTCTGGAAAAGCACCATTTTAAAATGATTTGTCTTTTTTCCTATCTTTCCCTGACACTCCACTGGAGCATTTTGAGGACAGGGCCATGTGCTTTCATATTTGTATCCTTCACCTGCAGCCCAGCAGCAAGTAAGTGCTCAGCAGCTATTTGCTGAATAGGACTGACTTAGGAATGGGCACAAGGGAAGAGGATAGACGTAGGAGAAGAATAGAGGGAGCCACTTCTCTTCCCAGGGGTTGGCAAGCTCTTCACGAATCTTTTCCCCCATGTTATTCCACTGCTCCCCTTATTCTGTCAGGAGTGGCAAAGGAACTTGACCCCACCATGCAGTAAGTCTTCCTGATAAGCTGATAAGTATGCTGAAGTGTATAATTCCACTTATAGAACTTTTCAAAGGCACAAAATTATAGTGATAGAGAATCGATCAGTGGTTGGCAGGGTTGTTTAGGGATAGGGTTGTGGGAGGGTATGGCTATTAGGTGGTAGTGTGGAATTTTTCTTGTGGTGATGGAATAGTTCTGTATGCCAACTGTGGTGATCTTTACGTGAATCTGTACATGTGATACAATTTATAGAACTGTATATACATTAAAAACTGGTGACATCTAATTAAGGTCTGTACTGAAGTTAATAATACTGTACCAACGTCAATTTCTGAGTTTTGAAAATAAGATTTTTTCATTGGAGGTAGCTGAGCAAAATATATACAGACACCATACTATTTTTGCAACTTCTTGTGAGTGTGAGTCTTAAATTATTTCCAAATAAAAAGGTATAGATAGCCAACTCTTATTATTTGTGTTAGCTATGATCTCTGAAGTCTCTATGAACACTGAATTAATGAATACTGAACCATTGCTCCTAGGAGATGTACAGGGCTAGATTCCTGCAGCAAGCCTTTGGCCACAACATTTTTGTCAACTGATCAATATATAACCTTGTTTTCTGCGTGTTTCTGTTTAAATATTTAACATCTATTTAATATCTGTTATTGATTTATTAACACTGAACTCACAGGCAGCAGCACTATAACTCATGCCTCAATGAAGCTTATCTAATACATGTATTTTCTGTGTAAGGCACATCACAGCCTTCTAAAATTTAGGAACACTGGACAGCTCTTCAATACTGTGCATGGGCCCATTTTAAACAATGAAACCACAAACAAAAGCACAAAAATGTGAACAATATGGCACTAAATAAACCACCAAAAGGACATGTTTACAGTATGACAGTATGGGAGCTGATATTCTACAATAAGGCAGACTGTTGCCTTGTTTTAACTCAGTTGAGACTCTATTCATCAAGCAACTCAAATTGCCTGTATTCATCAGGCATCTGCTGCTCTGCACATGTCCACAAATGACCATGAAAGAACTGTAAGTATTGACTTTAAGATTACAAATAAATTTTAGTGAGTAGGTAAATTCACAAATACAGATTCTACAAATAATGAGGATTGTCTGTACATGTCTATATATGTCCATATATGCATATGTGCACATATGTGTACTGTATTATTTTTGCAACTTTAAGCTACCCAGTTTATGCTATTTCTTATAGTAGCAAGAATGGACTAAGACCACAGGATGAGGATAGTGGGAAGGCATTCTAGGTATTCTTGAAGTCATACTTCCCAGCTTGCTGACTGTCTAAAAAGCCCTCCCTGATAACATTATATTTGAGTGCTCTGTTAATAAAGGCTAAGAATGTACATAGTTCTGTGAAAAGAATTATGTATATAGTTCATATATTATATATGTGTGTATATATGGTATATATATGTATATCTTTTTATATGTCATGGTGACTGCAGAAGAGGCTGGAGCTCAAATTTATGTAATGATATACATATTGTATAATAAAACTAAATGTCATCTCAATGGGAAAAACAATGTCTGACAAATTGACATAAGAATCGCTCACATTTTCTTTGTAGTTTAGATATTTGCAGGTTTTTCTGAATTATGGGATTTTTTTTGTCTAAACTTTAACTGCTATGCAAAAGGGTAGCTTGTGTCAGCATTATTCAGAAGGCCATTTTTTTGTTTGTTCGTTTGTTTTTCCTGAGACGGAGTCTCTCTCTGTCACCCAGGCTGGAGTGCAGTGGCACAATCTTGGCTCACTGCAACCTCCGCCTCCCGGGTTCAAGCAATTCTCCTGCCTCAGCCTCCCGAGTAGCTGGGACTACAGGCGCCCACCACCACGCCCGGCTATTTTTTATATTTTTAGTAGAGATGGGGTTTCACCATGTTGGGTAGGATGGTCTCCATCTCTTGACCTTGTGATCCACCCACCTTGGCCTCCCAAAGTGCCAGGATTGCAGGAGTGAGCCACCACGCCCGGTTGCCATGCTGGTTTTTCAGCCATCAGTCACTGCTTTTTATGCCCCTTTCTGTTTCGAACTCATAGTTAAATGTCTGAGCTTAAGTGCACAATTACCCTAACTCCAGCTTTTCCTTCCAATGACAACACGTGGTGTGTGTGTGTGTGTGTGTGTGTGTGTGTGTGTGTGTGTACTCTTCACCTAGTATAAGTGTACGTATACAGATAGTATGCTATGGCCTGAATGTCTGTGTCCTTCCAAAGTTTGTATGTTGAAATCCCAACCCCTAAGGTTAGGAAGTGGGGCCTTTGGGGAGGTGATTAGACTATGATGGCGGAGTCCTCATGTATGGGATTAATGCTCTTGTGAAATAGGATCAAGGGAACCCATTCATCCTTTCCACCATGTGAGCATACAGGGAGAAGGCATTGCTTATGAACTAAGAAGCAGGTCCTCACCAGACACTGCATTTACCAGCACCTCGATCTTGGACTTTCAGCCTCCAGAATTTCAAGAAATAAATTTCTCTTGTTTGTAAGCTACCCAGTTTATGCTATTTCTTATAGCAGCCCAAATGGACTAAGACCATAGGATGAGCAGAGTGGGAAGGCATTCTAGGTATTCTTGAAGTCATACTTCCCAGCTTGTTGACTGTTTCAAAAGCCCTCCCTGATAACATTATATTTGAGTACTCTGTTAATAAAGGCTAAGAATATACATAGTTCTGTGAAAAGTAACAGCTGTTTCTCCTCCTCATTGGAACTGTGTGCCTTTAACTGTTAGAAAAGGTGGGGTTTTAAAGATCCCGAGAGGAATCCTATTTCTTGCTATTATTAGGAATTACCAGAGCTCTTTCCTGCCCATACTGGGAACGGTCTTTTAGTGATGGTGAGTGAGAAGCTCATTTTGACAGTCTGGAATGACCCTTCTCATACTTGGTATCTATAACCATTATACTCTCCATTATGAGTAAATTGCTTTCCTCGACTTTGGCTTCTCTCTAATCCCTTGTAGGCATATGCTAGTTCTGGAACTCTTAAAGAGTCTCTGGTTAGTGTATTTCTGAGAAGTTAGATAAGGCCAAGCTTTAGTTAAGCTCCACATAGCCGAGTGACATAGAACTGTTTTTGGCTGAAAGCCCTTTAATTTTCCAAGTGCTCAAATGGAATCATTTGAAATGTAAAATGTATGAACATCTTTCCTCTGAATGAAATGGTACGCTTTTTCTTGGCTTAATTTCCTCTAGACATAAAAATTAAGACTCGCCAGTACCAGGGATCAGTAATGTTGTACATGTTGCCAGACTTACAGATTAGATAAGCATTTTGGTTTCCAGTAGTGTTTTCACGGAATTATCTCTATTCAGGTCAAATTCTATTTTGAGAACTCCAGCTGATTCAACAGCCCACAATTTGTACTTTTGGTCTCAAAGTAAATACTTGATTTAACTCAAGCCGGGAGAACTACACTTGCATTTGAGCCCTGACCCATGTAATTTTAAATACCCATCAGCCCCTACTATGGGATGTAATTGGATGGATCAGATGCTTTGTAGGTTCATGCCAACAGAGGGGAAAGCATTTAGGCCATTTCCCTTCCAAAGCAAACAGTGTGAGTCTATTGGTCTAAGCAGCAGTCGCCAATTAGGCTTTGTTTCTCCCTTCACCACTTCCTTCCGCTTTGTGTTGTGGGGCCCTGAGTGCAGAGAGATGAAGGAAGAGGGCTTGAAAAAGGGCATACAACTGCTTTAGCAGGTCTAGATGCAGATGTAAACTTGTGGTAAAGATGTATTCAAGAATACAGAAACACTGGTCCTCAAGGTGTAGGGATTTACAGCCCGAAAGGAACATGGATCCCACCAGAAACTTCCATGTCTCCCAAGACACAGGGCAGAGAGTATGGGACAGAGAGAGAATCCGTGCAGGAACTGAGTCATTACAGGCATAAAGAGTTAGCGTTAACCTCAGGGTTAATTAGGAATCTAAGAAGCTGATTTGCAAGCAGGTAGAAGAGGAGTATTCACAGCAAGGAAAGATGACACACTGTGAAGTCCAGAAATGAAACCAAATCAAAATCTGAAGAGACTAGGTGATCATTAGAGACAGCAATAGAGACTCAAGCACATAGCACTTTGGTGAAATTGCTGCTCGTTTGCCCAAAAGGAAGCCCTCAAGCATGCCTGCTTTGACCCAAGGATGCCATACATACAGTATGTGGTAATCCTGGAGGCAATGCTTGAAAATGACCATTAATGATAAAGTAGTCATTATAATAGCTACCTCTTATTGAGTGCTTACTGTGTGCTATGTACTAACTTTAGGCACTTTACATACATACCCCTGGTCTTATGCAATCTCCACAACTTCACTTTAGAGTGGGCTTGTTTCTGTTTTCTAGTGGAAGAAACTGAAGCTCAGTTAATTTTAGGAATTTGTATTAGTTCAAGCAGTTTCTGAGTGATAGGATTAGAATTTGAAAGCATGTCAATCTAACTTCAAAGCCTATGTTCGTAACCACTAAGCTACACAGGATCTCAGTATGCCATCAAGTGGCATGTAATTTAAATAATTAGAATTACCACCTGTAATTCTAATTAGCTTGGGTCTTTCATATTGCAAGGAGCAGACTCCCTAGCTATCTTAGTTAATGAAGAGTTAGTGCAATAAGAATACATAAGGAAGTCAGAGTAGAAAAAAAAGTTGTAGCCAGGCCTCAGAGAACCAAAATGTTAGCCATATGCAACTGTAACTCAAGTGGGCTTACAACAGCTTCACCAATGGTCCCCACAGAAGGCAGTTAAACTACCTTATTCAGTAGTCTAACATTATTGGGGCTCAGTTACTCCACATCACCTCTTCAACTTTCCTGGAGCCTACTATGTACATTTTATTCACTTTCCTTTCTATGGTATAATGTTTGCTTACTCCTAGCTTTTACAGTCCCATGATGACTGCTGTCGAATGCATTTTGTTTACTGACTTGTCTCTATCATCTTTTCCTCCCTAATGTCTGTGTTTCTCTGTGTCAGGCACTCATGCTCCCTGAGAGGCAGGAACTAGTCACCAGCCAGGGGAAGATACTCACACTGGACAGTGTTAGACCACTTCATAGGCTATGGCCAGCCTACAGAGCAGCCTTTGGGTGAGGTAATCATTCTTGGCCCAGCCAGCTGTGAACTTCTACATGGTGACCTATGCACAGAGAATCTCTCATAATGGGCAGTGGGCACAGTGGGCACCTTATCTGCCTGGTTTTTGGATAAATTACATTTCCCTAAGTATTATCCCATGTATAATCGAACTCTAGTAGCCTATCCTGCTGTAAGCTGGGTTGGGATGACCCAGAGACTCTCTTCTGATATTCCTCGTCAAGCCCTAAGCCACGGAGAGATCAGAGCCTAATGTTTTTATAAGGCCCTCAGCATGTGGTTATATGGCATTGAGTCTATGTTTCTGCATTTTATATCTAAGTATGTATTTTTGCCTGGCTATATGTTCCTAGTTTATCTTTCCTTCCCACTGAGAGAAAAAAAAAACCCTGAAACTCCTCTTTGATGTGGCAGTGCTGAACTCTGTCTGTTCTTAAGGCACTAATAACAATGTTAATAATATCACTTTATAGCACACGTATGCTTTTAACACTTTGGGTATTCAGTTTTGTGAGGAACAACTTTATGACATGAATAATTTCAAAATTGACCACTATCTGCAGGGATGAAAGGGAGCCCATTTTCCTGATTACTTTAGTCTTTAGATTGTGTTTTATGCATCTTGTCATATGGAAGTAATAGTGCCACATACTGTTCACAAAGACATCAAATGCAATCCGAGACTTTGAGTCTTTGAGCCTTCTATTGCTGCATTATGAAACCATTAAAGCAAGATGTATGTTTTATTCTTCTTTTGTTCCCTGTAGTTCTTAACATGGTGATCTGAACATAACTGCTTTTTAAAATATTTGTCAATGACTAAATGAATGAACAATTAGAAATGTGACCTGTAGGGATCTGTTCCAAGATGGCAGAATAGGAATAGCTCCAGTCTGCAGCTCCCAGCATGATCCATGCAGAAGATGGGTGATTGCTGCATTTCCAACTGAGGTACCTGGTTCATCTCATTGGGACTGGTTGGACAGTGGGTGC
This sequence comes from Homo sapiens, assembly GCF_000001405.40. Taxonomy (NCBI): domain Eukaryota; kingdom Metazoa; phylum Chordata; class Mammalia; order Primates; family Hominidae; genus Homo; species Homo sapiens. The sequence continues at coordinate 95,933,903 of NC_000008.11, read as the reverse complement.
AGCCCACAAAGGGCGAGCTGAAGCAGGGTGAGGCGGAAGAGCAAGGGGTCAGGGGATTTCCCTTTCCTAGACAAGGGAAGCCATGACAGACTGTACCTGGAAAAACGGGAAACTCCTGCTCAAATACTGTGCTTTTCCAACAGTCTTAGCAAACAGCACACCAGGAGATTATATCCTGTGCCTGGCTGGGTGGGTCCCATGCCCACAGAGCCTTGTTTACTGCTAGCGCAGCAGTCTGAGATCCATCTGCCAGGCAGCAGCCCAGCAGGGAGAGGGGTGTCCGCCATTGCTGAGGCTTGAGTAGGTAAACAAAGCAGCCTGGAAGCTCAAACTGGGTGGAGCCCACTGCAGTGCTGCAAGGCTTGCTGCCTCTATAGACTCCACCTCTGGGGGCAGGGCATAGCTGAACAAAAGGTAGCAGAATCTTCTGCAGACTTAAATGTCCCTGTCTGACAGCTCTGAAGAGAGCAGTGGTTCTTCTAGCACGGTGTTTGAGCTCTGAGAACAAACAGACTGCCTCCTTAAGTGGGTCCCTGACCCAGGTGTAGCCTAACTGGGAGACACCTGCCAGTAGGGGCCGACTGACACCTCATACACGCGGGTGCCCCTCTAGGACAAAGTTTCCAAAGGAAGGATCAGGCAGCAATATTTTCAGTTCTGCAATATTTGCTGTTCTGAAGCCTCCACTGGTAATACCCAGGCAAACAGGGTCTGGACTGGACCTCCAGCAAACTCCAACAGACCTGCAGCTGAAAGACCTGACTGTTAGAAGGAAAACTAACAAACAGAAAGGGATAGCATTAACATCGACAAAAAGAACATCCACACCAAAACCCCATCTGTAGGTCACCAACATCAAAGACCAAAGGTAGATAAAACCACAAAGATGGGGAGAAACCAGAGCAGAAAACCTGAAAATTCCAAAAACCAGAGTGTCTCCTCTTCTCCAAAGGATCACAGCTCCTCACCAGCAATGAAACAAAGCTGGACGGAGAATGACTTTGACAAGTTGACAGAAATAGGCTTCAGAAGGTTGGTAATAACAAACTTCTCCGAGCTAAAGGAGGATGTTCAAACCCATCACAAGGAAGCTAAAAACCTTGAAAAAAGATTAGATGAGTGGCCAACTAGAACAAACAGTGTAGAAAAGACCTTCAATGACCTAATGGAGCTGAAAACCATGGCACAAGAACTTCATGATGCATGCACAAGCTTCAATACCCGATTCAATCAAGTGGAGGAAAGGGTATCAGTGATTGAAGATCAAATTAATGAAATAAATTGAAAAGAGAAATTTAGAGAAAAAAGAGTAAAAAGAAATGAACAAAGCCTCCAAGAAATATGGGACTATGTGAAAAGACCAAATCTGCATCTGATTGGTGTACCTGAAAGTGATGGGGAGAATGGAACCAAGTTGGAAAACACTCTTCAGGATATTATCCAGGAGAACTTCCCCAACCTAGCAAGGCAGACCAACGTTCAAATTCAGGAAACACAGAGAACACCACAAAGGTACTCCTTGAGAAGAGCAACCCCAAGACACATAATTGTCAGATTCACCAAGGTTGAAATGAAGGAAAAAATGTTAAGGGCAGCCAGAGAGAAAGGTTGGGTTACTCAGAAAGGGAAGCCCATCAGACTAATAGCGGATCTCTTGGCAGAAACTCTACAAGCCAGAAGAGAGTGCGGGCCAATATTCAACATTCTTAAAGAAAAGAATTTTCAACCCAGAATTTCATATCCAGCCAAACTAAGCTTCATAAGTGAAGGAGAAATAAAATACTTTACAGACAAGTAAATACGGAGAGATTTTGTCACCACCAGGCCTGCCTTACAAGAGCTCCTGAAGGAAGTACTAAACATGGAAAGGAACAACTGGTACCAGCCACTGAAAAAACATGTCAGATGGTAAAGACCATCGATGCTATGAAGAAACTGCATCAATTAATGGGCAAAATAACCAGCTAACATCATAATGACAGGATCAAATTAACACATAACAACATTAACCTTAAATGTAAATGGGCTCAATGTCCCAATTAAAAGACACAGACTGGCAAACATGATATAGAGTCAAGACCCATCAGGGTGCTATATTCAGGACACCCATTTCACCTGCAGAAACACACATAGGCTCAAAACAAAGGGATGGAGGAAGATCTACCAAGCAAATGGAAAGCAAAAGAAAGCAGGGATTGCAATCCTAGTCTCTGATAAAACAGACTTTAAACCAACGAAGATCAAAAGAGACAAAGAAGGCCCCATTACGTAATGGTAAAGGGGTCAATTCAACCGGAAGAGCTAACTTTCCTAAATATATATGCACCCAATACAGGACCACCCAGATTCATAAAGCAAGTCCTTAGAGACCTACAAAGAGACTTAGACTCCCACACAATAATAATGGGAGACTTTAACACCCCACTGTCAATATTAGACAGATCAATGAGACAGAAGGTTAACAAGAATATCCAGGAGGTAAACTCAGCTCTGCACAAAGCGGACCTAATAGACATCTACAGAACCCTCCACCCCAAATCAACTGAATATACCTTCTTCTCAGCACCACATCTCACTTATTCCAAAATTGACCACATAGTTGGAAGTAAAGCACTCCTCAGCAAATGTAAAAGAACAGAAATCACAGCAAAGTGTCTCTGAGACCACAGTGCAATCAAATTAGAACTCAGGGCTAAGAAACTCACTGAAAATTGCACAACTAAATGGAAACTGAACAACCTGCTCCTGAATGACTACTGGGTATACTAACGAAATGAAGGCAGAAATAAAGATGTTCTTTGAAACCAATGAGAACAAAGACACAATGTACCAGAATCTCTGGGACACATTTAAAGTAGTGTGTAGAGGGAAATTTATAGCACTAAATGCCCACAAGAGAAAGCAGGAAAGATCTAAAATCGACACCCTAGCATCACGATTAAACGAACTAGAGAAGCAAGAGCAAAGACATTGAAAAGCTAGCAGAAGACAAGAAATAACTAAGATCAGAGCAGAACTGAAGGAGATAGAGACACAAAACCCTTCAAAAATCAATGAATCCAGGAGCTGGTTTTTTGAAAAGATCAACAAAATTGATAGACCGCTATCAAGACTAATAAAGAAGAAAAAAGAGAAGAATCAAATAGATGCAATAAAAAATGATAAAGGGGATATCACAATTGATCCCACAGAAATACAAACTACCATCAGGGAATATTATAAACACCTCTATGCAAATAAACTAGAAAATCTAGAAGAAATGGATGAATTCCTGGACATATACACCATCCCAAGACTAAACCAGGAGGAAGTGGAATCTCTGAATAGACCAATAACAGGCTCTGAAATTGAGGCAATAATTAATAGCATACCAACCAATAGAAGTCCAGGACCAGATGGATTCACAACCGACTTCTACCAGAGGTACAAAGAGGAGCTGCTACTGTACCTTCTGAAACTATTCCAATCAATAGAAAAAGAGGGAATCATCCCTAACTCACTTTATGAAGTCAGAATCATATGATACCAAAGCCTGGCAGAGACACAACAAAAAGAAGAGATTTTTAGGCCAATATCCTTGATGAACATCGATGCGAAAATCCTCAGTAAAATACTGGCAAGCCAAATCCAGCAGCACATCAAAAAGCTTATCCACCATGATCAAGTCAGCTTCATCCCTGGGATGCAAGGCTGGTTCAACATACAAAAATCAATAAACGTAATCCATCACATAAACACAACCAACGACAGAAACCACATGATTATCTCAATAGATGCAGAAAAGGCCTTTGTCAAAATTCAACAGCCTTCGTGCTAAAAACTCCCAATAAACTAGGTATTGATGGAACGTATCTCAAAATAATAAGAGCTTTTTATGACAAACCCAGAGCCAATATCATACTGAATGGGTAAAAACTGGAAGCATTCCCTTTGAAAACTGGCACAAGACAGGGATGACTTCTCTCACCACTCCTATTCAACATAGTGTTGGAAGTTCTGGCCAGGGCAATCAGACAGGAGAAAGAAATAAAGCGTATTCAATTAGGAAAAGAGGAAGTCAAATTGTCCCTGTTTGCAGATGACATGATTGTATATCTAGAAAACCCCATCATCTTAGCCCAAAATCTCCTTAAGCTGATAAGCAACTTCAGCAAAGTCTCAGGATACAAAATCAATGTGCAAAAATCACAAGCATTCTTATACACCAATAACAGACAAACAGAGCCAAATCATGAGTGAACTCCCATTCACAATTGCTTCAAAGAGAATAAAATACCTAGGAATCCAACTTACAAGGGATGTGAAGGACCTCTTCAAGGAGAACTACAAACCACTGCGCAGCGAAATGAAAGAGGACACAAACAAATGGAAGAACATTCCATGCTCATGGATAGGAAGAATCAATATCATGAAAATGGCCATATTGCCCAAGGTAATTTATGGATTCAATGCCATCCGTGTTAAGCTACCACTGACTTTCTTCACAGAATTGGAAAAAACTACTTTAAAGTTCATATGGACCCAAAAAAGAGCCCGCATTGCCAAGATAGTCCTAAGCAAAAAGAACAAAGCTGGAGGCATCACGCTACCTGACTTCAAACTATACTACAAGGCTACAGTAACCAAAACAGCATGGTACTGGTACCAAAACAGAAATATAGACCAATGGAACAAAACAGAGGCCTCAGAAATAACACCACACATCTACAACCATCTGATCTTTGATAAACCTGACAAAAACAAGCAATAGGGAAAGGATTCCCTATTTAATAAATGGTGCTGGGAAAACTGGCTAGCCATATGTGGGAAGCTGAAACTGGGTCCTTTCCTTACACCTAATACAAAAATTAATTCAAGATGGATTAAAGACTTAAATGTTAGACCTGAAACCATAAGAACCCTAGAAGGAAACCTGGGCAATACCATTCAGGACATGGGCATGGGCAAGGACTTCATGACTAAAACACCAAAAACAATGGCAACAAAAGCCAAAATAGACAAATGGGATCTAATTAAACTAAAGAGCTTCTGCACAGCAAAAGAAACTACCATCAGAGTGAGCAGGCAACCTACAGAACGGGAGAAAATTTCTGCAATCTACCCATCTAACAAAGGGCTAATATCCAGAATCTACAAAGAACTTAAACAAATTTTCAAGAAAAAAACAACCCCATCAAAAAGTGGACAATGGATATGAACAGACACTTCTCGAAAGAAGACATTTATGCAGCCAACAGACACATGAAAAAATGCTCATCACCACTGGTCATCAGAGAAATGCAAATCAAAACCACAATGAGATACCATCTCACACCAGTTAGAATGGCAATCATTAAAAAGTCAGGAAACAACAGATGCTGGAGAGGACATGGAGAAATAGGAACACTTTTACACTGTTGGTGGGAGTATAAATTAGTTCACCTATTGTGGAAGACAGCGTGATGATTCCTCAAGGATCTAGAACTAGAAATACCATTTGACCCATCGATCCCATTACTGGGTATATACCCAAAGGATTATAAATCATGCTACTATAAAGACACATGCACATTTATGTTTATTGTGGCACTATTCACCATAGCAAAGACTTGGAACCAAACCAAATGTCCATCAATGACAGACTGGATTAAGAAAATGTGGCACCTGTATACCATGGAATACTATGCAGCCATAAAAAGGATGAGTTCACATCCTTTGCAGGTACATGGATGAAGCTGGAAACGATCATTCTGAGCAAACTATCACAAGGACAGAAAACCAAATACTGCTTGTTATAACTCATAGGTGGGAATTGAACAATGAGAACACTTGGGCACAGGGAGTGGAGCATCGTACACTGGGGCCTGTCATGTGGTAGGGGGCTGGTGGAGGGATATCATTAGGAGAAATACCTAATGTAAATGACGAGTTAATGGGTGCAGCAAACCAACATGGCACATGTATACCTATGTAACAAAACTGCACGTTGTGCACATGTACCCTAGAACTTAAAGTATAATAATAATTTAAAAAAACTAAAAAAAAAAAAGGATTTAAGAGTTTTTCAGAGACAAGAAGATGATTCTTAAAGAAAATCAGGGCCGTCAAGAAGTTACAAAATCTACAGATAAAAATAAATATCCTGGAGAAATTCTTTAAAGAAAGAAAAAAAAAAAGAAAGAAATGTGACCTGTAGAGGTTTGGATTGCATGCATGCAACCTTTGATTCATGGCAGTACTCAGACTGGGATATTGCTAGGTTACTAGTCAGTAGGTTTCATTTGATTACTACTTCTACTATTGCTAATATTGGTAATTTATATTTATTTAATGCTTGCCATGTGCCAGACGTATGAGAAAACAGGCTCAGAGGGTAAAATATTTTGCTCAACATAGGGTAGTAGGCAGTGGATGCTGGACTTGAACCGAGGCAGTGGGACTCTGAAAGTCACATTCTTTCTATGCTACCTTGATCATGAAGGAGGTTGCTATAGAAGAATCACTTGGGACCAGCAAAGAAGAGTTTTGGGAACTCAACCTGAGGTGCTGAGTGGCCCAGTTTCTCAATAAATGCCTTTGATATGATGCAAGAGACTAAGTAGGAACAACTAATGACCAACTGGGCTGTCCCTACGGTCTGAGAGATTTAGATAAAATTGTCCCTACCTGGTCGGGATAAGTCAGTGATCCGGAATAGATGCTAACTTAGCTTATCAGTCCATAAAATGTAGGGTGTGACCACTGAGTGCAGAGTCTGGGACTAGGAGATAATGGGGAATCCAAGAGGATGAGAAGGCCACAAATGCCTGCTCTTATGTAGTTTTCAATCTATCAGTGTAATAGAATTTAGGACCAAAAGGAAAAAATAGGAACATAATAAGAATCATCACACAGAGGACAGCAAATTAGTGCAGTTTATGCAGAGCAAGCAAGTATTGCATTATGCTTACCAACATTTGGGTTGTGGGGCTTAGTGGGTATCCTATGTATAACCTAGGGAATCTGTCTTTTTATTTTCCATTAATTCTGATTTTTTACTTTGAAAGGAGCCCAGGGATTATCCTTTAGAATGTTTCCCTTTTACTTATACAGTATATAAATATAGCTTTATTGTCATACACTTGTTCCTGACTATGAGATCTTTCAACATCCACTCAGTGAGTACCTACTACATGCCAGGTACTTTACACAGATGAAACCAATATGATCCCTGCCTTTAGAAAATAGAAATTTATTGCGATGCTAATAGTTTTTACCTGTGGGTGTTAGAATTATGGATGAGATTTATTTTCCCAACTATATTTTTCTGCATTTATTAAGATTTCTGCAGTGACTATGTAAGACTTTTATAATCAGAATGCAAAAACTAAAATAAACTAGGGTACACAAATTTAGTCTTATGACACATGCAAGAAGATAGACAATAGTAATAGTAATTTTGAGAGCTTCCTATATAACAAATACTGTGCTGAGCATTTTATATAAACTATTTTATTTAATTCTCATAATGTTATCAAATTAGTACTTTTTAAAATCTCATTTTCCAGATAGTAACACCAAGGCCAAAAGAGAGTAAACCCCAGACTACATAGCTGTAAATGGAACAACTACCATGGAAACAACTTAATCAGACAACAATTTAATCAGACAACAATTTAATCAGACAAATAAAAGCAAAGTGAAGATTAAACACATCTGTTTTGGCCCTGGGAACTCTCTTCATTATGTAATCTTGTAGCTATATACAACCAAGTGGCTTTATACACCTGTACATATTTGGTGGTATATGGTGTTATTTTTGGAAGAGTTTGTTTCCTTTCGATAGAGAGCAACTTAAGGCCAAGAATCGTATCTGCCTCAGTATTTTATGTATTTATTTATTCTTTGGTTTGTGGTAGAGGCTTACCTGTCTGAGTAACACTTAAAAAATCTTGTTGACTGCCTGGCATAGTAGGTGTGTAGTCACAAAGTTCTCCTGCTTTGCTGAGGGAGACTGTGGATTCTGATATGACCCTTAGCTGGGCTCAGTTTCTTAGCTTCACCATGGGACCTCAAATAAATATTATTGTTTTTCATAATAATATTTATTAAGCATCTACATAGTTTCTAGCACCAAAAAAAGGATTTCAAAGGGGGAAATGCATTGTATACACAGTGTTTAGGTAGCTGTGAGGGATCATCCAGCTACTCCCAGGACTGCTCTGAGTCTAGATGTTGTGCAGACTGTAAAGTGCTTTAAGCTTCCCTGGAGAAAACAACTATGTCAGTTCCACAGAATCTTGATTTTATTTTCTGTGATTAGGTGACCCATGTGATAAGCTGCATATTTTTCTCTTGTTGAGAATTTGTCTAAGAACAAACTCCAGTTGGATTCAAAAGAATGGTTGACCTATTTTATGAGGTTATTTAAATATGGAATTCTAGGGTGAATAGTTAGTAAACATTGGACTGCCCTCTGATCATCTAGTTTTACAGTAATTATTTATTGAGCATGCTCTTCATACAAGGCATTATGGTTGGTGCTTCAGATAATGCAAAGATGATGAAGATGTGATCTCTGACCTCGGCAGTTATAACCCCTAATGACACAAATACAGATAACTGGAAAACAAAGCAAGAAGTAGTAAAGTAACACATGAAGGCTGAGGGCCCATGCCACATGGAAACCTACTACATGGGAGGTCATTGGCGGCATTGCCAGAGTGTTTGAGCACTCATATTGTACCCAGACACCAATATAAGAGCTTTATATGAATTATTTCAAGCTAATTCTCAAAGAACTCTGAGTGCTGATGTAACACACCCTTCTCTGCCTGAGATTTTAACCACTAGAGAAATAAAAAGAGTAATAAACAAGGACCCTTATTACTGATAAAGGCTATGTTAGTGGATGTAGCTTAGGATCATAAACAGTCTTTCTAATTTACTATCTAGACCTTGGAAAAACCTATCGGAAGGAAAGTTTGAATCTGCAGAGCAAACACTGTTAGCCAGGTTATTGCCTCCCCTGGAACGGAGAGAAGGAGAAAGAGAGAAAATTTCCTGTGTTTAGACCTTTGGGAGATGAGCTCCACTGGTGAAGAATTGTGGAATGATAGCTGTGGCTACTGACTGGGTGTCACTGGCCAGGTATTTCACACCATCTCCATGGGGAGGAGGAGAAGGGAGGCCAGGAATGACTAGAGAAATCCCTTTTCATTGAAATAAAAGGGGGGAAATGGGCTTTTCCCTCCATGGTTCCCCAGGTTTTAATTCCCTTTATCCATTGAGTTTGCCTATTGAGTGTATGATTAAGATAGGAGTGTGGCTTTCCCTTTGAGAGAGGAGTCAGGTAGTTGATCAAGTTAGTCCTTCTTACCCATGAGAGGCCACACCCTTCCTTTGAGGGACATCTAGAAAGCAGTGAGGATTTTTACCTCAGAAAGCTCTGAGATGAGTCAGAACAGAGCATTACGAAAATACACTTTGATGCCACATTGTCCTTAAGGCCAAAAACATATTACCTATTCCAATCCCAACTTATATCCAGCCATGTGTAAAATATAGACAATTAGAGATTCTGCCACAGGATAAGTGAAACATTAAGACGCTTCAATATTAAAATGCATAAATACACGTTAGTAATAAAATGCCAGTACAATAGAAGCATTCTAAGCTTGAATTTTAAAAGCTCTTATTATCAATTGGCCTGGAAATAATGAAGGCCCTCAAATTAATTCTTTTTTCAAGGTAAAGACCCCAAACTTTCAAGTCTAATGGAATTAAGAGCAACATCAAATGATCTTGCCCTGATTAGTTAAAAGCAATTTAAGTCTAAAACTCACCCTTGTCTGATTTTTTATTCTGCTGTCGAGGGGCTCTTCTTTGCAGAGTGGACAGGGGCAGCTGGAATTCTTTCAGCAGATGCCGCCTGGGCTGAGTATCTCTCCCTGCAGTGGGCAGAGTTCCTTTAGGACCTATGAATCTGACCCAGTTCAATGCCAATTCTGTAAATTGCTCTCCTATGAAAAGAATTCAAAGACAGGCAAGTTAATCACAGTAGGGGCCTCATACCCACCATATTCAGGAAACAAAGTAATTCCTAGCCCTTATCAGTTATTCCAGGTAGAATTATGTTGCTAGAGCCAAGTACCAATGGCCGTCTAAGAGAAGGAATGTTGCTGGAGAAACAAAAACAAACAAACAAACAAAAAAAACATGGTTTCAGTTCCTTCAGAGGCAGTTAGACTATGTCAGTTGTCCAGAATCCATGATCCATTTCATATAAGGGACTCTCTCCTAAGAGAGCAAGGACTATATGGAGCAAAGGGTCTTTTACCAATGAGCATTGTCTCTTCTCTCAGAGAGTAGCCTTTGAGACATAATGACTCTTTACAAAGTTTAGAAACTAGCCCCAGGCAGCATATCTTATGTGAGGTGTGCTTTGTTTTTGCTTTTGTTGTTGTCTTAAGCAATGTTCCAATCTTTTTGTCTATCAGCTTCCTTTGAGATCCAGTTTCTGGCACCCTAGATCAGCACTATCTACTGAGGTCCATGAGTAGCAACATGGCATCCATTCTCTCCTTTGAGCCACCCTGGCTGCTTCGTGGGGATTTTTTAGATGAAAGGTGTCTCTGTGCCCACATTTGTTCAGCTGGAGAATCATCCTCAGCAGATTCATGAATTGGAGCTGTTGTCCTTGCTCCTGGAGATTATGTCCGTGGGAGGTTGGTGACTCCCAGTACCTCTCTGCCAGGTGCTTCTCAGGGCACTACCCTCCTCTACTTTTTTTAAAAACTCATTTTTAATGGAAAATTTCAAATATATATAAAAGTAGGCAGATTAATATAATACATTCCTCATCTACCGATAACATGGTTTCAATGATTAGTAACTCATGCATCCTTTTGTTTTCCTCGAGGTTTGAATATTTCAGATCTCGAGGAGGCTTTCTTTCTATTGCGTCTTTCTCTGCAACACTGGAGTATGCCTCCAATATTTTCTTCCCATCTGCTGTTTCCCTCTTCCTCTGGCAAAGCTTAGTTGAGGTTCTAACAGCTAATCCTTTTTCTTCTCCAATACATACAGGGCTAGAGCTATGGGCTGGGAGAGAACAGTTTTCTTGCTTTTACTTGTGCTTTGCATTTAGTCCCACACATTTGTTTGTTTTTCTAGTAAAAGTCTTTAGATTTTGTTAGATGGTGTCTCCCATATAGAAAGCTATGGCATGAATCAGTCCCAGGCTTGCTAAAAGCTTTCATTATTAAAAAAATCTTTCAATATATTTGACAAGTATATTTTGAGCATCTACTAAGTGCCAGCATTTTTTTTGCCCTGGATAATTTACAGAGCAAAGAGGCAAATAACCCTGCCCTCAAAGAGCATCCATTCCACTGGAGGGAGACGGACAAGAAACACACATTGCTAAAGCATATGTCTATCAGATCATGAAAAGTGCCAGGAAGAAAAGTAAAAGCAGAGAGGTATGGAGGAAGTGCCTAGGGGATGGGTGGGCCTGTCACACTTCAAAATAGGGTGGTCAGGGAAGGCCTGGCTGAAAAGGAAGCATAGAAGAAGAGGTCTCCAGGAAATAAGGAAGAGCTTTGCACACATCTAGGGAAGAGTATTCCAGGAAGCGGGGCACAAAAAGAGCCCAACCCTGCAAGGAGAATGTGCCGGAGCACAAGGAGACTGGTATGGTAGGAGTGGAGTGTGCAAGGGAAGAGAGTGGTAGGAGATAAAGCAGAGAGCGAAGGGGTGGGACAGGTCTAAGAGGGTGTGGTCTGATCTGAGGAGTTGACTTCTACTCTAAGTGAAATGAGAGCTTTAGGAGGCCTCTGAGTACAGGAGTGACAGGAGATACTCTTCTGACCATGAGACAGGCATTGAACCCAGGTCTAGGTTGACTTATTATTATTCTTCCTGGTACCCCTTCACTGTGGCTCATCTCCAATGTGCTTTCCTTGGAGCCCAATTCCATGCCTTTCTAGGGCAGGTCTCCTTAGAGTCTAGGCAATACTTTTAGCTCTTACAATGATTGTATGCCTCGAAACTCACAAATCATACTTTAAGTATTCTTCACTGGTTTTCCCGGCCTTCCCTTCTCAAATCTGTCCAGATTTTCTCTTTTTTTTTTTTTTTTTTTTTTTGAGATGAGTTTCACTCTTGTTGCCTAGGCTGGCGTAGTGCAATGGCACAATCTCAGCTCACCGCAACCTCTGCCTCCCGGGTTCAAGCGATTCTCCTGCCTCAGCCTCCCAAGTAGCTGGGATTACAGGCATGCACCAACATGCCCGGGTAATTTTGTATTTTTAGTAGAGACGGGGTTTCTCCATGTTGGTCAGGCTGGTTTTCAACTCCCGACCTCAGGTGCTTCGCCCGCCTCAGCCTCTCAAAGTGCTGGGATTACAGGTGTGAGCCACCGTGCCCGGCCTGATTTTTTTTTTGTTGTTGTTGTATACTTAATACAGCTCTCCTAGCATTCATCGGGCAATTTTCTGCTTGTTTTTACTATGAGCTTGCTACTTGTGGCTTGGAATTACAATAGTTTCCTGGATTCTGTCCCTCCCTGGAGGAATCATTTCACTGCCTGTGAGAAAATGCCTCTTTCTCTGAGAGACTTTTCTGGATCCCAGTAACTTTTTTTTTCATCCAGTTACACTTGGGCCATCTGTCCTTTTTCTTTTCTTTTCTTTTTTTTTTTTAATTTTACTTTAAGTTTTGGGATACATGTGCAGAACGTGCAGGTTTGTTACATAGGTATACATGTGCCATGGTGGTTTGCTGCACTTATCAACCCATCATCTAGGTTTTAAGTCCTACATGCATTAGGTATTTGTCCTAATGCTCTCCCTGGCCTAGTCCCCCACCCCCTCAACAGGCCCCAGTGTGTGATGTTCCCCTCCCTGTGTCCATGTGTTCTCATTGTTCGACTCCCGTTTACGAGTGAGAACATGCAGTGTTTGGTTTTCTGTTTTTGTGTTATTTTGCTGAGAATGATGGCTTCCAGCTTCATCCATGTCCCTGCAAAGGACATGAACTTATTCTTTTTCATGGCTGCGTAGTATTCCATGGTGTATCTGTGCCACATTTTCTTTATCCAGTCTATCGTTGATGGGCATTTGGGTTGGTTCCAAGTCTTTGCTATTGTAAATAGTGCTGCAATAAACATATGTGTGGATGTGCCTTTATAGTAGAATGATTTATAATCCTTTGGGTATATGCCCAGTAATGGGATTGCTGGGTCAAATGGTATTGCTGGTTCTAGATCCTTGGGGAATCACCACACTCTTTTTTTTCTGGTGCTCTATTTCAGAGAAATTTGACTTGAGTATTACTTATCCTTTCCCTTTTTGCTTCCTTTTTAGTATTTGGGATCTCTTTGTTTTGTTCATATCCATGTAGCCTGTGTCCTAGGACCTCAGCTTCTCTCCTATGGAAACATTTCTCTTTTCTCCAGGAAGAGCAGTTGGACTTCTTTGCTTGCCTTCATTCTTAGAGCCCATAGGTGCCCACTGAGGCTAGGACTAGGATTAGAAAGCCTCCAAGCAGCCTTCTGGAATTTATCCAATTTCTGGCACCAGCTCTGTCTGGGATGCTAGGTAATTATTATCATGGATCAGCAAATCTCAGAAAACCTGAACTTTTCACTCAAGAACAAGGTTGCTCATTGTCACCCCATTAGAATAATGAAATTAAGGGAACTCTGACCCCTGAGGTTCAGCACAAATCTATATAAGCATTTCTTCATTGGGCATGTGAGAGGTTGAAATTTAAGGAGGCTGGTGGGAGAAGAAAAGAAGTTTTCCCCAGAATTAATCTCCTTTAAGAACAAGGAAACAATATTTTACTGTCCTGAACTGCCAAAACTCATTTTTATGGAATCGAATCCATGAAAAATTGGCCATGGTCCATGTAATATTGTGAGTGTTAGAATTTGCGCTTGGTCCCTCTAGTTACTTGAGCTGTGTGAAAAAAATGCCCATTGCCAGCTCACTCCCTACTGGCTACTCAGAGAGTATTATTACTCCACTTAGGAATTACACTTTAAAAAGAGACTCCAATTAAGACCATTTTCAAATGACAGAATTTGAGGACATGCTAGGCTATTTAATCTCCCAGCGTCTTCCCTATTTGTGCTGCTCCACTTTGATTCTCTTGTAGCAGTTAGTGACCCATTTTGAAAAGCCCAGCATTAGAGATCCTACTTCTGAAGTTTACCAGGTACAAATATTACACCTAAACACCTTGGGTCCCTTTCAGCTTGATGGCTGGCAATTCTGCCAAAGTCCTTAACTGAAATTTCAATTGAATCCTTTTTCAATTGGGTCAGTACATTTTCCTTAAAGCAGTTTCACCTGAAGCAGGGCATCTAAAATTAGTTTTGAGAGACCCATGGATCACACCCCCTTAGTGGTAGGTAGGATGAGGTTGATTGGTTACAAACTTTTTTTTGTTTGTTTTTTGTTTTTTTTAGACAGTTCTCATTATGTTGCCCCAGGCTGGACTCAAACTCCTGTGCTCAAGCAATCCTCCCACCTTGGCTTCCTGAGTAGCTGAGACTACAGGCATGCACCACCATGCCCTGCTTGGTTACAAACATATTTGAATGGGCTCCATGTGCATGCTTATTAGCAAGAGACCGCTCAATTATTCATTCATTCATCAAATATTTTTTGAACAACTACTCTATTTCAGGCACTATTTTATATGTTCAGTTTATTGTGATGAACAAGAGCCTAAAATATTTTATACCTTGGACAATCAAACAATCAATGCTTCCCAATAGCAAGAGGACCATGATTGAGGTCACCCTCTCCTTTGGATCTTCATTACCACATTGCCTTGTCTGAGCCTCTCAATTGTGCATTCAATCTCCTACTGTATTTGCAGTCATAGCATCAACTAAGCATCTGGAAAGGCAAATACCAGTGAGAACATCTTCACAATATAAACTTTACATGGGTCAGAATTTGCACTGTTATATTTATGGGCTAAGTTTATGATAAATGATCCTTACTGAGGTGGAAATACAATCATAAAAACATGTAATTTTAAAGTTAGAATGAACTTGGACATCCTGAAATCCAACCCCTGGTATGATCCAAGAACTACAAAGTGACCTACTAATTCATTCACAGATGTGCTCATTTATTCAATAACTGGTTATTAATTTGCTATTGTGCATAAAGTATTGTGATAGACACTGGTGATACAGTGGTAAATAGGATAGACTTAGTGCCCTATCCTCACAAAGCTCATAGATTAGAAAGGGAAGTAAAGATTAAGCCACTATTTACACAGTCAATTATTTACTTGCATAGAAATAAAGATTGCTAAAGAAGCGTCTAACAGGGACAACATTTCCCTTGTCCAGTAGAGTCACGGAGGCATCTCTGAGGAAGTGAAATATAGGGGAAGAGTGAAATAGGCAGAGGAAACTGTGTTCCAAGGCTAGAAAAAGCATGCCATATTAAAAAATCTGAAAGGAATCCAAGGTGGTTAGAGTATTCTGAATGAAGGGGAATGATTCAGGATGAAGTTAGGGTAAGCCAGGGCCCTGTTATACAGGCTCTTATAGGTCAGGTTCAATGTTTTGAATTTTATTCTAATTTCAATGCTAATTTACTTAAAGAGTGTAACAGGTAAATTGCATATTTCGTTTTTCAGTTATTTTTTCTTCTCTATTTTTCCATATGCACTGTTCTCAGGAAAGTTTGATATATAGAGAATAAACACTTCAGATCCTGGCTTTTGAGTTCCTATGTTGACTTTTTTATTGTTATTATTATTATTATTATGGTTAAAAACACATACCATAAAATTTAGCATCTTAACCATTTTTACTACATTGACTTTTGTAAACATATAGCAGAGACAAGAGTTGTAAAAGCCATGGCTTTCAACTCAAAATGCTAGAGGATAAAGGTCCTTTGACTGGAAATATCAAGTCCAAACCCGAAGGAAGAGAGCACAAACTTCATTCATTAACAGTAGATTGGAAAGAATCTGCCCAGAGCTGGTTTCAATGAAAAGGGAGTAGCATCGTATTTCACTAGAGAGAACAAGGAGGAGATGAGAAAGGAAGCAGCTAGAACTTAAACATCGTGGGTCTCTGGAAAAGGCTCAGCACCTCGGCTGCTCCTCCACAGAGGATTCCTGGAGAAAAGGAGGGCAATGAATGCCCCATGTAAGTTTTTGGGAGAATCCCAGAGCAGATGGCATCATTGCTGTCTTCTCAAGGGGAGCATAGAATATCATACACCTGTTCAAAAAGCCCTCCACCTAATTAGTAAATAATGTTCCAGTCCTCTCTTGCTGTATACAAATCACTCCCAAACACAATGGCTTAAAACAAGAGCAATCCTTTTTTATTATCAATCATGGCTTCTGTGGGTCAGGAATTCAGGATGGGCTCCACTGGACAATTCTGGTATGGGATCTCAGCAATGCTTTTGGGACATTGATGACATACCTGTGTTCCAGACACCAAGAAGGGCTAAGTGGACAGAGATAAAGGAGGTGCCATCTTCAATTGAACACTTCTCTTTAAAAGGTCTTTCTGGAAGGCTCATACATTATTTGGTCTGCATCTTACTGGCCAGAACTTATCCATATAAGCCATACTTAGCTCCAAGAGGCTGAGAAATGTGATATTTTTATAGCGTCACAAATAAAATCAGCCTTTTCTTGAAGGGCAAAATAAATTGTGAATACAATTAGCAGTTTCTGGTGCATTACATAAAGCAGACTGAGTTTTAAAGCATAAGAGACTGAGTTACCTGGCAAGACTAGTAGTGAATTGCTAGAATTCAGGTTAGAGGTCATGATGACTTGGACTAGAATAGCAGCAATGAAGATGTAAAGAAATGGACAGAGTCAAGTGACATCAAGGAACTAGAGTCAACAATGGCCTAGGGGAGGGAATGTGTTAACGATGACTTCCAGAATTCAGGCTAGAATGGCTGGGAGCAGATAGTAGAACCCTTTACTAAAATAAAAATCACTAGGAGAAGACCTTGTTTTGAATAAAATAATAAATTCCAATTGAAGTATGCTAAGTTTGAAGTGCTTTTTTTATAATTTCAACTTTTGTTTTAGATTCAAGGGGAGCATGTGCAGGTTTGTTACATGGGTATATTTCATGATGCTGAGGTTTGGTTTTGAGACATTGAAGAGAAATGTGAAGTAGGCAGTTGGGTATTAGGGTCTGAAGCCTGGAGAAGTTAGAATTGGACATATATATTTGGATATTGGTATATAAATGGTGATTGAAGACATAGTTGTGGATGAAATAATTTAAGATGGGCTAATAAAGTGAGCAGATTTTAAAATTATGAAGAACGGATTGAGTCAGCAAAGGAGACTAAAAAGAAATGCTTAGAAAGTTAGGTGGAAAACTTGAAAAGTAAAATGATATCTAGAAAGGAGGGAGAAGGAAGATCAAATATTTGCACTGTGATTTTAATAAGAGCTATCCCAGAGGCTCGGTAGAGGCAGAGGCTAGACCAGGTGAAATAAAGAATGAGGGAGAGGTGAGGAATCAAAGGCCACAAGAGAAGTCCGCTCTTGAGAAGTTTCTCTATAAAGGGAAGTAGGGCAACGTGGTAGTGGTTGGAAGGTGAGGCAAGGTGAAGACCTTTCTTTCTATAAGAATGAAACTTAATAAGAAATTAAGAAATTGCTATTTTCTTATACTTTCTTGTTATCTTATCTATAACTTACTTTTACTGCCTAAGCACTGTGATAATTATTGAGTTGATTTTAATCTATAGTTAAGGCATGATTAGTATTCTAATCAGGCATATACTATTTAAGAGTATTTAGTTTAGGATGTTAAAACTTCTAATTGGAAGCCCAGACATCCATGTTAATATAATAGATACAAGTAGTGGCTTTTTTTTTGGTGAAAGTAGAAAGCTCAAGACGTGGGTAAACTAGAAATATTATAAAGGTACCCCTGTCCCTGCATAGACAAAGTATAAAAATCCATGCCGCCCAATGGCTTGTACCCTTTAAAATTATGTCTGAACCTTAATTTGAAAATGGTTCCTAATTCACAAGCTATTCCAGTACATAAAAAATTAGAAACCTATATAACTCATTTACCAGACTTCAAAAACTTAGAAAGGGAAACAATAGATAAGGTAAGTATAGATTGTTCTTACTTAAAAATACAAAGCAAAAATTTTAAATGGAAATGTCAGTAAATAGAACACAACTCTATTAAAAAAATAAAGCACATGACTCAGTAAAGTTATACAAGGACTGCAAAGATGACTCCATGCAAGAAAATTTTGCCCATGTAATTTAGTACATTAATAGGCTGATTAAATCTATGCAAATAATAAAAAATAGACTAATTAAACAAAACCCTTTCAGTTATCTCCAAGGGATACTGAAAAGGTATTTGATACAATCTATTTACCAGTAAATCATAAACACTTCTAGTCATCTAAAAATAAGATAGATTTTTAAAAATTTTTGATGAGCATCTAATATAAATCTAGAGCAAACATCATACTTAATGGGCAAACATTAGAAGCATTTCTAACTAACTTAGCAAAAAGACAAGGATGTCTATTATCACTGAGACTCTAAACTTTGTACTGGAGATTTTAACCAATGCACTAAAACAAGAAGAAAAAATAAAACATGTAAGAATGGAAGAATTATCACGTATGTCCAAAATGACTTTTTTATATTAAAAATCCAAGAAAAGTAACTGAAAACTCTTAAAACCAATAAGATAGTTAAGCAAAGTGGCTAGATATGGGAAAAACATATTAAAAATAATTACTTTTAAAAATTTGGCAATCTATAATCAAAACAATGCAATTCATTCTTCATTCTGGATGACGTCCCAAGAATAGGTGGCAATTGTTTCCATATTCCAAAGTTAGGGTCTGGGCCATCCATAAAGGACTAACCAGTTTTGTGACCCTTGAGTTTTTGATGTAACTCAGAGTGTAAAAGAATTAAAAGTTTACAGTTAAAAATTAAGGACATTATTTCTTTGATGTGAGAGAGGCTATGTGAGGACCACTTGGAAAGGCTGATACGTGTTTCCTGGAGTTTGAGGGCCCAGAAAGCAGGTCTTGAAAACTCGCCTGAGGAATCAAAACATACAGCTAAACTACACGTATTTCCATGTTCATGTACTTACTTGTAAATCTGCAAGGAAATATCTTACACTAACAAACAATAGTTACTTTGGCATGGGCTTGTTATTGGAGCAAGGAGGGTGTCAGCTTTATTTGAGCAGTTTAAAGACATACTATATTGCTTCATCAATGAGTGAGTTACATACTGAAAACTCACTTTTTTCATTTATCTATGTCTGAAGAGAATATAAAAGCTAGGCCCACAAATTCATTAACAGACACTACTTTTGTTAACAAAGTGTTTCCCAAAAGTTTTAGGACATAATTCACTTCTATAAAAAGGCTTTATTTTTGATCTCATACCATTTTCATGAAATTTTTTAAACTCTTACATGTTTATATCATGCTCATTATAAAAATTAAATAATATAGAATTCAAATAATATAGTATCTTATTAGTTTTAAGAATTAATGTAGAATAATGTAATTTAAGCTAATGTTCCCCTTCACCTCTCCTTCCTCTAGCCAGGGGTAATCATCATTATTAATTCAGTAAATATCTATTGAGATAATTTTTGTGCATTTACATTTGTATTTATAACACATTTTCATAAATTAGATTAAGCCACACATATTATTCTATGCTTACTCTTACCCTTAGTGATAATTGTGGAGGTTGTTCCATGTTAGTACATATAGATTTCTCCCATTCTTTTCAATTGTGCATAATATTTTTTGGATGCTCTATAATTTCTTTTATTGTAAGACAAAATAGAAGAATTCATTAAACTGAACATACTCTCTGTGGCTCCAAGTATGTAGTTGTGTGATTTGAATATTATGCAGTGTTATTGTCCTATCAGAAATTTAATCACCTCAGTACAAAATTTAAGCTTCTGAAAGATATTACAGATATATTGTAAAACTTTTTCTGTATTAATTATTCCAAATAGTGAAATTAATTACTAGATTCAAGTTATTTATTCTACTACTTACTATTCTGTATTTTGTCAATGTTGCAGTGGGAATAAGACAAACCCACTGAAGAATGAGAATTAGTATAAAAATTGGCAACATTTATCAGATATGCTTAGTAAATGCAAAGAAACTGTAATACACATAAGCAATAATAATATCCACACTGAAATTTAATTTGGAAGACATATGTATATATAGAAATGCTGAAGAATAGACTATACAAATGTTAAGAAAAAATATTGGCATAACATTATTGAATGTATGTAATTCAGTTTTGGCATGGTGATATCTAGTATTCTGATGATTATTCATGAATATGAATACAGTAATGAGAATTGTCTTCATTTGGCAGAAATTGTAGCAGAAAATTGCTAATATTTTGTTGATTTTCTGTAGAAATTAAACATTGACACCAAATAATATCACACAGTGTTTATAGTGTTGAAGTTTGTAGAAAGCACTAAAATTATAGTGCATGTAGTAACAAACCATTTTGAAAGAAGTAAGAAATTCTGTTACTCAATTTTTTTCTTTATATTTTATGTCTGTATTTAAGGTGTACAGCATGTTTTGATATATGTAGAGAGAGTGAAATGATTACTAAAAGTAAACAAATTAACATATCCATAATCTTCCATAGTTACCTCATTTCTGTGTGTGGTAAGAGAACATAAAATCTACTCTCTTTGCAAATTCTTAATATAAAGTACAATATTATTAACTCTAGTCCTCCTGCTGTACATTAGTTCTCTAGACTCATTGATCCTACATAACTACATGTTTGTACCCTATGACTTACAGCTTTCCCTTTCCTGACGCTTCCCACCTCTGGTAATCACCATTCTACTCTCCGTTTCTATGGTACTCAGCTCTTTAAAAGATTCTACATATAGACGAGATCATGTAGTATTTTAAAGTAGCAGGAAATAAAATCAGCATCCAAAAATCAATTGCATTTCTTCACATCAATAATGACCTATCTGAAAAAGAAATCAAGAAAACAATTCTATAAAAAGAATAAAATATTTATGAATAAATTTAATCAAGGCGGTGAAAGACCTGTATACCGAAAACTCTAAAGCATTGATGAAGGAAATTGAAAACACAAATAAATGGAAAGATATCCCATATTTGTGAACTAGAACAATTAATATTGTTAAAATGTCTATACTACCCAAAGCAGATACACAGATTCAATGCAATCCCTATTAAAATTCCAATGGCATTTTTCACAGAACTAGAAAAGAAAATCATTCTAAAATTTGTGTTGAACCACAGAAGACATCAAATAGCTGAAGCAGTCTTGAGAAAGAAAAACAAAGTTGGAGACATCATACTTTCTGATTTAGAATTATACTACAAAGCTATAGAAATTAAAACAGTAATGTACTGGCATAAAAAGAGACATATAGACCAATGGAAAAAAATAGAAAGCCCCAAAATAAACTCAAGCATCTATAGTTAATTAATTTTTTAGCAAGGCCACCATGAAGAAGACACAATGGGAAAAGGTGAGTCTCTTCAATAAATGGTGTTGTGAAACTGCTATCTATATGCAAAATAATGAAATTGAAAACTTGTCTTACACTATACACAAAAATAAACTCAAAATGGACTAAAGACCTAAACATAAGACTTGAAACCATAAAACTTCTAGAAGAAAACATAGTGGGAAATCTCGTTGATATTGATCTTGGCAATAATTTTTTGTATATAGTGCCAGAGCTCAGGCAACAAAGGCAAAGATAATCAAGTGGGAGATCAAACTAAAAAGCTTCTGCACAGCAAAGAAAACAATCAATAAAATAAAAAGGTGGCCTATAGACTGGAAGAAAATATTTTCAAACCACATACTGATAAGTGGTTAATATCAAAAATATATGAAGAACTCAATTCAATAGCAACTGCCCCCAACCCAAACACACACACAAAAAACTAAATTAAAAATGGGCAAATAATCTGAGCAGACATTTTTGTAAAGAAGACATAAAAATGACCAACAGGTATATGAAAATGTGCTCAACATAACTATCATCAGGGAAATGCAAATAAAACCCATAATGAAATATCTCACACCTGTTAGGATGGCTATTACAAAAAAGACAAGAGATAAGTGTTGGTGAGAGCATGGAGAAAAGGAAATTCTTGTGCGCTGCTGCTGTGAATGTAAATTGGTACAGCCATATGGAAAACAATATGGAGGTTTCACAAAAATTTAAAAATGGAATTACTATATGACCACATGCATATCCCTCTGCTGGGTGTATAATAAAAGGAAATGAAATCAGCACCTCATAGATTTATCCGCATCCCCATGTTCCTGCCAGCTTTATTCACAACAGCCAAGATATGAATCCAACCTAAGTGTCCAGAATTCTATATTTTAATGAGCAGATATAGAAATTGTGGTGTGTGTGTGTGTGTGTGTGTGTGTGTACTCATATAATGGGATACCATTCAGCCTTTAAAAAGGAGAGACTACCACAGTGGCTCACGCCTGTAATCCCAGCACTTAGGGAGGCCAAGGCAGGTAGGTCACTAGAGGTCAGGAGTTTGAAATTAGCCTGGTCAACATAGCAAAACCCTGTCTTTACTAAAAATACAAAAATTAGCCAGGCGTGGTGGTGGGCACCTGTAATCCCAACTACTCAGGAGGCTGAGACAGGAGAATCACTTGAACCTGCGAGGCGGAGGTTGCTGTGAGCCGAGATCACCCCACCGCACTCTAGTCTGGGTGACCCAACAAGACTCTGTCTCAAAAAAAAAAAAAAAAAAAAAAAAAGAAGGAGATACTACCATGTGTGACAACATGGATGAAACAGGAGGAAACTGTACTAAGTGGCTGACCTATAGTTTCTTTAACTATCCTCCTATTAAACAGCCCAAATTTAGTTTTTTTTCTAAACGTTAACTGCATTGAAAATTTTTGTATATGTAACTTGAAGTACAAATTAAAATACATGAATAGGTGTGAGATGAGATGATTTCTCAAAGGAGAATCAAGGTACTGTTACTTCAGGAAGGTTGGATCGATGGATGGTGGGTGAGCAAAAGCGTCAGGCAAAAACTCAAGATTGGAGAACTTACCTGTTTAAATTAAATATGTTTACTTTTGGAATTTGGTTGAACTATGTGAGAATGCTGATAGCGTGCTTTGGGGTGTTAGATCTAAGCTGAGAATAACCACCCTATAACCTGTGAATGGGTAAAGTTTTGTCTTTTAGAGATAAACTGAGACTGAACTTAAGTTCACATAAGCACCTTTATCAATGTGAGCTGTAAAATAAAACTACGTATTGTGTTGATATCATTCTACATGATGGACAAGAGGACAGCTGGCAGGTCTTTGCCTAGTCTTGATGACTAAAGAACACTGATTAGGGTAAATCATGTTCCACTGTGTAATATCTATACTAATTTCGTGGTGTGAAACTCTATAAAACTTGATTTTATCAACTGATTGTTAATCTACCCTTGATCCTCACCTTTGTCAGTTCAGTCTTAATGATATGATGCTCTTGATTTAGGGGATTTTAATTTATGATTTCTATACCAGGTTTGGGTATTTTATTTTCCAAGCTTTTTACCTTCACTTATTCTTTCCTCCGGATCCTAACGGCTTGGTTTGAATGACAGGCTGTTAACATAGCCTGCAAGCCTGGTCCCTCCTATCTCTGAATGGGGTGACGATCCCACCATTCCTTAGCTCATGGAGAATGTCTTGCAGCTGTCTGAAGAATACAGATCATTAGTGATTTTGGCAAGATTTTGTTGGAAGCACAATGCTAAAGATGAAAGGTCAGTTTTATTTAACTGATGAGAACAATGAGTAGCAGATTAAGCTAGTTTTCTGGTAAACAGTGCCATTACTTTCCAGTAAATAATGTCAGGATGCCTTGATGAATAACATACATGGAGATAAAGAAGAACATCTCTCAGGGATGGAAAATTAGGTATCTCTATAAACCCAAATATGCCTTTAGTTTTCTTCTTGCTATGAGCTGTTCCCTAAAACATTCACCAATAGGTCATTTGGTTGTACTTGTGGAAAAAATGAAGTATGTCCTGTTGAAGACACAGTCTACAATGATGGGCCAGTTTAAGGCTTATTCTTTTCATCTGTCAGAAGTGTTAAGATGCCTAAAGAAAGCAGTGTGTTCCATGCTGCTTCTGCATTGCCCACCCGTCTGTTGACGCTCAGGGATGAGCTGGAATGCAGGAAGAGAAGAGCCGGTCTAATAAAAATCGAACGCAACATACCAACCCATCAGCATCCTTCACTGCAAGACAGAAGATATAATTTTGGCCTGCTTGCATATGTTTTTTTTGAAGCACACATCGACAGTCCATGCTGAGAGGCAGAGTTTCTGAACTTGAGACAAGAAGCAACACAGTGCTTGCTATCTGGAGAGTTCAATTCTCCATAGTACCCAAGTCTCTATGGTATTAAGATGCTGAGGGTAGGTGCTTAAGGAAGAACATTAACTCTTTCAAGGTGTTCAAGCGCCAGTTAGTAATTTTTGTTGTGGCACCACTAATAATAAGTAAAATAACAACTACCATTCATTGAATGCTTATGATGTCCTAGGCATTGTGCTCAATACTTTCCAGGAATAATTACATTAAATTCTTTCAGTAACTCTATGTGGTAGAAAAAAAGAGGCACAGTAATTTTTTTTCAGAGGGGCTAATTTTTTTTTTTACCCCATCCTGATTTATCCTAAAGGGCTCTGTATGGTATTTAAAAACTAAAAGAAAAAAAAAACTTGAAACAATTAAATGTGTGGTTTTTTTTTTTTTTCATTTATTTCTAGCCTTTTGCAACTGCCCTTGAGCAGCACTCTGCTGAGCCGTGCCGCAGATAGGAGTGCGTGAGCCCCTGACCTTTGGTGAATGAATTTCCTAGCACTCACAAAGGCTAGGGTTCTCACTTTACACATTTTGAAAGATCCCGATGCCTAAAAAAAAAGGAAGAGTAAGAGAGCCAGCAAGTTGGCCAGCGTGAGGGGAATCCAGCTGCGCTTACCCATGTCTGGTTTGTTGCCTCAGATGTTAAAGGAAAAAATCTTTTGAAACCATTACTTAAAAATAGAGCTTTTTGGACACTGATTTGGAACTGTTTTTGATCTTTTGGCCTTGTTTTTGTTGAAACAATGTACTGTTTTACAAGCAGTGCTGAGCTCCAATCCTCCATTCCTACTGATACAACTATAATTATTTCGTGGTTTCAGTATCTTCTCCGGTAACCCTATGCATAGTATTTTTTAAATAGTGAGATAAATGTGTGTACATGTGTATGCACGTGTGTGTGTTAGGTGTAGGGTGGGGAGGAAAGTCTCTCAGGGGAGTGCCAGATCTGGCTTTGGGTCCATTCAGATTTTTCTGAGTATGGACAACAAAGCAGATGTATCCAAAGCACTAGTATTTATAGTGCAACCTGTTTGTGCAGCAGAAACAAATTGGTCCTGGTAAAATGCAGTGGGTAGAATTGGATGTGGCTTATTGGCTTTAGGAGAACAAGAGGCAATGCTATCTCCTTGGGTGATAATTTTTTTCCTTTAGAGTGATCATGTAGAACCTTCCTAACTTGTTCTTTCTGCTTTCTATTTTCCAAATGGAAGTTACAGTGGAGAACAGGACTCAATTGCCTTGTAGCGGTTTGAGACCCTAATTAGTTTTGCTCAACTCACTGGCCAATTTGAATCTTAAGCAGGAAATAGAGAAATCAAATACTTCGGCAGTGCTTCTTACATCATTAACTATAGTATTACTGCAAAATTCTTTAGTACTATAATTAATAAACACTTTCAGATAATTTTCTCACTTGATTTTTCCCATGAATACAGGAAAACCAGCATTGTCCCCATTTTGTCATATATGGTAGCAAAGTTAAAAGACATGATAAATAGCACCCAGCTGGTAACTGTTGGATCTGGGATGAGACCCAGGTTGTCTAATTCTTATATTGAGCTTTATTTTAGTATACCAGGATCCCTGTAATCTTTTAAATATGACATTTATAGTTATGTAATTATAATGTAACATTATTGTAGAAAACCCAGAAAATATAGAAGAGTAAAATTACCAACAATCACACCAAACAGAAGCACTTACTATTCATATTCTGTATGTTTCATATATATGTATATGCAGGCATATACATATATGCTTTATATATTTAATATATATATATTGTTATATACACAGACACACATATATGTAGGTTAGTGCATGTACACAGTTTAAATTTCAACAGGTATAAAGACTACAAGTCTTTTACCTGCCATTATTCTCTAGCCTTGCAATATCCCTCTCCACATATCAAAATAATTTGTATTAGGTTATTAGGTTGCTGCAAACACATTAGGTTGGTGCCATTACTTTCAATGGCAAAAACTGCAATTACATTTGCATCAATTTAATAGTTTCTTGAATGGCTCTCTGGAGATATCTTATCCAGAACTATTTTATCCATACAAGAAAAAAAGAACATACATATATTCATATATACATATGCACATATATAATATGTTTTATATGTATGTATATGTGTGTAGGTACATTCATGTGTACACACACACACAGACACACACACACACACTCTCACCTCCATACCCATTCATTCATGAATGGTAAAATGCTATGTACACCTTGTCATTTTCCAAAAAGATCAAATATCTTTGTTTCTTTTTTACTTAACAATTTATCTTGGAAAAATTTTTATATAAATATATAGTTTCCCAAGTCTTTTTAAAATGGCTGCATGGTTATGCATTAACCTGTCCCCTATTGGTGACATTTAGGCTGTTTCCAAACTTTATGGTTACTTACACTGTGTAAAACTGTATAAAGCCATTTTAAGTGTGTGAGTTTGTGTTTTAGAACCAATTCTGAGAAGTGATATTACAGAGTTAAAGGGTGTATAGATGTCTAACTGTAAAATATTGACAAATTGGCATCCACAGAGGTTGAACCAGTTTGTATTCACCAGCTATACATGGGTGTGCCTATTTCTCCACATGTGTATCAATAGAGTGTGTTATCAAACTTTTTGATATTTGATAATCTGATACATAAAACATGATTTCTTGGTGTATTTTTAATATGCAAGTCTCTTATGAGTGGATTAAATGTCTTATGTTTTTTGAGAACTAGTTAATTGTATCTTTTGTGAATTGCTTCTTTGCTCATTTTTCTATTGGCATATTGTATTTTTAATTAATTTATGAGTTATTTGTATCTTAGAGAAATTAATCCTCAGTTTGTAACATAAATTGATAGTACTTTTTTCTAATTTGTCTTTTTTTAAAAAAAGAACTTTGCATATGATAGTTTTTACTTTGCAGTTAAAAAAACTAGGTAGCCAAACTTACGAATTTTTTTATAGCTTCTGGGTTTTATATCATAGCTAGAAAATCCTTTCCTGCTCAAAGGTTATAAGAAAATGTTCCCTCTTATAGAACTTTTATGGTTGCAGTGTTTATATTTAAAATACTTATTATTTTATCTTTGTATAATCTATTTTGAGTAATGTATGTGATGTAAATCCACTGTTTTTTGTTTGTTTTTAGAGATGGGTACCTCTGACTTCCCTGGCCATTTACTTAATTTTTCCCTACAAAACTGAGATATCCTCTTTGGCAAAAACTAAATTCCTCTATAGATTTGTATTTATTTCTTTGCTTTCTACTGTGGTGCAGTAACCTATTCAAGTGCCAGTATGACACTGTTTTAATTCTTGATCCTATAATATAAACTTTATTATAATAATGTTTTTTTCTTCTGTAATACATCCTTATTACTTTTCTTTTTCAGAGTTTTTCTGTCTATTCTTGCTTGTTTATTTCACTGCATAAACTTTGGAATCACCTTGTCTGGTTCCAGAAAAAAAAATGTGTCGATAGTTTTATTGGGATTATGTTGTATTTATAAATTAATCTAGCAGAAACTGGCATTTTTATGATGTTGAGTCTTCCCCTCCAAGAACATGGTATTACTTGTCATTTGTTCAAGTCTTCTTTATGTCCCTCAGGAATATTTAAACTATTTATTCAAAGAGAAAACTTTCACATTTCATGCTGTTTTTTCTAGTACTTTTCCTTTTTGCTGTTACTGTAAATGTAAATTTATCTTCCTTATTTCTGACTATATTACATCTATTGGTTAGATATTAATTTTCACTCAGTCACCAGCAAAATGTGAGAATTTTACTTCCTTTTTTTCCAGTTTTTATACCTTTAATTTCTTTATCTGGCAAAATTGCTTTGACTAATGCCAATAAACAATATTAAGTCAAATATTAGTGGTCATAGTGGAAATCATTGTCTTTTTTCAGATTTTAATGGCAATATTTCCTGTGCTTTACCATTAGTCATTATTCTGGCTCATGTGTTGAGAGATTTTTATTATGTTAAGAACATTTTTATATCTTCTATTTAATTAAGAATTTTCTTCAATTATTTTTTAAGGTCAAGAATGGGTTTTGAATTTTACCAAATGCCTTTTCAAAATCTATGAAGAAAATCACAAGATTGTTTTCTTTAGAGCTATTAATATATTGGATCACAATTTTTTTTTCTCATTATTAAACCACCTTTACATTGCTGGAATACATTACTAGATGTAGTGTATTTTTTAATGAGCTACTGGGGTCTGTTTACTAATGTTTATTTGATATTTGCATCAATAATCATTAAGTAAGATTGGTTTATAGATTTGTTGTATAGTCTTTGTTGGATTTTACCAATGTTATGCTTGATGCATAAAAAAGTGGGAGCTTTCTTTTTTTCTGTTTGGAACAGTTTAGCTGAAGGATCATTATTATTATTTTTAGGAAGACATGGAGGCTCCTCATACAGCTGTCTAGGGCTGGTGATTTTGAAGGAAAATAG
The DNA here is from genome assembly GCF_000001405.40 of Homo sapiens. Lineage (NCBI taxonomy): Eukaryota > Metazoa > Chordata > Mammalia > Primates > Hominidae > Homo > Homo sapiens. Next base: position 95,904,973 of record NC_000008.11, on the reverse strand, counting down.
CTCTTTATTAGCTTCCTCCATTTTTTCTATAGTAATTGATTTATTTAGATTGTTTTTTCCTTCTATAGACAGTTAGCTTAGTAAATTTTATTCTGCTAGAAAATTTATTCATTTCATTAAGGTTTCCTAACATATACATAAAGTTGAGAAAGTCATTGCATATGGTACTTTTTGATTTCTTCTATATTTGTAGTTATTTTCCTTTATCATATTTTGTTTACATATTTATGATTTCTCCTTTCACTTTTTTGGATCAGCTTATTAAACAGTTAATTGAGCTTATTGGTTTTCTCATTCAGCCTTTGGATTGGTATATTAATTTAAAAATGTATGTGTTTTTATAAAACATATTATTTTAACTTTAATAATTTTCTTACTTTCATTAAATAATTTCTTGATTTGGATTCTTAATCCATTACAAAAAATTCTTTCTTGTTAGTATAAGTACTGTGGACTATGCATTTTCCTGTGAACACTTTTAGCTGCTTTGATGCATATTTTTATTATTATTATTTATTATTATTATTTTTATTTTTAGACAGTGTTCAGAATTTATTTGGAGTTTTTCACCTCCTTGAATATCTTCGCAGTTTATCACCCATATGCAGTCTAGAGATCTTAGTGTTTCTCATTTAAAAAACCTTAGTGTCTTTCACACTCTTTAATCCACAGGCTTGCCTCTCTGACCCTTGCGTTTTCTCCAGATTGGCAGCCAGATCAGACTTGTGCTCTGTCCCTTTGGCAGGAAGTGTAAGTGAGGGTGGGTTCTTCCATTGGGTTGTCTCTCTCTCCTTTTGTTGGTGCTGGCAGCCATTGATGCTCCTTACCTAGATCCATTAATTCATTGGGGGCTTCAAATGGTGATCATCTAATTTCATCATTTCTTTATCATTTATTACCTGTACAAAGAGGTTTTTATTTTCCTACCTGCCAGTCATATAGGAAAGACAGGCTAAGTCCTCAGATCTTTCCCTTTATTCACCAACTTTACCTGGTTTGCTGCCTTCCTCTGAGTGACCAATTAGCCTGTTTAAATCATCATAATTCATGGACTTAAACATAGTTGATTGATGGGTTTCAATCAACTGCAGTTATTATCTTCTGTAAAGCTGAAGTTGTTCTATTTTTGGCCAATGAGAGTCTCTTCATATTGGCTCCTGGGTCCTTTTGACACAATCCTGAAGTCTTTGGTAGCTTCCTTGCTTTCCAGAATAATGAAATGTTCTAGGCTCATCTTGTGAATTTCCTGCCCCAGAACTGCAACCAACCATTCCTAGAAACATCTCTGGTTTCTTTCAGTGACAAATTCTATTTCAAAATCATCATGTAGGTGCTGGGAGTGCTCACTGCTACTAAGGGCATCTTTCCAGTAAACAGAACCCATCAACACCTTGTGGATTTATAGGACAATTCCAATTCCAATTCAGTGTTCCTTTTTTTTTCTCTAAAACTTTTCAGTATTACATCTATTCATCTCTGTTCTCCCAAACTGAAAACCCTAATTCTCAAGGACAGAGAAGATAATAGAATTAGAATATTCCATAATCACTCATTTATTTTGTCTAACATTACACTCATAAAAGTTTCAGAAGAACTATTATACCACAGCAATATAATTACTGAAATTATAACAGTTGCAGTACATACATTATCTAAGAAGATAGCCATTAGATTGGATGCTTTCCCTCTTCAAACCCTTATTCATCAGTGCTATAATCAACTAGAGGCTTAATGCTCACCACCAGTCTTTGCAATGTCTCCCCATTCGTTTTCATTGTCTGAAGCTATTTTTTCTGTTAAATTTATAAAGAAGGGTACATGGGACAATCTCCTCTGAGTTCTTGTGTACTGTTAATAGCTAGTGATAAATTTCATGCACAACAGTCCATTTTTCTGGATGTGAAATCTTTGACTTACATTTTCTTTACTTGAACATCCAAAATATGTCACTCCATTTTCCTCTGGCATGAAGTGTTGCTGTCAAAAAAATCTGTTGATAATACAATAGTTTTGCCTTGATAAGTCACTTGCTGTTTTTGCCTAAAAGTATGAAGCATTTTTATTTTTATTTAAAGCCCAATAATTTGACTAGAATATATTTTTGTGTTGGTCATCACATTCTCAGGTACATGATGTGTTCTTTCAGTGTTAATTTAAAATAAATGAACCACACCTGTCATCCCAGCACTTTGGGAGGCTGAGGCGGGCAGATCACTTGAGGTCGGGAGTTCAAGACCAGCCTGGCCAACATGGCAAAACCCCGTGTCTACTAAAAATACAAAAATTGGCTGGGCATGGTGGTGTGTGCCAGTAATCCCAGCTACTTGGGTGGCTGAGGCAGGAGAATCACTTGAACCCGGGAGGTGGAGGTTGCAGTGAGCTGGGATTGCACCACTGCACTCTAGCCTGGGCAACAGAGCAAGACTCCATCTAAAAAAAAAAATTCAGCAAAGTGTTTTGAATTACAGGATATGTGTTGCCTCTCCTCAACATATTTATTTTTTCTAAAATACTATTTACTTCATTTCTTTTCTATTTTAAAAATTTCCTCCTCTTTTCTAACCTTCTGTTCTTAAGGCATTAGCTGTTGTGTTCATTTATTCTTGTCTTCCTTTTAGGTTCGTCTTTATTTCTGCAATGAGGTTTTATTTTTAAATTTTTTCTGTTGTCTGATATTTTATTTTATAATTCAATTCTAACTTTGATCTTGTGTAATTATTATTATATGTTACTATGTTATTTATATTATACATTAAATATCATATGTCATTTAAGACAATTTATACGGTGTTATATCTTGTATAATTTTCTTGGCGTTTCTTAGCCTGTTTTGAAATAGCGCATTACAATTTTAACCCAGGTTTGAGCATGTCCTTCTGATATACAGACAGCATTTTGTTTCTCTCTCTCTTTTCCACTCTCTCTCTCTCCCCTTCCCATTCTCTCCCTAATAACTTTGTATGGGATTTGGTTTTGATATATTTATATCATTCATTTTTATGTAAAATTAGTTTTCTAGAAGGAGGCATGATTCAGGCTAGCTTTTTAAATTTCACAGAGCTCCTTCTGTTTTTTGCTTATTGCTTTTTCTTTTTTGTCTTTTTTCTTCTCTTCTTTTCTTTATTTTTCATTCATTCATTCATTCATTCATTTTAGGGGGGTGGGTGTTGTGTTAAAAAATATGATGGCTCACTTTCTGAGATTTCTTGGCACTATTCTTCTCTCCCATTGTTATTTGAATCTTCTCTTGCCTTCATCTCTAGTGACCCTTTTCTGCTCAATTTTGATTCTCCTTCCAACAGGTTTTCCTCAGTGTAAAATTCTGTCCTGGAAGGGAGCCCTGGAAAGTCAGTTTTGAGAGCATGTGGAGTTTAGACTGATCCAACTCCTTTAAATCTCCCTGTGAGCCCCTTGCATTGGTCTACGATTGAACTAGGAAAAACATTCTCCATTTCAGCTGCTGTTCTCAGGTGGGCCTCCTGGTGCTTTGCTCTCACCTGGTTGCATTTGGGAGTTCACAGACCATCTCATCATTCAGTTTTTAATATAAATAGTGTCTGTGGAATTTGCTTTTTCTATCTAGTTGCTTCTGTTTTAAATGTGGGGATTTGGAAAGATTTTTCAAAAATCTGTGATGACATTGTTGTCATCTTCCAAGAATCTCCTTCAGATTTCTTTCTTTTTTCTTTTTTTTTCTTTTTTTGACACAAGATTTAAAAGAGAAGTTTTTTGTTAGTGATGATATTGTTTTGTTTTAAAACTTTTTGTTTTTAACTTTTAGAAGAATTGCCTTTTACCTTCTTGTTTTATTATTAAATTTCTAGATTTGTTATAAGAGTTCTAGTCTTGTTTTTGTATTCAGGAATGGCTTTGGGTGCAAAGATATTCATATCTCTGTTATCTTCATTGTGAAATGTACTCCTTACCATTATAAAGTTCCCTTTTTTGTTTTATTTAAATAATTCTGCAAGTAGATGAAGTTACTTTTTGTTTGCGTTTCCTGCAATATTTTGTTATTATTTTTTATTTAAGCAGAGAATTGTCTTTTAAAAGGATTAAAACTGGGAAGTTTGAAATTTATATTTATGGGAAGTAGAATAGTGACCCCCAAAGCTTTCCAAATCCTAATCCCCAGAACCTGTGATTGTTGCATTACAAGGCAAGAATCAATTAAGTTTGAAGACTGAATTAAGGTTGGTAACCAGCTAACCTCAAAATAGGGAGAGTAGCCTAGATAACTCAGGTGAGCCCAATATAAATCACAAGACCTTTAAATGGGGATGATGAGGGGCAGAAACGTCAGAACCAGAGAGAAGACGTCACGAGAAGGGCTTGATCAGCCATTGAAGATAGAAAAAGACATGAACAAGGAAGCTGGAAGATGCAAGAAAACCATTTCTTTTCTAGGACCTCCAGAAAAGAATGCAGCTCTGTCAACACCTTAATTTTAGCTGAGACTCACTTCAGACTTCTGACCTCCAGAACTGTAAGATAATAAGTTTATGTTATTGTAAGTCAAATTTATGGCAATTTGTTATAGCAGCAATAGGAAACAAGTGCAATATTATTTCTATATTTACCACTTATGGACCTCTTCATTCCTTTGTGTAGATACAAATTTCCATCTGGTGTCCTTGTCCTTCTGCCTGAAAAGCTTCCTTTAACATCTCTTATATTGAGGGTCTGATATCTGAAAAAAATATTTGTGTCACCCTCAATTTTGAAAGATATTTTCATTTGGTACAGAATTCTAGTGAGTGTTTTTTTTTTTAATGCCTTATAGATGTCACTTCCTGCTCCTTTGGTGTGCAAAATTATAATGAGAAGTACAATGTCATTCATGTTTTTGTTTCGTGTACCTAACGTGTCTCTTTCCCCCTCTGGCTGTCTTTAAAATTTCTCTTTATCATTGATTTTGAGCAATCTTACTATGTGCCTTAGTTTCATTTCTGTTATGTTTATTTTATGTGATATTTATTGATCTTTTTGATCCTATAGGTTTATAGTTTTTATAAAATTTAGACCAGTTTTAACTGTTTTTTCAGATTTTTTCAAATTTTTAAAATCTTTTTCTCCTCTTTGAAGAATCCCATTATACCTATATTAGACCACTTGCTATTGTAATAGATATCATGGAGACTCCTACAACTTTTTTCTTTCTCTCTGTGTGTCATTTGTATAGGTTCTGTTGCTATTTGATCAAGTTTATTGATCTTTTCTTCTTCAGTGTCTTAAGATATTAGACAGATATTAATCTCATCCAGTGTATTTTAATTCAGGCACTTTTAATTTCTACATGTTCCATTTTGTTATTTGTAAATGTCTTCTATGTCTCTCCCAATAATGTTAATACTTCCATTCACATTCTCGATAATGGTTTTTTTTTTTTTTTTTTTTTTTTGACGGAGTCTTGCTCTGTTGCCCAGGCTGGAGTGCAAGTGGCGCAATCTCACCTCACTGCAACCTCAACCTCCTGGGTTCAAGCAGTTCTCCTGCCTCAGCCTCCCAAGTAGCTGGGATTACAGGCGCCCACCACCACACCCTGCTAATTTTTGTATTTTTAGTAGAGACAGGGTTTCACCGTGTTGGCCAGGCTGGTCTCAAACTCCTGACCTCCAGATCTGCCCACTGTGGCCTCCCAAGGTGCTGGGATTGTAATCCATGCCCGGCAAGAATGTTTTTAATATTTATAATAGTTTTTAAAGATCCTGTGTGCTAATCTATCCTCTCTGTCATGTCTAGGCCTGTTTATAATGATTGGATTGTCCCTGAATTGTAGTTTCCCTTTTCTTCTTTGCATGTCTGTTAATTTTTGATTGGATACTGACATTGTGAGTTTTACACTTCGAGTGATGTGTTTTGTTGTATTCTTCTGGAGAGTTGGGTTTTGTTCTGATATACAGTTATTTTGGGTCAGTTTGATCCACTTATGGCATGCTTTTAATTTCTATTAAGTCAGGTCTAGAGTATCCTTTTTTCTAGGGATAATTCAGTTCTACTACAAAGGTGAAAGACTTCTGAGGGCTGTATCAAATTCTCGGTAGACTACAACATTTCTTCACAATGGCTTTCCTTTCTGAGCCCTAGAGATTGTTTGGTCTACTTTGTTCCAGTATTTCTTTTCCCAGTCTCAGGGAATTTCTACTCGTGTGTACACTGACTACTCAACCAAGACTCAAGGGGACCCTCTGAATATTTTCAGAGCTCTCACTCTGTGCATCTTCTTCTTCTTTGCTAGTATTTGCCCTTACAAATCCAAGACATTACAGCCTCCTGAGATACACCATTTCCTCTTTTAAGCAAGACTTGTAGGCTGTGCGGTTAACACTCTGAGCTGCATTCCAGAAACTGCCTCCAGGCAGTAAGCTTTTGCATTGTAAGGCCCACCTGATCTGCTTCCCTTTTGTCAGGAATCAGTGCCATGTTGCTTGTTGGCCAATATCTAATAAGATATATATATATATATATATTTATTCCAGATTTCTATTAGAAGGGCAATTCCCATAGCAATTAATCCTTCGAGGGAAGAAACAAATGTTCCCTACTCCTTTAAAGACAGATTCTCATACCCTAAAACTTGAGGGAAGTCCTGCTTCAAAATATTATGATAGCTTTTAAGAAGTGTATGCTTCTTTTGTGCAAACACACACACACACACACACTTTGGGAAAGAAAAAGGGAGGATTTATGGCTTAGTATGGGCGCCAATTTGGCTTCTCCTAAATCAGAACATGAGACTAGTACTTGTGTGCAGATAGTTTATTTGGAAAGTAATTAGATAAAACAATATGAGGTAGTTGTGGGGAGTGAGACACATCAGGAGGAAGACCAGGGTAGAAGAAAGAAAAAAATGGAATTTGATTCTGCTGTGATCTCTAAAAAGTATATAGAACTATAAATCAAAAGTATTGGAAGCTGAGTTTTCTTGGGGAGCATCAACTCCTCTGTACTCCCAGGCTGCCTTTGCTCCTATACCACTCAAACCCTCTTGGCAATGGGGAAGGCCCTGGGGTTAGAATGTGTAAAGAAACCAGGCACACTCTTGAGATGGGTGCTGGCAGTGCAAAGGGAGTTGGAGATATTCACCAGAGCTACAGCTGAAGTCAAAGGTGAGTCAAGGAGCAGTGGAACAGGCACCACAGATGTTGGCTACAGTGTAATTTTTGGGATGAGAACACAATACATCCTCAAGACTAGACCATGAAAGAAAGTCTGACTGGGCTGTAACCAAGCCTAGGTCTTAATGTAGTTTCCTATTGAAATTTGTAGCCTTGGATAAAAGGGATCCTATGGCCAGCCTATAAGTTAAATCATTTATACATTTGCCACCAGAGAGAAAGAAATGAAAAATATAGCAGAGCAAAGGTCTGGGGATGGGTGGAGCACACATTTTATACAGAGGCTGGGTTCCTTTGGATAACAGGCTTCCCCTGGCTTGGATTCTCGGTCCTCTTTTTCCAACGATTTAATGTTCTGCACCTCTTCCCCTACTCCTAGAGTTCCAGGGTCTTTCTACCCCACAAAACACCCTGTTGAGTAAGGCCGCAGTAGAAAATAACCTTAAACCCTCAGATTTAGCAAATCCTGGCCAACCAGATGCTGACCTGCTGTTATCATTGAATAATACTTTTAAAAAGACTTGATGTCTATTAAAAAGTCATAGGACACTAACAGAAAAAAATGATTTAACAACGTGGTATTGCCCCAATTCTAAATCTCCATGTAAGAGGATACATTTCCTCTTATATCTCCTGACTCTAAGCATACCAACTCAAACTTTACAACTATATCTGACCTCTTCTCCTTACAACATAACTCCTCTCCTAGAATTCAAGCCCTTATCATAAAGTCTCTGGATGAAAATCACCAATCTTGAGTTCTCGACAATAGAGCTAACAGATGAAAGAGTAACAGATAAAACAAAGTATATATCCTGCTCATTATGAAATAACTGGGAGGTATGGGACTATACCAGGGCATTTGTCATTGATAGTTGAAATCAGGCTCTGCCCACGATGACAAATTTGTGCTGATGCTAAGGAGGAAGACATTATTTATAATTTTAGGAAGCACTTGAACATTGCAACTGGTCTGTTCTCCTGGTGAAGTCCTCTCATCTGAGAACTTCAGTGTATCATCATGCAAGGGGAATAAATTTCCACTGATCATACTGTTCTCCTTTCCTCTGTGACCTACCTTAATTTCTGAAGAAAGATGAAAATCCCCATGGCACCTTTATGAATCTGTGAAATTGTTAGAACAGGGGCAGATCAGGCAATGCATTAGTCAAATCAGCCTGCATTATGGTACAGTCCCAGAGTATGAATTGAATTGCATCGGGACATTACAGAATGACTCAAGTTCTACGTATCTAAGCTATAAGAAACAGTCATATTTAAAGAGTGGAACACAGGGCTGGTCCCAGAAGAGATTGTAAAGCCATCCAAGACAAGACATCTCATGCTGAAAACTTAAGTATTAGAAGCAGAGCACAAGAAGGAATGAGATAGGTTCAGGTCAACAGTTTTAGAGGGCTGGAGCTGTCTTAATGGATGGTGTCCAGCTATGGGTGATGGGCGGAATTAGATAAGAATGGGTAATTTTGATTGGTTGGTTTAACTGAAACGGAGCTGGTGTAGACAGGCTCGTCTCATATTCTGCCATGTATTGAAGATTGAGTACCCTATCCAGATGGTAAGCACTTTGGGGATAATGTGGTGTCGTGTAATTTTCTATAACCAACATACCACCCAGAACAATGTTTTTCTCACTGCATGTTTCCTAACTGGCTGAAAACCCTGCTAACATATCAGCCATTTCATTCAGTCTGGCATAAATAATGCTAAGTGCTGGTCCATGTAAACTACATTTGACAAATCGGTGTTTAAATGTTTTATGATTTATTATAACTAGCAATATTTACTAAACCCATTTTACTCTTTAAAAAGTAAATCAAGAACATATTTGCAGGAGGTGTGTGAATTTTAAATCACTTTCACCCACATTAAATGTTCTCATTTAATTTAATGAGAATGGTCTCATTTCCATTAGGAAGTTCTCTTGTGTTTTACTGCCTCAATGCCTTAAAGAAAGAGTCAAGTTTATATTCCGGCAAAAGGGCAGTGTTCCATCAAACCTGGGCTGCCTGCATTATATTGAAAATTCCATGCTGCATTGATTACTGGTCTCAATAAACACATTATGAAGACTTTTATGATTACCGGTGCTTGAGAATTATTATAAAATATAATGAAAGAAATATTTAATATTGCCATGTGATTGCTTCCTACATTTTTGTTTCTATTTTAAAGAGTTAGTTAAAATGGTATTGTTCACCTCTAAGATCCCAATACTCTGTGGTTATAATAAAACTAAGAGACACATAACTTTAAAGAGCAGCCGAGGTTTGATGCTTTCCAGATGACGTGGTCAGGCAAAGTGATCTCTCAATCTGAAGGGCACAGGTGCTCAGGTGGACAGCGAGGACAGCCAGATTCACTTCACACTGAACATTCCGGCCAAGATCTAACATTTACCAAATATTGAAAATACATGAAACTAGAACTTGTGGAATGATGTTTATGGACTACAGATTAGTGTTTATGTGCATGCACATGTATAGGACTAAGGGGGTCTTGATATAATAGACTAACTTTGCCTATAGACTTTATAATGGTCTTTCTTGGCCTCGAGAATTCAACTGAAAGTTCTGAATATTCAAATTACTTTTGAAATTAAAACAATTATTTTTTAGTTTGTGACTGATGTGATGAATTAAGAATATAATCTTTATTCTATGGACTTTGAAACCATTCTAGACTCAAAGGCATTCCCCAAAGAGGAGTTACACAGAAAGGGGCAAAGAGGTCTAATATTTACCTGTGGTGGTTTCATAAAGTGTCATTGTGGCAAAGCTGAACTACACTTCCCAGAATTCCCCTTTCTGTTTTCAGAAAGGGTGGGCCACAAGAGGAAGTGGGAGATTTGGAGGAGGGAAGTGAAGCAGTCGCCATTTTATAGCTCAGCATGTTGTCACTAATCGGCTGACTCCCTTCAATGGTGTGAGGTAGTAGCTAGGCTTGCAACTGCTTCACAGTCCCCTCGATCCTCCTTCAGCTTCTTCAACTCCTGGGAGAGTAGACATGTTTAGCTCCATAATGAAGGATCCCAGCCATCCATACCACTAGAGTCAGAGGTGACAAGGACTGGCATGGGTGCAGTCTGTCCTTGCAGAGGTCTAGCTCATGCTTGTGGATTCTCCCCTGCTTTACATTCATCTTCCCTTCCTAACTGCCTGCCCTGTGGACTTCAAGTTCCAGGTCAAATCCCTGTCATGGTGTGTATCAGTTTATATATTGATCAGGACTCAGAGAAGCAGAACCACAGGATACATTTAGAGACGCTTGTGTCTGCACATGTGTGTATGTATATATATCCTTTCCCTCTGCTTCTGAGAGAATCTTGACTGATGAACCATCTCTATCGGTCACACTGATATTGAGGCTTGGGTTGAAGGCATAGGTTTGTTGTTATTCTTGTTGCTGAAATGCATTCTTCATTTCATTTTGGGTGATCTGTGTTAGTGAAAATGCCCTTGTAGTGGTTTTCTAGCACCTCCCCTAAGAGATTACTTTAAAAGAGCTGAAGTTGTAAAATCTGGGAAGATTTCCAAAGTGCTTTTATTAACCTCTCCTTACTCCTCTTCTCTACTGGTGTCCCTCTGTTGACTAGTCTACTTTACATCTACAGGAAGGAGATTACACCTAAGAGAGTGGCTATGAAAACAACATCTTTATTTCTTCTATGATTTTTAGTTCTGACTTTAAAGAAGAAAATCCAGAAAGAATTTTTCCAGTGGTCAAGCCTGAGAACTTGGTCTGAAATTTAAAAATCAAATTATGTTTAGTCTTGCACATGGAAAGTTGGCTCAATTCTCTCATGATTTATTTTTCACTTTGATCTGATGTTGGGCATGCAGTACGCAGTGGGATGCAGGATTTCAGACCTGATGACCTGGCCTGTCAACTCGTTTGTTACCTCATCACTCAGAAGAGGGGGCATTTGGAACTTTGTTGATAGATTGGCTTATATATGAACAAACTAAGAGTGATTCAGCTTTCTCGTCCAGATCAACATTGGCTCAGTAATGCTGACAGTAGCAAAAATTGCTTGTGATTGCAAGAGCGATTACCTTCCGCCACAGGGAGCAGATCTGCTCTTTCTCCTCAACTGACATGGTCCTCTGCCATTACTGTCATGGCAGCCATTCTGAGGTTTCCAAATGCTTTTAGGCCAGATGTGAAGGCACACTGAGCTTGGACTGATTTTGGAGCTTCTTGAAAGCCAATTCAGTTTCTAAGAATTTAGACCAAGAATTTAAATAATAACAGCTCACATTTACAAAGTGCTGATTCAGGCTTAGTGCCAAGCATTTTACAGGCATTTTCTCATTAGAGCAACTCTCTGAGGAAGGTGTTATTATCCCTGTGTTAGAATTGAGAGTACTGAGGACCCAAGTGGTTAAATAACTTGTCTGAAAGTCACATGACTAATAACTTGAAGAGCTAGGATTTGAAACCAAAAAGTTGAACCCCAAGTCCATGTGCATAATCACCATGCAGCACTGGAAACTGGGGGTAAGTCCCATGGGAAGGAATGAAATACTCTGCATTGGCGACTTACAGTAATAGAATAGAAGATTGCCTTGCTCCCATTCCCATCTCACCCCAAATCAGAGAAGCCTATCTTATGGTCAGAGAATAGACTGGGGAAGAGCTGAAAGTGTACATTTATCTCCCTCTCATAGCCCTTGGAGTCAAAGCAAAAAATAAAAATTGACTCAGCAGGTGAGCAGGTGCCTCAAGGGCACTGCCTGAGGTGTCTCTGCCTCTTCTGGCTGTAGCCCAGTTCTCTGCTTAGGACAACAGATTAGAGCAATGGTGGTGTTTCTCTGAACTTTTACTAAATAACTGGGGAAGCTACACATACACATTTTCTCAGACTATTAAATTACTACCAAGTTAGGAGATAGGAGTGAGGCAGAATGAGCAGATTCTACTCCCTTTGGCAAGCAAAGCAAACAGACAAAAAAATCTGGTCCACATGATTCTAGTCAAATATGCTAAATGCCCTGTTACCCAGAAAGTACATTTTATGCCCCTTGGTGAACTATCAGGGATTGCTCTGCTGAGTGGCAGGTGGAGAGAAAAGCCAATCCTGCAGGCTGCTCTCGGCGCCTGGACTGGTACTTGAGCTGGGCCCACTGTTCGACCTGCCCCTTTTAGTTTTAATTAATATTCTCATTGCCTTCCCATTCATGAAGTAAAATCAATATGATGACTAGTACTTGACTTATGATATATAGCTTGCAGCATTGCCTCTGTCCTTCCAATCTGTAAGAACTAATGAGATATATTCAAAGTCAGAATTCTGATTCAAGTCATCTCACATTTTGTAAGCACAAATGTATCTGTCCTTGTATCTCAGTTTCATCATTCCCCTGTTTTCTCTTAAGAAAATGTATTCACTCCTTAGGACATATATTAAGTGTCTGTCTGTGTTAGGTGCTGCAGATACCAAATCCCACATGGTCCCTTACTCAAGGAGGTCAGGGACTGGCATGGGAGCTTATGGTGTGAATGAGCCACAGCCATCCAGTGCCTCCTGGGTGCTGGCGCATCTCTGTCTGTGGATAAGATTTCGGGGAAGTCTTTATAGAAGGCAAAAGAGATGATTAAGCCAAAATTTGAAAGATGCAAAGGAAAAGAGGCTTGAGAAGCTATGAGAATTTGAATGACTGAGTAGCATGAGTAGAAAAAGGGCACATGGAGGTGCATTGCTAGAACCACATGGAAGAGTAGGCAAGAAGCCAAAAGGAATCTTGAATATCATGGTAAATAACTTCCATGAAATGGGAAACAGCAACCATCGAATGATTTGAAGCAAAGGAGAAACACAATCAGGTTAGTATTTTAGAAGTTCTCTCTGCAGCAATGTTGAAGATGGATTCGAGAGTCCAGATTGGCGGTAGGGGGACCAGTTAGAAGCCTTTGCATTATTTTTGCCAAGAGGTGTGGGAAAAAGGAGTCATTAAGCAGACTTTAAAAAATGGTCTTCCAAGCAGCAGGGGTAGATCCAGGATTGAGGATAGCCAATCAAGAGTTTCAAACCAAGGCAGGAGGATTTCATGAATACAGAGTGGCTGACAATATCAAATTCTGCAGGCACATCTGAAAAGATGCACAAGTAGCTGCTGGATTTGGCATTTTTCAGATGACTGGTAACCTTGGTAAGGTTAGTTTCAGTAAAGTGGCGAGGAAAGAGTCTGAGTGTGTTGAGGAGGGCTTGGGAAATGAAGATGTTGGGAGGTTAGTATGGCCTGTTATTCTGAAAGGTGCTTGGCTGTGACACTGACCAGAATGACAGGTTTTTTTTTCTTCTTTTTTTTCATTTAAGAAAATAAACAAAAAATAGGAGATGGAAATGGCTGTGAAAATGGAACTGAGTCAGCTCCCTGTGGTCTTGCTAGTATTTGCTCTTTAAGTCCCAGGACATACTGCAGCTTCAGAAGGATGAGCCAGTTGGACTAAGCCACCACGAGAATAATTTTTTTTTCTTTGTCAAGGGCGACTGTCCTGATCATTTTCCTACATTTATACCTGAATCCCATCTCCTGCCCCCTCGCTGAACCTTCTCCCGTTGACTTGGTTAATGCTTGTGCCTTTACTAATCCCATAACACTACTGTTGACAACATTACAGTCCTCTGGCTCAAGTTTTGACTCTTTTTACTCCAGGTCCTAGACTGTGGACAGATTTTATAAGGTCATCCTGGGTTGCAGTTCCACCCATGCCAGGATCTGAACCACACAAGGCCAGGATCTGAACCTCTCCCGGGTTAGCATCCTCTAAACAGAATATCAGATAGCAGTTGGAGGTTTACAGTGGGGGCTCTGTAGCCAGATTGCCTGGGTTCAAATCTTGGCTCAGCTACCTGCTAGTTGTGTGATCTTGGACAAATTTCTTCACCTCTCTGCCTCAGTTTTCTCATCTGCTCTGTGCAAATAACAGAAGTCACCTCAATGCATTGCTTTAAGAATTAAATGTGTTAATATATGTAAGGTGCTTAGAACACTGCTTGGCACATAGTAAGTCCTCAGTGCTTGTCCTTATAAATAGGACAAGTTCCACAGTAAGTTCCAGCAAGGGTTTTTACCTTTTTGCTGCCCTCTGGTGGCCAGTGAACATATCGGAGGACTTAAAACCCAAAGTTGACCCCATGTGTGCTGAATACAATGTAGATCAGACTGTAATGATGATGATGACAGCCGAAATACTTGCTTATTTTATGTAATACCCTAAATAATTCTACTGAAATAGGTAGTAATCATTGTCACCTTTGTATAAAGAAGAACATTGATGCTGAGAAGAGAATTTACCTAAGAAAAGCTGTATGTAAGCTATATGTGGATTAAATGAAATATCATATGCACTAAAGTAATCCTTATTTGTAGCCAGGGATTCAGTTTGAAAGAAATAAAAATTTAGTTTAGTTTAAATTCAGTTCAGGGAATATTTTGATCTGATTTTGTCCCAGTTCAATAGTTTCATAAAACATACAGTTTTGGCTTCAAATCAAACTGCTTTAGTAGGCATTTTTTTTCTTCCCCAGGGAAAGTCGCTTCAGTTCATGGTTTAGTGAAACATTAACATTTGGGTTCAGTTCTATTTGAAGATTGGTTTGGAGTTAGGTTTGGTTCAAGTCCTATTTCCAGGAGTCTGGTGAATTTTAGATTGATGGACATATTCAGGAAACAGCCAATGGCTAACAAGAATGCACTGCGCCTGTTTCCTCAAAAACGTTTCCACGGCTCTCTTGTCTGGACCCGTATGATATCTGGTTCTCTTTAACTTGGCTGTCCGGAGACAGAATAATAATGCTAAACATAGTAGTGAGTAGTGATTTTGCAACACTGACAAATGATCTCACTTTGCTGGATAGACTTCTAAACTCACAAATTCATGAATTTAGTCACACATTCATTCTAAAAGATTGTACCTCATAGATGGATGGAATCTGGGGGCTACATGTGTCTTGTGCTTGCTCTCTTGTCCCCATTGTAACTATGCAAACAGTGTGTGATTGTGACAGCTGTTTCAAATATAGACAATATCTCGCTGGTAAGTTATCATTTTTCATTTTAAAAGATGTTATGAATTCTGAGGTCCAACTTCAGTATATACAGTGTCCAAAATGTTTTTGAGAAAATTGTGTTTTCAATTTTAGAATGCAATTTAATGACAAAATAGGACTAAGTTTGTGGAAAAGGTGTTTATAACCAACTTAGCTGGAACATATTCATTCTGTTGAGCAAGGGGAAGCCTAAATTAAGATTTTGTCTGTATTGGGATAGTGGTTAATGTGTCATAACTGAGAGAATTAGGAAGCTGGGACCAGAGAATATAGGCTAAATTGGGGTCTTCATCAAATCATAATTGTGGTAACATTTATTGGTCATAGACTGTGTGCCAATCCTCCGTTACATAGGTACTATAATTATTTTTTTAATAGTTAAGAAAAACAAAGCATAAAGAAAAATAAAGTAACTTGTCCAGAATAAAGCAACTTTCCCAGAGTGTGCCAGTTAGCAAGAAACAGAATTTGAACCCAGCCTAATGCAGAGCTCAGTCACTTAACCATCATAGCGAGTTTTCAGGTAGTTAGGAATTGGGCACAAATATAAATTAAGATCTAGGAAAAGCAGAAATTCAGACACCAAGCAGACAAACAAAAATCAGGGCATGTGCAGGGACCTGGAGTCAAGAGAAGTCAAGGGTCAGAACCTTTTCACATAGATGAAAACCAGAGAGGGGAGAAAACTAGTCTGATGATAAAAGGAGAAGAAAAAAAGGTAACTTTGGCCAGGCAAGACAAGGGGGCTAGGAGAATAAGGCCTTAGCTATAAAAGTCCCTTGTCTGAAAGACGTTTTCCATCCTGGCCAGGTGGCATTTGTTGAGATAGAAACCAACTTGATATTGAGCTCCTTAGGTGTGATTATAGCAAAAAGTATATACATTCACTCAGTTTGGGTAGCTATGGAAAGTCAGAAATAAGAACAACTTTATATAATATTAAGCACAGGGGCAAAAAATCTACAATTTTGTTACACGTCATCTAGTTCAAGTCCCCACTCAAAGGGAGACTTTCTTCGGTGGCACCTCTGATCAGGTTATGCAATCTTTGCTTTCACGTTTCCAGGGGTGATGAGCTCACTGCCTTCTAGCCAGCTCCTTTCTTTTATTACAACATTCTAATCGCTGGCATGTTCTTTCTATAAAGGCCTAGAATTTCATCCTTATGACTGCTGTCCATTATCTTGACTGTCTGTCTGTGACCAGCCAAGAGCACATACTTGCATTTTTTTTCTATATGACAAACCTGTAAGAGATGAAAATGTTTTTAAAAATCCAAGATACAAAAATCTTCCCACAGATTAAAAAAAAGCCCCAGGTGTCTTTGCTTGTTTTATTAGGGTTATAGTTACAGGTGGGAAGAGACGCCACACCCAACAGTAGTCCAATGTTTCCATTTTCACTCCCACTCCAAGGAAAGTTCACCCTCAGATACCAAGTCTTAAACAATATCCTGCTGTCTTTGCAAAACTAGAGAGTTAATAGTGCTTTCTTTTTCTCATTAACTATGTAAAAACAAGCTAGCATTTTGCAAAAAGAAATGTATTAAGAGTCAGAAAGATTAAAAAAAACAGCAGAAGAAAAAATGAAAAAAGAAGAGTGACTGTATGAATAATAGACATTTTCATAAATTTGCCCTGTATTTCTCCTAAGCCAGGGTGATTCCTTCTATCTGCTCTCTATAAGACAGGGGAAGGAGACTGCTGTGGAATTTCATCTTCCTTTTGAAGAGTTATAGCAGTGTTATGTCAAATGTTGAACAAGGGAGCTGTGGTGATCTACTCAGATGGTTGGCAGAGAGCACAGTGGTCATTACTTCTACTGTGAAAAGAGAACTAGAAGAATCAACCTTTTATTGAGCACCTACTAGGGACCTCTTAATCCTCCTCATGGTAACCTAGTAAGGAAGCATGCATTATAAAACATTTTATGGATGAAAGAGCGGAAGTTTAGAGAGGGTAAATTGCCTCAAGTGCACATAGTAGCATTAATAATAGTATTAAAAATACAGGTGGCTGCTAAGTTTGAGTGTTTGTGTCCCCCACAAAATTCATGCTGAAATTTAACTCCCAATGCAACAGTATCAAGAGGTGGGGCCTTTTGGGGGTGATTAGGTCATGAGGGTTCCACCCTCATAGATGGGATTAGTGCCTTATTAAAGGCCTAGAGGGAAATAGCCAGGAACTTTTGCCCTTTCTGCCCTTCCACAATGTGAAGAGACAGCATTTGTTACCCCCCTAGAAGATGTCGCATTCAAGGCACCATCTTGGAAGCACAGACTGGGCTCTCACCAGATACCAAGCCTGCTGGTGCCTTGATCTTGTACTTCCCAGCTTCCAGAACTGTGAGAAATAAATTTCTGTTCCCTATAAATTACTCAGTCTCAGGTATTTTGTTATAGCAGCAAAAATGGACTAAGACAGTAACCATCCTTTATTAACGTCTGTCACATAGTAGTTACATGTAGCAGTTACTTGACATATTCTTTTTCATTCATTCATTTAAATATTATTAACTTATAACCAGTACATGGCTAAACTGTAGTTTGAAAGTAATCAAACTAATGTGTATAGATTGAAGGCCTATTGACAAGCCAGGCATTATGCTATGCACTACGTTTGATCAACAAATTACAATCCCACTTTCAAGGAATTTACCCTTCAGTAACAGATTAGCAAACAAATAAGCAATCACAATCTAGAATGAAGAATATTGGTCTGAAGGCTATGCTCTCTTCCCTCCAACACATTGAGAAACATGAAATCTGGAAACATGCTGATGGTTCCTTAGGCTGGGCTCCAAGGAATTCTCCCTGTAAAAGTCTCTGGGCCATAGAGCCAGCTCTGCTTACTCTGCATGATATGGCCCCAGGAGAGGAAGGAGTGGGCATGGAGGTAGCAGTGTGGTGCCTGGAAATGTCAGCAGGAGACGACTTGGAAGTGGCTGCTTGGCCACGTGTGCATGTGTGTGTGTGTGCATGTGCACACTCAAGGGGTGTGCGTGTGTGTGTGCATGTGCACACACTAAGGGGCTTCCAGATGGCTCAGCCCTTCTAGTGAACTGCTTGCCAAGGTATGAGTGACCTCTTCTGTAGGGCACTGGAGTATTGGCTGGGCCTGGGGAGTGGGGTGGGGGTAAATGAGGTGGGGGTTGGAGGGAATTGGTGTGCTGTGGTCCACAAAGACAGGAACATAAATTTTTTTCATTAAAACAATCTTGAAATTGTTGGCAAGCCCATAAAAAGGCTTAGTTAGAGCCGTCTTGGGGCAACTTTTCTTTGAGTTCAGTTTATTAATTTAGGTTTTTACATGGCTTTTTATTAAGAAACATATGGTACTTTAGGCCATTTAACACCAAGGAAAAGCTTCATAAAGAAATGTTCTGAGCACCAATATAATATAAACTTGTCCTTTTACCTTTTACAGAAAAACAAGTTATTGAGAGATTTGTGAACGTTTTCTGTACTTTCTTATAATTAATGACGAGATATTTTCATTTACAAACATGTATTAAGCCTTTCAAAAAGGAAAAGAAGAACTTGGGTTAAAAAAAGTATGTGTGTGTGTGAGTAGTTGAAAGAGGATGGGAATTTCACAATAAAATAATATATGCTATATATTAACCCAAATGCTTTATTGGCCTGTTGAGGAGTTTTCTTAAAGCAGCTGAGGAGGATGTCTTGTGTTGCTTGAAATTAGGGTAAGATTCCATAAAATGAAATCCTTTCAAAACTATTCTCTACAAAGAAATGCAGTCCAATTAGAAAAAGAGCCTCGGGGTTGACCTCATTTGCCCCACTTCATTGGGCCCATTGCTGGACTCTGGTTCAGAGTTCCAGCCCCAGAGACAGAGACTTCTCAAAGGAATAGTACCCAACCTGGACAAAACATCTACTGGAGACACACCCCTCTCACCTTCTGTTCCATTGGGAATTACGTCCAGCATTGCAGTTGACAGCCTTGCCACCCATGGTGGAGGCAGCCATCCAGGAACATCCACATGCCAGGGGCTGAACTATGGACACTAATCCCAAAGATGATATGTAGCTGATTGTGGGCTGCCAGTTGGAGGGCTGGAGCTGAGACCAGTGGAATCTCAGCCTTACAGGGGTCACATATGTGGCAATTTGTGCCAGGAAAGCCTTACATTGATGGTTCTCAACTGGGGGAAATTTTGTCACCCAAGGGATATTTGACAAGATATGGAGACATTTTCAGTTGTAACAACTGAGGGAGGGGGTGCTATAGGCATCTAGTGGGTAGAGGCTCAGAATGCTGCTAAATATCCTATTACTTTTGCACCAACCTAATATAATGCATGGAATTGACCCTACAACAAAGAATTACCCAGCCCCAAATACCAATAGTCCTGCTGTTGAGATATTAATACAGAGAGATGCCTGCTGGGAATTGGATTGGTGAGTGCACAATTGAAGTGGAGCTATTGTTTTTCTTTCATGGTCTATCCGGAATAGTCCCAGAAACTCACCTTGATCATGCCTGAGAGTCCTTTGAGGCACTCTATCAACTCTACTTATCTTGCCATGTAGGTAGGGAGTATTGACTTTTCAGGTGACTGTGCATCTTAGGAGGGTGGACACATGGGTCTGTTTTCCTTTTGTAGGCTTTAAAGTGAGATAGCAGAGACACAAAGGAGGGGTGGGGTGGACAAAGATATTTTAGGCTTTGAGTTCATGAGGTGGAAGATCCCACCTTATAGAATGGAATTGCAGTCTTGGAGGTGCCTGTGTCTGTGACCAGGAAGAGGATGGCAGTGGAAGGCATCATTACCACCTCAGGTCATTGGAAGAGGAGAGGACCAAGACTCAGAACTAAAATGGGACTTCCCCTGGCCAGCTGCTGATCTTCTACAAATGTGCCCCATTTTGGCCACAGTACAGGTGTTTTGTTGCTTCCTTAGTTGACTGTCTTAGTTGCTTCCCCAAGCTGCTTCCCTAGTTGACTGAGGAAGCCGACACTACTGTCCTCAGGGAATGACCTAGGGTGGATAGTACACCATGATCTGGAAAAGATGAGAATGGATACTCAGTTTACACCAAACTTAGATTTTCATTGATCCCATGTAGCAATGAAATTCACATATTTATTCAGCTCTTGCTATTAGCAAGACACTCTCCTAGGATCTGTGGGAAAGATATAAAGAGGAATGGATCATGCCCCCGCTCTCAAAGACTCATTCTACTGTAGGGTAGACAGACATATTTCCCACTCTGTAGAATATAACTATAATAAAAACATATTGTTGTAAGTGCTATAATAGAGGTGTGACATGCCACATGTAGTGGGACAGTTGGGAAGCAGAAAAAAATTATTCCCACTGGGGGCATGTGGGAGGACCTTACAAAGATCCTACCATCTTTCTCTCTGTAAGAGAGAAAGTGGCATTTGCACAGGACCTTCAAAGATAGTAGGAATTTAGTGGAGAGATGAGCATTCAGTGAACGCAACAGAGCACATGGCTTGTTAGAAATCACAATTAATTTGGTATATTTGAAACAGATGAAACTTTCAGGGGGAGCCATAACAAAGATTTTAAAAAAGGGGCATTTAGAGTTGATCACAGAGGACATGAGTACGCAGATGAGGAATTTGTGTTTTATCCCATATGTAGTAGCAAACTGAAGACATTTGAGCAGGGGATTTATATGTTCAGCTCTTTTCTTTAGAAAGAGTTTTGTCAGTAGCCTTTAAGATGGAATGGAGAGATGGGAGGCTAGAAAACCAGGTAGGGAACTTTGGAATCAATGGCTGAAGTTTTGTCTTCTTTTTTAGAGACAGAATGAAGCTGAAAGGTCACCCCCATGTCTGAGGCTGGCAGTATAGCATAGCAGAAAAGAGCAGGGGAAAGCTACACCCATGCCCAAGTCCTTATCTGCCACTTGGTACCCATTTGATTTTGAGCAAGTTACTTTTTATACCTCAGTTTTCTCATCTGTAAAACATTGCTAATAAATGGAATATTCCTTACAAGGATGTTGACAGGAGTTTTAAGTGTGTTATCTAAAAAGCACTTAAGATAGCATTAAAGCTGATAATTAAACTTTCAGGAATTTCACAAGGTGGTAGACATCATGTTGGTAGATGGAAATAAGCAATAATGTAAGTATTTACACCATGGAAGCTGGAAAATGCTATAAATCAAAGAGAAAAGAAAAGGAAAGAAAGTGAGAAACAGAAAACCCACATAGGACTGAGCTCTGAGACTACCTCAAATTTCAAAACCAGCATCTCAAGCAACTTTGAGTTCTTTGAGTGGTACTAAACATTTGATGGAAAGAACAAGGTCTTAAAAATTAGATATTGCTCAAAGATCAGAGAGTTGTAGATGTGTGGTATTATTTCTGAGGGCTCTGTTCTGTTCCATTGGTCTATATCTCTGTTTTGGTACCAGTACCATGCTGTTTTGGTTACTGTAGCCTTGTAGTATAGTTTGAAGTCAGGCAGCCTGATGCCTCCAGCTTTGTTCTTTTTGCTTAGGATTGACTTGGCAATGTAGGCTCTTTTTTGGTTCCATATGAAACCTGACAAAAACAAGAAATGGGGAAAGGATTCCCTATTTAACAAATGGTGCTGGGAAAACTGGCTAGCCATATGTAGAAAGCTGAAACTGGATCCCTTCCTTACACCTTATACAAAAATTAATTCAAGATGGATTAAAGACTTAAATGTTAGACCTAAAACCATAAAAACCCTAGAAGAAAACCTAGGCAATACCATTCAGGACATAGGCATGGGCAAGGACTTCATGTCTAAAACACCAAAGGCAACGGCAACAAAAGCCAAAATTGACAGATGGGATCTAATTAAACTAAAGAGCTTCTGCACAGCAAAAGAAACTACCATCAGGTGAACAGGCAACCTACAGAATGGGAGAAAATTTTTGCAATCTATCCATCTGACAAAGGGCTAATATCCAGAATCTACAAAGAACTCAAACAAATTTACAAGAAAAAACAAACAACCCCATCAAAAAGTGGGCAAAGGATGTGAACAGACACTTCTCAAAAGAAGACATTCATGCAGCCAACAGACACATGAAAAAATGCTCATCATCACTGGCAGTCAGAGAAATGCAAATCAAAACCACAGTGAGATACCATCTCACACCAGTTAGAATGGTGTGAGGAAACAAAGGTGTGAGGAAACAAAGTCAGGAAACAACAGGTGCTGGAGAGGATGTGGAGAAATAGGAACACTTTTACACTGTTGGTGGGACTGTAAACTAGCTCAACCATTGTGGAAGTCAGTGTTGCAATTCCTCAAGGATCTTGTACTAGAAATACCATTTGACCCAGCAATCCCATTACTGGGTATATACCCAAAGGAATATAAATCATGCTGCTATAAAGACACATGCACACATATGTTTACTGCGGCACTACTCACAATAGCAAAGACTTGGAACCAACCCAAATGTCCAACAATGATAGACTGGATTAAGAAAATGTGGCACATATACACCATGGAATACTATGCAGCCATAAAAAATGATGATTTCATGTCCTCTGTAGGGACATGGATGAAGCTGGAAACCATCATTCTCAGCAAACTATCACAAGGACAAAAAACCAAACACCACGTGTTCTCACTCATAGGTTGGAATTGAACAATGAGAACACTTGGACACAGGAAGGGGAACATCACACGCTGGGGCCTGTCATGGGGTGGGGGGAGTGGGGAGAGATAGCATTAAGAGATATACCTAATGTAAATGACGAGTTAATGGGTGCAGCACACCAACATGGCACATGTATACATATGTAACAAACCTGCACATTGTGCACATGTATCCTAGAACTTAAAGTATAATAAAAATATATACATATATATAAATTAGATATTGCTTATCTTATTACACTTCTGTTGGACTTGATATATATGGAAAATGAAAAAGTAGAATTTGAGGTGACTTTCGAGGAATTAGATAAAGTAGATTACCTCAAGCAGCAAGTGCTATATGAAACACTTTATTGCTATGTTAAGCCCAAGACCATACAATATGGAAAATACTATGGTTTAGTTGGAAGTAAGGATCAAGGACAGTATAGCTGGTTTGAAAATAAGACTACTTGAATTTGAATCCATCTTATATTACTCATTAGTTTAGACAAGTAACACCAATCTCCCTTTTTCCTCCCTACCCCCAACTTTCTCTTATAATTGTGTTTCCAACCTTATCGACAATAGTCAAGATCTCTTCCACCATCCAGTTAGTAATGTAAGTTAGGGATCTTCATATCCTGGAGGATTTCTTTCCTTTTATCCTCCAAATTCAAATAACTAAGAGTTTGCTTCTATTCTACTGCATGTATCTTGTTTGTGCCAGAGTTTTTGCATCTATAAAATATGGTAATAATGACATCTCTGTTGCAGGGTTATTGAAAGGATTATATAAGTTACAATATAAGTTAATATGTAGACTGTATAGAACAGTGCTGGTACAGGGTAAATGCAGTAGCAGAATTAGCTACTATTATTGTTTCCAAATATTAACTGTTTGAATTTCATTAAATTATTTTATTTCCTTGAGGCTGGATTTCTCATACATAAAAGAGAAATAATATTAACAACTACTCAACTATCTCTCAAAGTTGTTGTGAGTCTGGAATAAAATATATTGAATGTGGACTTGCTTTGGAAACCATAAAGCATGAAAGAATCACCTTTGGTGATTATGAGAAAAAATATAGCACAGAGAGGCAGTCTTGGAACACAACTCCAAGGAATGATATAGCTATTTTTGAGTAAAACCCACAGAGTGATTGTGAACATAAGAGGAAAATTACAACAGGCTGTGCAAATCATGAATACGTCTGCCAAGCACACATCAATATGCACATGTGCCCAGCATGGGAAGGAGGCTGGCCACACATTAGTCTTTTTGGCCACAAACCCATAAACAGACAGCAATCATTGTAAGCAGCACCAACACACTGAAACACTCCGCCTGCCTAGCTACATCTGACAATGGAAGAGCCACTACATAGTGAGCAATGGTGTGATGTTACGAGCTCCAGGAAAGCCTCTAGTCTCTCATCCCCTTCCACCAAGCCCACCTATATTGGCTCAATAATGTGTGACCTCAGTGCATTTCTTCTTTCATTCCAAGGGAAGCTTTAAGCCATTTTCAGCTATTTAAACCTCAGGGTGAATGAAGAATTAGAGAAAAGCCTGTTCAGATCTGGGAATGCTGTAAGTGAATACTCTCCACAACTCTGTTTGGATTGCTTCTGCTGGTGTGATCGCTGTGTTTTCTGATGGACAAACCTCACTTTGTGATTGATAGTATTAAACTCCCTTATCCCCACCACACCCACCTTCTTTTATTTTATTATTTTATTTTATTATTTATTTATTTATTTTAAGGCAGAGTCACTCCATCACCCAGACTGAAGTGCAGTGGTTGCAACCTCTGTCTCCTGGGTTCAAGCGATTCTCATGCCTCAGCCTCCTGAGTAGCTGGAATTACAGGCATGCACTAGCATGCCCAGCTAATTTTTGTATTTTGAGTAGAGACAAGGTTTTGCCATGTTGGCCAGGCTTGTCTTGAACTCCTGACCTCAAGTGATCTGCCCACCTCAGCCTCCCAAAGTGCTGGGATTACAGGCGCGAGCCACTGCCCCTGACCCCACACCCACCTTCTAAAACTCTCTTTTCCTTGAGTTCCGTGACATCACCTTATTTGGTTCTTCTCTTCCTCCCTGGCCATTTCTTCCTGTTCCCTTTATTGATACTTCTCCCTTTTAACTGTTGATATGCCTCTTGTATTTCTTGGTTCATTCTGTAATTTCTTCTGGGTGCTCTCAACTGTACATTGATGTTTCCAATACTTAAGTCTACTTAAGCCCAACTCTCTTCTGTGAAATCTGCTATTGTTGTGGATGACTTCAAAGCACTTTGGGGTCAAATGTCTAAAACCAAACTCATTTTTTCTTCCCTATCTCCAACTTTCTCTTCGAATTGTATTTTCAACCTTAACCATAGTCAATGTCTCCACCATCCACTTAGTAACCTAATTTAGGGACCTTCTCATCCTGGATGACTTCTTTTCTTTCACCACCTTCAAATAGCTACCAGTTTGCATCTTTTCTACTGCGTATATCTCAATGAATTCTCTTCGTTTTGTGCTGTTCCTCTCTTGCTGCCTTCATTTATGTCCTCAACACATTCCATTTGCACAAATGCAGTATTTTCTTAACCCATTTTCCTGACTTGCATCTCTCTTTCCACTGGTATTCATTTACCATGAGACCAACAAATTATGTTTGTAAAGTGAAAATTGTATTATTTTACTCCCCTTATTATCACTATCTATTAGATATTGAATTGTGTTGAAGTTATCACGTGATCTGGCCCTAAATACCATTCCAGCCTCCTCTCCCATCTCTGTCCAAACATGCACTCTGTGCTTTAGTGGCAGAAAAAATTGACCAATGTTCCATTAGGCTTGCCTGCTTTTATGCATGGGAGCCCTGCACCCCTACTCCCATCCCCACAGTTCAGCTAAATATAATCTCTTGTGGGAAGGCATTCCTCCTTCTCTAGCCTCAAAGTTGTAGTCAACATGAAAGTAGGTATGACATGATTAAAAGTAAATATCTGCCAGTGAAGACCTTGCCTCCAGTTTCACACAAAAAATTGAAGCAGTCATGGGAGAACTTCACCAGAATCCCACCACATCTTTCTACCCATCAGTATCTGCACATGTAGTTTACACATTTTACCTTCCTGCCTACTACTGTAAGATTTGCATTCTATGTCCCCATATAAAGCAAGTTCCTCTGTCTATACACTTGATCCCACCCTGAGTCACCTACTGAAGGGTGGCACTCCAGCAATTCTTCACCTCTCTCTAGACCCATCAATGTTTTTTGCACTCTCTACTGAATCACTCCCATCAGCACTCAAGTCTACTTTTCTTTCTCTTCTTTCTTTTTCTTTCTTTCTTCCTTTCTTTCATTTTTTTCTTTCTTTTTCTTTCTTTCTCTTTCTTTTTCTTCCTTTCTTTCATTTTTTCTTTCTTTCTTTTTCTTTCTTTCTCTTCTTTCTTTCTCTCCTTTCTCTCCTTTCTCTCCTGTCTCTCCTTTCTTTCTCTCCTGTCTCTCCTTTCTTTCTCTCTTGTCTCTCCTTTCTTTCTCTCCTTTCTCTCTTTTTTCCTTTTCCTTTTCCTTTTTCTTTTTGACAGAGTTTTGCTCTTGTTGCCCAGGTTGGAGTGCAATGGCACAATCTCAGCTCACTGCAACCTCCACCTCCCAGGTTCAAGCAATTCTCCTGCCTCAGCCTCCAGAGTAGCTGGGATTATAGGCACCCGCCACCATGCCTGGCTAATTTTTGTATTTTTAGTAGAGACAGGGTTTCACCATGTTGCCCAGGCTGGTCCTGAACTCCTGACCTCATGATCCGCCCCCCTCAGCCTCCCAAAGTGCTAGGATTACAGGTGTGAATCATTGCACCCAACTGCCTACAATTATTTCTCCTATCTTAAAAAAAAGATAACATTTTACAATTTAATTTAATTTAATTTTTTGACTTTTAAGTTCAGGTGTACATGTGCAAGTTTGCTTTGTAGGTAAACTTGTATCATGGGGGTTTGTTGTACAGATTATTTCATTACCTGGGTATTAAGCCTCGTACCCATTAGTTATTTTTCATGATCCTCTCCCTCCTCGGGGGCCTCTTCATCTACCAATAGGCCCCAGTGTCTGTTGTTCCCCTCAGTGTCCATGTGTTCTCTTTATTTAGATCCCACTTATATGTTAGAACAGGTTGTATTTAGTTTTCCATTCCTGTGTTACTTTGCTAAGGATAATGGCCTCCAGCTCCATCCATGGTCCTGCAAAGGACATGATCTTGTTCTTTTTTTATGGCTGCATAGTATTCCATGGTGTATATGTACCACATTTTCTTTATCTAGTGTACCTTTGATAGACATTTAGGTTGATTCCATGTGCTATGCATGCATGTGTCTTTATGATAGAACAATTTATGTTCCTTTGGGTATATATCTAGTAATAGGATTGTGGGGTTGAATATTATTTCTGTTTTTAGGTCTTTGAGGAGTTGCAACACTGTTTTCCACAATGGCTGAACTTACTCCCACCAATAGTGTAAAATCATTCACTTTTCTCCACAACCTCACCAGCATCTGTTATTTTTTGACTTTTTAAAATAGCCATTCTGATTGGTGTGAGATGGTATCTCATTATGGTTTTGATTTGCATTTCTCTAATGATCAGTGATGAGCTTCTTTTTATATGCTTATTGGCCAAATGTATATCTTCTTTTGAAAAGTGTTCATGTCCTTTATCTACTTTTAATGGGGTTGTTTCTTCTTGTAAATTTGTTTAATTTTGTTTAAATTCCCCATAGATATTAGACCTTTGTCAGATGCATAGCTTGCAGAAATTTTCTCCATTCTGTAGGTTGTCTGTTTACTCTGTTGATAGTTTCTACTGCTGAGTAGAAGCTCTGTAGTTTAATTGAACCCATTTGTCAATTTTTTCTTTTGTTGCAATTGTTTTTGGTGTCTTCATTATGAAACCTTTGCCCGTTCCTACATCCAGAATGGTATTGCCTAGGTTGTCTTCCAGGGTTTTTATGGTTTTCAGTTTTACTTTTAAGTTTTCAATATATCTTGAGTTAATTTTTGTGTATGGTGTAAGGAAGGGGTCCAGTTTCAATCTTCTGCATATAGCTACTCAGTTATCCTAGCACTATTTATTTGAATAAAGATTCCTTTCCTCATTGCTTGTTTTTGTCAGCTTTGTCAAAGATCAGATGGTTAAAGGTGTGCAGCCTTATTTCCAGGCTCTGTATTCTGTTACATTGGTCTTTGTGTCTGTTTTTGTACCAATACCATGCTGTTTGGGTTACCATGGCATTGTAGTATAGTTTGAAGTTGGGTAGCATGATGCCTCCAGCTTTGTTCTTTTTGCTGAGGATTAACATGGCTATTCAGGCTCTTTTAGGTTCCATATGAATTTTAAAATAGTTTTGTTCTAGTTCTCTGAAGAATGTCATTGGTAGTTTAATAAGAATAGCATTGAATCTGTAAATTGCTTTGGATAGTATGGCCATTTTAACAATATTGATTCTTCCTATCCATGAGCATGGAGTGTTTTTCCATTTGTTTGTGTCATCTTTGATTCCTTCTAGCAGTGTTTTGTAGTTCTTCTTGTAGAGATCTTTCACATCCCTGTTTAGCTGTATTCCTAGGTATTTATTCTTTTTATGGCAATCTCATTTTGTGGATGGGATTGCATTCCTCATGTGGCTCTTGGTGTGACTGTTGTTGGTGTATAGGAATGCTAGTAATTGTTGTGCATTGATTTTGTATCCTGAGAATTTGTGGAAATTATCAACGGAAGGAGCTTTTGGGTTGAGACTATGGGATTTTCTAAACATAGGATCATGTTGTCTGCAAACAGGGATAGTTTGACTTCCTTGCTTCCTATTTGGAAGCCCTTTATTTCTTTCTCTTGCCTGATTGCTCTGGCCAGGACTTCCAGTGCTATGTTGAATAGGAGTGGTGAGAGAGGGCATCCTTGTCTTGTGCTGATTTTCAAGGGGAATACTTCCAGCTTTTACCCATTCAGTATGATGTTGGCTGTGGGTTTTTCATAGATGACTCATTATTTTGATGTATGTTTATTCAATACCTAGTTTATTGAGAGTTTGTGGCATGAAGAGTTGTTGAATTTTATCAAAAGCTTTTTCTGCATCTATTGAGATAATGTTGGTTTTTTTTTTTTTTTTTGGTTTTTAGTTCTGTTTGTGATGATTCACATTTGCTGATTTGTGTATGTTGAACCAACCTTGCATCCCAGAGATAAAACCTACTTGATTGTGGTGGATAAGCTTTTTGATGTGCTGCTGGATTTGGTTTGCCAGTATTTTGCTGAGGATTTTTGCATCAATGTTCATCAAGGATATTGGCCTGAAGTTTTCTTTTTTTGTTGTGTCTCTGCCAGGTTTTCGTATCAGGATGATGCTAGCCTCATAGAATGAGTTAGGGAGGAGTCCCTCCTCCTCATTTTTTGAAATATTTTCAGCAGGAATGGTACCAACTTTTCTTTGTACGTCTGGTAGAATTCAGCTGTGAATCCGTCTAGTCATAGGCTCTTTTTGGTTGGTAGGCTATTCATCACTGATCAATTTTGTAGCTTGTTATTGGTCTGTAGAGGAATTCAATTTCTTCATGGTTCAGTCTTAAAAGGGTATATTTGTTCATAAATTTACCCATTTCCTCTAGATTTTGTAGTTTATGTGCATAGAGGTGTTCATAATATTATCTGATGGTTATTTGTATTTCTGTGGGGTCAGTAGTAATATCCCCTTTGTTGTTTCTAATTATGTTTACTTGAATGTTCTTTTTTCTTCTTTATTAGTCTAGCTAGTGGTCTATTTAAAAAAAAAAACAACTCCTGGATTCATTGATCTTTTGATGGTTTATTGTATCTCAGTCTCCTTCAGTTCAGCTCTAATTTTGGTTATTTCTTGTCTTCTGCTAGCTTTGGGGTTGGTTTTCTCTTGGTTCTCTAATTCTTGTAGTTGTGATGTTAGGTTGTTAAATTGAGACCTTTCTAACTTTTTGATGTGGGCATTTAGTGCTATAAATTTTCCTTTTAACACTGCTTTATCTGTGTCCCAGAGATTCTGGTATGTAGTATCTCTGTTCTCATTAGTTTCAAAGAGCTTCTTTATTTCTGCCGTGAATTCATTATTTACCTAAAAGTTATTCAGTAGCACATTACTTGAGTTCCATAAAATTGTGGTTTTGAGTGAATTTCATAGTCTTGATTTCTAATTTGATTGCACTATGGTCTGAAAGAGTGGTTGTTATGGTTTCAGTTATTTTGCATTGGCTGAGGAGTGTTTTATGTCTGATTATGTGATTGATTTTAGAGTATGTGCTATGTGGCAATGAGAAGAATGTATATTCTGTTTTTGGTTGGAGAGTTCTGTAGATGTCTATCAGATTCATTTGATCCAGTGCTGAGTTTAGGTCCTGAATATATGTGTTAATTTTCTGCCTTGCTGATCTAATACTGTCAGTAGGTTATTAAAGTCTCCCACTATTATTGTGTAGGAGTCTAAGTTTCTTTGACGTTCTCTAAGAACTTGTTTTATGAATCTGGATGCTCTTGTGTTGGTTACATATATATTTAGGATAGTTAGGTCTTCTTGAATTGAACCCTTTACCATTATGTAATGCCCTTCTTTGTCTTTTTTTTTTTTTTTTATCTTCGTTGGTTTAAAGTCTGTTTTGTCTGAAATTAGGATTGTAACCCCTGCTTTTTTCTGTTTTCCATTTGCTTGGTAGATTTTTCTCCATCCCTTTATATTTTGAACCCATGTGTGTCATTGCATGTGAGGTGGGTCTCTTGAAGATGACATACCAATGGGTCTTGGTTCTTTATTCAGCTTTCCACTCTGTACATTTTAACTGGTGACATTTAGCCTATTTACATTCAAGGTTACTATTGACATTTGTGGATCTGATCCTGTCATCATGATGTTAGCTGGTTATTATACAGACTTGTTTATGTAGTTGCTTTATAGTGACACTGGTCTGTGTACTTAAGTGTGTTTTCTTAGTGGCCAGTAATGGTCTTTCCTTTCTAAATTTAATGCTTTCTTTGGGAACTCTTGTAAGGCGGTAACAAATTCCCTCAGTATTTGCTTGTCTGAAAAGGATCCCTTCACTTATGAAGCTTTGTTTTGGCTGGATATGAAATTCTAGTTTAAAATTTCTTTTCTTCAGTCGTGTTGAATATTGGCCCCCAATCTCTTCTGGCTTGTAAGATTTCTGCTGAGCGGTCCACTGTTAGTCTGATGGGCTTCCCTTTGTAGGTGACCTAACCTTTCTCTCTAGCTGCCTTTAACATTTTTTTCTTTCATTTCAAACTTGAAGAATCTGATGATTATGTGTCTTGGGAATGATCTTCTTGTGAAATATCTTACTGGGGTTATCTGCATTTCCTGAATTTGAATGTTTGCCTTTCTAGCTAGGTTGGGTAAGTTCTCGTGGATGTTATCCTGATATGTTTTCCAAGTTGTTTGCATTATCCCCATCTCTTTAAGGGACACCAATGAGTAGTAGATTTGGTATCTTTATATTATCCCATATTTCTCAGAGGTTTCATTCATTCCTTTTCATTCTTTTTTCTCTAGTCTTGTCTGACTGTCTTATTTCAGAAAGCCTAATTTCAGTCCTCAAGCTGTGGATATTCTTTCTTCTGCTTGGTCTGTTCTGCTATTAATACTTGTGCTTACATTATAAAATTCTTGTAGTGTGCTTTTCAGCTCTGTCAGGTTAGTTATGTTCTTTTCTATACTGGTTATTTTGTCTCTCAGCTCCTGTCTCATTTTATTGTGATTCTTAGCTTCCTTGAAATGGGTTTCAATGTACCCTGCATCTCAATGATATTTATTCCTGTCTATATTCTGAATTCTATTTCTGTCATTTCAGCCATCTCAGCCTGGTTCAGAACCCTTCCTGGAGAGGTGGTGTGGCCATTTGCAGGAAAGAAGGCAGTCTGGATGTTTGAGTTGTCAGAATTCTGCTGATTGTTTCCCCTCTTACGGGCTTATGTTCCTTCAATTTTGAAGTTGCTGACCTTTGGATTTTTTTCTTTTATCCTACTTGATAACCTTGGGGGTTCGATTATGGTATAAGGTGCATTTGGCCAACTGGCTTCATTTCTGGACTATTTTAGGGGACTGACACTCAGTTTCCAACTCCTGGACTGTGTACTCTAACTCTGGGGGACTTGTCTTCGGCCGCAACTTTGTTCTCTGGCTCCTCAAGGTTTGGAATCCATTGTGCCAGGGGTGCTGAAGTGCTCCTGGACCACTGGTCACTACACTCTAATGGGTGGTGTCAGCTACAATGTTTTATAGTATGGTGACAATGGGATCCATCCTTCTTTGCGCATGGCAGCAGCGGTGGCAGTGGCAGTGCAGCAGGGTGCACACTTATTGGTTGCAGCAGGGTGCTAGCAGGTACTGGGGTGCCTGCCTCTGTGCAGCTGTTCACCACAGTGGTGGAAGCAGCATGGCTCAGGGAAGCAGGGGGCCCCTGCTGGCAACTCTGTGGTCACACTGGTGGTGGTGTTGGCATGGGGGCAGGAAACTCGCAGGTGCAGGTCTGTATGTGTCGTCTGTGCACCACAGTCAGGGGTGGTCACTCAAGGCAGGGGAGGGTCTACTGTTCTCTGTGCCTAGTTTGACTCCTGTGGCAGTATTGGCACAGGGCAGGGGGCTGGCAGGGGTGGGGCTGGCAGGCTCTGTGCCTGCCAAGGCTCTAACTGCAATGGCATTCAGCGGTGGTGAGAAGGGATGAACTGTACTCCTGCCTCAGTGGTGGCAGCGCAGGGTGCACACACATACGCCAGTGGGGCAAGGAAAGCAAAACCTGCTGTTGTCTGTGATGGTTAATACTGAGTGTCAACTTGATTGGATTGAAGGATGCAAAGTATTGATCCTGAGTGTGTCTGTGAGGGTGTTGCCACAGACAGTGGGCTAGGAAAGGCAGACCTACCCTTAATTTGGGTGGGCACCATCTAATCAGCGGCCAGCATGGCTAGAATATAAAGCAGGCAGAAAAATGTGACAAGACTAGACTGGCCTAGCCTCCCAGCCTACATCTTTCTCCTGTGCCAGATTCTTCCTGCCCTTGAACATCAGACTCCAAGTTCTTCAGTTTGGAGACTCAGATTGGCTCTCCTTGCTCCTCAGCTTGCTGATGACCTATTGTGGGACTTTGTGATCATGTGAGTTAACACTTAATAAACTCATATATATATATACATATATATAAAATATATATATCCCATTAGTTCTGTCCCTCTAGAGACAGATATATATCATATATATATATATATATATATATATATATATATATATATCCCATTAGTTTTGTCCCTCTAGAGAACCCTGACTAATACAGATTTTGGTACAAGGGGTGGTGGTTCTAGAGAAACAGAAAATTAAGGATAGGGTTCTTTAGTTGGTTTTTGGGATGCTGGAGTTGGCTGCTTAATAAGATTAGACACAAAAATGCTAAGGACTCTACTTCTAATAGTATGAAGAATACTGATAGTCCTTGGTGTGAAATGTTTAGAGAGTTATGCAAAATAAATGCATTTGACACTCCTGATTCACCACTCATGAGAGGCAAGGAGTTTAGTGACTCCATACATCATAACTTTGACCATATGTGGAGAACTAAAGAACATTAATGAAGCTGGTTGGTTGCCCGTAAGTTTAGTGGACAAAGTGATGAAAGAAAATGATGAACTCAGGGATTCTAACTTCTGACTTCAGAAGCAGATACTGAGCCTCATATCTTCTAAGATTGTCCTGGATAAGGGTCTTATCTCTTGTAGAAAATGAGCTGAAATTTTGGAAAAACAGACAGAAACTCTTATCATGCAAGTGGCTGACCTGCAACAAAAGGTACATGCACAGCCTTGCCAGTAGACACTGTGCAAAAGACAGATGGATCTTGGAGAATGACAGTGGTTTGTCATAAGCTTAATCAAGTGGTGACTCCAATTGCAGCTGCTATACCAGATGTGGTTTCATTGCTTGAGCAAATTAACACATCTCCTGGTACCTGCTATGCACCCATTGACTTGGCAAATGCCTTTTTCTCCATTCCTGTCCATAAGGCCCACCAGAAGCAATTTGCCTTCAGCTGGTAAGGCCAGCAATATACCTTTACTGTCCTACCTCAGGGGTGTATCAACTCTCCCGCTTTGTGTCGTAATCTTTTTCAGAGAGACCTTGATAACTTTTCGCTTCCACAAGATATCACACTGGTCATTTACATTTATGACATTATGCTGATTGAATCCAGTGAGCAAAAAGTAGCAAACACACTGGACTTAATTTGTGAGACATTTGCATGACAGAGGATGGGAAACAAATCTGACTAAATTTCAGGGACCTTCTACCTCAGTAAAATTTCTAGGGTCCAGTGGTGTGGGGCCTGTCAAGATATTCATTCTAAGGTGAAGGATAAGTTGCTGCATTTGGCCCCTCCTACAAGCAAGAAAGAGACACAATGCCTAGTGGGCTTATTTGGATTTTGGAGGCAGCATATTCCTCATTTGGGTGTGTTACTCCAGCCCATTTGTTGAGTGTTTCCCACGCAGCTGTCTCCATCTCAGGTGATGGCAAATCCATCTTGCCTCTTGCTTGGGCCTAAAAATCTTGAAACCTTAACTCTTCTATTCCTCTCTTATTTCATATCCAACCCATCAGGAAATCATGCTGTGGGTATTTCAAAGTATACCCATAATCCAACTGTTTCTCACCACCTCCATTGCTACCACTCCGTTCTAGAGCAACCCTCCTTTCCTACCTAGACTATTGCAGTAGTCTTCTAACAAGACTTTCTGGCTCTAACCTTTCCCCACTATAGTCTTTCTCCAACACATCAGCTAGAGCAATCCCTTTAAAATGTAAGTCGGGTAATGCCACTCCTCTACTCAAAACATCGTTTTACTCAGATAAAAGGCAAAGTTCTTTCAATGACCAAAATGCTCATCCTGATCTGCTGACTCTGGACCTATATGACTTGCTCTTCTTCCTCCTTTCTTTTCACTCACTGCCCTGGAAGCACTGTGGCCTTTCCCCTTTCCTGAAATGCTCTAGGCGTATTCCTGCCTTAGGTCCTTTGTTCAAGTATTCTGTAGCTCAGGAACTCTTCTCCAGATATTCCTTGGCTTGCTAATCTCCTTTAAGTCTTTGTGTAAATGTCACCTTTTCCATAAGGCCTTCTCTGACAACAAATGTTTATACTGCTACCTGTACCCACCCTCCACATCCCTTTTACTATTTTCTTTTTTTTTTGTATTTCCTTTTGATTCATTCATTTATATTATTCATTGCTTTTTTCTACTCTCCCCAGCAGAATAAAATCATTATACAGGCAGGGTGTTGTTTATTTTGTTCCCTTATTTATCTCCAGTGTCCAGAATAGTGCCTGCATAGAGTATATGCTTAATAATTTTACTTCTTTGTTTTCTCTTTCTCTTTTTTTTTCTTTCTCTAAGTACACAAACACTTTAAAAACTTTAAAACAAACACCTCAATTAAAAGTGGGAGATGAATAGACACCTCACCAAAGAAGATACATAGATGGAAAATAAGCATACAAAAGATACTCAAAATCATTTATCATCAGGGAAATGCAAACTAAAAGAACAATTAGAAAGTATTACATACCTATTAGAATGGCAAAAATCCCAAAACTGACAATATTGATTTCTGGCAAAACGTGAAGCAATGGAAATATTCTTTTATTGCCTGTGGGGATACAAAATGGTACAGCAACTTTTGCAGTTTCTTACAAAGCTAAACATGATCTGAACCAGCAATTGTGTTCCTAGGTATTTACTCAACTGATTTAAAAACTTATCTTCACATAAAAACACAAATAAAATGTTTATAGTAGCTTTATTTATAATTATTAAAAACTGGGAGAAAAGATAATCCTTCAATAAGTGACTGGATAAACAAATGATGGTACATACATATAAAGGAATTTTAGTCCAACAAAAAGTGATAAAAAGGAATGGGCTAATGAACCATGCAAAGCCATGGATGAATTTTAAGTGCATATTGCTAAATAAAAGAAGCCAGTCTGAAAAGAGTACATACATACTGTATAGTTCCAATTATATGGGATTCGGGAAAGGGCAAAATAAAAGAGATGGTAAAGAGATCAGTGTTTGCCAGAAGTTCAGGTGTAATAGAGACGATTGAGTTGATGAAGCATGGGATTTTTTAGGATGGTAGAACTCTTTTGTATGATACTGCAATAATGGATACTTGACAATATCTGTTTGTCAAAACCCATAAAAGTTTAGCACAAAGAGTAAACCTTAATGTATGCAAATAAAATATATTTAGGAGGTCAAGGAATCTCAGGATGGAACTCAGAATGTAACAAAATAATCTAACTGTATTTCAGTGTATGAAACAATCTCACTGCAGGAGAAGGCAGAAGAAGGAATGGCCTAAGTAACTTTGGAGATAAGTATAGCCTGTAAGACTAAGGCAGAAGGAA
This sequence comes from Homo sapiens, assembly GCF_000001405.40. Classification (NCBI taxonomy): domain Eukaryota; kingdom Metazoa; phylum Chordata; class Mammalia; order Primates; family Hominidae; genus Homo; species Homo sapiens. Next base: position 95,868,682 of record NC_000008.11, on the reverse strand, counting down.
CTATATATAAGCGCTGAAGTCTAGTTGATGAAGTTGTTTCCCATGGGAGTAAAGTTTAATAATTCTGTACCTGGTTTCCAGCATCAGGAACCCATTTACCTAATTGTTTGATTCCAATATGCATGTAACTATACAGTTAAGTAAATGGATGGTAGATGGTGGGAACCTAATTTCTCACTGTTGAAGTAGGAAGTTACAGATAAGCAAGGGAGGAAGAGGCTATGATGGCTCATGTAGTAATGAATTAGAGTTGGAGGCATTTGTGTAAACTCGCAGTTAGTTTAGTATAGATATAGAAAATTGCATATAGAAATATTTATAGAGATGTATATATAAAAAGTTTAGTTTAGATACAGGTTTTCTTGCTCTATCGCCTGGGAGGTACTAGAAGCAACAACACCACAGCAACAAGGAGCATACCTAGCACCCAGGTCTTGATTTCTAGTGCTATTCTCCAATAAAACGATCCAGAGCTCCTTAGAGAAATAATGGGTTCTAATATTGGGAAAAGAAATAAAGATGAAATATAGATGAGCCTGGAGCATCTTATAGTGCAGAAAGGAAGTGTTCAAACATGTACACACACACACACACACACACACACACACCCCAATAATGACAATATGTTGAAGGGTCAAAGGGACACTGGAGCTGACTAAAAGACCTCCCAAATGACCCAACTGAAAAGATTTGAGCAAAAAATAAAGTAGTATTGGAGAGCATAAAATATATATCCATGAGTCCATACTGATATAAATAAGTAAATAAATAAATGGGGGAGAATAGATAAATCTCCTATGCAGAAGAATTTCAAATAATTTATGTAGATATTCTGTCCTCAAAGAGGTGGAGCACAACTCCCCATTGTGTGGAAACCGGGGAAAAGAGACTTTACATTGGAGAAACCTGACAAACAGTCCCTCAGCCAGGTGGTCAAGTTTAACATTAGGAGTAATAAATTCTGTTGATAGTATGTACTCTTTAAAAAAAAAAAAAAAAAACTTTGAGATGAGGTCTCACTGTGTCACCCAGGCTGGAGTGCAGCTGCGTGATCACGGTTCACTGCAACCTTAACCTCCCAGGCTCAAGTAATCCTCCCATCTCAGCCTCCTGAATAGCTGAGACTACAGGCATCCACCACCATGCCTGGCTATATAATATAATATATATAATATATAATTATTACTTTTTTCAAAGACGAGTTCTTGCTATGTTGCCCAGGCTAGTCTCAATCTCCTGGGCTCAAGTGATCCTCCCTCTTCAACCTCCCAAACTCCTGGGATTACAGGTATGAGCCACTGCACCCAGACTGATATTATGTACTCTTGACGTGATATGGTGACAATAACACTTTACCTTTGTGGTGGTTTTACTAAAAACTCATAACGCCTGTCTACTTATGAGAAGAGACATCAGAAAAATAACAAATGAGGGACATTCTACAAAATACCTGACCAGTACTCCTAAAAACTGTCAAGGTCATGAAAAACAAGGAAAGTCTCAGAAACTATCAGGAGCCTAAGACACATGATGGCTAATGTAGTGGAGTATCCTGCATGCTATCCTGGAACAGAAAGAAAACTAAAATTCAGAAAACATGAATGAACTATGGGCTTTAGTTAATAATAATGTATTGATATTGGTTCATTAATTGTAAGAAGTGCACAATACTAATACATGTAATGTAAGATGTTACTAATAGGGGAAGTAGGTGTGGGGTATATGGAACTCTCTGCATTATCTTCCCAGTTTTCCTGTAGATTTAAAACTATTTTAAATTTACAAGTGTATTTTTTAAAAGCTCTTAAAGAATCTCAAATTTACAGAAAACTTGCTAGTACGAAGAACCCTTTATTTCCCACACCATTTGAAATGATGCCCCCAGATACCCCACCACCCTCAGAAACTCAAGTGTGTGCTTTCTACAAACAAGAACATTCTCCCACATCCTCACAATGCAACCATCAGTATCAGGAAATTAACATTGATGTATCACTACCATCAAATCCACAGACTCCAATTACCTCAATAATGTCCTTTTATCACATAGGAACCAGTCCATCACACATTGCATTTAATTGTCAAGTTTAAAAAATCTCACTCACTTTGGAATATTTTCTCAATATTCTTGATTTTCATGATCTTGATTTTTTTTTGAAAATTACAAACCTGTTATCATGTAGAATGCCCCTCACCTTGAATTTGTAAAATATTTTTAATATTACAATTAATATTGTTTATTTATTTATTTTGAGATGGAGTTTCACTCTTGTTGCCTAGGCTGGAGTGCAATGGTGCAATCTTGGCTCACTGCAACCTCCGCCTCCCAGGGTCAAGCGATTCTCCTGCCTCAGCCTCCCAAGTAGCTGAGATTACAGGCACCTGCCACCACGTCCAGCTAATTTTTGTACTTTTAGTAGAGACGGGGTTCACCATGATGGCCAGGCTGGTCTTGAACTCCTGATCTCAAGTGATCTGCCCGCCTCGGCCTCCTAGAGTGCTGGGATTACAGGCGTGAGCCACCACGCCGGCCTATTTGTTTTTGTTTTTTGTGGAGATGGGGTCTTGCCATGTGGTCCAGGCTAGTCACAAACTCTTGGCCTCAAGTGATCCTCCCTCCTCAGCCTCCCAAAGTGTTGGGATTACAAGAGTGTGCCACTGCACCGGCCTATATAATGTTTTCTTGAGGTTAAATTCAAGTTGTGCATCTTTGGCAGGAATATCACAGAAGTGATGGTCTTATTCTTACTGCATGATATCAGGTGGGGATGTGTCCCATTAATGATGAACTTAACTTTAATCACTCAGTTTAGGTAGTGTCTACCGGTTTCCTCCACTGTAAAGTTACTCTTGGTCCTTTTGTAGCTAAAAATTATTTGGGGGGATATACTTTGAAACAATGTATACATCCTCTTTCTCATCCATTTTTCAATTTCTTCGTTTACTTTTTTTATATCAGTTTTGACTCTTGGTTTCCTGTTGTATTCAACAGGTTATATGATCTGTGGCTATCATTTTTTATTTTGATGTTTGCATTGGTTTAGAGTTAAGCTGTTCTGTGGACTTTTGGTGTCTCATCATCATTCTTACTTTTCAGACACAAGAAAATGTTTGAGACTCCTCTAGTTTTTCCTTTCCCCAGCCCTGGAACCAGCAGTTGCTCCAGAGAGGGGTTCTTTTCAGTGGAGAACGGTGTCCAGAAACAGGTTTCATGTCAGGATGTGCTCATTGTCCTTGCTCTCATTGAGAATGCACACATGCACACATGCACGCACGCACACACACACACACACACACCCCAAAGATCATAAATTCTCACTGAGACGTATCATTCTAATCCAAACTGCACAAGATTCGGTCTAGTTTTCTGCTTCTCCATGTTTGTTACTTCTCCATTCACAGTGACAACACCAGCATCTATTATCTTTAATATATTTGCTGATCAATCCTCCTTCTCATGTAACCAATCTCTCATCCCACTGCCTGCCCAGCACGATGCCCGCCTTCTCCTCTCAGACTCTGACACCCCACTCCAGGTTGTGTCTCCCTGCACTGATGCTCCTTTCACCCCTGTGGGCTCCCACACAGTGCGCCAGGCCACTGCGGAAGGTGGAGATGCCTTACTCACTGCTGTAGCTGGCACCTGTGCAGTATGTCCTCCTTTGCTGATGTTTTCCTCACCCCACATGAGCTCTAACATACCCCACTGGAGGTGCTTCCCACCCCACCCTCTGTGTGGTCACCTCCTCCCTGGTCAGACTCTGACACCTGCTGTGGGCCTTGGTACTTCCTCCACCCTGGTGAAGATGCCCTCAAAATGGATTTAGGACTGAATTGTTCTGAAAAGGAAGAGAAGAGAAAGAAGAAGGAGAAAAGGAAGCAATAAGTATTTCTCGAATAAATAAATGCTAAAAAATCCCATACTGCTGAACTATTGCTCCCTATAGGATGCCTAACCATATTGTACAGGGAGTGTGTTACATTGTTCACAACAGGAGGGATCAATTTCTAACTGAAATCAAAGCTGGAAGTCATACCCATCTTCAAAGAGGTTTTAGCATAGACTTCTATAGTCACAGTTCTCCATAGATTGGTGGCTAACCCACATGTTTGAGCCTAAATCTCTCCAGCTTCTGAACTTTCTGTCCATGCCAGTGGCAGGGCAATAGGAGGAGATTAAACACGGAAACTACCAAGACCCCACTATTGGGATGGGGAAAGTTTAAAGATACTGCACAGGAAGTATCACTTGTTGTGGTACTCGGGAGGGATCCATTTTGAGCTCATATTTTAAGCAGGAAGTGCCTTTTCCTGCCAAAAGAATTTCTTAATTTCTCTTCTATTGCTATAGTATATGTGACATCAATGAGAAGAGAGAGAAAACAGGGTCATTCATGGTCATTAAGGGGCTGGGTCACTGCACAGCTTTTCTGGTTAGTAAGTGAAGTGTGCGGCAAGCAGTGTGCAGGACTCAAAGAAGGCCACAAAAACTTCTATGGAGATCACCAGTGAGTGTGGAGAGGCTCATCTGAGCAATGAGTAATCAATATTTATCTGGGCACGGTGGCTCATGCCTGTCATCCCAGCACTTTAGGAGGCCAAGGTGGGTGTATCACCTGAGGTCAGGAGTTTAAGACTAGCCTGGCCAACATGGTGAAACCCCATCTCTACTAAAAAAAAAAAAAAATCAGCCAGGTATGGTGGTGGGCACCTGTAATCCCAGCTACTCGGGAGGCTGAGGCAGGAGAATCGCTTGAACCCGGGAGGCGGAGGTTGCAGTGAGCCGAGATAGTGCCATTGCACTCTAGCCTGGGCGACAGAGCGAGACTCTGTCTCAAAAAAAAAAAATTCAAAATTAGAAACAAAAATTAGTAACTTTATTACGTAATCAAAAATTCAGTAAAATGTAGCCAACCCTGCTCAGATGGAGTAATCCAGACCACACTAGAGCTATTTCTTTAGCCACAGTAAATGATGGCTATCACCCATTTGTGGCTCAGTGTGCTGGATTGTGTCTTGGGAACTCAGCACTATTTTTTCTCTTTCCATGCTCTCTCTTCCAGTAGTCTGAAGCCTGGGAACTATGTTTTCAAAATTTCTGCCAGCAAATTCTAGATTAGGTTTCTTCAATGGGAAGCACTTTATTAAAATGTAGGTTTTTAAAGTTATTCAAGTATGGTGAGGCCAGCAGACAAGGATACAATTGCCATTGAAAAGCTAGCTCTGTTTACAGATCCCAAGAGAGGGGATATGTTGTACCACTGGGGGACAGCACATGGGAGAAGCTCCAGAGTTGCTCAAGAGGCAGGGTGGGTGGTGAGGGTGAAATGTGAACAAGAACCTTTATTGTGGTTTCCACTGGAAAGAACAGGTGGGGTAGGGTATACAGGTTTAGGATTGGCTAGTTTGAAAAATTTCAGTGGGCTCTGGGATGTAGGGGCTGTCCTTAGTTGTCTGGTATCTGGGCCTGGAGTGATTAGGGCAGATGGATAGTGACCCAGAGTAGTAGACTCCCATAAAGGAGGTGGTTGGGGTATGGAGTCCGGATGGGCTAGCTTGTTTCTAAAAGGTATGCTCAGAGGATATTTATTTGCTATCTCTAGGAATTAGCTAACCCTGGGAGGGGCAGTGCCTCTTGGGTAAACAAGGTCCCAAGATGTCAAAGCAACAGAAAATAAAGACATGGGTAATGTAGGCACTCACATGAGATTTGGAAGGCTGAGCAGAAGCAGAAGTTGTATTATTGTTTTCCAGCACCAGTAGGCAGGCATGAGATTTTGCGTCAACTCCAGAGACATTTCCTGCCAAACACCCACCTCAGAGCTGTGAGTACTGCCAGCAGTTTCTTGTTGCTGTAATTTCTTGACTTCCTTAAAGCTAGCAGTGGTCTTCTCTGATCTCCCTTGTGCCAGTTCTATGCACAGTTTTGTTAGTACCCCCAGTTCCGTGTATTAAAATCTTCTTGCTTGAAATATCTAGAATTATTTCTGATTTTCTGACCAAACCCTTACTGATACACTCAGGAAATTGTGGGGATTACTGTGTACCTTTTATAGTTCATTGTTGATAAGTATGCTTGCGTTAATTTGGCTTCTCCCAGGGCAAAATTTTTGTACAACTGGTTTTTTTTTGGAATTCTAACTTAACAGCTCTTGTGAGCTGCATGCTACAGTCTTTTCTATTCCCAAAGCACTGTATCTTCCTTTCTGCCACTGTATGATAACTAAGTGTCATAATAATTTGTACACACACTTGTCTCTTCTGAAGGATCCAAGGGTTCCTTTAAGATAGGGACCTTGTATATATCACTGTTATAGTGTCAGGATTTTGCACAGTTCTTGGCATACTGAAAATGAATGAATATATACTTCCCAGAAAGTGGGCATGCCCAGCCTTGGCTATAAGCAAGGTGTGTACAAAAATAATCATAAAATGGCCACTGTTTATTGGTTGTACTATATGCTAGGTGCTTTTTAATTGTTATCCCATTTCATCCTCATAGAAACCTTGTAAGGTAATAGTATTTGAAATTGAGGCTTAGAGAGGTTTGGTCTTGCTTAAAGTCACATAGCTAAGAAATGCTATAGCCAAGAAGTAAACCCAGTTCTATCTGCAAAGCCTCATTCTATCCACTATGCTGTTAGCTCTCCCTGAGGACAAGGAAGGTACCTAGTTCTAGGAAAGAGGCAGTAAAATATAAAGGTCAGAGAAATTTGAATGCCAGGATGAGGCTGAAAGTCTGTAATACGTTTTCGTCTATAAGCAGAATGAGGGAGTAGAGACTAGCAGAGCCACTGACCTACTGTATGAGGAAACAAACTTGGAGACCAGGAGCTGAGGGGTTAGTGAGTGTGGAAAGGATCGAGAAGAAACAATTGAGAGGAATCAGACTAGCTAGAGCAAGACTTGATAGCTGAAACAGTTTGCTGCTATAGCTCTGATTGCCTTTTTTGTCTCTTACCCGATAAGGGATTGCGGAGCTGCATGGGTACTGAAGGCCGGGTAAGCAGAGTGTAGGCAGCGAGTGGTTCTGCTCACAGGCAGGTAACATTCCTGAAAGAGATGCAGTCCTGTCCTCCCCCCACCTCCTCTCAGCATTAAAGAAACAAAACAAAACACTGAGGTTTATTTAAAACCAGTTGAAATACCAGCACTTTGAAGAGGGGTTTGGGGCAGAGCAAACTCAACGTTAACTGCTCTTGGAATGAGAACAAGAAAGAAAATGAAGAACTTGGCTTTCAAAGATTTAGCCAAGAAGATTTAGAAAGTTGCACAGAGGAACAAATTCCCAGTTGAGTGGGGATCTGTTTTCTCCACTTATCTGAGATCAGAGCCAACTGTCCTAGTGGTTCTGAAGGGCTCTAAATGTTTCTTTCCACTTGGGTGGAGCTGTTTTGGCCTATTTAGAACTGGATGCAAGTGGTTGCCCACCGACTTGCCTAAGAACTCTTTGAAGGAAAATGGATTATTCATCTTTACATTTTCACCACTTAACACAGTTCCTGACTTGGGTTAGTTGAAGGAATAAATGATAAAAAAAAAAAAGGCAAATAAACCAATAGATACATGGAAATAATTTACCCTGAGATATATCTTATTTTCTGTTGTATATAAAAATACATAAAATATTTGTCTTAAATTTATGTAAAATAATGGTAAATTTGTACAGGCTTTGGAAAATATTCTTGGCAAGCAAGGTTTGTGGACTGATAGCTTCAAAAACTTGATCTGCGAGACTATTTCCTGTTTGGTGGTCTAGCTATTAAGATCTTGAGATTGTCACAGGCAGGTGAGCTGATAGAACTAACGTGAAGTTTTCCCATCCAGTATTAAAGTGCAAATGAAATCCAATCTTAGAAAGATGATGAGCACTGAGCCTTGGAAAAAAGAAAAATTGTGCTTGCAGTGACCTTATTATTTTCCTTTATAACTACAAGTATTATTTCTTCACTTTACTTTTTCTGCCAATTTCTCACAGAGCAGTATGCACACATTATCAAGTTGTACAATAATGTGTATTGGTTTTCCAGGGCAGGGTATCAAAGGCCCTCATGAGGAAAGAAAAGGTTTTTGTAGAATGACACTAGATACTCTAAATGTTCTCATGTTCTTTGCCTTCTTAAACTGGACCTCTTTTTTGATCTGATTTTACATTTGAATATTTTGAATATAAGACATCTAGGACAGAAGAACAGTGTCCTCATTCTGCTAACATTTTGACATATTTTAAGAAGAAGAAGGAAAACAAGATAGCCTTAAGGGACAAAATTAAATCTTCCAGGAAAATCAGTAATGGGTTTCTTATTTTTAATTCTATTACAAATATAAAATTGGATATGTCAGTAAGTGATCCTGCCTTTATTCTGCTCACCATCTGCAGTATTCCAGATCAAAACTCTGATGATGGCCCATCTTACTGTATTTAAAGTTATCCAAGTAATTTACAGTTGAATCATCTCCACCTGTCCTTTGGGAACTTAGAAGAAAACTAACATTAGGCTTAATTTTCTTAGGACTTATTTTTAAGATGACTAGGCAAAAATGTTAAATTTAAAGCATTTGTGGTTATTCACATTGACCAGTGAATTCCTTCCCTGAAGTTCAGTCTCACAAATTGTTTATGAAGAATGTATACTAAGGCTTCAATTTCCAACAGCTCCCAAGAATGAGATTGTTTTATTGATATGATTAATCTCTTGCTCTGTGGGGCTAGCAGTACTCTCCTTGTTGCCTCCCTTCCACTAACCTCCCAGAACAGTCTAATCAGAAGAGACTAGTCCCTGAAATGTGGTCCTAATAGATCACGGCATTCTGTAGGACACTTGTTCTCAAAGGAAACATTCCAGATGTGAATTGAGAACAGTAAAAAGAATGCAAATGTCTCATTAATTAATAAATGTTGTTGGATGCTAAAATCAAACAGTTTGAAATTGAGGCCAGCATGTTTCTGTTTTCCAGTTAAATCTATAAATAACCTTTTCCCACTCACCTGAATTTGTTTTAGATATGCTTCAGCTTCCAGAGGAATTTAAGGACATGAGCCTTGAAAATGAGATGACTTCAGAATACCAAGTCTTAGCACCTTTTTCAGCAAGCAGGCTAACAAATGCCAACTTTTAAAAGTATTCTATGCATCTGCCGATACTTTTACCAGTCCACATTTTTAAAAAGTCTATCTTCCTAGCTATGTCAGTGCTCTAGCATACCCTCCTCCCCACCAGCCAAAGTGGTCCAACACATAAATGAAATGAAACCTTTCATAGACAGAAAAACTGTTTATTTTGAATGATTCTCAACTTTTTTTCTATCTCTTATTCATAAGGAGCGTTTGCTAAAATAGGAATGCACAATAAAATATCTTTCGAGTTTTCTATCACAAAGATAATACTAACTAAAGAGACTCCTTAAACTGGGAAAGTGGCATAAGTATCATCTCTAGTCTTTGCTCTCTAAGAACTTATAGTCTAGCACCTACAAACAGTGAAGATGTACTACCAGGCTGCATGTGGTAAGAAACTGTGAATGGAGGGGAAAATGTGAGCTACTGGTGCTATTGTGGAGATCCTGGTGTCAGTGGGGCAGTACTCAATAGAGAGAGAGGTTCACAGAGAAAATGAAATCTAAGTTGGACCTCAAAGACAGTGTATGTGGCTCCCGTTGCTGCTGCAACAAAAGTATCTTAAACCGAGTGGCTTAAAACTAGGAAGCTAGAAATCCAATATCCACATGTTGGTAGGGCCATGCTCTCTCTGAAGGTTCTAGGGAAGAATCCATCCTTGCTTCTCCCTAGCTTCTTGTGGTTGCTGGCAATCCCTGATGGTCTCATTTATGGCAACTCTAATCTCAGCTCCCATTGAAACATGATAGTCTTCCCTCTGTGTGTGTCTATCTGTGTCTGTCCTCCTACAAGGACACAAGTTGTTGGATTAGGAACTATCCCAAGCCAATATGGCCTCATTTTAACTTGATTACATTTTAAAAGACCCTATTTCCAAATAAGTTCACATGCATGACTACCAGGGGTTGGCACTTGAACATATCTTTTTGGGGGACACAATTTAACCCAAAACAGACAGTATCTTATATCAAGTTTGCTAGAAACAGAGCCCCAAAATGGGGAATCTTGAGAAGATAAATGTTGGACAAGATGTTCTCAGGAGACAGAGAGTGAGGTGAGCAGGCTAACAGAGGGTCAAGAAGCCAGCCAAGGAAGTGAGTTCAACTGGAGTCCAGTCTCAGCTTGGTCTCACGAGGGGCTCCGGATCACAAACAGCACCACAGAGTTGCCCCACCTTGAGGAAAAGGGGCCAGGCTGTATCCCCATGTCTGTTCACTCCCTGTCACTGGCTGTGGTTCCCCAGCCCCTGAGGAAGGGAGATGCATTACTTCATGGTAAGGCAGTTTTCTGGAGAAAGAGGTGCTATGAGCAGGTAGCAGCCAACAAACACAGCAGCTGGGGATGGGGACATCAGCCTGGTGAATAGGATCTGGTGGGACTCCAACTGCATTTACCGCATTTCACCCCTGGTCCTGTTCAGATCTGCTTGCCTTTCACACTAAGTTCCCTTCATTCTGGCACAATTTCTTTCAGCTTTTGGCTGTCACATTTTACAGAAAAGCTTAGGAGTAATGGCTAGTGGCTGCTACAGTTGGTCCTGAGGCTGTAGCTGACTCTCAGGAGTCCCTTTCCTTCTACATTTTCCTTATCTCTTGGCCAAACTTCTGCTAGTGTAAGTGGTTTGCATGGGGTGGGGTAGGTGTAAGTTTCTCTCTATCATTCCCTTATTAGGCCTCATTTGCTCTACTTGACAATTTCTAGTGAAATCCTGAGTGACCCAGTTGACCATGAGTGCCCAACATATTTCTTCCCACCTCCATTAGGTCACTGCAGTCCTACCTCCTCATGATGAGTAGGTTTAATTATTCAAGCTGGTATCATCATTCCCTTCTGCTCCTGCTGGTCTGCTGGCAGAAGTAGCCCAAAGGGCTCAGGCAGAAGCCTTGGCTCTAAGTTCAGTGGAACTCTTACTGTATCACCCGATTGAATCTTTCTATCCAGGACTTGGGACTTCTAGACCCACACAACCTAAAGTTGTGGTTATGGGAAGCACGAATTCCTCAAGGAGGTCCCTGGGAGTGATGGTCAGTGGGGCCACCCCTACTTCCATGTCTTGGTTCTCAGACCTATGTATTCTTCCTTCTGGGGGCAGGGCACCATATGATGGTAATTGGTTTAAGATATATAGCACATCCTGAAGAATGGCACCCCATCATTGCAGGGTCATCTCTAAGCAGAAGCCTTAGCTTCCCCTTCAAGAGGCCATTCCAGTGCTGATAGCTTCTAGATGGTGCCATATGTGGTGGGGTCAGTAGGACCCACTGTCATATACCCACTGTCATCCCTCCTTTGTTTTAAGTAGGTGCCTTGCTCTGAGGCAGTATTATGAGGGATCTCATGCCAATAGATCAGAGCCCCCAAGGAATGGTGCTGGCTAAGGCAGTGTGGCAGGAAAGGCAAACACACATCTAGAACACATGTCTCTCTCTGTTGAGATAAAACGTTTGTTCCCCTTTGAAGATGCAAGGATTCTGATATAATCAAGTTGTCACCGAGTGACTGTTGAATCTCCTCAGGTGATGTTACCATATCGAGGGGCAGCATTAGTTTCTGTTCTTGGCATGTTGGACATTCAGCTGTGGCAGTAATTAGATAATCCAGCCTTGGTGAGAGGAATATCTTCCAAGACCAGCATGCCAGAGAGCCATCTTGGGAATATTGCTTCAGGCAAGGACAACTGAAAACTTTTGAACAGCAGTGAAAAAGAGGAACTGATGAAATTGATATTTTAGAAAGACTTATCTAGATAATTATTATATATGTGTTAGTTACTTACCCAAATAGCCAGTTTCTTTTCTTTATTACTAAGCAAATTCCAGTTTTGTTCAGAGCCACCCTGTTGCCTTTTTCCAGGGCTTGAATTATGATAGTGCAACCCAGCCATGACAATCCTGACTTACATTCCTAGCCTCCCCTCAGATCTGGCCAAAGAGAAATAATAAGAAATCTAGTGGGGAAGTTCCTGGAAATGTTTTTGTTTTGATAGTGATTTAAAGATGCAGCTGGTCACACCCCCTATTCATACTCCCAACCTGAGCATGGATGTGATGGCTCTAAGGGTTGCAGCTGCTTTGCTATTACATAGGAAAGCTCAAGAAATCGAAATGTAGATGTCAGTTCTATCATTCATTGTCTGTTAAATCAAAGCTGGCAATTGCCTGACTCCAAACTTCTTCTATAAGAAAAATAAACCTGTATCCATTCAAGTCACTATGATCAATTTGAAGCCAAATTTATTCTTAAATATGTTTGGTTTAAAGGAGAAGTTAAATGAGGTCAATAAAGGCACTATTTAAAGGGCGATTGGGGTCAAGATTATGGTGCTGGAAAGCTGTTGATGGATGCAAGAGAAAATCCAAAGCAAATATTCAGAGAATTGGTTCATGTTGATGTACAGTTATAACTGATAATGAACTTACTTTTTATCACCACTATGCCATAATAAAACTACAGTAATTCTTCAATATCACATAATAGTTTTCCCATATTCAAATTTCTACAATTGTTTAAAGGTTTTTTTTCTCTAACTAGTTTGTTTGAATCAGGATTCAAAGTCCACACATAATATACAATTCTTATTCTAGAACAATTTCTTTCTCACCTTTTTTTCTAGTTGATTTGTTGGAGAAACCAGGCTACTTGTCGTGTTGACACTCTTATATCCTGGGATGGGCTTATTACTTCCTGGTTGTTTAATTTGATTCCTCCATCTCCTGTATTTCCTCTAAATCAATAGTTAGATGTAAAGGCCTTATTGGATTCAGCTTTAACTTTTTAGGCAATAATATTGCACAGGTAGTGCTGCATATTTCTTACTGCAGCCCATTATGATGTATATTTTTTTTAGTAATGCTGACTCAGCCTGATCCTTCCATTACCAAGTTCCACCTAATGGTTTTAACATCCAATGGGAATCTGCCTAAACCCATTATTTCATTAGTAGTGGTACAAGTGCAGTTCTCTAATTCCATTATTCTTTATTGGCTGGAATTCCTCTTTAAAGAACATTACCTTGGCATTCTATTTGGCAACTCTAAGATACAGCTTGTACAGGAAAGGCAAAATAAATGCTTAATTCTTTTCCTTTATAAGATTTCAGAGTAAATAGTTGATACTCTAGCAATCAGAATAATGACCAATTAGGTATTTTTTGTTCTTTGTGTAAAGTAGCATTGCAAGCTTATGGAATTTTATATTAACCCAGGCTGTGCATTAATCAGGGATGTTATCTCCATGACATGAAATGAGCATAGGCTGAGTACACAGGACTTGCAGTCAGAGAGAAAAAGGTTTTCATTTATTGAATAAATTTTATTTTCCATGAGCTTGTAATGTAAAATTCACTGCAGTCATCATTCTTTGCTAATTCTTTTGTTACTGAAAATCCCTTCACATTGTCCTTTTGACAGGACCCAGCTAGTCTTTGATAGCTTTCTTGATTTCTGGCACAAAACAATGCCACAAACTAGGAGTTATTTATTTCTTTAAAGATCTCTTGTTCCTCTTTGTTGGAAATGCTATTACAGGCCATTTAATTGGCTGCTAAGGATGCTCATTGCTACTGGGTCATCATTGCTTTAGAGTCTTTTCAGGGCACAGCACTAAAAATATGCATTTTCAAAAAGATACAAAATTGTGCAGTCATTTTAATATTTCCAACTCAAATTTAATTAAACATACAGCACATCTTTAGAACAGGATTGGAACACCTACTATGTATTGGGAAGAGTCAGATGACCCACTGGAAAAAATAGTGACCTGTCATAAAATCTGACTTTCTGCTCTGATGTAGCAAACTTCCAGCTAAGACAGTCAGTTATGCTCTGTGGACCTGGATTTCTCCCTATGCAAAATAAGAGTGTCGAACATGATGATCCTTATATTCCCCCTCAGCTCTAACATTTTCTGTATCTATGAACACAAACTCCATAAATAGAATATGTGTTTTTATCTGCTTAACAAGCATTTGTTGAAGGAGTGAATGAATGGACGAAGTGCTTAGAAACAACACTCTTACTAAATATTTACTTTTGGTGTTTTGTGACTAATAAACATTAGTTAAATGATTTCATTGAATTATTATTTAATGCACAGCATTATTTTAGGTACTCTGAGTGATTCAAACAAAAATAAAGTTAGATCCCTGTCTCATGAAAATTTGGGCCTACGTTAGGAAATAAGACATGTTCATGGGCAGTCCTTCATAAAAGCCCGCTGAACCCAGGCTGTGCATTATTCAGGGATGTTACCTCCATGATGTGAGGTGAGCATAGGCTGAGCGCACAGAATTTGCAGTCAGAGAGAAAAAGGTTTCCAATTTTTAATAGCTATTGGTTTGGGGATGCTCAATAGGTGCTACATATTATGCTTAATACTTTTAAAGTAATATCTGATTTAACTTCATTTGCTAGTATGAGATTTCAGCGTACTAGATTAGAGGTGGCTACAAGTTCTTTGATGCTCCTCCCAACAAGAGGTAATGTCTACATCCCTCCTCTTGAATATGGGCTGGACATTGACTGCTTTGACCAATAGAAGAGATTCTATTGGGAGATCACATAGGAGGGGCCTGCGGTTCCATGGAGATGGATAGGGGCCCAGCTGATTTCAGTCTGAAGACATCTCTACAAAGGTGCCAACTATGTAAATTCAGTCACATTGGACCCTCCAACCCAGCCACAAGCTGTGACCCTAGTCAATGCCAGGTGGAGCAGAATAACTGAGTAGCTGAGTCCAGCCCAAACTCCTGACACAGAAAACCATGAACTAGAATAAAATAATTGTTATTTAAAGCAACTAAAATTTTGAGTAGTTAATTATGCAGCAGCAGGTAACCTGAACACTTGGGTAAATAATCTCTCTGGAGCTCAGTTTCCTCATCTGTATGATGAAGATACCATCAACATCATTTTTACTTAAAATTTATTGGAAATTTACTATGTGCCAGGCATTCTTCTAAATACTTCCCATTTGCTGTAGTCTGAATGCTTGTGTTCTCCCCAAATTCATATGTTAAAATGCTAACCCCCAAAGTAATAGTATTAGGAGGTGGGGCCTTTAGGAGGTAGTTAGACATGAGGCTGAGCCCTCATGAATGGAATTAGTGCCCTTAGAAAAGAGGTCTGAGGGAGCTTGTCAGCCTCTTGCACCATGTGATCATGCAGCCAGAGAAGCCACCGTCTATGAGAAACAATCCTTCATTAGATGCTGAGTCTGCTGGCGCCTTGACAGTGAATTTCTAATCATCTCAAACTGTAAGAAATAAATTTCTGTTGTTTATAAGCCACCCAGTTATATTTGTTATAGCAGCCAAATGGATTAAGACATTTAATCCTCATATAATTCCTGTGAAATAAGTACTATGGATATTCCCAATTTCCAGATAAGGTAATTGAGTCATTGAGAATCTGAATGACTTAAACAAGGTCAACAGGCTAGAAAGTGACAGAGCTAAGAGTCAGACTCAGGCAGGCTGGCTGTGAGATAACAGGTTTATAAAACATGTAATATAGTGCTAGCCACACAGCAGGGCTCAGTTCGCGGTGGTGGTGGTGACGGTGGGGGCAGTAGTACAGTAGTTGTAACTATTGTTACCATTATCATCACACAGGAAAACCTTTTCAGGGAATCTGAGTACTGAACAAAGATCTTGATGAAAGAAAATGTTGTGTTTGGGATGATAGGAAAAATATCTTTGACTAGAAAGTGGAAGCAAAATGTAGTAGAGGAGCATGCAAGCATGGCGGGAGATGCTGCTGGGTGAGGGTGAGGGTGGGGATTAGAGTGGAGCTAAATGGAAGCTGAGGCAAGTAATTCAAAGCTGTGGCTCAAAGAAATTGACAGGGCCAGGCTGTGGGTGATTTACTGTGGCATCCAATCAGGCTGCACATTCATGAAATGCATGACTTGCTGCTGCTCCGCATTACCTTGTTTCCTCTCCCCAATTAAGGGAAATACCTTTTCATTTATGAAGTGGTACGTGGGCATCCGCGTGGTCCCACAGTGGAGGAGACCTGATGGGGGTCATATCAACATGACCAAGGTCAAGTGGTCAAAAGTCATTTACAGCCCATTAGGCACCATTTATGTCAGCCAGGCATATCCTGTGCAGCCTTCTTAAATGAAGTAAATATGCAAGATCCTTGGCTTTTAGCAGGGCTGCATGGCCATGGACATTTGTAAGGTAGCTGTGAAGTGCAAAAAGCAAGAGCCAAAGGGCTGGATGACCATGCTGCAGATGGGTGCTCAGGAGGCACCTATCTTATCCTCACATAAGGGTCACTGTTTTTCACAGAATCATCAAACGTTAATTCTGGAAAAGACCTTAGTCTAATTCACTTGTTTTAGAGATGCATAAACTGATGTCTGTCAAACCAAAGGGACTTGTCCAAGGTCACACAGCCCTTTATTGTCAGAGGCTAGGCAGTGGAACTACTACATTTTGTTACTCTTTCACTAGTTTTCCCTTAGAATACGTGGAGACCCAATATTACTTAATAAATGCCTTTGCATAACAATATCAAGTTGAGATAAATCATCTTGTATAGCCACACAAAACAAACTCCTAATTACAAAAAATGTCATGCCCCCTAAAAAATAGAAAATACATTTATTTTGTTAATAGAGGCATAATATAATTATGTGAGATTGAAGCAATAAGATAATTTAAAATATTTGAACACATAGAAAAGGTCAAACTGTTCAGTAAAATAACAAACATACAATCAAAAGAAATATCATAAATTTGAAAGCCCTTTAATGACATAATAAGATTTAATAGATAACTGGAAAGATAACTGGAAAGAAATGTAAATAGACGAATTGGCCAAATGTGATATAATTATTAAACACATGGTGACATGTTAAACCTCATTGACCATCAAAGACATAACAATTAAAACAAGGTAAAATTATATACACCTACTAAATAAGCAAAAGTTTAATTTTTTGGTGGATAGCAACCATGCTAACAATTGTAGTGATATAGTTTTCTGGTGGCACTCATATATTGATATAGTTGTTTTGGGAAATGATATGTCAATATTAAGAACCATGTAATATTTTTATAACTTTGGCTTGGTAATACCACTTGAGACTGTATCTAAAGCAATATCTCAACTAATCAATGACACCCAAATCTAATGCTCAATTTCTGATCCTTGAGAAGCATTCTAGTTTCCTATTTCTATTCTCCAACTCTTCCTGGTACCTTAAACTCTTCCTGTCCAAAGTGAAGCTCATCCCCTTTCCTCTAAACTGTGCAGCATGTCACTTTTAATCTCTGCATCACTGAAAACTAGCCCAGGGTTGGGCACATAGTAGCCTCATCATAAGGTTTGTTGAACAAATGAACTACTCCCATGTTTTTATCTTGCAAACTAAACTAGGAAATTTGGAGTTATACTTGACTGTCCCTTTCCTTCATCTTGATATAAAACCTGTCACAAAATTTTGTTATTTCAAAATGTCTCCTTTTGGTCTCTCCTTTCTTCTCATACTCTTCTTCTGTCCAGGTCCCTATGGCTTTGTACTTTGTTAACTGGAGTAGCCTCCTGGTTCATCTTTTGCTTCTCACATTTCTCTCTTTCCAAAATCATCCCATGGGAGTGTAACCTCCAGTTTATCAGTATCAATTAGATATCATTGGTGCAAGCAACAGAAAGCAATTCTGGCCAGCTTAAACAATAAAAAGAGATTTATTCAATTTCTGTGGAGCTCATAGAATGGGAGGAGGAGCTGATCAATCAAGTATCAGAAAGCTCAGAAACCGGGCTAGTCTCTGGATTTCAGCAATATGAATTTCCATACTGTGTCTTTTGGGTACTGCCATTAGATGATTAGCTCCAAGTGATTTTTAGTGCAGCAATGATTTTCCTAATGTTTAACATGTTACGCTTTCCTGCTGTATTGTAAGTCCAACAGGAAGGATCCTATAAGCTACTTTTCAGCCCAATAGTATTGAGCATATGGTACATATTTGATTAATAAAGACCAATGAGAGGACAGAAAAATGAGCCTGGCTTGTGGCAGTGTGTAGGGTGGATCACTGGGGAAAAGTAGCTCAGATGGAAAGCCTTATCTGGGATACCTCTTTACCTGTGAAAGCAGATACATCTGTTCCTTCTGGAGTAATATGTTCATCTGGTAGCCCTAGAGATCCTTGGCAACTTAAAGAGGAAAAAGATAATTGAGAAAGCAAATATCATGCCATCTACCAAACCAAGAGCATGCAGGCAACCCTGCCCTGACTCTAGAACTGAGCTCTTATTAATGCCAAGACGAGACGCCTGATGATTTCTGTGATTTGTCATGCAATAGTCCAAGCAGTTGCACTTATACCTAGAGAATTCTGAGGATCCTGTTAATAGTAGACTCCATTTTTTCTCTTTTATTTTTAGTTGACATGTAATAATCATACATATTTATGGAATACAGAGTGATATTTTGTTACCTACATATCTGCAAATTTTCAGCCAACCACGTTCTATGGGTTTCAAAGGAAATGTACAAAGAATACTGGACAGACAAATGAACATTTTCTATGGTAGCTCATATTAACCTGGTGACTCACGTAGTTCAGTCTCAAAACATTGTGTCCGGAAATAAATTTAAAGCCAAGAGTAAATGAAAAAGGGATTCTGGTCTTTGTGCTGCAATGAACATTAAAGGGGATCCACAGGAACACTTGCTGGAGCCCCTTTCCTCTCCCATCCATTTTTCTTATACCTACAGCTGCTACAGGGCCTCCCCTCCAGCCACTCTTCTCCTTGCCTTCATTCCTGCTTCTCCCCTGGAGTGTACCTCGTTAAGTAGGTCAACTTAGCCTTGCTCCCAAAGAGAAAGAAGCCTCCCTCTTTAAGAGTAGACAGGAGGCTTTGGACATTCAACTGACAAGTAAAAAATTTTCTCAACCTTTTTACGATTGGGGGTTGAGTCTCAGAACTCTGCTATCTCAATATTTATCTTATCATATATTACTAATCGGAATTTTTTTGTGAAATACCTATCTGATCCCCTTTCTTCATTACCTAGTTATTTGAGCTGGGAGGATTTATTTTGCTTAGGTGACCATAGCAGCTACATGGGCAGAAAGAAAAAGAAAAAAGTGAAGCAGTTTTTCAAAAGGGTTTCTCTAAGAAAGCTAAGAGGACAAGGGGGATCTTGAAAGGAGGAGCCTCTGATGGGTTCTCCAGGAAGAGCAAGAGCTCTGAACCTTGTTGCTCCTCCTACCAAATGCCCCACCACTGACACCTTAGTCCCATTTGTTAACCCATACAACACAACAGAACCCTTCCTCTTCAGGGCTTGGGGGTTTGAACTCCCTCTAGAGGCTGAAGTGTGCCAGTAAGAACAAATCATTACCGTATACATATATATTTATGGCACTTCAAACAGGTTGAAAGGTAGCCAAGTGTGAGGAACTTTGAGACTAATGAGAGACAGTGACTTGGTCCAACGCAAAAAAACTCAAAAAAGGCTTCATAGAAAAGGCAACAGAAAGAATGAGTGAGTGTATGAATGTGTATAGGAGTGTCACCTTGCTCTAGTTTATACTTGATTGCTCAAATTTTTCATTCTACATCCTTGAAAAATGCATGTAAATTACAGGCTGCATTCTATTTGGGGTGGGTGGGGGTGAGGCATTTCTTGGTTCTCTTTCTGGAATTTCTCTAGGTTTCTCCTTGCCATTCTACTTCCCAGCTGGCTGGCTTCAGGACAGGAATTCTTGGCTCTTTCTGAGATATGGTGGATGATAGCAGTCCCTTGGGGTAAGTATAGCTTCGATTTATGTCTGTGATCTTCCAAAGGGTTTGAAGCCCCCAAATGCTCTAAAACCAGGGCCAGATATTTTGAAACAGAATAATGAGACAGGGACAAACAAACAGATCTATCCCCCGCCTGCACTTCCTCTACATTGGCTTTAAATGGGGTGATGGTGTTTAGAAAAGAGGAGCCACCCAACTAGAAACAGAGTGGTTATTTTCTTCCCTGCTGTAGGAAATAATGGATCTGCTTTGAATGCCGTGTGCTGAGGGTGGGTGATAGCCAAGGAGTTAAACCACTTCCCAAGTTGTTTTTAACTAAACTCTTGCCGCAGGGTTTAGAAATCTCCCTCTCTAATTGATGTCTTTGGTCAGTGGCTGCTTATAATCAAGAAGATTGCACTTAAAAGGTATAGAGGCTGGTCTTGTTATTGGCATTAGAGGATTTTGCTTTGTAATTACAAGCCAGGATCTAGAACCAGTGCACAGGCTGTTGAGTTTCAGATCTCATACAGAGAAAATGGCAGGCATTTTAGTGCAAACTCTGCCTATTGATCAAGAAAAACTTTTGATCAATAGGCACAGTTTGATCAATAGGCACAGTGCTGTGCTGTTTCTAACAAGAAGTACCACTGGTTTTTCATCTTCAGAGTGTCTGTTATTCTGTTTGTCTTATAATAAAATTACTGGTTATATTCATTAAGCATTGTGAAGAATTTGGTATGTGCCAGGCATTATACAGAAAGGTTTATAAACCATGAACTACAAAAAGACTATATTTGAATTTAAGGCAATATGATCAGGAAGATTTGGGGAGGATATATATCAGAAGTTAGCAAATTTTTCTGTTAAGGGTGAGACAAAATATTTTAGGCTTTGTTGGCCAATACAGTCTCTGTTACCATTGCTTGACTCTGTTCTTGTAATGTGAAATCAGCCACAGACAACACATAAATGGATGTTGTCCAAGAAAACTATATTTTATTTATGGGTATTAAAATTTGAATTTCATGTAATTTTCACATGTCACAAAAAAAATCTTTCTTTGATCGTTTTTCAACCATTAACAAATGTCTAAGAACCATTCTTAGCTCACAAGGCTTTACAAAAACAGGCAATACAATATATTTGGCCCATAGGCCATAGTTTGCTGACCCCTGAGATGGACTAATTTCTGGGACCATCCTGTTGTTATTTGAGAGGTATCTGATGTAATGAGGGAAAGGACAGCTAGTACATTCCTTTGTTTCAGGCATGGCCATATGCAGCACTGTCACAGAGGCATTAGAATTGGTAAAATGTTGAAAGGTATTTGGAGGACATTCTTCACACTCCACTCCTCCCCATAGCAACTGTTCCAATGTGTAGAAACCTTCATGTGAGGAAAATTCTTCCCAAGGTCTAAATTGAATCCATTGTGCTAGAGGTAAAGCATTATCACCAAAATGAGGCCAAACACTAATGCATCTGAATTGTTCCTCCATAAAACCTGATAGCATGGGAAGAGCTTGGCTGTAGATGTGAATTATAAATAGGTGTGGGTTCAGGTGAGCACAGGCTTCAGACATCAACACATCAATCTTATTGCTGTCACCTGGAAAGAACCTTTGTCAAATTTAGAGTCTATCCTATACTAAATTCTGAAGCCGGAATGAGTGACTTTCAGAGGCAGTAAGTTACCCCTACTGAAATTATGTAAGGAGGGGTTAGAGATCACTTACTGATAATGGGAAGACAGTGAAACGGGATCTGCAATTTGAAGTTATAAATTTGAAGAACATCAAATATGTTGGCTTTGTGTTGGATGTCATCTTGTCTCAATTGGAGAAACAGCCTGAACAAAGAGAGATTAAAATGCAACATTTCATCATGCACCGTATTTTACATTTCCAATCACATAGGCACAGCCTCACAACTCAGCGGACATAATTATCAAGACCCACAGTTCCCTTAGTCCCTGGGATGAGTAAATGATCACCAACTAGGTGAGCATTTTACATCCAGTTTGGATTTTTCTCAGCCTCATGAGCAAAGTACCAGGCATTTGAGTAACCGAGGACGAAAAAGTGGAGGCGTTTCATTTTATTTTATAACCCAGATGAACGTCCTCTCCCCTGCTGATTTCTGATCTTAGAAACTAAATATCTGCTAAGGGGGACAAATTCCAAAAAGGGGAAAATTAAGCTGAGTTTCAGTTAAGTGTGTCCCAGTGGTGAGCATTTAAATCAGAGCTCAAGGAAAAAAAAAAAAAAAGTCTTATAAACCAAGTGGTGAAGCCTCCCCGCCCTGGGCTCTTAGGGTCCAGCCCTACGAGAAAGGGCAGGTCCCTAAGGCAGCTCTCTCTTGCACTGGCTGGATGAACTGCTGTGTCAGCAGCTCCATGCATCATTAGCCGACCTGGAAAAACTCCAGCTGCTTTCCTCTTACACTCTCTCTGTACCTCTCACTTTAAAAAAGCTTTCATCAACATCATCCCAAACATCTTTTGTTTTCCCAGCTGGAGTAGCCTTTCTTTCTGTTTGTATCCCATCTTTAGCCAACTAAGTCTTTTGCCCTTAAGAACGGCAACCATGAATCAAAGGGAATCATCACCTGTAAACTCTAAAGTGAGTCTGAGCGCTTTGGGATTCCCCCTCCCATCTATCTTCTTGGAGCTGCCATATTTAGTTACATTTTCCTGTTCACTGTTGGTGGTCATTATCTCCCTCCTTTTTCCATCCTCTGTATTAGAAACAAAAGTATGAAGATCCTCCCAGCAATATTTTCTTCTGAGATTTAGCTCCAATACAACATAATCCTCTCTTTGCTTGGTGGGTTTCCCAATTCCTCTGTCAGGCAGGGGTGAGCTACGTGTCTGGTCTTTGGCTGGAGTTATTTACTACATAAAATGATCTCTTCTTCCAGGGTTTCCCCCAAATTCCTCTGCAAATGGTTTTACAATAAATCCAGGAAAGAAAATCAGACCTTTTTTTTCATTTGTTTTTTAAAGAACTGACACCTATTCCTTGCCTACAAAGCCTCACACATAATTTTTGGCTTTTACTGTCTTCAGTACTTTAATGATCATCATACAAAACTGGATCGAACATTTAAAAGTCATCTTTTCATCCTGCTGTCTCCAGAGAAGAATCTCTGCTTTGATTTTAAACATTGTAAAAGCACAAAATTCTGCTGTTTCACTCAGGAATTCTGGTACCTCAGGAATACTTCTTTATAATTGTTTCTTATGCCCATTTCTTGCTATTTTAGATTATGGAAGAAATGGTGAACAGTCTATCATTATTTTCTGGGTGACACAACTTGAAATGATGAAAATATTTTCTAGGTGAGCTGCTTCCAAGCTGGGGGTTGCTGAACTTTCACCACAGCTCAATCAATTCAGCTAGCCTTTAATACCATGCCCCATGTATTGTCTGTCACTTGCTTCATCTTTTTGAATTTGGAAAATCCAATACCCAGATCACAAGATGAAAAAATCCAGGGAATTGAGAACAGTTCAAGTACATACAAAAGTATTAATTTACAATTTGTTGCTTACTAAAAGATTTTAATTGTTCCATGTAAGTAGATCCGGTCTCTTGGATGAGGTTGAAAATCCTCCCTGGCCCATGTAAAGCTTTCTGGATTTTTATTCTCAAAGTGTCAACTGGTTACTTTCAAAAGCTAAGTTCATCATGTCAAGCTAAAAGTATTGACTGATTATGTGAGAGAGACCTCTGTTACCCTTCTAGATAATTCCTGAGTGACAGAAAGGGGAATGGAAAAGGAAAGAAAGTGAAGGAAATGGGTACCCTTGGAAGGTGGGGCTTTTGTGCCAGTCAATAAACTTAAGGAAAAACTGTTAACATGGCAATGACCATACCTTGAACTTCAAGTACCTGAGCCTAGTAAACATGTAGCTTTCACACAAACTAGAAAACTAAAGCCCGAAGAGGTGGTGTTATTAGACAAAACCGTATACCTAGGAACTGGTAAGACTCAACTCTCTTGGACTATTTGCTAAAATATTGACATATTTCTGTGTGGTTAGTAAATAACTATTTCCTTGATCCCCAAGTAACCCCTGCTGCCCTAATTCTTCCAGCGTTCACCCAGCAGGCCTTATTCATTATCCTGCAACTGAAGGTCAGCCCTAGACACAGCAGGAAGCCTCCCGCACCCTGCTGTAGCTCAATGGCTGGTATTCCTACCAATTTGTCAGGACCTGTAACATCTCAGTTAAATATTGAAACATGGTTCCCATTCTTAATTGTGAAACTTGGCTCCATCTGCTGTGCTGGCATGTGACCACAGCCTCCAGTGACCTCTACCTGGGGAGTCTGAGAATCTCAGAATCTGGGAATCCTTGATCTTTGTATTGTGTTTGTTTTTGTTTGTTTGTTTTTAAGGGCCCAGCCATTTTTGGATACACAAACTGCTTTTACAAAACTCTGGTCTTTTTTGGAATCAGTACCTGTTATGGGCTGAGTTGTGTCCCCTCCAAATCCATATTTTGATATCCCAACCCCCAGTACCCCAGAATGTGACTGTATTTGGAGATAGGGTCTTTAAAGAGGCAATTAATTGTTTCTCAGACTTTTGGCTAAGATGTAGTGTAAACAGGTAATTAAGCTAAATGAAGGGTGGATTAGGGCAGGCCCTAATCCAATATGACTAGTGTCCTTACAAAAAGAGGAGATCAAGCCACAGGCATATCCAGAGGGAAAACCATGTGAAGACAAATGCTGAAGATGGTCACCTGCAATCCAAGGAGAGAAGCCTCAGAAGAAACCAACCTTGCCCACACCTTGATCTTGGACCTCTGTCCTGCAGAACTGTGAGAAAATACATTTTTGTTGTTTAAACCACCAAGTCTGTGGCATTTTGTTATGGCAGCTCTAAAATTCTAACACAGTACCTCTTCCTGACCTTGTCATTAATTCATGCGATTCATAGATACACTTTCTTTGTAGTATTTAAGTTCCTTTGCTAAAGAACATTATGCTTAGGTTGCCTATACCTCGTTGGACAGGATAGTTGCAGTTTATGCCTGCTGTGCTGGTATAATGTTTATAGTGCTTCCTTTATCTTTCAAAGATATCTCAGCCTGGACAATAAATTGCATGGCTGTCCTAAGTTTGTTTAACCCTTGGTTCTTTTATTTGTAATTTTCTCACATATTCTCAATCTCTTCCTTGTTATGTACTTGTCACTTCTTTCTTCAAAGCCTAATATTTGCTATGTCCCCGGGGTGCCCATAAAGTAGCCCCATTCATGATTCGGCCCACAAGGCAATGTCATTATTCAGTGAATGGACACTATGGGCGGGATATTGAATACGTTTTCATGGAGAATTGTATGGAATAAAGACTTCACTCCTTCCTCTGAAGAGCAGTGACCTGGCAAGCAACACACATAAATCAGAGTCATCTTGTGTCATCTTATTTCTGTCCTACACAAACTATTATTTTATCCTCAAGTAATTTTTTGGAAAATGTCCTTAAATGCTGTTTAATCTTCCCATCCAGATTCACTGCAGCGAATTTATAGCAAGCTTCAGAATACAATTAATGCACACTTCTATCCCATCCCATTTTGTCACTGGCTGTGGCAATATAAAGCTTTTGGCAAGCTGACAAGGGAAGGAGAGGAGAGGCTCTGTTCTTAGGAAACATGTTAGCGATAAGTGAATTGGCGGTGTTTCAAATGGTAGTGGGTAGCTAGTTTATGGCCCTACAACGGTGGCCTTACCCAAACACTTCCACAGAATCACTGTAGTAAATGCTTTCTCTTCCTTGCCTCCCATGTTAAATTTAAAAATATATATATATTAGCAGCTCAAGAAAACATGAATTTATCACATCAAAACCAGCATCATATGTAAAGCTTGAAAGTAGTGATTGCATCAAGGACTAGAAGACAAGAAGGCACAAAATTCTTCCTTCTCTTTCTCTATATTTGTTCTTTTTCTGCGGTTGAATAGCTGTGTGTGGTACGGGGTGGTAGGCAGGGCTCAGAAGGCTCTATTCTAAATCAAGTTCAAGATTCTGAACACAGCAGTCCTCTGGAGGAAAGCCAGGTAGTGATCTTATCCAAAGATCCATTTGGCTGATGAGGACACAGCCCAGCACTGAGTCTTCTCAGCTCCATTTCTAAATGGCTTGTATGAACTTGGATACATGACCTCACCTTCTTGGCCTTATGTCTTATGGTCAGTGCAGTGGGCACAGTGGCACCTGATGGCCCATTTAATAGGTGTGTAGGCCGGTTCCCACTGAGGTTGGCTGTACACATGTACATGGGCCAGGAGCCCTGGACAGTCCTGCAGACATGCATTGATTACTCTCCTGGCCAGTTTCTCACTCACATGGAAAGCCATCCCATGTATCCATATATGGATTTGGACAACTGTCCTGGAGAAATAAGAATTTGTTTTTCCATAAAGACTGGTTTCCAGTCTTTATGTCCCACATTTTTTCATGAGATATTCTGGCAAGCTTGCTTTTCTGTATCATCTCTATTAAAGAATTGAAGAAATCTATGTCTCTGTGCTTCAAATGCATTTGAAAGGGAATGCTGTGATTGGATGTTATTGCTGTAAATCATCTTGGGTGTAAAAGCGGGAGGTGGACCATTAGAACGGGGAAAGGAATGACCAGATCATGTTTGTGAACAAAGCTCTTTTGGTATGCCCAATCTAAGTCTTGATGACATGTATGGTAGAACCAACAGAGCATTTCTCAAATCTTTGCCCACAGCTTGGAAACACTTCAGAGCACCACTGGAGGCCCGAGAACCCAATATGGTCAAATACTGTTATTACTCAACATTACTCTAAGTTTGAAAAAAAAGGAAGAGATGAAATAGTTATTTGGTTGAAAAATCCTTTAGACTTATATGTGTTCTTAGAGCCTTGTATCTTTTACTTACAGATTTATAAACAACAAAATTACTTTAAAAAATCTACCTATAACTTGGACGACTTGGTAGGAAAGAAAAAGTCTTCACTAATTATTTTCCCCATGCATACCCTGAAACCACTTTTTGATTGTCAGTGCAGATGTCCAGAAACCCCACTTTTACAAAGCATATATGTTAGTCATTTGCTAGCCCCATTTGTCTTTGAAGAAGGAGGATCCATTTTTTGTAAGGTGATCCATTTTATTTTTTCAACCAATGAAAGGCTTATATGCTGTAAGAATCCTCAACCCACAACTTTAGGAGCTTAAAGTTAAGCTAAGGATGGATGTGCCATGACCTCCCCCAGTGCCATCAGGATGCATCCATTCCCCACTCTTCATATCCTTGAGGGGAGCATGAGGTTCTGCCTGCTCTGCTTCTGCCTGGGTCTCTTGGGGTACCAGGGGTTTCTATGTCACCAGGCAGGTGTGGGAAGACATTCTTGTCTTCATTCCAGCTGAACTTGTTCTGCTCTTCCTTGCCTTGTTTCAGAAATGAACTGACAGTGTAATTGACACCAATAATAATTCCAATATATTCATTCAAAAATTGTATTCTCTCCCTTTTCTCTGGGCCAGCTTCCCCCTTAGTTCTCAATGACCACCCTGGAATTGGATTGATGTAGTCCCACTCTTCATCTTGGGTTTAGGACTCTCTCCCTGAGGACGTTCTTGATGCTAGATACCATGGGAGAAATGAGAAAGGCTTTGGGACACTGGAATTAAGGCTTTTGGCCAAAACAAGGAGACGTGAACTGCCTGTGGCTCTTAAGGATGAAGGGATGGTGGCCCAAGGAGAGTACGGTGATGGTTCAAGGAGATTGTTAGGATGTAGATTCAGGGTACTGGCACTCAAAGCCTTTCAGGCCACTCTCTGGGAATCCCAGTAAGCTGATTAAAAAAAAAAAAAGCTGGAAAGAGGATGCAAAGAGCTTGTCTTAAATGCTAAAAGACTAGCAGCTTCCGACTGTAGGAGTCAGGATAACATCTCTGGAATTCTGGATTCTTAGAGTAGATATACAATCTAATTCCCGCTACTACAATCCTGTAGCATTACTATTCCGTGACTTCTTTTTTAAAACTGCAGATCCCAAGAGTTTCCTAGAAACAGAGGAGTGAAGTGGAAACTGAGAGCTTTACCTGAAGGTGGAGGCTACCCAAATCTGAATAGAAGTGTAATTATTAATATCTCTGCATATTAGGGTTCTCCAGAGAAACACAACTAACATGATGTGTATTTGTGTGTGTGTATACACACACACACATATTGTGTATATATATATGTGTGTACACATACTGTGTGTGTATATATATGTATATACACACATATATACACTATATATATGAAAACAAATGTGTTATAATCAATTGGTACATACAATTATGGAGACTTGCACATCCAAATCTTTAGCATGGACAGGCAGCCTGGAGACCCAGGAGAACTCATGGTGTAGATGGAGTCTGAAGGCAGTCTGCTAGAGAATTCTCTCTTGCTTCAGAGAGGCTTCTCTTTTTGTTCTATTTAAGCCTCCAATGGATTGGATGGAGCCCACCCAAATTATGGAAGGCAACCTGCTGGCTCAAAGTTCACTATCTTAAATGTTAATCTCATCCAAAAACACCCTTCCAGTTGACAGATAAAACTGGCCATCATACCTTTGGCAGTTCCAGACAAAAAGAGCATCCCAGAGGGAAGTAAGTGTCAGCCAGAGATGGCTGTGGTGTCTAGCTGGCTTTGGCAGGCATCCAGGGTGGAGTGGGAGAGTGAGGCATGGAGACAGAACAATGTGTGCAAGTACACACATGCTCAAGGCCACTGTAGTACTGTGGACATCCTTAGCTTCAACCTTGCAGGCAGACCTGGAAACTAGTCATTGAGTAGCCCAAACACCACAGCTTCTTCCCGATTAAGAAAATGAGGCTGCATTTGGCTACTGCTTTGTTTTGGGTTCCTGAGGAGTTTGTGAGGATATTAGACGTAGATCTCAGTTTAACACTGCCTGGCCGAATTCTTGATTTCAGTCACCTCAGGTCACCTTTGCAGTAGCCCAGAGGAAATATTCAATTTAAGCAAATATATCAGACATGGGTTTTCCTTTATCAATCCATGCTGACTGATCTTTAATGAATTAGAGAGAAATCCATTCCACATTGCCTGCATAAAGATGTAAAGCTGATGCATAAATCTTAACTTTAAGAAGAGGTAAATTCAAACCAGAGTTAGGAGCTCGTGCCTTTTGAGGCCATAGCAGGAATATTAATGACTCACAGTTATGTAATTATTTGAGCCTGTTTATATCTCAGGAACACCAAATGCCATTTCTCTTCTTCTTGAGGTATCCATTCAGACTCTGCGAGTTTGGAGTATTAGTGAAACCCACTGCCTGCCATGGCCGTCCTGTTCAGAGTTCACTGCATTTCTTTGTTGGACAGAAGTCTTTGGCTTCTTTTCTCTTTTGTTTATTTGTGTTCATTTGGTGGAAGAATAACTCCTTCATCCCTGAGCTGGTTTGATTGGAAAAAAGAAATTCAGAACTTGTTTTCAGTCTGTTCCTTTTAAAACTGTCCCCTTCATCCCAATTTTGCTCTCAAGAGATATAACCATTGTGGAAATTAAATTATAATTAGGGTTAAGGACTTTGAAATAATGACCCCCAGACTGACCTCTCTGTCTGTACTCTTAAACGTCTCCTGTCAGTGCACCCAGTGTTGGGTTCTGGGCCATTTTAAACCTGTTTCCAGAATTGCCACCTGACACTTAACCATCACACAATGCCTTGCCTTAGCAAATGCATCTGTTATATGGTAAACCACTAAACGCTTTTCTGAAATCCAGATAAATTATGTCTGCTGATTTGGTAATGTGGCCCAAGAATTCAATTTAGGCAAATGTATCAGACTTGGCCTCTCCTTTATCAATCCATGCTGACCAACCTTTAATAAATTAGAGATAAATCCATTCCGTATTGGTAGATGCACAATCTGAGTGGAAGAGTAATCAGCACCGGATCTACAAACACACTCCTGCCCTAATTTCCTGCCCTTAATGTGCTCCAGTCTGTGACAGGGCATAGGGAGGCTCACTGGAATTACTTTAGACTCTTGAAGAGCCAAATGGGATATGAGGTTGAAGGAAATGTGAGGTTCTTTATGCCTCAGAAGTGCAGGGAGGGGGAGCATAGTGTAGTCATCTGGGTGGGCTTTGCAGGGCTTGGCTTCTAGGAAAAGCTGGTGTGTGGCTTTTAGGCCAGTTGCTTCCCATCTCCTGGCCTCAGTTTCCTTGGCTGTTGCTGGGACGGGCGACCTCTCAGGCTCCTTTCAGGTCTAATAACTTTCAGCTCCAGGGAAACAAAGCAGGGAACAATTACTTGTACTCCAAGGTCAAATGAGACTGGCATGGAGGCTTGCCTGATGCTCGTCTGGGATCCTGACGAGCCTGAATTGGGTCAAACTCACTGATCAGAGGCATTCAGAAGCAAGGAACATTAGAGTTTTCTTTTATCCCGGAGATCTTATTAGAAGCAATAATATTTGAAAAAGGCGCCAGAGGTGTTTTCTGTGATTATTATTCTTGTAATATTCCATTTGAATTTCAATGTACTTAAGATACGGATATCTGCCGAGTTAAAGGGAAAATCCTAGGCCAACCAGTACCTGAATTTGGTGAAATCGTCAACAGGAAAACGGTCTTAGGGGTGATTTAACTCTAAAATGGTACAACAGTAAATTCCACTCCACGTACAAACTCTGTGTTTCGCCATCCCATTTAAATTCCCATTCAGATCCGAGAAAGGATCTGAAAACTGCTACAATAAAGAAATCTGTTTAACTTTGGGTAACCCGGCATTTTGTGAACTTACTTGATATTGGGACCCATTTTGTTTGATTTGTTTTCTGCAATGGCTATTAAAATAATTCAGAATTAAGATTCCACAGAACATACTTTGGAAAATGCCAGTCTAACCTTTTCAGGGATCCTCCTGTCTGTTTGCATGTCATGGTCTTTAAGATAGTTTTCATTCTTTCTTTGGAGAAGTGTTCATTTCCAGTTATCTTCAGGTTGCGCTCATCCCCAAGTCTTTTGAAAATAAGTTTTTCCATTTGGCTGCACATTCCTATCTTAGTTAGATCTACAAAAACTTGCCAAATATGGGGCTGGGTGCGGTGGCTCACGCCTGTAATCCCAGCACTTTGGGAGGCCGAGGCGGGCGGATCACGAGGTCAGGAGATCAAGACCATCCTGGCTAACACAGTGAAGCTCCGTCTCTACTAAAATACAAAAAAATTAGCCGGGCGTGGTGGCGGGCTCCTGTAGTCCCAGCTACTCGGGAGGCTGAGGCAGGAAAATGGCGTGAACCCGCGGGGGCGGAGGTTGCAGTGAGCCAAGATCGCGCCACTGCACTCCAGCCTGGGCGACAAAGCGAGACCCCGTCTCAGAAAAAAAAAAAACAACTTGCCAAATGTGAAAGTCTTTATTTAAGCTACTTTTGAGTTGCTCCTGGAAGCTTCAATATTTAAAAGTATCAATTTAGCACAAAAATGAATGAATAGATGAATCAAGGGCTCTTTAATTAAAAAAAAAGTTTTCCATTACACTGGGTTTTTGGAGAACAAGAAAGTGGCAGATACATCCATGTTTGGACTGATGGCATGTAGAGGAACCCTGGATACATTGTGTTTTGAACTAGCTGAGTGGCAGAAACACCAACTGTGCCCTGGGGATGCCATGCCTGTGGGCGCTGCATGGAGGCAGAAACACAACTCAGGCTGGTGCATTGAGAAGGTGAGAGTGACTCCTTAAAGCTGCCCCTGGCATTCGCAATAATTGCTACCAGACCACATTTTTTTTCTTTGCTTTTCACTCCCTCCTTCAATTCCTAGCGTGCTAACAGCACACTTTAGTTCTGAGTTATTAGAAATTACATCTTTCTTATATTGATTCTTGACAGTTGCCAGCTGACCTCTAATTGTTTCCAGGTCTGAGGTTTCAAATTTACTGATTTCCTTTTTGATATTTTAATCTTTCTCCTGTACCCTGCTCATTCCCTCGCCTCCCCTGCTGGTTTGCCTTGTCTTCAGAATTTCTCAAAGCAGCTGTGAGGACCCTAGCTCCATTTCTTGTTAATTATTTCTTTACATTGCAAAGGAAAATGGCCAACCACATAGATGGGCATTGCTGTTGCTACATTTCTCTGACTTGCTTTGAACAACTGCTGTTTACAGCAGAGCAACAGGCCCACAAACTCCCTCTAGGACATAACTGTGTTCAGCCTCCTCCTCTGAACACGACTCTGCCACCCTCCCCAGAATGTTTGTGAGCCTGGCCTCTCCTCTCATTCTTAGGTGATGTTTGGGCAATATTAAGAACTTGGCATTGAACCCCAAACAGGTCATAAGCTAATGCTAAATTATGGAAATGGAGACTGCAATGAATTCATTTTGCATGACTTGGGAAGGATGGAACTGGGACTGATGTGAGCTAAATGAACCCCACTCAGTAAAATGGTGAGATTTGAGATGACAGCAAGCTTTAAGAGATCAGAGAATGTCTGTTTGCTTAGTACTGTGTATCCCGTGCCTGGCACAGCATATGGCTAATACTAGGCACTGAACGATTATTTGCCAAGTTTGCTGTTGTTGTTTTGTTTTGTTTGAGACGGAGTTTCACTCTTGTCTCCCAGGCTGGAGTGCAATGGCGTGATCTCGGCTCACTACAACCTCCGCTTCCCAGGTTCAAGCGAGTCTCTTGCCTCAGCCTCCCAAGTAGCTGGGATTACAGGCATGCATCACCACACCCAGCTAATTTTGTATTTTTAGTAGAGACGGGGTTTCACCATGTTGGTCAGACTGGTCTCGAACTCCTGACCTCAGGTGATCCACCCACCTCGGCCTCCCAAAATGCTGGGATTACAGGCGTGAACCACTGCGCCTGGCCATTTGGCAAGTTAAGTATGAGTTTTCTTCTCCCTCTTCATGGTTCTACCCAATTATTAGAGTTTGGGACAAATTCATAATTGGCGTTCGCAATAATTGCTACCAGGCCACATTTTTTTCCTCTGCTTTTCACTCCCTCCTTCAATTCTTAGCATGCTAAAAGCACACTTTATTTCTGAGTTATTAAAAATTACATCTTTCTTATATTGATTCTTTCCTGTTAAGATCTAACAGGAAACTTTCTTTTTTCTGCTGAACAACTTTCCCACTCTTAACATCATTTAGGAGTTTGGCTCAAGAATATATCCTAGAAATGATCTCACAGTACCTCCCTGGAAAGCATAGGCAGAATATATAGATCCATAGAATGTTTGAGAATGGAAGGAATCTTAGGGTCGCTCTGGTTCTACACTTTAATTTTGCAGCGCCACATTGAAGCCGTTGGAGGTGAAATGATTTCCTCAAGGGAGTCCTGGTCTGTCTGGAGTGCTCGGTGGGCACTTTACTCATAGAAGAAACATTTGCTGAGAATTTTTTGTGAATTCCCTGGCACCTCTGGCCTACTGCACATGCAGGAAGAGTCATCTTTCCCAGTTCTGGGGGAAAAAAAATCTTCCAACAACAGAGATGCAGATATTGGTAGTGGAAGTTATCTGGAGGAGAGTGAAATATGTACGAAACATGAGGGGTGGGGGCTGACAGCATCTGCTACACTTAGTTTGGTGTGGGAACAATAAGCAAGCCTTCTTCAGAACATGACAAGGAAGATGACAGCGTATTGGAGGGGAACATGTAGCTCTGTTTCTTTGACTCATAGCGGAACTTACAGGGAATGCATTGCCTTTTTGAAATGCTGAGGTTTAGGGTTTGAGAGCACTGGGAAGCTGTCACAGGGGCCCTGGTAATACTGGTGCTGATGAGGCTCCCTCTCTTGGGCGATTCACAGACATTGACGTCAGTATCAGTATCTGCAAGGGGGTGCCAGGGCAGAAGGATATGAAGGCAGTCTTTGTGAGATCTTGTCAGATACTCCTAGGGAGTCCCAGATTTAACTGGGGAAGTTTTTGAAGTGGGTCTTACATTACACCAATAGGAGCACAACTAGTGAAGTTGGAGTTGTCATGATTTTTGTAACTTCATCAGTACATAAGGGCTAGTAAGACCCAGGAAAACTCCAAATTTAAGAGCAGATGAAGTAGAAAGTGAGGAAATGAACATAATCCCCTATGGGGTTCCATATTCTCTCTGTCTTCTCTGTCCACTGTTATTGAGGACCAACACTGGGACCAGGACTTGGAGAAGAGGGCCGTAATAGATGGCTTCACACATCCCTATGTTAGTATTGTACATCTGTACCCTTGGCCATGTGACTTTCCTTATTCCCGCTAGGGAAGAAGTGTGTTTCCCTGCCCTTTACTTTTGGTTTAGCCTTGTGACTTGCTGTGGCCAATGGGATGTTAGAGGAAGTGACATGGGTAGGGGCCTGAAATGTGGTTGGTTTTCCCTCTTGAGCTTCTTCCATTTTCCATGAGGACAGGCACCAGGTAGCTGCTGGTCCCAGTAGGATGGAGGCCATATGGAGCACACCTGAATCCAAACTAAAGCCTGGAGCCAACTTAATAAACCTGCACCCTAAAGCACAGCCTCTCAGCTGAGCCCAGAATAAATAAGCCAAACCATAGCTGACGTATAACCCACAAGACCCTGAGATTTCTGAGGTTGTTTTAGATACACCGTAAGCTGGCTACTACAGTGGAAACGTGTGTGGAAAAAGTCCTGCAAATGCATGGAAAAGGGAGAATTCTAGACCATGTGGATTTTCAGGGTAACCAAACTTTACCACCCAATATCTTTGACCACATGATTAACAGAGGCTTTGTGAGGAATCAAAACTTGGATAGAAGCTTCAATGAACCAGCAGTATGGGTAGAGGTGGGCCAGAAACGTGAAAGAAAGGCGATGGAGCTTTGCAACACTTAAAGCAATCAAAATAAACAGTTGTGAAACCAGGAAAAGGCAATCCCCAGCACCGGGGTCTGCTGCTGGCCTGCCGCAGCTTTGGTACGTTTAATCTATCGCATTAACACAGCTTTTAGAGTTACAGTCCCTCCAAAAGATTTGGGCTCCACTTCAATTGCAGTTGCCAGGGCCTAAAACTGTCAATTAGAAAACCATTTACCCAAGTAAACCCCTCCACTGGCTGTCAGGTGAAAACTATTACTCCAACCTTCATTTTGGCCCTTTCTTTACATGCAGATCCAAACTCTTCAAAACTGCTTCCCTGTCCAAATCACATTCCCAGAGAGTGTTACAGAAAGGAATGCACTTTGAAACAGTTTGCAACTATGCAAAAGTTAGTCCTCACGGCTTTGTCTCAGAGTAGGTGTGATGCTGTGGTTTGATTTGGCATAGAGTGAGCTGAGCTAACCTTTTCCATGACGGCTTTTCTTGATTTTTTGGGTCACTCTCAGTTCTAGCTTATTGTTGATTGAATAAGGTAGATTGAAATGAACTGCCTTGTCCCCTGGTCCCATTACCTTCACGCTTCTTATGGAAGAGTAATAAAAACAAGAGTTGTTTCTAAACATGATCTATTCTGGTCTGAGATGCATAGGACAGGAGTAGCTTCTTGCACCCACATTTCTGAAAGCTACCACCCCCAGAGGGAAGGGAAGTTAACATTTCCGGAGTGCCTCTGCTTATATTGTCTCATTCAATCCCTGACCTCAATTAACCTCCTGAGAGGAGGGCCCAGTAGTCCCACTTTACAAAGAAAAAAAACGAAGGCTAGAGAGGTGACTTGATAGAGCTGGGATTCCGGCACAAGTCTCTTATTTAAAAGCCAGTTTCCCTCCTCTTTATACAGAGCTGTTTGGAGAGAGAAATTTTATAGGAAAAGACTCTGAATTCTCTTCCCAGGCATCCTGAGGTAGGCTAAGTCTCTTGCTGTGTAGACCTGTGTTTGGGTATGGGAAACCCTGCATATTTTTCCTTATCTGAAAACAGTCAAGGTATTGAGCTTCAGAGATGCCATGTGTTGTCTAATAGCTGCTGGTCTCCTTACCTCTACTCTTTCTTCCCTAATGTTCATTCTCCATAAAGTAGCGCAGCAACAAGCAGGGTGCTTTTTGTGTGTCTGTTTATTTTTATTAAAGACTATTTTTTAGAGACGTTCTAGATTCACAGCAAAATTGAGAGGAAGGTACAGAGATTTCCCATCTGCCCCCTTCTCCCACACATGCATAGTATTCCCCGTTATCAACATTCTCCATCAAAGTGGTGCATGTGTTACAACTGATGAGCCTACATTAGCACATCATAATCACCCAAACTCCATAGTTTACATTAGGGTGTACTCTTGGTGTTGCACATTCCATGGGTTTGGACAAATGTATAATAACATGTATCTACCATTATAGTATCATACAAAATATTTTCACTGCCCTAAAAATCCTCTGTCTCTGCCTATTTATTTCTCCCTCCTCCCTCACCCTGGCAACCACTGATCTTTTTACTATCTCCATGGTTTTGACTTTTCAGAATGACATATACTTGGAATCATACAGTATGTATCCCTGTAATATTGGCTTCTTTCACCTAGTAATATGCTTCATAATAAGTTTTCTCCATGCATTTTTATGTCTTTATAGCTCAATTCTTTTTATCATGGAATAATACTTTGTTTTCTGGATGTACCACAGTTTATTTATCCATTCATCTACTGAAGAACACCTTGGTTGCTTCCAAGTTTTGGCAATTATAAATAAAGATGTTATAAACATTTATGTGCAAGTTTTTGTGTGGCCACAAATTTCAACTCCTTTGGGTCAATATCAAGAAATATGATAACTGAATCACAAGATAAGATAATGTTTATTGTAAGAAATGGCCAAACTGTTTTCCAAAGTGGCTGTACCATTTTATATTTCTACCAGCATTGAATGAGAGTTCCTGTTATTCCATATTCTCACCAGGATTTGGTGTTTTCAGTGTTCTGGATTCTGTCCATTCTCATAGGTATGAAGTGTTATTGCATTCTTTTAAATTTGCATTTTTCTGATGATATACAATGTGGAACATCTTTTCATGTTTATGTGCCATCTGTATATCTCCTTTAGTGAGATGTTTGTTAAGATACTGATGTATTTTTAATCAGGTTGTTAGCTATCTCATTGTTGAGTTTTAAGAGTTCTTTGTACATTTTAAATAAGTCTATTATCAGATGTGTCTTTTGCAAATATTTTATCCCAGTCTATGGCTTGTCTTCTCACTCTCTTGACATTTCCTTTCTCAGAAGTTTTTAAGTTTATAAATTCTTTATTTCATGGATTGTGCCTTTGGTTTCGTGTATAAAAAGCCATCACCATACCCAAGGTTATCTAGGTTTTCTTCTATGTTATCTTCTAGAAGTTTTACAGGTTTGCATTTTACATATAGGGCAAAGATCCATGAGTTACTTTTTGTGAAAAGTATAAAATCTATGTCTAGCTTTATTGTTTTGCAAGTGGATGCCCAGTTGTTTCAATATTATTTATGAAAAGGCTATCTTTGTTTCATTATATTGCCTTTGCTCATTTGTCAAAGACCAGTTGACTGTATTAAGCGAGTCTATTTCTAGGCTCTCTATTTTGTTCCATTGACTCATTTGTCTATTCGCTTGCCAATACCATGCAGTCTTGATTAGTGTAGCTTCAAGGGTAAGTCTTGGTGTCAGGTTGTGTCATTTCTCCAACTTTGTTCTTCTCCTTCAATATTGTGGTGGCTGTTCTGGGCCCTTTGCCTTCCCATGTAAACTTTAGAATCAGTTTGTTGATATCCACAAAGTAACTTGCTAGGATTTTGATTAATAATTCATTAAATCTCTTTATCATGGCTGAAAGAACTGACATTTTGATAATATTGAGTTTTCCTGTCCATGAACATGGGCTATCTTTTTATTTGTTTAATTCTTCTTTAATTTTATTCATCAGAATTTTGTAATTTTCCTTATATCAATCTTGTATATATTTTGTTATCTAAGTATTTCATTTTTGGGGATGCTATAGTAAATAATATTGTGTTTTTAACTTCAAATTATACTTTTTTATTGCTGATATAAAGGAAAGTTATTAACTTTTATATTTTAACCTTTTATCATGCAATCTTACTATACTCACTTATTAGTTCCAGGAGGTTTTTTTTTAATTCTTTCAGATTTTCTATACAGACAATTATATTTTTTGAATAGACAATTATATCACCTTGGAGCAAAGACAGTTTTATTTCTTCCTTCCAAATTTGTGTACTTTTTATTTCACTTTCTTGTCTTATTGCATTGCTAGGACTTCCAGTATGCTGTTGAAAAGCAATAGTGGGAGGGAACTTCCTAGCCTTGTTCCTGATCTTTGTAGGAAAGCTTTGAATTTCTCACTATTAAGTATATGATATTAGCTGTAGTGTTTTTTGTAGATATTCTTTATCAAGTTGAAAAAGTTCCCCTCTATTCTTAGTTTTCTGAACATTTTTGTCATGAATGAGTGTTGGGTTTTGTCAAATGTTTTTTCTGCATCTATTGATGTAATCATATATTTTTTTCTTTTATAGCCTGTTGATTTGATGGATTACCTTAATTGAGTTTTAAATGTTGAACCAGTCTTGCATATCTGAAATAGACCATACTTGGTCATGGTGTTTTATTCTTTTTATACATTGTTGAGTTTCATTTGTTAATATTTTGTTGAGGATTTTTGCAGCTATATTCCTGAGAGGCATTGGTCTGTAGTTTTCTTATAATGCTTTTGTCTGGTTTTGCCATTAGGGTAATGTTGGTCTCATTCAATGAATTAGGAAGTATTCCCTCTGCTTCTGTCTCCTGAAAGAGATTGTAGAGAATTTATATAGTTACTTTCTTAAATGTTTGGTAGAATTCTCCAGTGAACCCATCTGGGCCTGGTACTTTCTATTTTGGATGGTTATTAATTATTGATTTGATTTTTTAACTGGATATAGGCTTATTTAGTTTTCTATTAGCAAGATGTTTTTGATTTGTATATAAGATCACCTTTCCAAATTTTGTCCATCTCACTTAGGGTGAAATCTGAAGTCCAGACCTTGGTTCACCAGATCGTACACGGTCCAGCTCCCATCATCCCCTAAATTCATCTTTCACTGCTTACCCATCATTCATTAAACGTTGGTCACTATCTAGGCACCTTCTGTTCCTACAACATGCCAAGCTCATCTCTGACTCAAGGCCTTTACCATTGTTTTTTCCTATGTCCAATACATTCTTACCCCAGATCTTTGTATGGGAGGGCTTTTTCACCTTCTCCTCAGAGAGAACTTCCTCCACAATCCTGGCCAAAGTAGACCTTCCTGCTTGCTCTATCTTAGCCATACTCAGTCTCACAGTACAATTGTATCTCTTTCATAGCCGGTATAACTCTCTGAATTTATTATATTTATTCATTTACTTGTGTACTTTTATATTATCTATCTCTTTACACCAAAGTATAGGCTATTGATGGCTGGACCTTTGTGAAACTTATTCATTGCTATATCCTCAGTGCATATGACAGTTCTTGGAGCAATGAAAGGTATTCATAAAAATGTATTGAGTGGAAAGAAATGTTTGTGCTTTGTACCTAGCTTATTCTGTTATTGTTTATTTTAGATTTTAAAAGCTTATTCTACTACTTTCTGAGTTAGATACATGATAATCATATTTTTCAGGCTATTAAGGAGAATATAGATAAATGTAGAACAACTCTGTGACCTCTAAGCTTTTCTCCTCCCTCACCATGGAGTAGCTTGTAGTCTTGTGCAGGCTTGACCTCTGCTGCCATGTCCATCATTGTATCCCTATGCCCACCATAGTGCCTGGCACATACATGGTAAGAGAATGAGGAAGACATTCAAAGACTGCAGAGTTCTTAGGGGACCCAAATGTCAGCCAGGAGTGGAATTTTAGCAGAAGGAATAAAAGGACTATAAGTGGAAATGAATGCAAGCATTTTCTCCCTTTTATCTTTCTTCTCTCAGTGCTCTCTTCTTTCATTTTAAAATGTTGTGATGATGCTGTAACAGGGAGATGCTCTCAGCTTAGAAGTCCAGGCAAAGCCAGTGAAGAACCCAAGAATAGGGTTTCTGGAGCAAACCTCTTTGTTCTGCCTCTGACCTAGGGCAAGTGCTAAAGAAGCAAGAGAGGTTTTTGAGAATTCTACTTCGTGAGAAACCAGAGAGAGCTTGGGAATGAAGCTCCCATTTGGTGTGCATTTTCCTGGGATGTCTTTGAACAGACAGTTTCAGAGAGCTGGTAGGTGAGTTGGAAATTATATGGGAATTTAGGGTTTTGAGATATAGACCATAGCTCTTCCCTCTTTCCATTGGCAACAATGGTTCTTGAAAGCCATCAATGTGAACTAGCTGAAATATGTGCCTTCATAAAGAATGGAACTATCTATTAGCTTAAGAAATAGCATAGGAAGATAAATAAAACCTAGAAATATAAATGGGAAGTTGAGTGAATTTGTGACCTTTTAATTTAAGAGAAAAGTTGTTCCAAGGAGAGAATATTAAGTAAGATTTGGGGATCTATTGTTTTAACTTTAAAGAAAAGCAGATCGAAACTTATAAGTAGATGAATTTAAGAACTCAGAAATAAATCCTTTATTTCTTAATTTTTCTACTGTTAAAAAAGCGTGTTTTGTGAGGAAGCTCTAGATAGATTTCTACTGGAATAACTTTGTCAAAGTCTGGGTGACTAACATAAAGGGGATAGGATGGTCTCCTTATGAACACAACATCCATTTTGTTGTACTTGTATCTTAGGAGTGAGATCAAGTAGACCTAAATTAACAATATTTTCATTTAATATAACAGATATGACAGAGTGAGCAACTAGAATAAATTGTCAGCAAGTAAAACAGAGTGGGTTTATTTAGAAGATATATTAACAGAAGATAAACTATTCATATGAAAAACCAGAGGTACTTGAGCAACATCAGCCACTAAAAAAAATATAGGGTTAGCAGAATATGCCAATTTTTCCTAGATATTAAAATAGATTCTTTCCAATATTGTGGTGGTTTTCTCTCTAACAATTCCATACCAGAAGTGTATATTCAAACTGAAACATATTATAGTCGTTGACTCTTTCTGGGTTGCATTGTTAGCCATTTGGGAGTGAATCTCTCAAGTGTTCATGATGGCCCAACTGAAGTAGTGGACTGAGAAGTGAGATGAAGGAAGATTTTCTATGACTGTGGATCAAGGTGAAAAATGGACCACAGTCATCTTCTGCTAAAGGCAAGATGAACTCCTGGAGGTATATTTCCACCAGTGGAAGATCTGATCTCTACTACAAGTTTGTTGGTAATGCATTATCTTGACTATTTATACTATAATGTTGTTTATTAGCCAAACATGATATTGGTATCAATATCTAGAACTATATCCTACTCTTAAACTCCAATTTATTCATTCTTTTCAATGTAGGCCAGACAAAACAATATTGAAAAAGAAGGAAAAAGTTGGAGGACTCACATTCTTGATTTCAAAACTTACCAAAAATCTATATTAATCAAGGGAGTATAGTACTGGCATAATAATAGACATATAGACCAATGTAATAAAATTAAGTGACCAGAAAAAAAATCTCATACATCATCGT
This sequence comes from Homo sapiens, assembly GCF_000001405.40. Lineage (NCBI taxonomy): Eukaryota > Metazoa > Chordata > Mammalia > Primates > Hominidae > Homo > Homo sapiens. The sequence goes on along the minus strand of NC_000008.11, from coordinate 95,827,279 downwards.
CAGTTGATTTTTTTTATGAGGGTGGCAAGTTCAATAAAAGAGGAGCTAATAGTCTGTTGAAAAGATGGTTCTGGGCAACTGGATTTCCACATGCAAAAGAATGAACTTGAACCCCTACCCCACATCATATACAACATTTTTACTCAAAATGGATCAACAGCATAAATATAAGGACTAAACCTATAAATCTCTTAGAAGAAAACATAGAGGTAAACCTTTATGACTTAGATTTGGCAATAGATTCTTATATATGACACCAAAAGCATGAGCAACAAAAGAAAAAATAGGGAAATTGAACTTCATCAAAATTAAAAACCTTTGTGCATCAAAGGAATATTATCAAGAAAGTGAAAAGACAATCTACAGAATGGGAGAAAATATTTTCATATCATATATACCATAAGGTTCTAGTATTCAGAATATATGAAGAACTCTTACAACTCAAAAACAAGACAACCCAATTTTTAAAAATGGGTGAAGGAGATAAATAGACATATCTTGAAATAAAATATACAAATGGCTAACAAGAATTAGTCATTAGGGAAATGCTGTTCAAAACCACAATGAGATACCACTTCACAGTCAGTAAGATACCAATAATAGTAATAATAATACTAAAACAGAAAATAACAAGTGGGGGTGAGGATGTTGAGAAATTAAACCCGTCATACATTGCTGCTGGAAAATGTTAAATGGTTCGGCCATTATGAAAAACATTCTGGTGGTTCCTCGAAAAGTTAAACATAGAATTACCATATAGTCCCACAATTTTACTCCTAGATATATATCTACAAATAACTGAAAACAGGTATTCAAACAAATTGTTGTACATAACTGTTTATAACAGCACTATTCACAAGAGACAACAGGTAGAAACAACCCAAATATCCATCAAGGGATGAAATCAGAAATGAAATAAGGTATATACGCGCACTGGAATATTATTCATCTATAAAAAATGAAGTACTGATATATGTTAAAATATGGATGAACCTCAAAAGCATTATGCTATGGAAGAAGCCAGACATAAAGAGTCAAATGTTGTATGGTTCCAATTTACATGCACACCTTGTTTTATTACACGTCTTTTTATTGTGCTTCTCAGACAATGCATTTTTTACAAATTGAAAGTTTGTGGCAACCCTGAGTCAAGTCTATTGGTGCCATATTTCTAACAGTATGTGCTCACTTTGTGTCTCTGTGTCACATTTTGGTCAATGCAGAATGGCTAACAGAGATTAAAAATTAGAAGGCAATTTAGTTGTTTGACATTGAGTTGCATATATTCCTATTTAATTCTATCTTATTTTCCTTTCTTACATATTTATTATTTATACCTCTCCTACTTAAAACAAAAAAAAAGGACTCAGCGTTTCTTGTACTTCCTTCCTATGGGGATTACTCTGAACTGGACTGTACATCCAGCCATTTGTCTAACCAGTTGGCCCGTTATCTTTTGCAAAAGGAATTAGATTAATTATAATATTTAGAATGTGTTAAAGTGAATACATTCTTTCGAATTTGGCTACTTTTTTGTAATTTATATATTGTTAACCAATCAGGAACATTAGATTTACAATTATAAACATTACTAGGAATCACAAATATAAAAATACCTAATCTAACGCTTGAGTGTTCTACTTCTGCCTACTTTCCAGCCACAAAACTGTCCTTCCACTTGCTGTTTTGAGCCTGATTTCTAATAAGTTACTTCAGCCACAGTCCAAGATCTGAGCTAATAATCTCTGCGATGTTACTAAAACCTTTTTAGAATTCCAAGTATATAATGCCAGTCTTTCCAAGGTCACTATGGAAACTATATCCTAGAAAAATCCAGTGACTTACTTCAGGATGACCTATTCCTTATAAAACTAAATTGGCCATTTCTACTAAACTTAAGCTTTTAAAATTGTTCCCTTACTAAATAGTTGGTAATTGTATTCATAAATATTCCTACCATGACCAATAATACAATTAATATGAAACCAAGTCATAATATCAAGATGGCTTTGGTATATTGGGAAAACCATTGGATTTGAAACTAGGGTGTAAAATAGACTCTACCATTTACTCTCAGTCTTTGTTCGAGTCACATTGCCTTTCCAAGCCTCATTTTCTTCAAATTTACTATATAACATGGGGTAATAGTGTGTCCGGAATTGGTGGGTTCTTGGTCTCACTGACTTCAAGAATGAAGCCACGGACCCTCGCGGTGAGTGTTACAGCTCTTAAGGCGGCATGTCTAGAGTTGTTCCTTCCTCCCGGCGGGCTCGTGGTCGTGGTCTCGCTGGCTTCAGGAGTGAAGCTGCAGACCTTCGCGGTGAGTGTTACAGCTCTTAAGGTGGCGCGTCTGGAGTTGTTCCTTCTGATGTTTGGATGTGTTCGGCGTTTCTTCCTTCTGGTGGGTTCGTGGTCTCGCTGGCTTCAGGAGTGAAGCTGAAGACTTTCGCGGTGAGTGTTATAGCTCATAAAAGCAGTGTGGACCCAAAGAGTGAGCAGTATTAAGATTTATTGCAAAGAGCAAAAGAACAAAGCTTCCACAGTGTGGAAGGGGACCCGAACGGGTTGCCACTGCTGGCTCGGGTAGCCTGCTTTTATTCTCCTATCTGGCCCCACCCACATCCTGCTGATTGGTAGAGCCGAGTGGTCTGTTTTGACAGGGCGCTGATTGGTGCATTTACAATCCCTGAGCTAGACACAAAGGTTCTCCACGTCCCTACTAGATTAACTAGATACAGACTGTTGACACAAAGGTTCTCCAAGGCCCCACCAGAGTAGCCAGATACAGAGTGTTGATTGGTGCATTCACAAACCCTGAGCTAGACACAGGGTGCTGACTGGTGTGTTTACAAACCTTGAGCTAGATATAAAGTGCCGATTGGTGTATTTACAATCCCTGAGCTAGACATAAAGGTTCTCCAAGGCCCCACCAGAGTAGCTAGATACAGAGTGTCTATTGGTGCATTCACAGACCCTGAGCTAGACACAGGGTGCTGATTGGTGTATTTACAATCCCTGAGCTAGACATAAAGGTTCTCCACCTCTCCACCAGAGTAGCTAGATACAGAGTGTCGATTGGTGCATTCACAGACCCTGAGCTAGACATAGGGTGCTGATTGGTGTATTTACAATCCCTGAGCTAGACATAAAGGTTCTCCACTTCTCCACCAGACTCAGGATCCCAGCTGGCTTCACCCAGTGGATCCCGCACCAGGGCTACAGATGGAGCTGCCTGCCAGTCCCGGTACTGTGCGCCCGCACTCCTCAGCCCTTGGGTGGTCAATGGGACTGGGTGCCGTGGAGCAGGGGGTGGCGCTCGTCGGGGAGGCTCGGGCCGCACAGGAGCCCACGGAAGGGGTGGGAGGCTCAGGCATGGCGGGCTGCAGGTCCCGAGCCCTGCCCCGCGGGAAGGCAGCTAAGGCCTGGTGAGAAATCGAGCGCAGCGCCGGCGGGCTGGCACTGCTGAGGGACCCAGAACACCCTCCGCAGCCGCTGGCCTGGGTGCTAAGCCCCTCATTGCCCGGGGCCGGCAGGGTCGGCCGGCTGCTCCGAGTGCGGGGCCCGCCAAGCCCACGCCCACCTGGAACTCCAGCTGGCCCGCAAGCGCCGCGCGCAGCCCCGGTTCCCGCTGGCGCCTCTCCCTCCACACCTCCCTGCAAGCTGAGGGAGCCGGCTCTGGCCTTGGCCAGCCCAGAAAGGGGCTCCCACAGTGCAGCGGTGGGCTAAAGCGCTCCTCAAGTACTGCCAAAGTGGGAGCCCAGGTAGAGGAGGCGCCGAGAGTGAGCGAGGGCTGTGAGGACTGCCAGCAAGCTGTCACCTCTCAATAGCACCTACCTCAACAAGGCCCTTGTTAAGATTTGATGAAATTAAAAATAATCAGCCCAAGGAAGCTACAAAACACATATTCTTTATTGTAATTATGTCTTCTACCAATTTTCTGCTGTTATTAGTGATTCATATTGAAGTAGAATACAGTTAGGTAAAGAAAATCAACAGATAACTTATTAAAACTCAATATAACTTTAATTTTCAAACTCTTCCACCAAACATTTATCAGAGCTGATAAATTGCTACAATACAAAGGTAAATTTGAATTTGTCTTTCTTCTTTCGGAACAAGTTTCCTCTTTGGAACTGATTGATGGCAGGTATGTACAGACAAGAGACAAAGGATGTAGAGAGAATTCACAAACTGGATTCTCAGTCCCAGATATTTACAAATTGAGTGGATTTGACTTTCCTATTTTCATTTATTCACTACAAATCCAGAAAAATCAAATAAGCATTTGCAGCAATCTATCGTGGGATAATTATAGCACAGATCTGTCCAGGAATCAGAGGGTACACCCTCTGGGGAAAGCAGTTCAGCATACTGCGTCATCCATCAAACCTCCTTTCAGTAAATACTCATCTCTCAAAACCCCTTTCAGATTGTTGATGAAATATTTTAAGATTCTAGTTAACTTGGATCACCCTGAATTATAGATGGTTAGGGCTCTGAATCACTAGGTTTATTCCTCTTCAATCATATAAGACATCTCAACTACTTTGGCATAAAAATGAGATTTATTTTTCCCCAAAAATGGCCACCAATCAACATGTTAGTCATATTAACTTTTATGTAATTTCAGCTGATAGAGCAGCTTCATTCCGGCATTAAAGGCTTGGTTCCATCCATTGTAATTTTATAGCACTCCTCCTGGCCTGAGGGCAGTTCAGACATTTGGCTCCAGCAGTTTAGAGGCGGTGAAACAGAGGAGTGGCTATTTTCTTATGCTTACCCTACTTCTTTAGGGTGATTATCCTGATGGTAGGTTGGGAAGTAGTGAGAAGAAAAAAACCCTTGCATTCCTCATTGGGTGAGATGCTGGACCAGACTAAGCCCCAAGCAATGCCCAGGCACTGGTGGTCATTTAGGTGATTCACTGACCCTCATCTGGAGGCTCCCTGACATTACAGAGTGCACAGGGCTACATAACAGAACAGCAGCCCCATATCCCCTGCAGTCTCAACTCTGTTGCCTGCAGGCAGTAATGTGATGAAAAGTATTTAACAGCTTGCTCTCCAGAAGAAAAAAAGAACCACAACTTGTAGCGAATGTCAATTTCTATGGTGTAAATACTCCTGCTACTCACCAGAAGTAATTGAAAGTGGAGTTGGAAAGAGACACACACCTTAGTAAGGCTGGGGAAAAAATAATGCATTAGTAATTTTATAATAAACCCTTGTACTTAAGTGCAGTTCTCATTTGGAAAGATTGTAAGTAGTGTATATAACACAAAAGATATAGATGAGATTGTGTCACTTAGCTGTTGAAAATTTCTCAGATGGCTCCCCTTCTTTGCCATAAATATTTCATAGCAGATGAGTGATTTTGGGATCTAAACTTCTTCCATCATCTCTACCCCCTTTCCAGCCTCTTCTATTGCTCTTCCACCCTCAGCCTCTGGTAAAATTGTACTGATACATTCACAATATCTTAAATGCTCCATATATTTTCATGACTCCCTGGTCTTTCATTGGCACCTCCCAGTGTTTGTAATGCCTTCTTTGACTGGTGAATGACTGAACTTCAGAACTAAGACTTTAGATTTTCTTGCGATATCTTGTTCATAACTACTCACCCATATATCCCACTTCACTAACTTTTGAGCTTCTGTCACATCAAAAACTGATTTTCCTGCTGCCAAGGAGTTTTTGTTTCTAGCAGAACAATTAAGCCCAAAATAAATACAAAGCCCCAGCTTTTACTGGTACACACTGAGATGAGATAAAGATAACATAATGTACATGTTGGCATAAAATAACTGATTTTTCTTTTCTTTGGAAATATTTTTCTCTATTCTGAGATCGTGCCCTTAATATTTTTATTGCTAAAGGTATTTTCTTGCTGCTAATTCCAGAAAGCATGTAGATTATGGCAGTTCAACAATCAGAAAATTACAAATATATTCTAAAAATCATACCGTAGCCTCTGAGAGCTGGGGAAGTAAGAACTAGAAGAACTGAAATGCAAGAATAGAAGACATTTCCTAGATAGTCTGGGAATTGTGAAATGAGTGTGTGATTGATCTTTGCCAAGGGAGCAAACCTCTGCTGGGGGGAAAGAAACTAGCAACAATTTTAGTGCTCTTACAAGACTGGAATAAAAAATTGAAAATCGTTCTCTTTCAAATATTTGTAAAAAAATAGACGTTTGTAGTGAATGTGTACAGACTTTTTTCTTGTCATTAGTCCCCAAACAATAGAGTATAACAACAATTTACATAGCATTTACATTGCATGAGGTATTATAAGTAATCTAGAGATGATTTAAATAATACAGGAGGATACATATTGGTTATATGCAAATACTATACCATTTTACATAAGGGACTTGAGCGAGCATCCATGGATTTTGGTGTCTCAGGAGGCAAGGCAAGGTGTCCTGGAGCCAATTCCTCATGGATAATGAGGAACAAGTCTGTGTGTGTGTGTGTGTGTATAAAATGATACCTTGTTCATAACTATTCATCTATACTTACAGAGAGAGATAGAGAGGGAACAATATCAAGGGATTGGCTCGTGTGACTCTGGGCACTAGAAAGTCTGACATTTTAAAGGTAAGCCAGTAGGCTGGAAACTCAGGCAAGGGTCAATGCTGCAGTCTTGAGGCAGATTTTTTTCCTCTGGAAAACCTGTTTTTGCTTTTATGGCTTTTCAACTGATTGAGTGAGGCCTACCCACATTACTGAGAGCATTCTCCTTTATTTAAAGTCATCTGATTATAGATGTCAATCACAGCTACAAAATACCTTCATAACAATACCTAGATTAGTGTTTGATTAAATAACTGGGTGCTATAGACTAGTGAAGTTGTCACATAAAAATAACCATCATATGTGGGGACTGAGGTCAAGAGCTTCAAAAAGGCAGAGTGCAATCCCTCTCCATTGCTCGGTGCTTAGAAAAAAAAGAGTTTCTGGGAAAATTGACCAGTCTAAAGCACATGTCCAGCCTCCCCCTCAATACATCTGCTATCTTTTGAAGTCCTGAGGCAGGAGGCTGGAGAGTTGGTCTGGGAACCTCTGAAACATAAAGCTCTATATTCCATGGTATCCCAAGGATGAGACAATTTATACCTGCAGGCCTTTAATCAAGAGCCTGCAGGGCCATACAAGGAATCAGAAGTCGACTGAATCTACAACTGCAACCAGCACCATCCCCGCTCAATTCTCAATTAGATGGAAGTAATCCACCCCTCATCCTTCTTATCTAACAAAGGAAAGAAAGAGCCATCTTTGGCAGAAGATAATATCATCTGGAGCCTCTATAGTTTGTTTGTTTGTTTTACACAAAGTCTGGCATACTTTAAAGTACATTGTGAACAAATAAGAAAACATGGATGATAATCAGGAGAAAAGACAAATAATAGAAACAAATCCACATATATTCTAGCTATTGGAATGAGCAGATGAAGACTAAAGATTAATACATTAAAGAAAACAGAAGATGGACAAATGAAAAGACAGAATTTAACAGAAAATTTGAATTCATAAAATAATGCTTTTAGACAGTTTCTAATAATTCCCGAAAATAAATGGTTCAATCCTTCTCAAAGGTGTATCCCTAAATCTGATCGCACCCATAAATCTTCAAAATATTTCAAGAAAAATTTGGCAAGATATAAAAAATAGATAGGTACCTAATCATGGTAGAAGATTTTAACATAGTCAATAGCTGATACAACAACCAGTCAAAAAATTCAGAACAAAATATAAAATCTGAATAACACAATTAACAAACTTGGCTTACTTGATAAATATGGAACATTGCACCAAAAATGTCATTCTATTCATGCACATAAAATATTTACTAAAATTGACCAGATGCTAGGCCATTAAGCAAGTCTAAACACAGTTTAAAAGATTGATATATAGAATATGCTCTTTCACTACAGTGGAATCAAGAAAAAGAAAATCAGTAACAAAAAGATGATCAGACATTTTAGGGGAAAATGGTGGACAGGAGACAGGACTAAATTGTAGCTCCCATTTGGACAGACAGAGCAGTGTGTGGAGACTCACCTTGTGAACTTTTGCTCCAAGAACTACTGCAGGAACATACCAGGAAAGCTGAGAGAACCCACAGACCCTCTGAAGAAAGTGGATTGCTCCTGCAGGACCAAGGAGACAGCCCAAATACTGTGAGTGCCCAAAGCATAAAAGTGGGAAAGGGGATCATTCACCCTCAAGCACACACCCTCATGGGGGAACGTGAAGGTCCAGATCATGGGAAAAGCATTTGACCTTACCTGGACCTAAGATAATTTAGAGAGCCGGGAGAAATACAGGAGTAGAGGAAGCAGCGGGAAGAGCCCTGTCAGCTCTTTCGGTCCCCAGGGAAGCCATTTCTGACTTTGTCTCACAGGGAAAGTGCCACCTCTTGGCAGGAGGCCAACCAGCACAACATTAGTGCAATAAACAACAATAATACAACTAATGACCGTCACAGAGTCCATTTCACTCCCCTGCTACCTCCACTAGAGCAGGTATTGCTATCTATGGCTTAGAGACCAGAAGACACCCCCCAGTACCAGCCCAGAACCCAGTAGCCCCACTGGGAGACTAGTCCAGAAGAGAAATAACAATCACTACAGTTTGGCTCTCAGGAAGCCACATCCCTAGGAAAAAATGGAGAGTACTACATCAAGGGAGCACCCCGTGGGACAAAAGAATCTGAACGGCAGTCTTTGAGCCCCAGATCTTCCCTATGACATAGCCTACCCAAATGAGAAAGAACCAGAAAACCAATTCTGGTAATATAACAAAACAAGGTTCTTTAATACCCTGAAAAAAATTACACTAGCTCACCAGCAATGGATCCAAACCAAGAAGAAATCCTTGATTTTCCAGAAAGAGAATTCAGAAATTTGATAATTACGCTAATCAAAGAGGCACCAGAGAAAGGTGAAGTCCAATTTAATGAAATTAAAAAAAAAAAGATAAAGGTATGAGTGGAGAAATCTTCAGTGAAATAGATAGCATAAATAAAAACAATCACAACTTCAGGAAATCAAGGCGCACACAGAAATGCAAAATGCACTGGAAAATCTCAGCAATAGAATCGAACAAGCAGAAGAAAGAACTTCAGAGCTCGAAGACAAGGTTTTTGAAATAATCCATCCAACAAAGACAAAGAAAAAAAGAATTTTAGAAAATGAACAAAGCCTCCAAGAAGTTTGGGATTATGTTAAATGACCAAACTTAAAAATAATTGTCATTCTTGAGGAAGAAGAGAAAAGTTTGGAAAACATATTTGGGGGAATAATCAAGTAAAACTTCCCTGGTCTTGCTAGAGATCTAGACATCCAAATACAAGAAGCTCAAAGAACACCTGGGAAATTCATCACAAAAAGATAATCACTTAGGCACATAGTCATTAGGTTATCTAAAGTCAAGACAAAGAAAAAAAATATTAAGAGCTATGAGGCAAAAGCATGAGGTAATCTATTAAAAAAACCTATCAGATTAACAGGAGATTTCTCAGCAGCAGCCTGACAAGCTAGAAGGGACTGGGGCCCTATCTTCAGCCTCCTTAAACAAAACAATTATCAGCCAAGAATTTTGTATCCAGTGAAACTAAGCTTCATAAATGAAGGAAAGATTGTCTTTTTCAGACAAAACAAATGCTGAGGGAATATGTCACTACCAAGCCAGCACTACAAGAACTGCTAAAAGTGGCTCTAAATCTGGAAACAACTCCTCAAAATACATCAAAACAGAACCTCCTTAAAGCATAAATCTAAATTACCTGTAAAACAACAACACAATAAATATTAAAATAAAAAACAAGGTATTCAGGCAACAAATAGCATGATGAATAGAATAGTACCTCACATCTCAATACTAACCTTGAATGTAAATGGCCTAAATGCTCCACTTAAAAGTATCTGCTGCCTTCAAGAGATTTACCTACATAAGGACTACATAAACTTAAGGCAAAGGGGTGGAAAAAAGACACTCCATGCAAATAGAAACCAAAAGTAGGCAGGAGTAGCTATTCTTATATCAGACAAAACAAACTTTAAAGCAACAGCAGTTAAAAAAGATAAAGAGGGACATTATATAATGATAAAAGGCCTTGTCCAACAGGAAAGTATCACAATCCTAAGTATATGTGCACCTAACACTGGAGCTCCCAAATTTATAAAACAATTACTACTAGACCTAAGAAATGAGATAGACAGCAACACAATAATAGTGGGGACTTCAGTGCTCCACTGATGGCACTAGACAGGTCATCAAGACAGAAAGTCAAAAAGAAACAATGGATTTAAACTATACCCTAGAGCAAATAGACTTAACAGGTATTTACAGAACATTCCACCCAACAAATGCAGAATATACATTCTCTTCATCAGCACGTGTAACATTCTGCAAGATCGACCCATATGATAGGCCACAAAACAAGTCTCAATAAATTTAAGAAAATTGAAATCATATCAAGTACTCTCTCTGACCACAGTGGAATAAAATTGGAAATCAACTCCAAAAATAACCTTCAAAACCATGCAAATACATGGAAATTAAATAATATGCTCCTGAATGATCACTAGGTCAACAATGAAATCAAGATGGAAATTAAAAAATTCTTTGAACTGCATGATAATAGTGACACAACATATCAAAACCTCCAGGATACCGCAAAGACAGTGCTAAAAGGAAAGTTCATAGCGTTAAATGCCTACATCCCCAAGTCTGAAAGAGCACAAATAGACAATCTAAGGTCACACCTCAAGGAACTAGAGAAACAAGAACAAACCAAACCCCAACCCAAACCCAGCAGAAGAAAAGAGATAACCAACATGAGACCAGAACTAAATGAAATTGAAACAACAACAACAACAAAAACCAACAAAAAATAAATAAAACAGAAAGCTGGTTCTTTGAAAAGATAAATAAGATTGATAGAACATTAGCAAATTAACCAAGAAAAGAAGAGAGAAGATCCAAATAAGCTCAATTAGAAACAAAACAGGAGATATTACAACTGACACCACAGAAACACAGAAGATCACTCAAGGCTAGTATGAGCACCTTTATGCACATAAACTAGAAAACCTAGAGGAGATGGATAAATTCCTGGAAATATACAACTCTCCTAGCTTAAGACAGGAAGACTCAGAAACCCTGAACAGACTAATACAAACAGTGAGATCGAAATGGTAATTAAACAAAATTGCCAACAAACAAAAGTCCAGGAACAGCCAGAATCACAGCTGAATTCTATCAGATATTCAAAGAAGAATTGGTACAAATTCTATTGACACTATTCCACAATATAGAGAAAGAAGGAATCCTCCCTAAATCATTCTATGAAGCCAGCATCACCCTAATACCCAAACCAGGAAAGGACATAAGAAAAAAAGAAAACTACAGACCAATATCCCTGACGAACATAGATGCAAAAATCTTTAACAAAATACTAGCTAACCAAATCCAACAGCATGTCAAAAAGATAATTCACCATGATCAAGTGGATTTCATATTAGGGGTATAGGGATGGTTTAACATATGCAAGTCAATAAAGGTGATACACCACATAAACAGAATTAAAAACAGAAACCACATGATCATCCCAATAGATGCAGAAGAAGCATTTGACAAAATTCAGCATCCCTGTATGATTAAAACCCTCAGCAAAATCGGCATACAGGGACATACCTTAATGTAATAAAAGCCATCTATGAAAAACCCACAGCCAACATAATACTGAATGGGGAAAAGTTGAAATCATTCCCTCTGAGAACTGTAATAAGACAAGGATGACCACTCACCCCTTCTTTTCAACGTAGTATTGGAAGTCCTAGCCACAGCAATCAGACAAGAGAAAGAAATAAAGGGCATCCAAATCAGTAAAGAGGAAGTCAAACTGTTACTCTTTGCTGATGATATGATTGTATATCTAGAAAACCATAAAGCCTCCTCCAAAAAGCTCCTAGAACTGATAAATGAATTCAGCAAAGTTTCAGGACAGAAAATTAATGTACACAAATTAGTAGTTCTGCTACACACCAACACCGAGCAGTTCTTTGATTTCAGAATCAAAGAAAAAACTCAACCCCTTTTAAAATAACTGCAAAAAAAACCAAACAAACCTTAGGAATATACCTGCCCAAGGAGGTGAAAGACCTCTACAAGGAAAACTACAAAACACTGCTGAAAGAAATCATAAACAACACAAACAAATTGAAACATATCCCATGCTCATGGATGGGTAGAATCAATATTGTGAAAATGACCATACTGACAAAAGCAATCTACAAATTCAATGCAATTCTCATCAAAATACCACCATCATTCTTCACAGAACTAGAAAAGACAATCCTAAAATTCATCTGGAACCAAAAAAGAGCCCGCATAGCCAAAGCAAGGCTAAGCAAAAACAACAAATCTGGAGGCATCACATTATCTGGCTTTAAACTAGACTATAAGGCCATGGTCACCAAAACAGCATGTACTGGTATAAAAATAGGCATATAGATCAATGGAACAGAATTAAGAACTCAGAAATAAAGACAAATACTTACAGCCAACTGTTCTTTGACAAAGCAAACAAAAACATAAAGTGGGGAAAGGACACCCTAGTCAACAAATGGTGCTGGGATAATTGGCAAGCCACATGTAGAAGAATAAAACCAGATCCTCATCTCTCACCTTATACAAAAATCAACTCAAGATCGATCAAGGACTTAAATCTAAGACCCAAAACCATAAAAATTCTAGAAGGTAACATTGGAAAAACCCTCTAGACATTGGTTTAGGCAAAGACTTCATGACCGAGAACCCAAAAGCAAATGCAACAAAAACAATAATAAATAGGTGGGACTTAATTAAGCTAAAAAGTTTCTGCACAGCAAAAGAAACAATCAGCAAAGTAAACACACAACTCACAGAGCAAGAGAAAATCTTCACAATCTATATATCTGACAAAGGACTAATATCCAGAATCTACAGGGAACTCCAACAAATAAGCAAGAAAAAAAAACAAACAATCCCACCAAAAAAAATGGGCTAAGGATATGAAGAGACAATTCTCAAAAGATGATATACAAATGGCCAACAAACATATAAAAAATGCTCAACATCACTAATTATCAGGGAAATGCAAATGAAAACCACAATGCCATACCACCTTACTCCTGCAAGAATGGTGGCCATAATCAAAAAATAAAAAAATAGTAGACGTTGGTGGGGATGTGGTGAACATTACACTGCTGGTGGGAATGTAGACTAGTGCAAACACTATGGAAATCAGTGTGGAGATTCCTTAAAGAACTAAAAATAGAACTATTGTTTGATCCAGCAGTCTCACTACTGGCTATCTACCCAGAGGAAAATAAGTCATTATATGAAAAATATACTTGCACATGTATATTTATAGCAGCACAATCACAACTGCAAAAATGTGGAACCAGCCCAAATGCCCATCAATCAATGAGTGGATAAAGAAATTGTATAGCAGCACAATCACAACAGCAAAAATATGGAACCAGCCGAAATGCCCATCAATCAATGAGTGGATAAAGAAATTGTGAGATATGTATATATATATATATATATACACATACACCATGGAATCATGGAATACTATTCAGCCATAAAAAGGAATGAAATAATGGCATTTGCAGCAACCTGGATGGAATTGGAGACCATTATTCTAAAGTGAAGTAACTCAGGAGTGGAAAACCAAACATCATATATTCTTATTCATAATTGAAAGCTAAGCTATGATGATGCAAAGGCATAAGAATGATACAGTGGACTTTGGGGACTTGGGGGAAAGGGTGGGCAGGAGTGAGGGACAAAAGACTACAAATTGGGCACAGTGTATACAGCTCTGTTGATTGATGCACCAAAATCTCACAAATCATCTCTAAAGAACCTGCTAATGTAATCAAACACCACCTGTTCCCCAAAAACCTATGGAAATAAAAAACATAAAATCAAATAAAAAGATGATTAGAAAAATGTTAACTACCTGGAAATGATAGATTTATAAATAATTCAGGTATTGTAGAATAAATCAAATTGAAATTAAATATTTTGAACTACATTGTGATAGATATGACATATTAAACCTTGTAGCATGCAGCGAATATGCTACTTAATGTGTGATTTATAACTCTAAATGAAGATAAATGAACAAATTCAGGAAATCAATGATTTAAACTTCCATCTCGAGAAATGAGTAAAAAGCCCATCAAATCAAACTTAAGGAGATTAAGTGAAATAAGCAATAAAGGTAAGAGCACATATCAATAAGATTAAGAAAACTCACAAACATACAATAGAAAAAAATAATCAAAACCAAAAAGTTAGGTCCGTAAGAAAATTATAAAATTGATAAATCCCTAGCAAAATTGATTGGGAACTAAAAGTAAATTATCAATATCAGGATTGAAAAGGAGAACATTACTACAGATCCTATAGATCAAATTATAATAAGAAGGTATTATTAAAAACTTCACATGAACATACTTGGTAATTTAGATAAAAATATTACTTATCCCAACTGACAAAAGAAACTTTGGTACAAGATTTATTTAAATAATAAAATTTACTATTAAAATGACAGATCAACTCTCTTATAAACATAAATGCAAATTTTTAAACAAAATTTTGGAAAGTGCAAACAAGTGTTATATAAAAAGGAAAATACAATATGACCAATATATTTTATTCTAGGTATGAAATGTTGATTCAACATTAGAAAAATGAATCAATGTGATTCACCATATTAACAGAAGAAAACAGCAGATTATCTCAATAAAATAAAGCATTTGACAAAATTCAACATATATTCATGATGAAAATTTGTAACAAACTAGAAATAGAAGGGAACTTTCTAAATTCGATTTTAAAAATCTACCAAAAAATTACATGTTATTGTATTTAATATTAAAATGCTAAAAGCTTCTTCCTTGAGATCAGTACTGTATATGGTATGACTTTATTTGCATAAAATACAAAACAGGCAAAGTTAACTTATCTGTATTACAATCCAGAATAGTAGTTACCCTATTCTGGATTCAGGAAGGAAATAGTAGAAAGACTCCTGGGGTGCTGGTAATGTCTGTTTCTTGATCTGATGTGGCTATAAAGTTATATTCACTTTTTGAAAATTCATTGATCTGTTCACTTATAATGCATGTAATTTTCTGTATGTTTACATTAACAAAAGATTAATTTAAAAACATGCTGATAGAAATTTTAAAATCCAACTTGTATTTCAAATAACTAGCTTTCTCTCAGGAGATAATAGGTTGGAGGATTTTTCAATGTTCAGACAGTTCTTTGCCAGCATGTTGACCCAGCCTTGGCAAGGGCTAAATGATGGATACCTTGGGGGCCCATTTATAGAATTTGAGCTCCCCAGACAATGCTCAGAAACCAGACAGGTCTTTCATCGGCTTTCCCATAGCTAAGTGAGCTTTTCCAACACATTTTCCAGGCCTCAGATAATGCAATTCTATTTCAGGAAACTTTCTTAGTGTGTGCAGCTGCCCAGCATCTCTCCAAAGGAAAGGTCTGCGGAGCCATTGTAGATCTGTTTCTCACTGTGCTGTCCCTATTGGGGTGGAAGGCAAAGTAAAAAGGCCAAGCCTCTTAGGACTCAAACTATACATTGGGTAGAGGCAGCAGTAGAAGTGAACAATAACCTGCAAGATCCTCTGATCAAGAAACATTACTCCATGAACCTCCACACCAAGAGCAACAGCCATATGCTACTAGGAACAGCTCTTGAAGCTTTATTTGAAACATATTCTCCAAAGAAGTTGCACATTTGCTCTCTAGACCTAGGTACTAGATTTCTTCTCCAAATTTCATTGCACTTCGTTATCTGTTCAGGAGCTCCCCCAACTTCATAAATGAGACAGGTGGAGAGGTAGCACATTTACAATGGATGCTGTTGACCCCTTGCTTTCTTTGTTTAATTTTATTTTTTAAATTGAATTATAATAATTGCACATATTCATGGGGTACATAATGATGTTTCAATACATATTGTGTATAGCAATCAGATAAGGACTATGAATATATCCGTCATTTCAAATATTTATCACTTCTTTGTGTTGGGAACATTCAGTATTCTCCTTCTAGCTATTTAAAACTATACATTGTTGTAATTTTCTTAGAATGGAAATCTACCCAGACAGTTCTAGCAAAAGAAACTGCCTGGCTTTTTACTTCTTTTCTAGAAAGCAACATAATTTTGATCAGCTAACTTCCCCTTCTTCCAAGAAGTTCTTAGGGCTTATTCCAGTACACGGTCCTCTCTCTTTTCTCTTCTCTCTGAAAGCATGTGGGAGTCATGTTCAGCTTACAAACTGGCTGGCTTTACAGACACACACACACACACACACACACACACACACACACACACACACACACACAATGTGATATATACATCTATGGCTTGGAGCCCTGCATTTTGTATAGATGTAATATTTTTGTGGTGCCTACTTTCTTAGGAGGGTCCACGAAGTCTGCTCAATATAAGTGGATCCAAAAGATTGCATCTGTAGTATATGAAAGCCCTTGTCTTTTTATAGCAGCATTTAGCAGCAGACGTAGCCTTTTCAGTTCTACCCTGATAGAGAATGGTCTTCTCCCTAACCTATTCTAAATGCCTTACTGTGATGATCAGGCTCCTCTCTAGTTCTTTAATGTCCTTGTTTATTCCATTCATTCCCTTTTTTATTATTCTTCAAACTGGCTTTTCCCCCATCAAATATGTCAAACTAGTTTCTTTCTCAACCTGTGGTCCTTGCTCTTCCCTCTGCCTACAATACTCTCATCTAGGTCTTCAGTTGACCAGCCCCTTCTTCTCATTCAGGTGTCAGCTTAAGTGTCATCTCCTCAGAAGACCTTCCCTGATTACCAATCAATTTATAACAAGTCATTCTCTAGTTTTTAAATTTATCTTATCTATTTATTCTCTTGCTTATGGAATATTTACCCCCACTATGATGCAAGCACCATGAATGAAGGGCTCTTGTCTGTTTTATCCATTTTTAGGTCTCCAGCACCTAGCACAGTGCCTGATACATAGTGGGCAGATATGTTAGTTTGAGTCTTCTGAGAAGCAGATTCCCAGATGGGATGAGACATACAAGAAATTTATTAGGAGAAACACCTGTGAAGCATAAAGGGGAGGGTGCCAGGAGAGCTTCAGAGTATGCCAGGAGAGCTTCAGTCTGTGTCACAGGTCTTAAACCTGTGAAAGAAGAGAGAAAAGGGAGGTTTAATTAAGAAGAACCTCAGACCACAGTGTAGTTCTGAGAAAGTCTTGGTCAGGCTGAAAAGGAGAGCCCATTCAAAGGTTGCCCATTAAAAAAGCCCCATGTTGGACAGGAATGGCCTGGTTCCAGGCCCCCCACCATGCTCAGATAGTAGCTGAGAGTGAGCCTGAGAAAGCTGGGTACATAGTGGACCCAAAGGGGCGGCTTCTGGGGCTGTAGTCACAAGGCTCCCCATGTAGATTAACTTGAAGAGGTACCTGAATGGTGAACCCAAGGTCTCCGCAGCAGTTCCTAGACATTTGTTAAAAGAAAAAATGAGTGGATAAATGCATGATAAATCTCTGAACTCCATGGTAGAGGAACCCACATGGCCTAACTAGACAAATTCTTTTTGAACTCTTCAACTGGTCTCATGAATGGACCTGCAAACTGGCTGTTCCTGGCCATCACTTCTATGGATGAGCCAGGTACTAGTGGTATTGTAAGTGATATCATTTGGATATTTGTTCTCTCTGAATCTCATGTTGAAACATAATCCCCAGTGTTGGAGGTGAGATTTGGTAGGTATTTTGCATCACGGAGGCAGATCACTCATGCATGTTTTAGTGCTATGCCCTTGGTGATGAGTGAGTTCTTGTTCTGAGGTCATGCAAGATGTGTTTGTTTAAAAGTATGTGGCACCTCCCCCACTCTCTCTTGCTGCAGCTCTTGCCATGTGATGCACTGGCTACCCCTTCACTTTCCAGCATGAAAGTGTAAGTTTCCTGAGGCCCTCACCAGAAGCAGATGCTGGCACTATGCTTCCAGTACAGTCTGAAGAGCCATGAGCCAATTAAACCTCTTTTATTTATAAATTACTCAGCTTCAGGTATTCCTTTATAGCCACACAAACAGACTAACACAGTAGGTCAGGACCACTTCTGTGCTTGATACCTCACAATGAAGACCTTAATTGACCCATAAATTAGCTTTATTACTATTATTGTTTATTGTTGTATCATTGTTTTCTCTAACCA
Organism: Homo sapiens; assembly: GCF_000001405.40. Lineage (NCBI taxonomy): Eukaryota > Metazoa > Chordata > Mammalia > Primates > Hominidae > Homo > Homo sapiens. Next base: position 95,808,977 of record NC_000008.11, on the reverse strand, counting down.
GAGGATAACGCAGGAAGACTTACAAATGCTTTATCCTTTTCCTGTTTTTCCCTACACTTCTTAGCACAGTGTAGTTCTAAAGTAAAGATCCCAACTTCAAAGGCTTACCAAAGCCAGGCATTTTATGGAGACAGGTGAAGCAGGCCTGGTGGAGAATGGTAGGGATGAGAACTGGAGTTGGCTTGCCCCATCTAGATGGGGCAACTGCCCTCTAGCTGCAAGCAGATGATTGCCAGGTGGGAATGCAGACTCCATGTGACTAGGTCAAGTAATGCCAGAAATCTGGATTTTTTACGTGAAATCTCCCGATTTTTCAATGTTGGGAACTAATTAAGTACGTTTTAAGCACTCCACAAGCCAACCCTAGTGTGGCCAAACAAAACATGCCTGTGGGATGATTTGGCCATCAGTTTATGGTCTCCATTCTAGACCAGTTGATGGACAACATTCTAGATCTTTAAAACTCAGTTTTGCTAAAAGTTTTGTAGCAGTTTTTCTTGGAAGTCTTCTCAGAACAGCTGATGACTAACCATTTATGTCACTCCCCAGTATCCCGGCCCCAGACAGCATGGAAGAGAATAGACCATAAATGTCTGAGTCACAAAGTCCATGGGACTCCATGAAATGCAAGGTGACAGGCATCTCTTTACCAGTGTGTGAGTGGGCCTGCCAGTGAGGACAAGGCTGAAGATAAACAGATGGATCTTACTGCCTGCCCAGAGGGAGTACAAAGTGGCTTCAGGGAGTGAGGACTAAATTCCAAGGCAGAGTTCACTTTCAGCAAATATTATGCCCTACAGCTGGAAAACCCAGATGCATTATTTGTTTATTTACTTATTTTTGGTAGTAAGCCACATAATTAGAAATCCTAAGAGGTAAAGGTAAGAAAAATGGAAAAACTCACTGGTGATTCAAAATTATGAAAGACTTAAAACAGTAACAACAATAATAATTTTTAAAAGTCCCTCCCAATAACAAACTTGTTTTGTTTTGTTTTTTGAGATAGGGTCTTGTTCTGTGTCCCAGGCTGGAGTGCAGTGGCACCATCATGGCTCACTGCAGCCTCGACCTCCTGGGCTCAAGGAATCCTCCCACCTCAGCCTTCCAAGTAGCCAGGAGTTTCAGTGTTACCCAGGCTGGTCCTGAACTCCTGAGCTCAAGCAATATGCCCGCCTCGGCCTCCCAAAGTGCTGGGATTACAGGAGTGAGCAACTGCACCCAGCCCCCAAATAACAAGTTTTAATCAATTTTATTACTGCATGCATACAGCATATGTGCCGAATTATATATTTGATTCATTTTGAGCACGTTGATGAGAATGTTGATGTTTAACATAATGAATAATTTCTAATATTTAATTAGGACCCACATCCTGATTCAGACTCCAGGTTTGTAGCATCAATGGTGACTTACTGCTTGGATTTTCAGAAGCATAAAAATCACAATCCATTTTAACAGACCCAGGGGAATCTAAACATTTTCCAGAATTTGACACATAGTAGGGATATCAGTTACTGGATTCATGTACTTATCAACAAAGCTGTTGGTGGAAGTTGCATTGCTTTTAGGTGTATGGGAGGCTCTTAAATAGTGCTACTTTTTCAAAGTAAATCCTTGTTCATTCTTTGAACTTGTGATTCCAATCCAACAAAGACTATAATTTACTTCTGGAATTGATGAAAATTCTGTTTTCATCAATACTTCTATAATCCTTTAAAATTTTTATTGCATGATGGTTGCCTTCTTCAAAAGGTATCTATCCAGTTTGAACACAGACAGCTGCACTTCTGAAATTATCGGTGATGCTCTGCACTTTGCTTTTCTCTTGAAATTTTGAATTCAGTATACATCCATGTTTTGTCACAACTATGAGAAAGCATCGTCATTGAACAAAAAGCACTCCAACAATGTTGGTTTCTCAGTCCTTCATCCCCAAAGTTCTTGATCTGAGGAGGCAGCTCAGTGAATCTCGTGAGGTTTCCCCATCTGAGGGCTTAAAAATAAACAGCATCTGCCTACACTGATTTATGTGCTTCAAAATATCTAATAAACTGATGATGGCTGTGGGGACTGGCTTGAAGAACCATCACAGTTGGAATCATTTGCTGCATTGCATCACACATGGACCTCCCCACAGAGGTCACAGTCCCAACTTTTTCAGGAAGAGGCAATGGCAGCCTCCATGCAACCTATGCTACTGACTGCAGTCACCTCTCAAAGCCACCTTGTCCTCTTTCATACCAAAGGTGTCCCATTGGCAAGTGAACTCATCTTTTCCATGTTTTGACCAAACTTCTCAAATTCCTTATTGGCATGAGTTAGGACTTCCCAACTCAGGTATGCCAGGTAATTTCACATGTATATGTACAGGATTGTGTAAGAATCTATGCTTATGCTCTTGAAAAGCATTTATAGCTCCCTATATATGGCACAGGCCAGAAGACTGTCCTACAGCCTAAACTTCTAGGTTCTCTCTATCTTTTCATTAATTCAACAAATATTTGGTGAAAACATACTATGCCCAGATGCCTAAATTTACATCTTACTTGTTGACATTTTAATTGTCAACTCCAGTCTTTTTTCCAGAAACAGCACAACAAGGACAGAGGGGTTTATTTTCAAATGGTGTTGGCAGAAATTGATGTAGCAATTAGCCTCTCTAGAAGAATCCCCTGCTATTTCATCAGTTTACTAACTTCTGTGCACTGGAATTGAGAGAGCTGCCAAGTGCAGGCTTCTTTTTGGAAAAAAAATAGTAAATCCTAGTTTAAAATCCTCTACATAATCATATTCTGCTTCACTTGGCAAAACTTTTAACTTCTATGATTGAGACATCAACTGTGCTTTTTTTTAACTCTCCAGTAGTAAATCTTGTGTATTTCTAAATCCTTCTTGAAATATTATATTTACTATATATGTTCTACCATGGGTAGTAGTTTTATAATCCTTTATCAAAATGCTTTGTGACCTGCCTGCATTTAGCTATCTGCAAACTATCTTTTACTTAGTCCACATCTGCTTACTGCTGAACAGCCTGCCTTTGCTGTAACTTTGTGTTAAACATGACAAGTTATTATTGCATTTGCTATTTGCTGCCATTTGCAATTGTCATCTTTTAAGACATGCTGTCTCCCTAGACCACTTTTGATCATTTGCATGACATGAAAAGAAATGACTGCAAATAAAAATTGCTCAAATGCTATGCCTGGTTGTGGTTTTAAGTGGAACATCTGGGCTCATTCAAATCACCCTTCCTTCTGAGGTGACTTTCTTTGCCGTGACTCACAAAGGCAGGAGGTTTGGTCAGGTGGCTTTTCCCAGGAGTTACTGGGAAAAAAGGGAATTTTTACTCCAGAGACTGTTTCTGGGCTCTTCAAAGCTTTCAGGAAGAAACAGGGCACTTCATGTTATTCTTTTCAACCTGTTCTGGGCTACTGATAGCTTTGACAAGAAAAGTCTCTGGAACTTCTTTTGACAAGGGAGCCCAGAGGATGGTCACCCAGGAACCGAGGTGGAGTGGATAAAAATGTGGAAGCCTGGGGAAGACCTGGTTGGATCTTTGAAACTGTGCAAGGGAAACAGGCTCAGTCTGACTGGCTGCAGAGTGTGGAATAGAGGGTATCAGAATGGAGGGGGAGAATTCACTTCAGCAAAGTTGATGGACAGTCCCTACTTCAGGTCTCAGCTCAAAGATCACTTCCTTGGAGAGACTTTCTCTGCCACCCAAGTAGATCTCCCTCCCTTGATTTGCCTAATCATGTGACTCTGCTTATTTCCTCAAAACAGTTCTGAGACCATGAGGTTTCTTGTTTATTTATTTTTATTGTTCTCCCCAATGGAAAGTAAGCTCCATGGTGACAGGGACTCTGTTTGCTTTGTTCACCCACTCCTCTCCAGGTCAGGGCTGGCTACACAATTTGTGGGGCCCAGTGCAAAATAATGTAGGGTGCCTTGTTCAAAAAAAGAAGGGGAAAAAGCACTGCTAAGGGCACTAAAGTGTGATATTTTCCTTTCTTGAACGGTCTCTCAACTTGCCATTGTGTTTCTTTATTTGCTATTTAATGATATTCTAAGTTAAAAATGGAAATTTAAAATTATTAGCATGGTTTACTGTTTATCTTTACAATGTGTAATGTCAGTTTTAAGTGCAAATATAACAGCATTTAACTCTTACACAGAAATCATGAAAATTTCTCTGCAACCTCACCAACATCTGTTGCTTTTTGACTTTTTAATAACAGCCATTCTGACTGGTGTGAGAAGGTATCTCATTGTGGTTTTGATTTGCATTTCTCTAATGATTAGTGATTATGAGTATTTTTTCATATATTTGTTGGCCACATGTATTTCTTCTTTTGAGAAGTTTCTGTTTATGCCCTTTGCCCATTTTTAAAATTGGGTCCTGGAGAAGAGGGAACACTTACACACTGCTGGTGGGAATCTAAATTACTTCAGCCACTGTGGAAAGCAGTGTGGAGATTCCTCAAATAACTTAAAAACTAACATTTGACCCAGCAATCCAACTACTGGGTATATACCCAAAGGAAAATAGATTGTTCTACCAAAATGACACATACACTCATATGTTCATTGCAACAATATTCACAATAGCAAAGACATGAAGTCAACCTAGATGCCCATCAATGGTGGACTGGATAAAGAAAATATGGTTCATGTACACCATGGAATGCTACACAGCCATAAAAAGGCATGAAATTATGTCCTTTGCAGCAACATGGATGCATCTGGAGGCCATTATCCTAACTGAACTAATGCAGAAATATAAAACCAAATACTGCATGTTCTCTCTTATAAGTGGGAGCTAAACATATCTATCAGGTGCTATGCTATCTGCCTGGGTGATGAGATCATTTGTACACCAAACCTCAGCGACATTCAATTTATCCATGTAACAAACCTGCACATGTACTCCCTGAATCTAAAAAAAGTTGAGAGAAAAAAACAAAATAAAACAAAACAATTACCAAAATTACACAATTAATATTTGTAGCTCAAAAATGCATATCTATTTCACTCTTACCAGAACAGTGGAAATGCTACATGAAACTCAACAGTTTTTAATTCACATCATGATACATTCTACCAACACTCTTTACCTTCAGTTTACTTATGGGTAAGGAAAAATTAAAAGGAAAAGAAACTATGGTATTAACATTTTCTCTCCTAGCATTTCAGCATTAAAGTAGTTGGCTAATACAGGGAAACAACATGAATAAGAAAGAATGCAATAGGGTCCCTTGGTTCTTGTTCTCTTTCAAACAAAAAAGCATGGCCTCTAGGATGTCAGCACCTGCCTCCTCCCCACCTTTCTCAGTAGTAGCCCTAACACAATTGCCTTGTACTTGCTTTTAGTTTCACTGAATGCTTGAATATTGTGGGCCGCCAACTTCTGTGCTCATGGGGTGTCATCACAAATGCTATATGTGAATGGGAAGGCACTGTGGACATTTCCTCTGCTCATGTGCATGCTCCCTCATCCCATTAGACTTTCTTACAAAACACAAGTTTCATGAAATTATTCAGAATTGCAAGATAGTGGTAGCAGTGCGTTAAACCAAATGTGGGACCATTTGACTGTGTAAGTCTCTGCCCATGAAACCAGCCCTGATCCATTTTCCATCACAATGTAGTTAATAAAGAGCACACTGAGCACAGAGGATGGGCACATGCATTCTTGCTGAATGATGAATGACTGAACAATTCAGAACTGTTGACCAGTGAACTGAGCTGCAGCCATAAGTGACCTCATGGCCCAGAAAGAGGAAGACAAAGACAAAGGTAGAGAGCTTCAGTTTCCAATACTGTTCCTGTTCCTCAGCCTACTTGTACCTCCTAGCCTTGAGTTCAGTGAAATATTATTATTCCCTATAACAAATCTCCCCTGATTTATCTGTGTAGGTTTTTATAGTGTCTTGACAAGAAATTCATTTTGTGCCGTGGCCCGCCCATGACCCTCTCCAGACATATCCAGCTATACGATCTTCTGAATGTGTCATGATTTTCACATTGGCATGCCTTTGACCACAGAGCCATTGTTCTCTCAATGACTATGTCCTCTTCTTTTCTTTTTCTTTTCTTTTCTTTTTTCTTTTCGTTTCTCTCTTTTTTTTTTTTTTTTGAGATGGAGTTTTGCTCTTGTCACCCAGGCTGGAGTGCAATGGTGTGATCTTGGCTAACTGCAACCTCAGCCTCATGAGTTCAATCACTTCTCCTGTCTCAGCCTCCCGAGTAGCTGGGATTACAGGCACCCGCGACCAGGCTCTCTTTTCTAATAAGCCAACTCCTCTTCTTTCTCCAAGATCAGCTCTCCTGTGATACGTTCTTCAGTTCTCACTTGAGATAGTCACTCAGCTGTCATTGTATTGAGGTAGATGCTGACATTTCTGTCCCTGAGATCTCCTTGGGGATGGGGTAAAGCAGTGTTCTCTTTTGTATTTCTCTTGCCCAGTACCTCATCTAGTGCTTGATACTTAGATTCTCACTGTTGCATAAGACTTCATTGTTGATTTACCAAATTACCATATATGGCTACACCTGGGGGACATTATGTTAGGACTATTTTCAGAATACCTCAGTTGCAAGTTGTTCACCACTTCTCAGTCCTTATTTCTTGTGTTCAAAGATGAGTTTTCATTGAAAACTCTTCTAGCTGATTATATGAATTATTTAAGTTAGTGGTAGTAGAAAGAAGTGTGGACAATAAAAAGAGGCATATTGAAATGGGCTTGGATTAAAGCCATCCAAAGACTATCTGTGCTCAGTTGTGCCTAAAGTACTTTTGGAACAATCTATTTATGAAATGATAGACCACAGATCACTGTTGATGACACCCACATTCATTCTTGACAACTATGACTCATTCGTACGTCGTGCACATACACAGGAGCAGGAATAGATCACAGATCACTGACTGTGACACCCACATTCATTCTTGAAAAGTATGACTCAGCTGTAAGTCGTGCACATACACAGGAGCAGGAATCTGAGGGGAAGAAATATCTATCCAGTGCAGATGCCATTCACAGAGATCCCCAGACAGTCTCCTAAGCAGCCTGAATTGTTCTTCTTGTCTGGTCTGCATCCCACTGGGAAACAGTCCAAGGTGTTAAATATTTTCACTGAATATGGTGGTCTCCCTCCTTTGGCATGATGTTTTGGAGGGGTCTCTTCCAGTGGGACATTGTTTATCATTTATTTCTCATCCAAACTGAGAATTATAGAACGAATCCTGCTTTCATTCAGATTACAGATTTGTTAAAACAATATCTGAAATATAGCAGATATTGTCATGATTTTGCAAAAACAAAACAAAAACGAAAAAGTCTTACAAGATAGAAATGCTTAATGAATACATAACACATTTATCAGGACTTGTTTTCTCATTGTTATCAAGAGTTGGCCATGAGGAATAGGATATTAGGTCATATGCAGACTAGGAAGTGGAAAAGGCCAAAAGATAAAAATTCTACAAGAGACAGAGAAAGCGCTTACATGTCTATCTTTTTTGCTTGCTTCACACATGAAGTGATTCCCTGCTGAATGGAAAGACAGACAGGTGAGACTGGCTTTCATTCAAATGATGGGTGGAAGTGCCCCTGCCATGTTTGAAGGTTTAAAAAGTTCTAATATTCAGATGAAGAGGGAAGAGAGAATAACGTTCTCCTCCCTTCATATGCAATGCAGTCGGAAAATCAGTCCCATTCTTTTATTTATGTGGTCAAAATGCAAGTATAAAAATTATTACCCAGATTGCAAGTCAATCTAATCACTGCATCATCTTTCATTAGCTCTGGACATTTAGCTCTCTGTGATACAACCGTTTCTCTGACCGAATAAGTCTGTGTCAAATAATTGTTAAAATTTCCACTGATCCCCAAAAGTCTGAGCACCAGCTGGATGTAGATGTTTGCCAACACCAGCAGTCATGTGGAACTCACTAATTGGGTATATGCATCCTGGGCATACAGACATGCCATGCCAAAGGGGTGGCCGTACCTCACGATGCCTTTGGAACATGCAATAACTTCATTGCTTTACAAAAAAAAAAAGGAAAAGACAAGACTTGGCTGAAAGCAAGATTGCTTTTCAGAAGGGAAACTCTTTTCCCAGGGTGCACTGTGCAGACAAAACTTACTGCATCCCTTCTGAAAATGTGTCTGGAGCAGTCTTCCAAGATGATTAATAGAGCAAGTATTTCTCACAAGGGTCTGACCTTTGAAAGCACAGACAGACAAAGGCATAAATGGTCAGAGAGGGATGGAGAGCGTCAGGCTCACGAGACACCCGTGCCCACACACTCACCTCTTGTCAGGGCCTGGAACACACTGTGCTGTCCCTTGGGGAAAGCCCTTTAGGACCATGATGCCTTTGAAAGGTTTTTGTGTCATTGTAAATGTCTTTACCTTGAAGATTTTCTTTCAAATGATGGAACTGCCAGTTGGTGTATTGTAGGGTGCAGAGACTGCAAAAACAAAAAAAAATTAGTCACATGATTTCCTGCACCAACTGTTCAGCTCAGAGCCATGGGCCACACATTTAGACACCAATTCTTTATTTTTTTTATTTTAAGTTCTGGGGTACATGTGCAGGATGTGCAGCCTTGTTACATAGGTAAATGTGTGCTATAGTGGTTTCCTGCACCTATCAACCCATCAGCTAGGTATTAAGCCAGGCATGAATTAGTTATTTTTTCTGATGCTCTCTCTCCCCACAACCACCCCCGGGGGTTCACAGGCCTGTGTGTATTGTTCCCCTTCCTGTGCCCATGTGGTCTCATTATAGAAACGAATTCTTAAATGCAATGTGTGTGTTTCACTGAAGAGGGGAGGAAAGGAAAGTAGATATTTTGGGAAAAGAAAACCAGTATTTTTAAGGACCTAATGTTAAATCTTTATAGCAACTCTATAAAACAAATGTTTATGTTCCCATTTGACAGACAGATGAACTAGAACTTGAAGAACTCGGTAAGGTCATGTGGGGATTCATGTGTATGAAGTGTTTACTATGAGGAGGACAGTCAGCTACACAGAAGAATGTGACCCTTATGAGGCTAATCAGATATTATCTCCATGGGTCTCGCTGGGACCTTTAAGAAAAGTACTTTCTCTGTTCCTGTGTTAGTTTGCTAAGGATAATGGCCTTCAGCTCCATCCATGTTCCTGCAAAGGACATGATCTCATTCTTTTTTTATGACTGCATAGTATTCCATGGTGTATATTACCACATTTTCTTTATCCAGTCTATCTTTGATGGGCATTTAGGTTGACTCCATGTCTTTACTGTTGTGAATAGTGCTGCAGTGAACATACATATGCATGTGTCTGTCTTTACAGTAAAACGACTTATATTCCTTTGGATATATACCAAGTAATGGGATTGCTGGGCTGAATGGTACTTCTGTCTTCAAGTCTTTGAGGAACTGCATGCTCGCACTTATAAGTGCAAGCTAAATGATGAGAACACATGGACAAATAGAGGGGAACAACACACACTGGGTTCTTTTGGAGGGTGAAGGTTGAGAGGAGGAAGAGGATCATGAAAAATAACTGATGTGTACTATGTACAAGGCTTAATACTTGGGTGATTAAATAATCTGTACAACAAATCTCCATGACACAAGTTTACCTGTGTAACAAACCTGCACTTTTACCCCAAACTTAATCAACCAACGAGCAAAATAACCAGCTAACATCATAATGACAGGATCAAATTCACACGTAACAATATTAACTTCAAATGTAAATAGACTAAATGCTCCAATTAAAAGACACAGACTGGAAAATTGGATAAAGAGTCAAGACCCATCAGTGTGCTGTATTCAGGAAACCCATCTCACGTGCAGAGACACACGTCGGCTCAAAATAAAAGGATGGAGGAAGATCTACCAAGAAAATGGAAAACAAAAAAAGGCAGGAGTTGCAATCCTAGTCTCTGATAAAACGGACTTTAAACCAACAAAGATCAAAAGAGACAAAGAAGGCCATTACATAATGGTAAAGGGATCAATTCAACAAGAAGAGCTAACTATCCTAAATATATATGCACCAAATACAGGAGCACCCAGATTCATAAAGCAAGTCCTGAGTGACCTACAAAGAGACTTAGACTCCCACACAATAATGGGAGACTTTAACACCCCACTGTCAACATTAGACAGATCAATGAGACAGAAAGTTAACAAGGATACCCAGGAATTGAACTCAGCTCTGCACCAAGTGGACCTAATAGACATCTACAGAACTCTCCACCCCAAATCAACAGAATATACATTTTTTTCAGCACCACACCTCACCTATTCCAAAATTGACCACATACTTGGAAGTAAAGCTCTCCTCAGCAAATGTAAAAGAACAGAAATTATAACAAACTGTCTCTCAGACCACAGTGCAATCAAATTAGAACTCAGGATTAAGAAACTCACTCAAAACTGCTCAACTACATGGAAACTGAACAACCTGCTCCTGAATGACTACTGGGTACTAATGAAATGAAGGCAGAAATAAAGATGTTCTTTGAAACCAACGAGAACAAAGACACAACATACCAGAATCTCTGGGACACATTCAAAGCAGTGTGTAGAGGGAAATTTATAGCACTAAATGTCCACAAGAGAAAGCAGGAAAGATCCAAAATTGACACCCTAACATCACAATTAAAAGATTTAGAAAAGCAAGAGCAAACACATTCAAAAGCTAGCAGAAGGCAAGAAATAACTAAAATCAGAGCAGAAGTGAAGGAAATAGAGACATAAAAAACCCTTCAAAAAATTAATGAATCCAGGAGCTGGTTTTTTGAAAGGATCAACAAAATTGATAGACCTAGCAAGACTAATAAAGAAGAAAAGAGAGAAGAATCAAATAGGCGCAATAAAAAATGATAAAGGGGATATCACCACCGATCCCACAGAAATACAAACTACCATCAGAGAATACTACAAACACCTCTACGCAAATAAACTAGAAAATCTAGAAGAAATGGATAAATTCCTCGACACACACACCCTCCCAAGACTAAACCAGGAAGAAGTTGAATCTCTGAATAGACCAATAACAGATCTGAAATTGTGGCAATAATCAATAGCTTACCAACCAAAACCAGTCCAGGACCAGATGGATTCACAGCCAAATTGTACCAGAGGTACAAGGAGGAACTGGTACCATTCCTTCTGAAACTATTCCAATCAATAGAAAAAGAGGGAATCCTCCCTAACTCATTTTATGAGGCCAGCATCATCCTGATACCAAAGCCGGGCAAAGACAAAACCAAAAAAGAGAATTTTAGACCAATATCCTTGATGAACATTGATGCAAAAATCCTCAATAAAATACTGGCAAACCAAATCCAGCAGCACATCAAAAAGCTTATCCACCATGATCAAGTGGGCTTCATCCCTGGGATACAAGGCTGGTTCAATATACACAAATCAATAAATGTAATCCAGCATATAAAGAGAACCAAAGACAAAAACCACATGATTATCTCAATAGATGCAGAAAAGGCCTTTGACAAAATTCAACAACCCTTCATGCTAAAAACTCTCAATAAATTAGGTATTGATGGGACATATCTCAAAATAATAAGAGCTATCTATGACAGACCCACAGCCAATATCATACTGAATGGGCAAAAACTGGAAGCATACCCTTTGAAAACTGGCACAAGACAGGGATGCCCTCTCTCACCACTCCTATTCAACATAGTGTTGGAAGTTCTGGCCAGGGCAATTAGGCAGGAGAAGGAAATAAAGGGTATTCAATTAGGAAAAGAGGAAGTCAAATTGTCCCTGTTTGCAGGCGACATGATTGTATATCTAGAAAACCCCATCGTCTCAGCCCAAAATCTCCTTAAGCTGATAAGCAACTTCAGCAAAGTCTCAGGATACAAAATCAATGTACAAAAATCACAAGCATTCTTATACACCAATAACAGACAAACAGAGAGCCAAATCATGAGTGAACTCCCATTCACAATTGCTTCAAAGAGAATAAAATACCTAGGAATCCAACTTACAAGGGATGTGAAGGATCTCTTCAAGGAGAACTACAAACCACCACTGCTCAATGAAATAAAAGAGGATAGAAAGAAATGGAAGAACATTCCATGCTCATGGGTAGGAAGAATCAATATCATGAAAATGGCCATACTGCCCAAGGTAATTTATAGATTCAATGCCAACCCCATCAAGCTACCAATGACTTTCTTCACAGAATTGGAAAAAAAGTACTTTAAAGTTCATATGGAACCAAAATAGAGCCTGCATCGCCAAAAGAAGAAAGCTGGAGGCATCATGCTACCTGACTTCAAACTATACTACAAGGCTACAGTAACCAAAACAGCATGGTACTGGTACCAAAACAGATATATAGATCAATGGAACAGAACAGAGCCCTCAGAAATAACGCCGCATATCTACAACTATCTGATCTTTGACAAACCTGAGAAAAACAAGTAATGGGGAAAGGATTCCCTATTTAATAAATGGTGCTGGGAAAACTGGCTAGCCATATGTAGAAAGCCGAAACTGGATCCCTTCCTTACACCTTATACAAAAATTAATTCTAGATGGATTAAAGACCTTAAACGTTAGACCTAAAACCATAAAAACCCTAGAAGAAAACCTAGGCATTACCATTCAGGACATAGGCATGGGCAAGGACTTCATGTCTAAAACACCAAAAGCAATGGCAACAAAAGCCAAAATTGACAAATGGGATCTAATTAAACTCAAGAGCTTCTGCACAGCAAAAGAAACTACCATCAGAGTGAACAGGTAACCTACAAAATGGGAGAAAATTTTCGCAACCTACTCATCTGACAAAGGGCTAATATCCAGAATCTACAATGAACTCAAACAAATTTACAAGAAAAAAACAACCCCAACAAAAAGTGGGCAAAGGACATGAACAGACACTTCTCAAAAGAAGACATTTATGCAGCCAAAAAACAACACATGAAAAAATGCTCACCATCACTGGCCATCAGAGAAATGCAAATCAAAACCACAATGAGATACCATCTCACACCAGTTAGAATGGCAATCATTAAAAAGTCAGGAAACAACAGGTGCTGGAGAGGATGTGGAGAAATAGGAACACTTTTACACTGTTGGTGGGACTGTAAACTAGTTCAACCATTGTGGAAGTCATTGTGGTGAGTCCTCAGGGATCTAGAACTAGAAATACCATTTGACCCAGCCATCCCATTACTGGGTATATACCCAAAGGACTATAAATCATGCTGCTATAAAGACACATGCACACGTATGTTTATTGTGGCACTATTCACAATAGCAAAGACTTGGAACCAACCCAAATGTCCAACAGTGATAGACTGGATTAAGAAAATGTGGCACATTAGGAGATATATCTAATGCTAAATGACGAGTTAATGGGTGCAGCACACCAGCATGGCACATGTATACGTATGTAACCAACCTGCACATTGTGCACATGTACCCTAAAACTTAAAGTATCATAATAATAAAATAAAATACAATAAAAATAAAAGTTAAATAAAAAAGATAGAGTGGAAAAAAAGTACTTTATCTTTCTCGTTGATCTCAATCTGTGAGGAAAGTAGGCTTAGATATGTCAGTGCTCTCTTGCTGAGAGAGAGGGAGACAGAGGAGAGATTTTGAGACCTGAAGTCAATAGCTGAAACTCTGGAACAGTAGATATCAACTGAGGATTCCTGAAAACTATATGGTGTTCTTTGTTCATTGCGTTTCAGCAAGAATGCACTTTTAGTTCAAACAGGTGCAGTACCTTCCACATGGAGCAAGAATCACACTTATTTGTGTTTTTGTCTCTTGCAACTGAGGTGTTCTAGCAACTATATGGTGTTCTTTGTTCACTGCATTTCAGTAAGAATGCAGGGTACTCTTGATACCATGGGAGAGACTTTCTTATGTTATGAAACCTTTGCAGCCACAAAAAAATCATGTTTTTGGCATATGCTTAACGACATGGGAAAATGCTCATGATAAAACAATTAACTGTTTATAGTGCAAGATCTAGTTTTTTTGTGTGTGTGAGAGATATATTTATATAATTCAATACAAAGTAGACTGGAAAGAAATGTACCAGAATTTTGGAAGTGGTTATCTATGTAGGTAGAATTAAAAATTTTAGTTTTAATTTTCTTCTTTATAGTTTTCTTTGTTTCCCAGATTTTCCATACTACACATAAACCGTGTTTATAATCTTGAATAAACAGTATATTATTAAAGTCTGAAAATTCATACTTATGAGTTAATTCAAGATAGCTTCCTTTAGCCCACAGCGCACCTCCAAACATATCAAAGGTTGTGTTTCAAAACACCTGAACAATTGAGTGTTTAACTTCCAAATGCAATCCCTTTGGTGTTTGTGTATCTCATTACAGTGGATCCTTACCTACTGGATCTAGCCCTGTTGCACATTTAGTTCAAACTGGTAATGAAAACGGTACCTTCCACGTGGGGCAGGAGACCAGTTATTACTACAGATATTAAGATAAAGGGCAAGTTCATGAACCCTGTATTGACAGGGCAGTTGTGTCATCTGGAGGACATTTCTTTTCAATTTCATCTAACAAAAAGGCTCGATGTCAAATTCTTAAACAAACAATACCAACTTCCTGTGGGGGAAGAGCAAGTCAAATAGGAGATACTTGTTCTTGGCATAAAAGTCTATATTTAAGAATTAACTTATCACGTTTCACAGCTCACTGTAAACTAAGAGGGGTAGGGAAGAAAGGGTCAAAGGCTGCTCTAATTACTCTCATTTTAGCAAGCAGAATGAAATGAAGTTTCCTGGGGTAATTAATCAAGTCGTGATGAAAAGCTAACACACACTGGACACTTTTTTTGGGTCAGGGATTTGCTGGAAATTGCCACTGCCTCATGAAGGACACTGTCATTAGTCTGGCAGAAGGTTCTCACTTAGGAAAGAATGTATAGTAATGCAAGGTCCAGCATTCAAAATAAAGGCTTAAGGAAAACAGCAGCAATTATCTGGCATTGCTCTTGCTGAGTTTTGGCTTCAATTCTTGCTGGTAACAGGAGGCTTGCGAGTTTCTACGGTGTGTTGGGTGGAAACGGTCTATGCCTGGTGATTTTCACAAACAGATGAATATACTCCTATTTCCAAGCATGCGATTCAGCCACTTGGACTCCAGCAATAACTGCCACCCGTTTCAAAGGAACTGCTGTAATGCAGTCCTTACTATCTGAGCTCATATCTATTACGAAAATCAAGCTGCATGTTTTTCCAGGTGCTACCATCTTGGAAATAAGACACAAGGGGACCAAAAACTGTGTGTCAGAACCTAATGTGAAAGCCTCCAATTAGGCTTTTTTTTTTTTTTTAAATCTAGTTATTGCAAGCTGTTTTAGCTAAAACCCGAATGTACTTAAATGTCTTCCAACAGTGGATATTTGCTGCTGTTATGATTGATATTTTATTTGAAAATATTCAAAAAGTACCATCAAATTAAATGTATATTTTACATTGTAATCTACTTTGGTCTTTTTTTTTTTCATTTCAGTGTCAAATTAGGCAATGCCTGTTGATTGTCAGTAAAATGAGTACAGTAGAATGACTAAATAGCAAATAGTCCAACTGTCAGAGGATTTCTGAAACCAGACCAGGAAAAACAGCAACATGGAAATTAAATGCCATTCAGGGACTTTGATTCTCTATCTGTCTCTTTATGGTGTTCCGTGTTTCAGGCCAATCTTATTCTGTCCTTTTCCTAAGCTCCCCAAATAACATGGAAAGCAAAGAACAACTGTCCTGCTGAACACTGTTATTCTGAATTTTATTCTTTAAACTTTTTGCCCAGTTAGTCATACGTCTGAAAATGCATAGAGTATCCTCTTAAGCAAGAGTGTGACTCAAACTCTCACTACATACTTGCGAAAGAACTTTGGCATGCCCCATCTCTGAGAAGGCTGGTGGGGTTGAGGCTGGACCAAATAGTGGCTGAATGCCTTCATGAACATGGAGGTCACTCTTGAGATCAAGGCTGGGTGGATCTGAAGGGTGGGGCAGCCCACTGAGCACCACGTAAAGTCAGAGGGGCTGGAATGTTGGGGAAAAATTGAACAGACACTGAAGGAGTCAATCTGTGGTTGCTGCCAAGTGTCTCCTCCTCTTCTTCTACCATAAATTTGGAATCTGCGTTTATCTCTTTCACTTCCCCCACTCCAGTCCTTACCGGAGTCTCTATTTGTTCTGTTTGCAGTCACATTTCATTCCATCTCCCGCACTTTAAGGCAGTGTCTTTATCATAAATTTGGCCACTTCCATCATACTACAAACCTTCCAGCTTGTACAGTACCCCTTATAATCCTACAATAATTTCCAATTGCTTTCCCAAGTGTTTCATGAAGCTTCTCTGTAAGGCTTTCTCATGTATTTTCAAACCTGGATACCTTACCTATTCTTTCCACAATACTCATCAAAATTGTCAATCCCAAATAAACAGACCATGTGTAGGTTTGCTGTGAAATAATGGATTGGATCCTTTAAAAAAGACTAAAAATTACTATAAGAAGATGCAAAAGCAATGGAGTTGATAGCACTGGGATCAAAAACCAATGTAATAGCTGTCACTATAGAATGACTGAAGATGAACTAATAGATTCCTCTCAGTGGCTGTTCAAAATGGTACTTTTAAGAGTACCTTTAAAAATTTACTTTTCATGTTTAATGGTTCATAAGAAATACATGATCATTGTAGAAAATTAGAAGACATAGATAAAAAATTATCTATGACTCCATCATGAGACTGTTGATGTTTCTGATGTATATCCTTCAAGACTTAATAGTAATATTTAATATATTTATGTATATGTATATAATATACACACAAACACATGTGACAAGATATTCTGAGTAGGGCAGAGCTAAGATTCAGATACATTTGGTATATGTTATTTGGTGTCACCTTCTACCTGTTTCCTGCTCTTCTCAAATACCTGTTTGTTCCACATGATCTACATGGAGCCTGAGGAGTCTTATGGGAAAGGAATTCAAAACATGTCCAAATTTGAGGTTCTAACATGTATAGTTATGTTTGGCAAACTTAGTGTGTATATGTTTGGAGTGATGTTCACTCCATAGAAGCCAGTATTAAATAAGATCTATGAAGTCCCTGAGAAAGAATCCATCCTAAAAGTCAAGCTAATTGGGGCAAACTCAGAAACAGGGACTGAAGGAGAAAGTCATGATTCTGGATTCAGGGTGTAGTTATAATGTCAACCCCTGTCCATCCCACTCCCAATGCCCTAGACTCCTAGGTTAGTACACTCTGAAGATGAAGACACAGTGAGGAAAAATGAGAGCTTAAAATCTAGGATTCCAAACAACCTTGCAGTAGTTCTTCCTTACCTCAGCATAAAAAGAGAATTAAGAAGCTGGTAAAACTCAGGCATCAATGATAGTTGTCCTTAATGGGAACTTCACAGACTGTTGTCATGTCCTCCCTAACATACACATACAAATGCTGTGTCATACTCTATAACCTGCTTTTAAGAATTGAGTATATTATGATTTTCTGTTGACTCCAGTAAATATATTTCTGTAATAGCATTTAAAGTGGTTTCAGCATATACATTTTCTCACAATTTATTTATAAACAGTGGGTCAGTGAACATCCTTATAGCTAAATCCTTGGGTAAATGCTAAATCATTTAATTGGGATGAATTATTAGAAGTAGGATTGTGGGTCACATGGTATGCATATGTTTAAACCTCTGACATGTACCAAACACATATATGTTATATACCCTTTAGGGAGGCTGAACCAACTTCCTCCTATCAGCACTGAATGAAAGTGACAGATATAATGTTATCCTTTTAATTCCGTTGACCTCTAGCTAACAGATAGAACAGGTCTTCCCTTTCTAAAACCACCACCCACTGTAGATAATATAGAGGTATTAAACCAAGTGGATTTGTCCACAGTTTGCAGAACCCAGTCGCATCTTAGAGCAATATGGCAGGCACAGGCCCATGCTCAAACCATTAATCTTGGCTGATCTCAGTCCTCTCACTCTGCAAGCACATATCTAATCTGGCTACTCCGCAGTATATTTTGTTGAGTACTGCATTTTTCTCCTACTTAGTATCATGTTTTTGGAATAATTTTCTCCCCTGATGTATTATTTTATATTTTTCCAGATCTTCTCTTCCTTGGTATTTCTATACTGCTTTACCAACCTCCCTGAGCAGGCTGACTTACAGTGTGAATTCACTCACATCTTAGCCACTTTAAATTAATGAGCCACATAAAAACCCATGAGGCACTACTATTATCAACTGTGCCTCAATATACTGCATCTGTTCCTTCCTTGCTCTCTGTTTCTTTTTGTGAGCTCATTTCTAGTTTCATCAATATTATCTATTCTTGTGATCCCTGTTCTATTCAACATTAGATATGCATTTTTAAGCTACCCAATTGTTTAAAAGGGAACTAAAGAAACATAAAATGGGCTGAAGAATACATTATAAATGCAAACTTTATTACTTGGCAAAGGTTGTAAAAAATGGTGGTTATATGAAAATAAAAAAATTAGCACTCATACACTGGTGGGTGTAAATTGATATAGTGTTTCTAGAAGGTAATCGGGAAACAAATATCAAAAGCCTTAAAAAGCATTTTATGCATACAATTGTAGCTCTGTGAATTTATATGGAGAAAATAACTGAACAAGTACACAAAGGTTAATTTAAAAGTGTGTTTATTGCAGCATTATTTATAAGTAGAAATGGAAACAAACAGAAAGTTACATGATAGAGAATTAAGTAAAATAGGGTTCTATGTGCATATGGAAATATATGCAGCTATTAAAATGATGACATGAGTTTGTGTTTACAGTAATGGAAGAAGATATAATGTTAAATAAAAACAGCAGGTTGCAGAGTAATTGGTATAGTATGATCCCATCTCAGTAATAAAGGCATTTGCATGTCTCTAACCAGAGTGGAAAAGCTGGATCTCATTTCTATTGGCATGCATGCTAAGCATGGGAGAAAATGACACCAGAGAGAAGTGTTAGGGACACTTGTGCCCAGGGAAGGAAAAGGAGGAAGCAGGAGGGAAGACCGTGGCTGGCCTAGGTAATGGTTTGATCCCTATAAAGATGGGGGCATTCTCTCCAGTTTCAACCGAAAGTAGCACATGGCTCTGGAACCCTGAGCATGCTGAGAGTGGAGGTGCTGTGTTCAGCCTAGGAGAGACTGCTCTGGGAGCACCAAGAGAGAATATCTCCGACAGGAGACTGGCTTCCAAGAGCAGTGGCAGCAGGCAGTGTGTTGCAGAAACATAAAAACCCTCTTAAGAAACTGGCATACAGGCATTCCTCCCTAAAGCAAGTCACATGGCCATTGCAACGTCAGGAGGAGAGGAAATACACTCTACCTCTTTAGCAGCACTGGGACATGTAGTCATATGGCAAAAGGCATGGATTTAGGAAAGGGTAAAGGATTGAGATCATTATTGCAATCTATCACACCTGCATTTTCTCATATTTTGGACAATAATCCCATAACACTTATGTATTTATGCCCATTAAAATAGGTGATATGTTAGATTGTTAGACTAATGGTTCCCAAAGAACCATGTTGCCCAGTGTTTGGGCCTGTATTGGTTTCCTAAGGCTGTTGTAACTAAGTACCACAAACTAGGTAGCTTCAAACAAAAATGTATTCTTTCTTAGTTCTGGAGCTCAGAAGTCTGAAATCAAGGTGTTGGTAGGGCCATGCTCCCTTTGAAGCCTCTAGGAGGAGGATCCTTCCTTGCCTCTTCCAGCTTCTGGTAGTTCCACGTGTTTCTTGGCTTGTGGCAGTATAACTCCTATCTCTGCCACCTTCACTTGTCTGTCTTCCTTCTGTGTCTGTGAGTCTTTCCCTGTTCTTATAAAGACACTTGTCATTTTGATTTCAGGACCCATTTTACTCCAGTACAGTGTCGTCTTAACTTTATTATGTCTGCAATTATCCTATTTCTACCCTATAGGGTCACATTCTGAGGTATTAGGGGTCAGGACTTCAACTTCTGTTTTTGAAGGACACGATTTAGCTCATAACAATGGCCTTGTGTTGTTCCCTCCCTCATTGATTCTGGGTCATATGACTTGCTTTTGCCAACAAGACAGCAATAAATTTGACATAGAAAAGGCTGGGCTGGGCTGGGCATGGTAGCTCATGCCTGTAATCCCAGCACTTTGGGAGGCCAAGATGGGTGGATAGTTTGAGTTCAGGTGTTCGAGACCAGCCCAGGCAACATAGTGAAACTCTGTATCTACCAAAAATACAAAAAAATAAGCTGGGCATGGTGGCTTGCACCTGTGGTCCCAGCTACTCAGGAGGCTAAGGTGGGAAGATCGCTTGGGCCTGGGAGGCGGAGGTTACAGTGAGCCAAAATCGTGCCACTGCACTCCAGCCTGGGTAACAGAGTGGGACCCCATGAAAGAAATAAAGAAAAGAAAGGGAGAAAAGAAAGAAAGCAAGAAGAAAGAAAAAGAAAGAAAGAGAAGGAAGGAAAGGAAAGAGGAAGGAAGGAAGAAAGGAAGGGAGGAAGGGAGGGAGGGAGGGAGGAAGGAAGGAAGGAAGGAAGGAAGGAAGGAAGGATTGATGAGCACTCGAGCACTGAGGCTTGCCCTCTTGGAGTGCTGCCCCCACTATAAGAGGAAGCCTGGTGTAGCCTTTTTGAGGATGAAAGGACTATAGGCCAGCAAGGCCCAGCTATCTCACATGTCCTGGCTAAGCTCATTGCCCCGCCAAACCTCAGCTTGAGGGTGGGCTGGGCACTGAGGTGAAGCCATAGAACTGCCCAAGCAAGTCACAAAATTGTAAGAAATCATAAATTACCATTTCATCGAAGTCACTGAGTTTTGGAGTGGCGGTAATAGAAAACTGAAACAAATAGTTGTTGGTTTTCCTAAAATCTAAGCCCCAAGCAGATTTGATATTCCCCAGCCCACCAATTCTAAAACCATTGGTTTTATTGGAACTGAAAAGAACTTTAGAGATAATCCAGTCTGACTTCCTCATCTCACAGCTAAGAAAATTGAGACTCAGGATCTTAAACCATGCCCCTCTCAAGGCAGGCATCAGTCTACTGATTTTTGGTTCTGTGCTTCTTCGACATTACCAAGAGGTCACATGCTCTAATATGAAACTACTACTCTTAAGGGTGGGGCTGGCTCATGGTCACACAGCTATTCAGTGTCAATATCAGTTCTAGAAATCAGATTTTCTAACTCCTCATCTAGAATTCTCTTCCTTTTCAGGGAGAGTGAGGAGTATACGGTGTGTGTCTTTTACTCACACATTTAGCTGAGTATTGTCCTGCAAAGTGTTATCTTTGTCCCAGAGTGGGGTTCAAGGGGAAAGGGATACCATTGCTTATCTTTCCTACCTCTGAAACCTCTTTCTCTTCCTTTTTTACTCTCTCTTCCTAAATCCCCGAGCCCTGGAAATATGAGTAAGAAGTCCTACCCCTCCCCATCAGCCACCACTTCAAGCAGGATGGATTAATGAGGTTATGTCTCCAAAGAACTTTGAGTTCCTTGGAAGAAAGGCATCAACATGCAAAGTGGCGGTTGTTATTGCGATTACTTCACTGAGTAGGGTTTCACAGCTGTCCTGATGGAAAAGGGGCCAACAAAACAGAATGCCAGTTTCCCCCAGCAGAGGAGCAGCTGGAATGGATTATAAATGAGACCTGTGTGCCCGGTTCTCTTTTTCGTCAAAGTCCATCAGCCTGTCTCAATGCCCAGCTCTCCCCTTGACAGCCCAGCAGGGTCTCTGAGCCAGACAGGTGTGGGCAAGGCACCATCTAAGCCCCACGTGCATAAGCCTGCTTGGCAGGGGCAGCAAAACCCTATATTCTGAACCAGGGCCAACCCATTACCAGTGCTCAGTAATGCAATGGATTTCTCCAGTGGCGATTCGGGGTAAGTAAAACATTCTCATTGCTCAAACTTCCCTCCACTTTATAGGGCAGGAGGGACAGAGCAGGGAGAGAAGAGGCTGTGCAGACTCAGACAAATGTTACATTGCCAGGACCAGAGCACCTCTACCCACCCTTCCTGCCTTCTTTCTCTTTTCCTTCTTCCTGCCTTTCTTCCTCCCTCCCTCCCTCCCTTCCTTCCTTCCTTCCTTCCTTCCTCTTTGCTCCCTCCCTCCCTTCCTTGAAACATATATGTATTTAATATTATGTCGGGCATCACGTTAGGTCCTGGAGAAATAACAAAAAACAAGATGCAGCCCTTGGCCTTCGTGGGCAGTAATGGTGGTAGTGAGTGAGGCAGAAACAGACAAATGAATAGAAAATCACATCTATAACACATTCTAAAAGCCACATCGCTGTGGCAAGACTACGTATACGGTACCCCAGGGACACACAGAAGAGCCACTCACCCTGGTTTTGAAGGGATCTTGAAGGGCTCCCAAAGAACCAATCGAGACTAGTCAGGTCAAGTGGATGGCAAAGAGAAGGGATATTCCAAGCAGCCTCAGTTCCACTGGTTCTGAGATGGTATAAAATTTATCAATGTTTTGTGTATACGGAAAACAGATTATGAACATTATAATAGTATTACTTAGGCTGTAATCATGATATTATTCCTTCATTTATTGAATATTTTCTATCTGCCAAGCACTATTAAAAACTTTACATACAATGCCTTATTTAATCCTCATGGCAATTTTACAAAGCAGGTTCCATTACTATGCTTACTTTGCTGAAGATGAAACCGAGGCCCAGAGAGATTAAGTGAATTGCTCAGTCACAGAATAAATGAGTAGAAGCACACACTCGCTCTCACACAGCCTCACTGCAGAGGCCATGTCTGGAACCAGACAAAACAGCCCCTTCGTACAGAAACCTACCACTTCCACATGTAGGTTAGTTCTGTTCTGATTGGACTTAAGAAAAAAAAAAAGCAGGTCTGTAATATTAAGGTGCAATACACGTAGTGGGTTCTCAATACCTATTTGCTAAATAAAATATTTCCTCAAGTAGAGGACATAGGTTTTCTGGTGTTTTGGGAAGAATAGGTATGCAAAATGATATTTTCTTCTGATCCAATAACTCATGCATGAAATAGCTTTTTAATTTTTTTTAAAGAATAAAATCTTCCTGTATCTCATTTTTCCCAGCTTTATTGAGGTATAATTGACAAATAAAATTGTATATATTTACAGTGTTCAATGTGATGTTTTGATATACATAGACATTATGAAATGATTACTACGATCAAGCTAATTAACATATCCATCACATCACATCATTAAAAATGAAAAAGTATTTTTAATCAACACAAAATTGTATGCAAAAATATGCTCTCTGAGACAACTTGGCCCCTTTTAGTCACAACTTGTCTTTAAGTTGTTAGTCCTTTCCTAACCCTTTTGTCTTGTCTCTATAGCCAGACCGTAAATCCCTGGAGGTCGGAGATTTGTCTGTCATCTTTTTCCATCCTTGCCAGTATCCAATTCCACCCCCTCCATTATGCTCCAAGGGTGATCTTGCTGGGTCTTCATTAAAGAATTTATCACAGCATTCCTCTTAGTTGAGTTAGTTGTGTGCAAATTTAATGAATTCTTGAAGGCATTTATTGGGGCACATGATACATTTCCAGTAAGGGCTTTTGATCTGAAAACAGAAGGCTGTTTTCAGGGCTGGTAGATAAACCAAACCCAAGCCAAAAACTTTCAACCAACTTGTGGACTTTCTTCAATATCCTATGCTTTTCAATCCCTTCAGCCCTCAATATCCCTTTCTTCACTCCCCGTCTCTGTGCAGCATTCCTCAGCTATACATCAAAACCATGTTTTTATTTTCTTGATTATCACGCTGAGTTATATATTTTGTCTGGGAAATCACCCAGTTTTAGGACTTTTCTTTTTCTTAATATGATGACCATTTCAAATACCAATGAAAATGTTTTGTTTTGTTTTTAGATTTTGTGTGCGTGTGTGTTTATTAATGCCAAGTGATCTGTTTAATGCATTCTAATCATCTGGCTTGCTTCTCTTCTGTGGTGCTTCCTACTTAAACAAGAGTTCTTTGCTGATATAGAGAATAAAGATGACTTATTTAATCAAAAAAGTAAATGATTACTGATTCCTTATTTCTAGAATGGCGTTGGGCTTAGCATTTTTAATGCATTATCTCATTTGAACTTGATAATGCCCCTCACAGGTGAACATTATTATCATGTCCATACTATAGATGAGGAATCAGTGGCTTGGGGGTTATAAGTGATTTGCAAATGAAACACTGGAATTCAAATAGATCTGATTCCCTGGTGTTCCTAAAGACTCAACTCTCATGCCTCCTCTTATTTACCTAGAATCAAGAATTTCTCCAAGCACCCCAGGGTTGATCTCATTTGCCTCCCACAAAAAGAGGGAAACTGAGGGGCACATTAGGTGATATGCTTGAGATCCCAGAGACTGCTAACCATTGATTCTGGTTTGTGGGTGACACTCCACTATTTCTGTCTGTTTTGAATAATGAGACCTAAGAGAGTAGGTATCAAATTATTCCTGCTTGCTTTGTGCAGACACAGGTTACATTTGAGTGACAGATGGAAACAGATATTTAAGTGTGTCTGGGCTCTGTAAAAATTAGCTGCAAAAACCACTTCTGCCTTTCTTGGCTCACCAGGACAGCCATAGCGAGAGTGAGGCAGGACGGGAGCCACAGAGCTCCACATCGTTCTGTGGTTACTTTATATTGTCCCCCAGGCATATGTAACCAAATTGTCAATTCCCGAACGTTTCTTCCATGTGTGGCATTTCCTCTGAAGCAAGTTGAGCTGGAAGAGGACAGGGACCTGGCAGGCTGCCTGTGGGCTAATCAACCCCACAAAAATAAAGAAATACAGAGCTAGGACTTGGCATCTGGTTGGATCCCATCCATCATAAACTAAAATTATTGCAGAAGGAATCTTCCTTTTTCATTCGTTCTCCCCATTGTTTACCTGAAATCTGATAGGGGCTGTGTGGGATATTTGGCATCTCTCTGCACTCCACACTGTGTGCAGGTAGCATGCAGTGGGCACGCTGTAGAGTGACACTTGAGGAGGACGTCCAAGCCACCACTCCCAGGCACCCTCTTGGCAGCGACCTCACCATTTCATGCAGACCCAGGCTGTTGTGAGCGTTCAGTGTGGCGACCACTCTAAAGCAGTGGCCCCCAACCTTTTTGGCACCAGGGACTGGTTTCATGGAAGACAGTTTTTCCATGGATGGGGTGTGGCGGGGGGCAGGAGGATGGTTTCGGAATGAAACTCTTCCACTTCAGATCATCAGGCATTAGGAAGATTCTTAAAAGGAGCTTGCAACCTAGATCCCTTGCATGCACAGTTCAGAGTAGGGTTCCCACTCCTATGAGAATCTAATGCCCCCACTGATCTGACTGGAGGTGGAGCGCAGGCTGTAATGCTTGCTCACTGACACCTCACCTCCTGCTCTGTGGCTCAGTTCCTAACAGGCCACCGACCAGTACCAGTCCATGGCCTGGGGGTTGGGGACCCCTGCTCTAAAGCATCTAGCATAGGCCTCAGTTCATGGAAGTCACTTAACAAATGTTAACTTTAATTCCCTCTTTGTTCATAATATTTTTGATGAGTTGGATAAATTATTTTGTCCCAGATTTGAGATAGATAGACAGATAGATAGATAGATAGATAGATAGATAAACAATTTTTCTTCCCTGTGACTACCCAGCTCTCTGCTCATGGGCATATCCCTGGCCTAAGTGGCCCACAAGAGTGTAGACTCCAGGCCAGGTGCAGTGGCTCACGCCTGTAATCCCAGCACTTTGGGAGGCTGAGGTGGGTGGATCATGAGGTCAGGAGTTCAAGACCAGCCTGGCCAAGATGGTGAAACCCCATCTCTACTAAAAAATACAAAAATTAGCTGGGCGCGGTGGTGGGCGCCTGTAATCCCAACTACTTGGGAGGCTGAGGCAGGAGAATGGCTTGAACCCGGGAGGCGGAGGTTGCAGTGAGCTGAGATCCTGCCACTGCACTCTAGCCTGGGTGACAGAGCAAGACTCCATCTCAAATAAATAAATAAATAAATAAATGAGTGTGGACTCAAGCAGGCTGCCTACATTTGAATGTCTACCTTGTCACTACCTAGCTGTGTGATGTTGGAAGAGTCACTTAAACATTCTGTGACTCAGTTTCCTCATCTGTAAAATAGGTATAATAACAGTAGTACCCATCTCACAAAATTATCTTGAGGATTTGAAGAGTTAATCCACATAACTGCTAAGAATATTGCCTGGCACACACAAGTGCTTAATAATCATTAGCTATTTCTGTTCTGTAACTAGTCCTTCCTTACCCTCTGCTTTTGCATGTTATATCTGTAAAAACAGGAAAATCGATAGTTGCTGCATTTATCTCATTTAGCGCTTGTGAAATACGCAGTGCAGAGGACCTACTATGTGCAGGTCCGAGCAGCTTATGAGGATAAAAATGAAAGAAATTTAAAATGAGGAGCAAAATTGGGTGAATTTTTAAAAAGTCATATGATTCAAGTTGACATCTTAAATGATTGGGGAAATTTCCAGAGTACTGGAAACTGTTGCCTATCACTCCAGGGAGATGGTTGTGTTGAAATTTCTGGGTACTGGGGATATGGAATCAGTGATGTAACAAAAGGAGCAGGTGCCACCGGCAGATTTTTCCAAATTATGAGACCAGATTGTCCACAACAAGAGTATCAGTTCTCCCTTCTCTCCAGCCCTTTGCATGTGGCCTTCCTTTGAAGTGCTGGTTAGTGATTGACTTTATAAGCTGATGGTTTTCTCTGGGGTTGTATTAGTTCATTTTTATGTTGCTGAAAAAGACATACCTGAAACTGGGAACAAAAAGAGGTTTAATTGGACTTCAGTTCCACAGAAACTGGGAACAAAAAGAGGTTTAATTGGACTTCAGTTCCACATGGCTGGGGAGGCCTCAGAATCATGGCGGGAGGTGAAAGGCACTTCTTACATGGTGGCAACAAGAGCAAAATGAGGAAGAAGCAAAAGCGGAAACCCATGATAAACCCATCAGATCTCATGAGTCTTATTCACTATCAGGAGGCTAGCACAGGAAAGACCGGCTCCAACCCCACATTTCCTTTCTGTACTGACCTAGCAGAGGTTCTCCATGAACTCCCCGCCCCTGCAGCAAACTTCTGCCTGGGCATCCAGGTGTTTCTATACATCTTCTGAAATCTAGGCAGAGGTTCCCAAACCGCAATTCTTGATTTCTGTGCACCCGCAGGCTCAATACCATGTGGAAGCTGCCAAGGCTTGGGGCTTCTGTCCTCTGAAGCCACAGCCTGAGCTGTACATTGGCCCCTTTCAGCCATGGCTGGAGCATCTGGGACACAGGGCACCAAGTCCCTAGGTTGCACACAGCACAGGGACCCTGGGCCTGGCCCAAAAAAACACTTTTTCCTCCTTGGCCTCTGGACCTGTGATGAGAGGGGCTGCCGTGAAGGTCTCTGACATGGTCTGGAGACATTTTCCCCATGGTCTTGGGGATTAACATTAGGCTCCTTGTTACTTATGCAAATTTCTGCAGCTGGCTTGAATTTCTCCTCAAAAAATGGGCTTTTCTTTTCTACTGTATCATCAGGCTGCAAAGTTTCTGAACTTTTATGCTCTGTTTCCCTTTTAAAATGGAATGCTTTTAACAGCACTGAAGTCACCTTTTGAATGCTTTACTGCTTAGAAATTTCTTCCACCAGATACCCTAAGTCATCTCTCTCAAGTTCAAAGTTCCACAAATCTCTAGGGCAGGGGCAAAATGCCACCAGTCTCTTTGCTAAAACATAACAAGAGTCACCTTTGCTCCAATTCCCAGCAAGTTCTTCATCTCCATCTGAGACTACCTCATCCTGGATTTCATAGTCCATATCATCATCAGCATTTTGGCCAAAGCCATTCAACAAGTCTCTAGGAGGTTCAAAACTTTCCCACATTTGGGCTGGGTGCGGTGGCTCATGCCTGTAATTCCAGCACTTTGGGAGGCTGAGACAGGTGGATCACAAGGTCAGGAGTTCGAGACCAGCCTGGCCAATATGGTGAAACCCTGTCTCTACTAAAAATACAAAAAAATTAGCTGGGCGTGGTGGCACATGCCTGTAATCCCAGCTACTAGGGAGGCTGAGGCAGGAGAACTGCTTGAACCCGGGAGGCGGAGGTTGCAGTGAGCCGAGATGGTGCCACTGCACTCCAGTCTGGGCGACAGAGCAAGACTCCATTAAAAAAAAAAAAAAAAAACTTTCCCACATTTTTCTTTCTTTTTCTGAGCCCTACAAACGTTTCAACCTCTCCCTGTTACCCACTTCCAAAGTTGCTTCCACATTTTTGGGCATCTTTTCAGCAATGACCCACTCTACTGGTACCAATTTACTATATTAGTTCATTTTTATGCTGCTGACAAAGACACACCCGAGACTGGGAACAAAAAGGGGTTTAACTGGACTTATAGTTCCACATGGCTGGGGAGGCCTCAGAATCATGGCAGGAGGCGAAAGGCACTTCTTACTTGGCGAAGGCAAGAGAAAAATGAGGAAGAAGCAAAAACGGAAACACCTGATAAACCCATCAGATCTTGTGAGACTTATTCACTATCATGAGAATAGCACAGGAAAGACCAGCCCTCATAATTCAATTACCTCCCACAACACGTGAGAATTCTGGGAGCTACAAGTCAAGTTGAGATTTGGGTGGGGACACAGCCAAACCATATCAGGGGTATGATGTGAAAAGAACCAGGAAAGTTTCCACCCAGAAATGGCCCCTGTCCCCACTGTCTGGCATGTGCAAAAGGAGCTGGTCTCCACCTCTTTCTGTCCCCTGCCTCCTTCTATACTCATTCCATCTGCTTGTAGCTTCCTGGACACTTTATGCACTGATCACCTTCAGGCCTTTGCTCTTGCTCTTCACTCTGCCTAGAAATCTTTCCTTGCTTATATGAGAACAACAAACAGAAAAAGAATACACTGTGAATGTTGGAAGTCTCAATTAAGTCATCATCTTCTTCATTTAGCCTTCCTGAGCACCTTCCCCTTCAACCAAAAATTGATTGACCATGCCTTTCCTGGTGCTCACTACAGGTGGTTTAATGAACCTGTGCACAGTCCACCAACAAAGGGTAAAGGGAACAGATGTAACACTGCATTACTCTTGCCAGTAAAATGCCCATATTCCTTATGAACTAGAACTTCTTGAGTAAGAAGATATATCTTAATCATCTCAGCTTCCCTAGAACCTAGCAAAGCACCTGACATATAACGGATAATCAATAACCATATCTTGAAAGGAAAGATGAATGAACGAATAAATGAAGAGGCTTAAATAACTCTTGTTATTCAGAAAGCCACGGAGAGGCAACTGAAATCAACTACTTTCACTACTTCAAGCTGCTCAAATTCTTAGCTAAAATATTTTCTGGAAGATTTATTTTATCTCATCTTCTTCATTTCAGTGCCATATAGCATTTGCATCAGTGTATATTACCTAGTAGGTGCTCAAGAAATGTTTGATGAATGGATAGAATATCAAAATGATTGCATTTTTAGTCACAGGATCTTGGCAGCATCCCATGAGAAGGTGGCCCCCATAGCCTAGAGCCTGAAGAAACAGTGACAGACACTTTCTAGGAGATGGAGTAGGAGCTGCTATCTTGAAAGCCCCAGCACCAGTCAGATGCATTAGCCATCTTGAGGCACAACCCACTGAGGGCGGAGCCCAGGGAGGACATCTCTCCCTTCCACTATCCCCCTACTGGTGGTCCAATTTCTTTCTCAGAACACATGTGATAACATAATATTTTGAATATTTCTGAATGATGTTAATATTATTTATCTTTTCTTTTTAACGTTATTTCTCTTTTCTTCTCCCGTGATCAGCTTCTTAATCAATACAAAATAATGTTGTTGCAAAGTAATGAAAAAATAAAGAAAAATTATTACTGGAGTTTTGACATTCAAAATAGGAACTTACAGCAAGACAGTGGTCTTGAAGGCAAATATTATAGAGTGATGATATTCTAAATTACTCTGGTTCCCTTTAATATATCAATACTGGTCCTACTGGAATACATTATATGGTTTTATGTAAGGGAGAAAAGAAGGGAACATAAAAGAAAAGTTTGCCTCCTCTAGACCTAAGGGATTGTGGAGAGAGAATGATGGAGTGAAGAGCCCAGAGAAGTGGGAAAGAATGCAGCCAGCTGAATATCTCCTCTCTGGGTCTTCAAACCCCATGGTGTGAGGAGGGCAGTGGATATGTTAGGACCAGAGTAAGAACACAGGGATTCTTGACCCACCCCTTGTTTGGATGGAGACAACTATTACAGGAGCCTCCTATAATTCAGAGTGTGGAGTGGGACATACAGATTGAGAAAGGGACAAATGTGTATACCTGAGTTTCCCCATCCTCCCACAGTATGCCAATCTGAGAAGCCACAGACCTGCCACAGACTGCTGGGATGGAGGCTGAGGTGACCTGCAGCCTCAGTTCCAGGGTTGTCAGCTGGGTCCAAAAGTCGCAGATATGGGAGAGACTCAAAAGGGTCTTCACCAGCAAGAGTGGGGTGGGGAACGAGGCAAGGCTTCCTGGAGGGGCCCCCATACTCTGAGCAAGCAAAGCAGAAATAGACCACAAGTCCATCAGCCACAGATGTCAGCTGTGGGCATCAGCTGGGGACGCCAGCCATAGGGTGGTGCCAGTCATTCCTCAGCAGACACAAGGCACCTCACACCCAAGCACAAGTGCAAATCCATAGCCTCCCTTCCCCCGGAGCCATGGCCTATGGGACCCAGAGAGAAGCAAGAAAGGAAGAAGATAGCTGTGAAGAACTGAGCAGAAAAACTAGTTAATACAGAGTTTCTGCATAAATAATTGGGCCAAACTAACTTTAAACTAAATTGGACTAAATATAGTTGTTTTTTTTTCTTCCTACCCAAACAGGTGGAAGGCTCATTAAAAAATTAGATCAAGTATAAAGAAATAAAGTAGCTAATTTCCTTTGCATACCTGAATGTTGTGTGAGTAATCTGGGGCCTCTGCTACTCAGAGGCAATTTTGATCCCTGTCAGATTATTCATGGGCTCGGGAAGGATATCATTCACCAGGTAAAGCCAGGAGCAATTCCATTCAATATCATACCAGGAGGAGTTCCAGAGTGTGGGATACTCTGTCTGTCCTGTCTCCATGTCTTTCTTTCTCACCTCTGAGCCTTCTCTTTTCCTCCATCCTGTCCTCTTTCATCTCTTGATCCTTTTGTTTTCAGAGAAAATGCACACAGATGGGCAAGCTGTCTCAGAATGGTTCCTTTGTGAGCCGTGCAGATATTCAGAAGTCCAGCTGAACTACATAAGCCCTCAGATAGCCCCTCTCTGGCAAAGTTACAGGTATCCCCAAAGAAGGTGACAGTGCTATTATTTATCGAGCCTATATTTTCACTTCAGAGCTGAGGGAGGAATATGAAAGGGAAAGACAAAAGCTCTCTAGAGGATTTCACATTTAGCTGATGAATATGTTAGTGAATTGAAGAAATCCTCAAAAACTTTAGCAAGTGGAACATTCCTGACGTAGTGCGTTAACTGGAGTAACCTAATATAATAACCATAAGGAAAAAACAAGTCATGCTCCCCAGAGACTATCTATAGTCATAGAAAGAAGATGTGGAACTTTAAGTAAATAACTAATTGGTATGATCCAAAGTGTTGTCTTGACTACTAGTGGGGTCTCTATTTGGAAATATGAACTGTTTTTGCTTTGAGGTTTTTCACACAAAGAATAATCCTACGCCAGTGAAATTTCCGAGTGTTTAGTAAATGACAGAGTCTTGGAAATTGGGATTAGAACCAAGCAATTTCAAGGCCCATCTGCAAGACAAAGACAAGCAGGTAATAAAACGCCCTGCTCTGTTTCCTCTTTGGCCTCTTTTAGTTTGTGTGAACTTTTAACCCAAGAACATTAAGTTTAAAATCAAATTCAATTTGAAGCAATTTTGAGCCACACAACTGGGTGAGGATAAATGGCTCTATATTAAAATGATCTTTTCCATTAGAAATGACTTCTTGGATATCATTTGGTCTCATTGGTTGATGACCAGGAAGTAGCATCAGTTGAGCTCCAACTGTTGTCAGGCATAACATTGGTTATTCTATATGGCTTATTTTATTTAATCCTCACACCATGCCTAGGACTTGAAATGTTATCTCCACTTTGCAGATAAGGGATCATTTGATCCAGCCCCTTGGGGGAATTCCTGAATTACCAGGATATATGTTTGTCCTTTCTTCTCCCAAGGCCTCCAGGAAGAGAAGCCTCTCAACCTCTCAATGTGGCCCCTTTCTGAAGATTTTGAACATAAATTGTCATTTGCAATCCAAGTCTTCCTTAGCCACTGATTCCTTAGAGATTAGACCACTTCACAACAATGCATGGGTTTCCTTGAACCTAGATAAATAAGCATCAGAAAGAGAAAGGTCAAAGGACAGGAAAGACAATGAGTAGATTTCAGGGCACTGAACTTTGCTCTACAACTATGAAATACAAGTTACGCTCTTATATTACAAAAGAAGTATACACCCTTTATTTTTAAAAGTAAAATATTGTGTCGTATTTGATAAAGAGAGTGAAATTCCTCTGAAATCCCACCCTCGGCGTGTTACCATTAGCTGTTGGTCTTTAATAAAGAACTGTCTCAGGAGGGAGTGTGGCTAGGTTCTTGGTCTTTGCTGCTGCAAGTCAAAAACAGGACTTTCGTCAGTTAGAAACAGTGAAAAGAGCACATTGGTTTTGGAGCCAGACAGACCCAGACTTGAATCTCAGCTCTGACCTTGGGCAAGTTACTTACATTCTCTGAATCTCAGTTTCTTAGATGTCAAATGTCATGACAGCACTAATTCATAAGGTTACGGAGAGGCAGAAAGTTTAGGCATGCAAAGGTCTTGGCATGGTGCATGGCACAAAGTAGGCATTTGATAATTGTGTCCAATTGAATATCACAGATGTTCCAGATATTAAGATCCTTTCGCCTGCAGTGTAAAATTACCAGCTGCTAAGACAATTCCCCAACCTCCTCATTATTATTTTTTCGCTGAGTTAATGGCTGGACTTCAGGCACATAATATACAGAACAAGCTCTTGGTTAAAGTTTGTTGACTTTTATCAAAAGGTGCCTATAGGAATTTTCTTCCGTCTGTTTTTTCTTTATTGAATGCTTGAAGCTACTCATAAAGTAAACACCCAAATTAGTAATGATTTTATTATATCATTTTTGGACTCGCAAAATAAATTTTACTTCTGTAATGAAAGTCGATCAAGCCTACTTTTGATCAGCTGAAACCTTGGGGCTTCCCTTTTCAGTCTTTGGATGAGAGCTGGTGGTGTTGATGTCATGAGAGAGTCTTGAAATGGGGAAGGCTGTTTCTTCCTAATGAATGCCCAGCCATCCCCCTTGGTTTGGTTGAAAAGCAAGACGCAAAGTCTCAGATTCTGTCACTGCCAAGATCCTGTCACTCCTAATGTGCTCCTTTCCAGCTGTGGCCCATGATGCCTCTTCAAACAAATTATTCTGCAACGATTGATCGTGTCGCACTCCCTTTAGATGGCCCATAACCACATTTGAGAGTTTAGACAGAAATACTGCCTGACAGATGATCCAAGTTGGAGCCAGAAGGCTTAAAGTACAACATCTCTCAACCAACTTGCCAGTGAGGGACGTACCCAGGGCCCACACCTAACAACTGTGTCGGTGGTAACAAGGTGGTAACAACTGTGCTGAAACACTGAGCTGCTTCCTGTCTGCATGGCCTCAGGGATTGAGGGCAAGGGCCCATCTGGACTTTTCGTCCTAAGATCCCACGAACCTCCATCAAACAAGCAAATAATTTTGTTAATAATCTGTCTTCATCCAGCTGGACGATTAGCTCCGTAAGAGCAAGAAATTTTTGTCTGTTTTGTTTATTGTTGTATGCCTTGTTCTTAGAAAGGTGCCTGGCATATAATAGCTGCTCAAATTGTATTTGTTATATGAGTGAATAAGAGGAGATTCCAACAGTAAGGTCTTTCCTCAGTTTTCCTCAAGGGAAGAGAAATTTCAACAGAAATACACAGGTAGGGAATATACTGATTATGGGAATTTTCTTCATTAAAACCAAGATACTTTAGGATACCTGTTCATCATTGTAATAGGTGCTCTTAATTCCGAGGTTCAGTTGCAATGCAGCCAATGATGTTCCTTCCAGATTATCAGCTAACATTACAGATGAAGAAAAATGTGCTCATTTTAATTTACTTTTACTATTACTAATAACTAAAGAATCTGAAATGGCCACATGTATCATTTTAATAAGATTGGATTTTAGTAATTGACCTGTCAAAAAAGACCGTGATTTATCCCATCAAATTCAGTGTGAGTTTATTATTTATATTTGCAGCATGGGAGTAATTTAAAGGATGTTCTAGAAATATTTCATCCTCTGATGAAGTCTGAGAACCAAAACAGTTTAATAATTCTTTCTTCATTTATTTAAAAGGATTTGCTTCTTGTAATATCTAGCTGTGGCTGACTCTGACCATGCCAAAAATCTGTCATTTTCCTTTATTGCACTGTCCTCACCTGGCATATGTTCCAACTGTGGCCATTTAACATGAGTTTACTTGTTTACTTGTTTAACATTCATCTCTCTTGGCTAGATTATAAGCCCCTGCTTATAATCTTTTATCAGTTTTGTTTGTGTTACTTCCCTGGTGCCTATAATAGTGCCTGGAATGTGGTAAGCACTTAAAAAACGTTTGCCAAATAAGTAAATTAGTTAAAATTTATGTTATAGATCCCCATATCTGTGTAAATGTACCTCAGAGAAGAAGTGATGGCAATACCAAGGATTGGCTTTCAGGACATTCATTGTAGAATAAGGAGGTCTGGACTTGGACAAGTAAGTAATCAAGCCAGCTCCACTCTTTTCTATATGTGTTGCCATCAAAGCATTTAATCTCCCCAAGGCTCAGTTTTGACATTTTCAAAATGGGAATAACAATAGCTATTGAATAAGATAGCTATGAAGATGACATGAGATTAAGGATATAAATGTACTTTGCACAAACTGCTAAGACTTACAGAAGCATCAGACTTCATCATGCATTGGATAGACATGTCTGTTGATGGAATGAGAGTTTGAGCTGCACTAACCAATTACTTAGTTCAACCTGTCTGCTGAAGAGTCTATACCAATGGAGGCTCGGTTGTCACAGCAGGTGCATAAAGGAAGATGACTTTTCCAGGAAATAGCAGGGATGAAGGACTCATGAGAATCTTCTAGGAAGCTCTTAAAATGATATATTCTTAAGTGTAATTGCTGTATTACTTGTTCACAATCATTTGTCTCCCTGGCTACACGAGGAATTGCCATATGTGCCATGCTTTCCTTTAGGTAGTTTAGTCCTCACCTCATAAACATTGGCATGGCCACAGGTTTGCCTTAGTCAACGAATTATAAGTGGACATGATGCATGCCACACCAATGTAGAAACCCTAGATGTGTTGGCATGGTTTTTCTTGGCATCCCTTTGAGCTTCTTCCCTCAGTTATGAGAATGGCATGCCCTAGTTACTGGATATTCCTTTAGCCTGGCTTCTGGAGTGAGAATACACATGCTTCTAGGTCAAGCCCAGGCAAGCCCAACAGAGCTGCAGCAGACTCACAGCTCTCATGAAACATGAGCACACATGTTTGTGTGAGTCACTGAAATGTTCAGGTGGTATGTTACCTTAGCAAAAACTAATCTCTACACTCACTGAAGTACATGCTCTGAGGCTCAGGAATTTGTGTTTTAAAAAGTTCTTTATGTGATTCTGGTAATAAGTCAAGTTTAGGAACCACTCTTCTGGACTACCTACACCACCTATTCTCCTTCCTGCCACCTGCCCATGTGAACAGGGCTTGACTAATGCTTCCACCGTTCCTATAACTCAGCTAGTAGCATTCCTGATTGTCAGGCCAATAGGAAAAGAAAGAACTGCTCCTCTGCTTTTGAGATGGTGATAAAATGTGGAGCTGCAGAGACTGAATTAAATCAGAGACTTTAGGGTCACCTGACCTTTTCTCTCCAGCACTTTATTGGGAATGTGATAGAATAATTTATTACTGAAAAAGCAAGATAAAACCTATGGAAGAACATACTTTGTTATGGGCCAGATGGTTTAGATTTGCGTGTGGTAATTATTCTAGTTTCTGACAATCCCTAATAAGTCTGCCTATGTTAGCTACTAAATTACTATTGGTGAATCGATGCCCAGCAGCTCTGCCTGTTGACAAGGTCTTGAGGCACCCACAAAGGGCAAGAGAACACTGTCAACGGTCACTGGTGGAGATCAAGCCTGTGGTTCTAAGGAAGACTTTTCATTTTACTTACTAGCATCTCAGCCAGAAAACCAGAACCCGCATGTTTGGATTCTGAAGAATAATGACCTTTTTGTTCACTGACCTCTTGTATTTAGGCCATATGAAAGGTCATGGACAAAGATAAAATAACCTTATTTTACATGAGTAAAAAACCCTCCTTCAAATTTGTTGGATAATCCTTCATAATCATGGTTTTCTCTTAATAAGGTTTAGACAAGACTCCCTGGAGGATCAGATCTGCAACAAATAATCCTACTTCTTTCAATGTCAGTGACACTCCAGTAAGGAGGTTACCTGGTTTAATTGTTGTTGTTGTTGTTTGAAGGGGGAACAAAGAGATAAAGAAATGTTTTTATTAACTTTAATGAAACAAAAATGGAGCCTGAGTTTTTGTTCTTATTTTGGCTTGCTGGATCGCTTGCATAAGTTGTAACTAACTGTTCTCTTCATGTTGTAAAAGTAAAATTCCCAAAGCCTTGGGATTATAGTCAACAGGATAGAAAAAGCTATTTTATGTACCTAGCTATGGCCAAAAAGACTTTTTGAAAAGAGTATTATTACAGAGCTTGGGGCTAATCTACTGGAATCCCCTGAGCCTTTCTTTCACTACACAGGTATCTTAGTAGATCTAGAGGGTACAATCACTCGTGACAAGCAATGAATATACAACAGGCTTCTAGAACATTCATTTCATCAGCACAAGAAACTTGGGAATATCTATATTCAAATACATTGAAATGGGGATATTTAGAGCCAAAAGCTATGTAAATCCCATTACCCCTTGAAAATGGATGTCTACATTCCTATGAATGTAGCTTTCCTCAGCTCCTATTCCCCATGATTCTCAGAAGTATGAAATTGATAAATATCCAATTACACCTTGTAGAGGAGACTTAGCAACCAGCGTTCATACTGGCCTCACTTATTCTTTTTTTTAAAAATGTGACTATTTTAAGTATTATTTGGATAACAAAATCTCAACCTGAAACACCTAGAGCCAGGGGTCCAGGATGCTCCAGCTGATGATCACGTATGCTTACTAACGCTCCCTGCTGTGATGCTGGCACACAAGGTGAAAAAGCAGAGTCGGGTGTGCTGCTTTTTGGAATGAAAACTTAGTATGAATTTGTTCACTTGGCATTTGCCATTACTTCCAAAAATGAAGACCAAAAATTCTTGGTAATTAAAGTTTCTGCATATTTAGATTCTGTTATTCTATTTTACAATGTATGTGATTTTTTTTTTTGAATTAACATGGCATTTGAAAACCTATTGCAAGCAATAGAACTATCCTCCCCAGAAATCTGAGTTTCAGGGGATTCACCTGGGGTTATGGAGCCCTGGTTAAGAGCTCACAAGATAATGAAAACAGCATGATACAAAAACCTACAGCTAACATCACACTGAATGACAAGAAATTCGAAGTTTTCTCACTGAAATCAGTAACAAGGCACGGATTTTTCTCTCACCATTCCTTTTCAACATTGTACTGGAATTTCTAGCTAATGCAATAATATAAGAAAAGGAAATGAAAGGTATACAGATAGGGAAGGAAAAATAAAACTGTCTTTATTCACAGATGGCATGATTGTCTATGTAAAAACCCAAAAGGACTGACAAAAGACTCTTAGAACTAAAGTCAAATATGGTGGTGTGTGTCTGTAGTCCCAGCTACCCAAGAGGGTGAGGTGGAAAGATCACTTGAGGCCAGGAGTTCAAGGCTGTAGTGCAGTATGATTGCATCTGGAAAAAGCCGCTGCACATCAGCCTGGGCAACATTGTGAAATCCCATATCTTAAAAATGAAAAAAAAAAAAATCCTGGAACTAATAAGCAATTATTGCAGAGCTGCAGAATACAAAGTTAACATACATGCAAAAGTCAATTCCTTTCTTATATGCCAGCAAGAAACAAGTGGAATTTGAAATGAAAAACACAATATCATTTACATTAGCACCCTACAAAATGAAATACTTAGGTATAAATCTAACAAAATATATTAAGATATATATGAAAAAACCTACATAACTCCAATGAACAAAATTAAAGAACTAAGCAAATGAAAAGATATTCTATGTTCATGGACAGGAAGACTCAATATTGTCAAGATGTGAGGCCTTCCCAATTTGATCTGCAGATCCAGTGCAATCCCAATCAAAATCCAAGGAAGTTATTTTGTGAATATTTACAAACTGATTCTAAAGTTTATATGAAGAGGTAAAAGACCTAGAATAAACAACACAATATTGAAAGGGAAGAACAAAATTTAGAGGACCAACACTAGCTGATATTAAGACTTACCATAAAGTTACACTAATCAAGACTTACCATAAAGCTACACTAATCAAGGCAGCATGGTATTGGCAAAAGAACAGACAAATAAATCAATGGAACAGAATAGAGATCCCAAAAATAGACTCACATAATTAGCCAACTGGTCTTTGACAAAAGAGCAAAAGCAATACAATGAAGCCAAGAGTCTTTTCACAAATGATGTTGGAACAACTGGACATCCACATGCAAAACAATGAATCTAGAAACAGATCTTACACCTTTCACATAAAGTAACTCGTGGATCATAGCCCTATATGTAAAATGCAAACCTATAAAACTAGAAGTTAACATAGGAGAAAACCTATATGACCTTGGATATGGTGATGGATTTCTAGATACAAAACCAAAGGCACAATCTATGAAAGAATTGAGTAACTTAAAACTTCTCTCCAAAAGGCAATGTCAAGAGAAAGAGAAGACAAGCCACAGATATACACATGGCACATAAACATATGAAAAGATGCTACACATTATTTGTCATCAGAGAAATACAAATTAAAATAACAATATATCATTACACACCTATTAGAATGGCAAAAATCTGGAACAATGACACCAAATGCTGATGAGGATGTGGAAGAGCAGGAACCCTCATTCATTGCTGGTGGGAATGCAACATAATACAACCACTTTGGAAGGCAGTTTAACAGTTTCTATTTTTTTAATTTTAAAATATTTAATTGACATACAAAATTATATATTCAAGTTGTATAATATGGTGATTTGATATCCATATACATCGTGTATGAGTACCACAATCAATTACTGCATCCATCACCACCCACAGTTACTGTGTGTGTGTGCGTGGTGAAGACACTTAAAATCTGCTCTCTTATCAAATTTCAAGTAAACAATATAGTTACTAACCATAGTCACAATGCTGTACATTCGATCCTCAGAACTTATTCCTCTTATAACCAAAAGTTTGTAATCTTTGACCAATATCTCCCCGTTTTTCCCACCTCCAACTTCTGGCAACCACCATCCCACTCTCTGCTTCTATAAGTTCAACTTTTTTTAGATTTCATAGATAAATGAGATCATACAGTATTTGTCTTTCTGTGTCTGACCTATTTCACTTAGCATAATGTCCTCCAGGTTCATCCATGTCGTTGCAAATAGCAGAATTTCCTTCTTTTTAAAGACTGACTAGTATCCTATTGTGTATACATACCACACTTTCTTTATCCATTCATCCATTGATGAGCACTTAGGTTGTTTCCATATCTTGAGTATTGTGAGTAACACTGCAATTAATACGGGAGTGCTTGGAATCTCCATGATGTTTTCCATAGTACCAATTTACATTCCCACTAACAGTGTATAAGGGCTCTCTGCTCTCTTTTCTGCATTCTTTTGCCAATACTTATCTACAGCCTTCTTCACATAGCTATCCTAATACATATGAGGTGATGCCTCATTATGATTTTGATTTGCATTTCCTGATTGATTAGTGATGTTGAGCATCTTTTCATATTCCTTTTGGCTAGATGTATGTCTTCAGAAAAATATCTATTCAGATCCTTTGCCCATTTTTCGCATTGGGCTATTTGTTTTGTTTTTGTTTGCTATTGAGTTGTGTGAGTTCCTTATCTACTTGGACATAACCCCTTATCAGTTTTATGGTTTGCAAATATTTTATTCCAATTGCAGGTTGCTTTTAATTTTGTTGACTGTTTCCTCTGGTGTGCAGAAGCTTTTTAGTTTGATGTAGACCCCCTTGTTTATGTTTGCTTTTTTTTTTTTTTTTTTTTTTGCCTGTGCTTCTGGTGTCATATCCAAAATTTACTGCTGAGACCAATGTCAAGAAGCTTTTCCCCTTTGTTTTCTTCTAGAAATTTGATAGGTTCAGATCTTACATTTAAGTCTCTAATGCATTTTGCATTAATTTTTGTATGGTGTAAGACAAGGATCCAATTTTATTCTTGCACCTATGGATATGGATATCCAGTTTTCCCAGTGCTATTTATTGAAGAAACTGTCCTTTCTCCATAGTGTATGCTTGGTGCACTTGTAAAGATTAGTTGACCATATATGTCTGGACTTATTTCTGAGCTCTTTAATCTGTTCTATTGGTTTATGTGTCTGTTTTAATGTCAGTACCATACAGTTTTGATTACTATAATTTTGTAATGTAGTATAAAATCAAGAAGTGTGAGGCCTCCAGTTTTTTCTTTCTCATCAGGGTGTGTGTGTGTGTGTGTGTGTGTGCTTGCATACGCATTTTAGGATTGTTTTATCTATTCCTGTGAAAAATGTCACCAAAATTTTGATAGGGATTCAATAAATCTGTAGATTGCTTTGGGTAGTGTGAACATTTTAATATTAATTCTTCGAATCCCTGAACACAGAATATATTTCCATTTATTTTGTATCTTCTTCAATTTCTTTAATCAATGTCTTATAGGTTTTAGTATATAAATCTTTCACCTACTTGGTTAAATTTATTTCTAAGTATTTTATTTTTTCCATACTATTGTAAATGGGATTGTTTTCTTAATCTATTTTGAAGGTAGTTTATTGTTGCTGTATAGAAATGCAGCTGATTTTTGTGTCTTAATTTTGTATCGTACAATTTTACTGAATTTGCTTATTACTTCTAACAATTTTTGGTGGAATCTTTAGGGTTTTCTACATGCAGGATCATGTCATCTACAAACAGAAAACAATTTAACTTCTTCCTTTTCAATTTAGATGCCTTTTATTTCTTTTTCTGGACTGATTGACCTAGGTAGGACATCCAGTACTATACTGAATAGTAGCAGCAAGAGTGGCCATACTTGTCTTATTCCTGATCTTAGCAGAAGTCCTTTTAGCTTCTCACTGTTGAGTATGATGTTAGCTATGGCCTTATCATATATGACCTTCATTATGTTGAGATACATTTCTTCTATACCTAATTTGTTGAAAGTTTTTATCATAAAACGATACCAAAATGTGTCAAATGTTTTTTCTGCATATGTTGAGATGATCATACAGTTTTTATCCTTCATTCTGTTAATGTGGTATGTCAAATATATTGATTTTCATCTGTTGAACCAGACTTGCATCCCAGGGATAAATCACACTGGATCATGGTGTATAATCTTTCTGATGTGCTGTTGAATTCGGTTTGCTAGTACTTTGTTGAGGACTTTTGCATCTATGTTCATCAAGGATATCAGCCTATAATTTTCTTTTCTTACAGTGTCATAATCTGTCTTTGTTGTAAGTTTAATGCTGGGCTTGTAAAATTAGCTTGAAAGTGTCCCCTCCTCTTCAGTTTTTTGGAAGAGTTTGAGAAAGATTAGCATTAATTCTTCATTAAATTCTTGATAGATCTCACCTGTGAAACCATTAATTTGGGGATTTTCTTTGCTGGCAGGTTTTTGATCACTGATTCTCCTTACATGTTATTTGTCTGCTTAGATATTAGATGTTTTTATTTCTTTATGATTAGGTCTTGCCAGGTGGTACACTCCTAGGAATTTATCCATTTCTTCAAAGTTATCCAAATTGTTGGCGTATAATTGTTCATAGTAGTCTCTTATGATCCTTTGTATTTTTGTAAGATTGGAAGTTTATTACAAAATTAACAAACTCTTATCATATGATTTAGCAATTGTACTCCTTGCTATTTACTCAAAGGAGGTGAACATGTATGTCCACACAAAAACCTTCACACAGGTGTTTATAGCAGCTTTATTTGTCAAAACTTAGAAATAACCAAGATGTCCTTCAGTAGGTGAATGAATAAATAAAGTGTGGTACATCCAGAAAAATTGAATTTTATTTAGTGATAAAAAGATATGAGCTATATGTTTTTAAGCCAGAAAAAGATATGGCAGAACCTCAAATGCATGTTACTAAGTCAAAGAAGCCAGCCTGAAATTCACTTATGAAATTCACTGTATGACACTCCAACTATGTGCCATTCTGGAAACAACAAAACGATGGAGACAGTAAAAAAAATTAGTAGTGGTCAGGACTTAGGGTGCGGGGGAGAGAAGCCATGAATAAGCAGAGCACAGGGGATTTTGGGGTAGTGAAAATGCTCTGGATGATACTATAATGGCAGATACATGTTACCATACATTTGCCCAAACCCAAAGAATGCATAACACCACGAGTGAATCCTATGTAAGCTAAGGATTTTGGTTGATTATGATGTGTCATGTGTTCATCAGTCATAACAAATGTACCAGTCTGGAGGGAATGTTGATAATAGGGGGGTCTTATGCATGTGTGGGGGCAAGAGGTATGTATCCTCACCAACACCTGTTATTTATGTGTTTTTTTTTTAAATTTATTATTGCCATCCTAGTGGGTGTGAAGTGGTATCTCATTGTGGTTTTCCTTTGCATTTCTCTAATGACTAATGCTTCTTGGCCATTTGTGTATCTTCTTTCAAAAATGTTTATTCAAATCCTTTGCCCATTTTTTAATTGGGTTTGTTTTTGTTTTTGTTGAGTTGTAAGAGTTTTTGTATATTCTAGAGACTAGACCCTTATCATATGTATGACTTGCAAATATTTTCTCCCATTCTGTAGTTTGTCATTTCACTTTCTTGATAATATCCTTTGATACACAAATGTCTTAATTTTGATAAAGGCCAATTTATCTATTTTTTCTTTTGTCATTTAGACTTTTGCTGTCATATCTAAAAATTCTTTTGTCAAGTCCAAAATCATGAAGATTAACTCTTAGGTTTTATTCTGAAAGGTTTATGGGTTTAGTACTTATATTTATGTTGTTGATCCCATTTGAGTAAACTTTTATATATGGCATGAGACAGGGGTCCAATTTCACTCTTTTGCACATGGAAATCACAGTGGTGCCAGTCTCAACTGTTGAAAAGACTATTCCTTCCCCATTGACTGTAATTGGCACTCATCAAAAATTAATTGGCATAGATGTATGGGTTTATTTCTAGACTCTTAATTCTATTTCGTTTGTCTATATGCCTATATTTATGCCAGCACCACACTGTTTTGATTACTATAGCTTTGTAATAAATTTTTAAATTGGGAAGTGTGAGTCTTCCAACTTTGTTCTTCATTTTAAAAGATTGTTTTGGCTATTCAGGGCTCCCTGGAATTGTACATGAATTTGAGGACCAGCTTTTCCATTGCTGCAAACAAAAACAAAAACAACCAATGAAACAAACAAAAATTCCTGGAATTTTGATAGGGATTGTATTA
The DNA here is from genome assembly GCF_000001405.40 of Homo sapiens. Taxonomy (NCBI): domain Eukaryota; kingdom Metazoa; phylum Chordata; class Mammalia; order Primates; family Hominidae; genus Homo; species Homo sapiens. The sequence continues at coordinate 95,765,013 of NC_000008.11, read as the reverse complement.
AATCTGTAGAACACTTGGTAGTGTTGCCATCTTAATGATATTAAATCTTCTAATCCATGAACGTAGATGTATTCACATGTATTTAAGTCTTTACTTTCTTTCATCAATGTTTCATCATTTTTAGCATACAAGCCCTTCTCCTCCTTGGTTAAATTATACTAGATATTTTATTCTTACACTATTATAAATGGAATTATTTTCTTCATGTTCTTTTTAGATTGTTCATTGTTGGTATACAGAAACAACTTTTTTTCTATGTGTTGGTATTATATTTTGCAGCTTTGTTGAATTTATTAGCTTCAGCAGCTATTTTATAGATCCTTTGGACTTTTCTATATATAGGATTGTCTCATCTGCAAATAAAGATAATTTAACTTCTTTCTTTCCAGTTTGGATGTCTTTTATTTCTTTTTTTGTCTAGTTGCTCTGACTAGAACTTTCGGTACCATACTGAATAATGCTGGTTAAAACAGGCATCCTGATCTTAGAAGGGAGGTTTTTCAGTCTGTCACCATTGAATATGATATTAGCTGTGGGTTTTTAAAAATAAACACTCTTTATTATGTTTCAAAAGTTATCTTCTATTCCTAGTTTTCTGAGAGATTTTAATCACAGAAAGGTGTTGGATTTTGTTGAATATTTTTCTGCAAAAATTGAGATGTTCTTCCCTTTTTTTTGTAATGTGTTACATTATTTTTCATATGTTGAACCACTCTTGGATTCCTGGGATAAGTCCCACTTGGTCATCACATATAACCCTTTAAATGTGCTGTTGGCTTGATTTTCCAGTATTTTGTTGAAGAGAGGGTTTTTAATTTCTTTATTTTAAAATTTTAGAACTGTAAATAAGGAATTGTGGACTTGTAGTTCCGTACAGTGACTAATCATCACAGCAAAAGAAGCTGATTAATGGAGCCACGTTAATAAGAAGGAAGTCTTTAACAGTATGTTCCTGTGTCCTGGGGTTCTGACTGGTTCTCTTTAACCATTTACCAATGACTTGAAGACAAAGAAGGCCTGCTTCTCACACTTGCAGCTGACAGAACTGAGAAAGACAACTAATATTTGAGGGAGCAAAATAAAGATTCCAAAAGGTTCTGATGGCCTTCAATAATCAGGCCAAATTAACAAGATAGATTTAAAACCTGGAATCAATATTTTGAGTTCAAGGAAAAGATTGAAGAAAAGGAGGGGTTGCTGGATTAACAGCCATTCCCATGAAGACAGCTGGGATTTAGCTGACTGCAAACCCGGCCTGAGCTGAGAATTTCAAGGCTCCAGAGGAGGAGTGCAGGCTGGAGTGGTGCTGACACAATGTTGTATCGACAATGTATATGTGCAAGTGTGTGGTGTATGGGGCTTGCTTAGTCCTGCTCTTGGCTCTGCAGGCGCATCCACATCTGGAATATTTATTGCCTTCAGTCTGGGTGCCAATTTTTAAGTGACAAACTGGAGCACATCCAGACAAGAATGACCAGGATGAAGAAAGGGCTCAAAATCATGTTAGGCTGGGAAGTGTTGAAGGAACCAGGCTGTTTAGCCTAGGGCGGAGAAGATTAAATGGGGATTTCATAGTTGTTTTCAAATCACATGAAAAGAGAAACAGACAGGGTCTGTGTGTTTCCGGAGTGGAGTAGAAACCTAGAGGTGGAGGTTGACAGAGGGAGGGATTGGTCTTCTACAAGAAAGACATTTTCAATAGTCAGTGAGATCTGAAAATACAGTGGATTGGACGCATGATGGGTGCCAGAACATTTATCTCCTCCACCCCATCTTCTGGGGAATAGCTATCCACACCCTCATGGGTATTACAGGAATATACGGTAGATTGCACCTGACCCGAGTCAGGCCAAAGAGCCCTGTCCCTGTGATTATGGGATTTGGGAGTGAAGAACAGTTGGGCTGCCTGTGGCTGAAGCTCTAAGAGGCAAAACTAGAGAAGAGTTTCTCATCAAAAGGAGAAAATGAGGAGAGTGGAGGGGAGGGGAGAGAAAGGGAGGGGATAAGAGGAGGAGAGAAGAGGAGAAGAGAGAGAGATGGAAAACAGAGAGAAAAGTATTGAGTTCTGAATTCCAGATATTCCTGAATCTCACGATCCTCTTATTCTCCCACAACCCTGTCAGTCACTCAGCTCTTTCTTGAAGAGTATGAAATACCTTAGTATCATTCCAAAGGGTGGTCTCTCTTAATTAAACTAGAGTCAGGTTGGTTTGTGCTTTTTTTGTTTGTTTGTTTGTTTTTGTTGTTTTCAGTTCAAAGGACTCTAACTAATAACAGCTGTCTCAGGAGGTAGTGAGGCCTCCAACTTTGAAGGTATTTAAGGGAAACAGGTTTACCATCACCTGCCAAGAATTCTATGAAGTGGGTGGGAATAAAAATGAAATAGGATTGGTCATGAGTCGATAATTGTTGAAGCTAGGTGATGGGTTTATTATCATATTCTCTCTGCTTTTTTGTATCTTTAACATTTTTTCTAAGAAAAAAATGATACGGAGAGGACACAAGCACTGCGAGAAGGTGAACAAATTCAATGCTTCTAAAACATATCAGAATCCTTTGGGTAGACTTAAACAACAAAAATCTGTGGCCTTACCCCTGGAAATTTGGTTTCAATTGATCTGGGATGAGGCTCTGGATTCTATATCTTTTCAAAGCTCTCCAGATTATTCCATCATCTAGGTAAAATCACTGCCGGATTAAACGATATTTAAGGGCATCTTGAAATGTAAGATCCACAAGCTCAAGGGTATTAAAGGCTGGAAGTGACTAACACCTTCAATTTTAAAATGTGGAAACTAGGCCAGGTGTGGTAGCTCACACCTATAATTCTAGCACTGTGGGAGGCCGAGGTGGGTGGATCACTTGAGGTCAGGAGTTCAAGACCAGCCTGGCCAACATGGTGAAACCCTGTCTCTACTAAAAATACAAAAAAATTAGCCGGGCATGGTGGCATGTGCCTGTAATCCCAGCTACTGGAGAGGCTGAGGCAGGAGAATTGCTTGAACCCGGGAGGCGGACATTGCAGTGAGCCGAGATGGCGCCATTGCACTCCAGCCTGGGCAACAAGAGTGAGACTCTGTCTCAAAAAATAAAATATAAAATAAAGTAAAATGTGGAAACTGAGATCCAAAGAGGTCAAGTGATTAAGGTTAACAGAGTTAGTAAGTGATAGTGGAGAAGTCTAAAATCCAAGCAATCCCCTGTTCTCTGTCCTGTACACATTGATTTTATAAAATTATGAAAATCTTCTTGATTGATAAGGTTATACGAAGAAAGCTGACTTTGGATCCAGACTGCTTGGTCAAATCTTGGTTTTTCCACTTACTCTCTGTGTCTTAGTTTCCCCATCTGTACCCACTTTATATGGGATTGTTGTAAATTAAATATATATATAAACAATAATTAGCATATGATAAACAAGGGTTTGCTATTGTTGTATTTATTACTTGCATCATACTAGGAAGGAACTGTCACTGAAGGCCTTCAAGACTTTGTATGGCTATTAATTATTGACAGTTGGAGGCAGGGGTGAGCACTGCAGCCCACATCCAGTGTCCGGCTTATTGCTTCATGTCATCCTGTTCAGTATAAGAAGCTATTGCTCAAGTTGCAGAGCTTGAGTCGTAACTTCACTCCTGGTGGGCCATTCTGGCTATAGTGTGAGAAAAGCAAGAGCCAGAATACTAAGGGCAGCTTGACAACTGGAAAAAAAAAATAGTTAACCTATATATTCCAGAAGTGTTCTTGCTTTATTATTATTATTACCTCTATACCCAATCACCAAACAAAATAACACCTAATTTTAATTAAAACTAACACCAACAAAAACAAAACAGCTAAGAGGGATATGATGGCTTCTAAGACAGCTGCTAGATATTGTGAATTAGATATGCTAGTGTTTTTAAAGAATAAATACAGGAAACTAAGAGTGGAAGCATCAGGCAGGCAGGGTTTCTGTCTGCTTTGTTCCCTGTTGTATTCCTGGCAGCCAGTATGGGGTCTGGCACATGTTGGGTATTCAATAAATATGTGTTCAATAGATGATCTTTCATGGAATGGCTCATAAATTTCACAGATAATTGAGATAACTTATGGTTCAAAGTGTAAAGCTACAACTTTAGTCATTTCTTTAAAAAATATAAAATGAAAATTTTATGAAGAAATATTTTTAAAAGAAAATTTGAAATTAAACATTAAAAAAAGACTAGATCTTTCCTAAGATCTAAAAGGCTATTTCTAAATAGAGAATAGTTTTCAGGGGCAATCATAGGGGAAAGCAGCAGTGTGTGAGAAAAGCATTTCTATCCTCACATGGGTCCAGCTTTCTCCCTTCTCTTTTCATGTTTTGTCCTCTTTATTTATTCTCTTCTACTGACTTTCTTCCATACCTTGTTTTTAAAAGACTGTTGTCTTTCTTTTCCTTTTTCTTCTCTTTCTCTTTGTCCTATTTCTTCTCTAAACCAGTCACTTTTTTTTTTTTTTTTAACTGAATCTCGCTCTATCGCCCAGGCTGGAGTGCAGTGGCACGATCTCAGCTCACTGCAACCTCCGCCTCCCAGGTTCAAGCAATTCTCCTGCCTCAGCCTCCTGGGTAGCTGGGATTACAGGCACCTGCCACCACACTTGGCTAATTTTTGTATTTTTCGTAGAGATGGGGTTTCACCATGTTGGTCAGGCTGGTCTTGAACCCCTGATCTCGTGATCCACCACCTTGGCCTCCCAAAGTGCTGGGATTACAGGTGTGAGCCACCGCACTGGGCACCAGTCACTTTTCTTTTGGTGATAATATGAGGCAGAAATATTAGTTAATTCATTCCTTTCATTAATATTTAGAAAGTTCAAACTATGTGCCAGGTACGTTTTTACCCCCCTTATCTGCAGGGAATACATTTCAAGATACCCAGTGGATGCCTGAAAACTTGGATGGTACCAAACCCTATATGTTTTTTCCTATACATACATACCTATGGTAAAGTTTAATTTATAAATTAGGCACAGTAAGAGATTAACAACTAATAATAAAATAGAACGATAAAAAATACTGTAATAAAAGTTATAATGTGATGTCTCTCCCTCCCTCCCGCTCTCTCTCTCTCTCTTCCTTTCTCTCAAAATATCTTATTGTACTGTACTCACCTTTCTTCTTCTTCTTCTTGTGATCTGCCTATCTGATAACCGAGATGGCTACCAAGTGACTAAGGATGGCTAGTGTCCACAGTGTGGATACACTGGACAAAGGAATGATTCACATCCCACGCAGGACAGAGCAGGATGTCACTTTCATCACAATACTCAGAAAGGTGTACTGTACAATTTAAAATTTATGAATTGTTTATTTCTGGAATTTTCCATTTAATATTTTCAGACCAGAGTTGACCTCAGGTAGCTGAAACTATAGAAAGCAAAACTGTGGATAAGCAGGAACTGCTGTATTAATTTGATTTTTTTGTTAAAGCATAATTTACATACATTGAAGTGCACAAATCTTACATGTACAGCTTGAGGAATTTTCACATATGCACATACCTGCGGAATTAACACCAGGTCAAGACAAAAGACATTTCCATTCTCCCTGCAGGCTCTCTCATGTCCTCTTGCAGTCAATACACCCTTTAATCACTATCCTGACCTCTAACACCAGAGATTAGATTTGAACCTGATATGATTAGAATTTTGTATATATTCTTTGTATCCTTTTCTGTTCAACATTATCTTTGTGGGAATTATTTATGCTGTTACCTGAAACAGGTCCTATTTTTTCCAATGAAGTTTTATGTCCCCCTAAGAAGGAAATTTTTTTATTTCTAAAATTATCAACCAAATTTCGTTGCCTTGTACATAAGGTTGGTTTATGATGAATATGTTTTCCTTGCCATCCATCCCCAACTCCTATCCTTTAGTCCCATGTGGGTAAGTCCTACTAGATTTGAAAAAAAAAGTTTCTCATGCTAGGATTATACCTCCACCTTCTCAGTGGAGCCAGGATGGTAACATCTGAGGTCCCTGAGACTGGGATTTTTACAGGTTACTCATTGTTGTGTGTCACTAGTTTCCCAGATTAGCTGCCTTTGCAACTGGGCCACATAGGACCCATGGACCACAGGAAACCTCCCTTAGTTAGGAATTCAGATACTATCTCATTGTTCTTCTTGCTAATTCTTTCCCGCCACTAGAGGTCAGGGTTCAGTTATTACTACAGAGGGCCGAACAAGTGTGAAGGGCTAATTGGCAATCAAAAGGACCCCAGGTGGGCTGCCTGGGGGGATGTAGTGCCTTGTGTGTTCAGGTTGAGACCAGGAATGAAAAGGCTGAGCTAGCTGAGCAAACAGACTGTTGTATCATCACATGGAAAATTGACCTCAAACATCCAAAATTCTATTTTTATTTATTTACTAATTTATTTTTTATTTGTATTATACTTTAAGTTTTAGGGTACATGTGCACAACATGCAGGTTAGTTACATATGTATACATGTGCCATGTTGGTGTGCTGCACCCATTAACTCGTCGTTTAACATTAGGTATATCTCCTAATGCTATCCCTCCCCCCTACCCCCACCCCACAACAGGCCCCCGGTGTGTGATGTTCCCCTTCCTGTGTCCATGTGTTCTCATTGTTCACTTCCCACCTGTGAGTGAGAATATGCGGTGTTTGGTTTTTTGTTCTTGCAATAGTTTGCTGAGAATGATGGTTTCCAGCTTCATCCATGTCCCTACAAAGGACATGAACTCATCCTTTTTTACGGCTGCATAGTATTCCATGGTGTATATGTGCCACATTTTCTTAATCCAGTCTATCGTTGATGGACATTTGGGTTGGTTCCAAGTCTTTGCTATTGTGAATAGTGCCACAGTAAACATACGTGTGCATGTGTCTTTATAGCAGCATGATTTATAATCCTTTGGGTATATACCCAGTAATGGGATTGCTGGGTCAAATGGTATTTCTAGTTCAAGATCCTTGAGGAATTGCAACACTGATTTCCACAATGGTTGAGCTAGTTTACAGTCCCACCAACAGTGTAAAAGTGTTCCTATTTCTCCACATCCTCTCCAGCACCTGTTGTTTCCTGACTTTTTAATGATCACCATTCTAACTGGTATGAGACGGTATCTCAATGTGGTTTTGATTTGCATTTCTCTGATGGCCAGTGATGATGAGCATTTTTTCATGTGTCTGTTGGCTGCATAAATGTCTTCTTTTGAGAAGTGTCTGTTCATATCTTTTGCCCACTTTTTGATGGGGTTGTTTGTTTTTTTCTTGTAAATTTGTTTGAGTTCATTGTAGATTCTGGATATTAGCCCTTTGTCAGATGAGTAGATTGCAAAAATTTTCTCCCATCTGATCTTTGACAAACCTGACAAAAACAAGAAATGGGGAAACAATTCCCTATTTAATAAATGGTGCTGGGAAAACTGGCTAGCCATATGTAGAAAGCTGAAACTGGATCCCTTCCTTACACCTTATACAAAAATTAATTCAAGATGGATTAAAGACTTAAATGTTAGACCTAAAACCATGAAAACCCTAGAAGAAAACCTAGGCAATACCATTCAGGACATAGGCATGGGCAAGGACTTCATGACTAAAACACCAAAAGCAATGGCAACAAAAGCCAAAATTGACAAATGGGATCTAATTAAACTAAAGAGCTTCTGCACAGCAAAAGAAACTACCATCAGAGTGAACAGGCAACCTACAGAATCGGAGAAAATTTTTGCCATCTATTTATTTATTTTTAATTGGCAGGGGAATTTTGTTTAATACATAATTGACATTTCACTTTATTTCCTTTAGGTAGAAGAATGCTTCAAGCTTCAGACAAATTTAAGCATTCTCACTTGGAAGCACCTTAAATCCTTGGTGTTCAGATTTGACAACCGTAAAAATGTTCGCTAAAGAGGTTTGCGGGGGATTCCTTGAGCAGCACAAGATTATTTTTTTCCCAACAACTAAAAATATTTAGTAGGTAAGCATCACTATTTTATGGACCGAATTTCTTTGAGGATTCTAAAGCCTTGCTGCTTAAAGTCCAGGTCTCCAATGCTTCCTGATTCTCTACTCCATCACCCCAATTCACTCTGACCTTAACAGGGTCTATACCAATGAGGTATAATGGGGACTATAATTTTAATCAGTCTCTTGAAAGCTGAGAGCAAGAATGACAAAATTTGGAGCTGACGTAGGCCAGTGGTTTCCAAAGAAATGGTTAAGCTACAAGCATTTAATTTTATTAAATCTTACTTAGAAACTTCATGTATAAAACACATAAAAAGTAGATTTCCTCTGTGAAGTAGGGATGTGAAGCTATGACTTCTGCTCACTTGGCTCCCCAGATCCCTCTACCCCACACTCTGTAGCCACTGAGGATATGTTTGTGAAATCCTGTAACTCTAGAGACAAAAACCACCCATCTAGTCCAAGCCCCTCATTGTATGAATGAGGAAACTAAGATCCAGTACTTGCCCAGTTATAATCATACATTAACAAAGATAACTGGCAAGAAATATGGCTGGAGACTATTTTTATTAAAATTTTAGGGTGTTTTTGAAAACATACTCTTCACTTCTTATCCCAGGCTACACAAACATGTGGTATATAATGTACATGTAAAACTAAACAACATTAAGTTTGCTCAGTTTTGCCAGATATTTGGATTGGTGAAACAGCAACCCTGTAGGTTAAAATCATGTCCTGATAAATTTGAAATTGCACTAAGAAAGGGGATTTGATCCCTTTGAAGAAGAAAACAGTCTTATATCTTGGTTGTGAAGTAGAAGTTGTTGTTATGGAGAGCGCTTGCTAATACAGAACACTGGAGAGCAAGGGAGAAGTTTCCACAACACATAAGGAGGAGCCACTTCTGCGTGGAACGAAGGTAACCAGGCCATTCATGCTGTTTATGGGAGAAGTGTTGTGCAACTGGTATAAAAGAGAAAGTAGGAAAGAGCTAACCTTAGAGGATTCAGGGAGAATAGTAAGGTCTTCGGTTGCCTTTTTCAGTCATGTAAGGGACTTATTCATATGCTAGTTAGGGAAAGAAAGCAATGAAAATTTGAAAGCAACTTCCAGCAAAGGCTTTTAATAGCAAATTGCTCTCTATTCTTCTGGATCTATCTATATGGCCCAGTAATCATTTACTCAAATGTTAGAGGGTCTAACTGAGATGACCAATGTCATACTCCAGTTTAGGAGAAACCAGGATGATTAATACCAGACAAGGACTAATGAGTAAGGAACTTGCTTATCCCTGTGTTGGAATTTCTTTTTTCTTAATTTAACTTTTGTTTTAGGCTCAGGAGCACATGTGTAGATTTGTTATATAGATAAACTTGTATCATGGGGGTTTGCTGTATAGATTATTTCATCACCTAGCTATTAAATCTAGTACCCATTAGTTATTTTTCATAATCCTCTCCCTCCTTTCACCCTTCACCCTCTGATGGGTCCCAGTGTCTGTTGTTCCCCTCTATATGTCCATGTGTTCACATCATTTAGCTCCCACTCATAAGTAAGAAGATGTGGTATTTGGTTTTCTGTCCTTGTGTTAGTGTGCTAGGAATAATGGCCTTCAGCTCCATCTATGTTCCCGCAAAAAACATGATCTCTTTCTTTTTTTTACTGCTGCATAGTAGTCCATGGTATATATGTACCACAGTTTCATTGATGGGCATTTAGGTTGCTTCCAGGAATTTCTTTAGGTATTGTTCTAAACTGTACCTCATCTTTAACTTAAAAATCATTAGCAATCATGTTTTGTTCTTTTAATAAATAGTTGTGTTTTGAATCTTAAAAAATTCTTGGAGTCCTGTGATACTCAAAGCAGAAATAGTTTCCTATCATTTTCCTCTTATTTTATTAAATCTGATGAGCAGCTACTTCTTCAGAGTATGTAGGCAACAACAGAGCCCTCTGTGGCTATTGGGCCAGGAAAGGAGTAAATATATTCTTGCAAACCTAAACAGTGAGCCAGGTTTAGTTTTTCCATTTGTACCAAACATCATATCCCCTCCATTCCGTGAGAGTAGAACTGGGAGAAGACTTCAGAGTTTGGATCCTCCTTAAGGTAATATGTTACTTGCATAAGTGTGGGTTTAGAGTTGTTTAGTTATTTGCAGTGGGGTGTGTTGATATGTGTGCACGAGATGAGGGATGGAGATGTTTGCTATGCAATGGAGGTATTAGCAACGTGTTGCGCCTTCCAACGTTTTGTTGGGGGTGGAAGGCAGAAATAGTCTGAGTGAAGACACACCGCCCAATGTGCTCACTAAGCAAATAATGTGAGGTTCCGCTTTTTCACTTTGGCTACCAGCAGTTTTGCAAGCTTGGAAGCAAGAAGAGGGCTAGTCAACTAAAAGCCCCCAAAACTGAGGAATGTGGTCCAAAGTGCTGCTTCGAGCAGTCCACATTTCTGATGCTCTGATCATTATTACTATTAGAGTGAGAGGCTTTCCTCAACAGACCAAAACTAAGGATCTTTCATCACTAGGCAGTCAGAATAGAGAACCAAAAGGACAAAGCAAAGCATCAATTAAAATCTCATCCCTCTGTCCAGGGTTTGTGATAAATACATCAATTTCTTGCTCTCTCCTTTGGGATCCAAGTCTTTGAAATAGCTTATGGCTGGGTGGAACTCCCTCTGGTAGGTGGATGAGTGTTCAATACATTTGTGATGCTGAGACATTTATCTTCATTGCCTTAATAATTAAGCATCTAAGTCAAACTTCTGGTTTGACTTCTGACCCCTGTGTTTATTGACATTCCCATTCAAACACTTAGTTTGAGCTCCTGATTAGTTTGAGACCAGCCTGGCCAACATGGTGAAACCCCATCTCTACTAAATATACAAAAATTAGCCTGTCATGGTGACATGAGCCTGTAATCCCACCTAATCGGGAGGCTGAGGCAGGAGAATCGCTTGAACTCAGGAGGCAAAGGTTGCAGTGAGCCAAGCTTGTGCCACTGTACTCCAGCCTGGGTGACTGAGAGAGACACTGACTCAAAAAAAGAAAAAAAAAAGGCTTGAATTAATACGACTAAGTTTGCCTCACATTCACATCTGCAGGCAGAGTTCCCTCCATAGAGAATGGGAAGTTTGTCCTAGAGATCAATTATTCAGATGTACAGCTTGTATTCTGGGGGTATTCTGTCATTCAAAAAATATTTGTTGAGCACCTACTATGTGCTGGGTACTATTCTGGACATAAGCAATACAATGAGGAGCAAAACAGATTCTCTGCTTTCATGAAGTTTAAAATCTAGTGGAGTAAATCAATATTAATCAAGTTAACATATCAACATATAATTAAAAACTGTGCAAGGGTCTTGGTGAGCAGAAATTCTTTCAATTTGTATTGTTGCAGAAGGGCCCTCTCTAATCAGACATTCATTATGTCTCTCTTACCTGTCCATGGCAACTTCTTGGAATACCCTTCTGCTTCTCTTTGTCTTCTCAGGAGTTTTTCATTGCTGGTACTTACTTACTTAGATGGTGTTTTTTATCAGACAGTGGCAGGAACCCTCCCTCTAAATACAGTGAAACAAAATCATCATTTGCCTCAGATGAGCATGGGCCAGGAGTTTTCCATTTCCCTTTTAGCCAGAGTACACAAGAGCACCTACTTATGAAGGCACTGAAAAATTGCTCTGCCCTCCTGGCAAGATACAAATGGAGAGACTGAGATGGAGAGATATCATAAGGCTTATTGTATGATGGCCTCAAGAGTTAGTTATTGGTACCAAATTCCAGAAAACTTGGACTGGAGCTTTAACTCAGCTAGACCACAAGAAGAGTTGGTAAGAGATTTCAAGCTTCTCCAGGGAAACAAAGATACATGGATCGGTTTTAGAGATGGGGTTGTCTCCCAAACAGTAATCAGATTCCTCTCTTGCATCCCACAATCTCGCAGGTGTAAACCACATGAACAAATATGTGCTTGGGGTGAGGGTAGGGGTGGTGGGGGAGGTGATGACAGTTTCGACTTCATAATGCATCATCTCAGGTGGCAGCTGTGCATCTGTTACATATTTTGAAACCTCCCTCTCATACCAGTAGAGCTATTTCAGCAGATAATATCTCGAATTGACTAAAGAAAAATCATATGTTACCCAATGTCCTGAAATGGCTCAAGAAGATGGATAAGGGGAAGGTGTTGGGGTTGAAACTTGTATTTTACCTCCTGACTCTTAAAATCATTGGGATGGCAGCTTTGATTCAGTCTTGGAAACTGGACTTAATTAGTGGGAGCCAGCCCTCTATGGGGGAGCTCTCGGACAGGCACTTTGGGTCCCTGCCTCCCCAAGCTCCCTCTCAAGGATAGGGATTTGAACAGTTGCAGCCCCTGGGGCCCCTACAAAATACTTCCAGCACACATGCGGCTAAAAGCGATAATCCCAACACGTTTTGCAGGAAGAAAAATTGTGCTGGGAACAGCGAGTCAAGCATTTGCTGAGTTTTAGTAGGAGGTGTGAAAAATATGTAACTCTACTCAGGGTCATTCCCCTTGGCCTCACTGCTAGCCACAGCGTGTGTGAGGGGCGGCAGAGGCAGCGCCAAGCTCCCATCCATCTTTCTGTGGCCCCATTAATCTCTTCTCTTCCTGAAAACCAACTTATCTTGCAGTTGGTTTAAAAACCTCCCAGCCCTGCACATAGGGGCTGCTGCAAGCGCTGATGGGCCTCTGTGCTAATTAGAAAAAGACGGTCCCTCTGGGAGGGACCCTTGCAGAAAGACGCCCCCTCTGGGCAGGCCAGTTAGTGAAGAGGCGCCTTCTTTCAGGCGAACTCAGGCCTGTGCTGGGGCTCACGGCTCAGCAATCAGAGTACATCCTGGATTTTAGGCCCCCAAAGATTTCCCTCAGCTGGGCCCCACTGTGTCCAGTGGCCGGCAACAAAGCATCCTTTGTGGCTCACAAAATCGACACTGACTAGTCTCCATAGTTGGAATGCGCTTGGAATCCTAACCAAGTTCTCTTGCTTACGCATGTATTCTTAATTCTCTGCATTTAACAAACACTGTGCAGGCAGAGTCCCCTCAGAGATATTGACAAACATCACCATGGGACAGATGAACTGATGGAAACAGGCAACAACATTGGTTTCATTGCACTGTCCTGTTCAAGGAAGTAATTACCGGCTCTTTAGACACAAATCTTGGACACAAACACTGCCTAGGTACTCTTTTCTTTTTTTTCTTTTCTTTCTTTCTGTCTTTCTTAGAGACAAGGTCTCACTCTGTTGTCCAAGCTGAGTGGAGTGGCACAATCACTGCTCACCGCAGTCTCAACCTCACGTGCTTAAGCAATTCTTCTGCCTCAGCCTCCTGAGTAGCTTGGGACTACAGGCATGCACCATGACGCCCAGATAATTTTTTATTTTTTGTGGAGATGACATCTCACTATATTGCCCGGGCTGGTCTTGAACTCCTGGACTCAAGTGATCCTTCTACTTTGGCCTCCCAAAATGCTGGGATTACAGGCGTGAGCCACCACACTTGGCCAGCCTAGGTACTCTTTCCTCCATGACTTTTTCTCCAACATTTTCTTTCCCTCTGATGAGTAGGCTGCAGGTTTAGTCTTATATTTCCTCTGATATTGGGAACAATTTTCTGTCTTGTTTCTCTTTGTCATTAGTTCAAGGTTGTTTCTGATTTTCGTAAGCCATTTTGTCACATTTTGTCTGTCCTTTACCTATGCAACCTGCCCTATGACTTCACCCATCAATGATAATAGATACAATAACACTAATAGCAAGAATTGGTTGAGAAGTCCCCATATGCCATGTGCTATTCTATGTGCTTCCTGTGTATTAACTCATTTAACTTGTCATAGAAGTCTTATGAGGATAGTAGTAGTATTATTCCTGTTTTAAGATGTGGTAACTGAGCCAAAAAATAAAAAAGTTAACTAATTTGCCAAGGGAGCAGTGGAGCCAGGGTTTGAGCCCAAGCAGTGTGGCTCTAGAGCTCATGTGCTCCACCACTGTGCTATGGAGACTCCATCTATTCATTTGTGAGTGCTATGTCCATCTCTCTACTCATCCTCATAGCTATTGCTTCATCTATTCATTTGTCCTACAAACATGTATTGAATAGCCATACCCCAAGCTCATGCTCAGTACTAAGACTGAGACCACAAGCAAAATACAAACTCTAAAATAATGACATTTTTAGAATAGTGAGGTTGACAAGTATTCAGGTAATTTGATTGTACACAGTTTCATAGCAGTCTGTCTTGAATGTCTACCTTGCCAATGGCATTCTACTCTGGGAACATTCTTTTCCCATTGCTCCTGCTAAAGGGACAATCCTCAATGCCATATCATAGCACATTGCTGTCCACTGGCCACAGATGATTGGAACAGAGTGGACACATGACCTATGACCTACCAATGCAATGAACATAAAACCACAAATTTACCCTTTTAGGGAATTTGAACTAAGAGACACAGTGGAAGTAGGTCCTTGAACATTAACAGGAAGGATGGAGTTGGCATTTTGGCAGCAGACTCACAAGTTGAGGAAGCTCTGATGTAGCAAAGGCTCTGACATGGGGCAAACCATGGTAGCCTGTGGACAATTAAGGACCTGTCTTGCTGCCAGGGAGACAGCCTCTGGGCTGAGGGTGATAAGATATGAGATGGATAGATGTAGCTCAGAATTCTAGAAATAATCCCCATGAGCCACAAAAGAATATCAATCTTATTACTGTGTGCCGTAACTAATGACTGTGGAAAAAGGTCCTGAGAAATGGCCTTGGGGACAAATGAAGGTACCTGCACATAATGCAGGAGGCTGGTGGCCTTCAGACAGTTTTTTTCAAACTAAATCTCACAGAGTACCCCCATTATAAGGCAGACAAAATAATGGATGTTCTGTTACAAGCAAGGGCCAAGGCCATGGGGCACCTTTTCCTTTCCATACAAGGTGGATGGTGTCCACTGGAGATGTGTTACTCGAAGGATTTGTTGGGAGTTCTTGATCAGAAGAGTGTAGGTTAAGAGGAAGGTTTTCACCATAGACTGGCAGGGCCAGAGCTCCTGGGGGCCCAAACTGGGGGCAGCACAACCTCCAGGACTCCTGCAGCGGCCCCGAGGTGAGGGGCTGAGGGCAGAGCGAAGGGCATGGAAAGGGCAAAGGTGCCTGTTACTTTGAAGAACTGGCCAACGTCCAAGTTTTGTATCTGCATTCAGTTACTCGCGGAGGTTCGTGTGATCTTCCAGTCTTTATCACCCAGTTAGATGGTCTTCTTAGCACACTAGATGGGACAGTTGGTTCTAATCTTGATTTAGCATGATTTGAGCTATGCAATGTCAAATATTGACCTCTAAGGCAGTTCCAAGCCTCCGTTTAATTCTGAGTTCCTACACTGGAAAGAGATGTCCAATGTTTATTTAAATATTGAACTAATTTGAAGTAATTATAATGAAGTAATTGATTACATCAGTATCATCATAGAATTAAGATCAAAACGTTGCTAGCTAGTGGGAGAGAAGCTCCATTCCTCTACTGCAGGAAATTTTAGGCATGATATTTATTTAAGTGATGGAATGAGTAAAACATTATATATTTCTTCCACCTCATAATCTGTCAACGTAAATACACCAAGGCTTTTGGAGTTAGACAGACATAAGTTCCATGAATTCTGGAATTCTAGCTTACTATGATTGATAACTGCAGGCATGCTATTTAAATCCTCTCAATGTCAGTTTCTAAAATAAAGAGAATAAAACCCACTTCCTAGGATGGTTGTGTAGATCCAAGGAGGTAACATGGGCAAGCGGTGCGTTCATTGCCTGGCATACAATGAGCACAGATACATGTTCGATTAAAAACCTAAATACAAGTTAGTTCACTTCTTATCTCAGTTTTCTCATTTGAATAATGTATAATGATTATACAGCTTTGACGGGTTTTTGAGGGACCAAATGAAATAATGCACATGGGAACTCTTAGCCTCCATGATAATGACATGAAATAGAATCAGTGTTTTGGAGCTGATAACCCGAAATGTAACAAAAGGGACAAAACTGAAGTCTGAGAAGTTGTTAAAAGGAACATTTTCTTCCTCTTTGTAAATCTTAAAAACAAAAACAAAACAAAACCACAAAACCATTTTATGGAACAGTCAATTTGTAGGGGAACTTCTGTAGTTAACAACGAAATTGTGGGTGATCCTTTTTTCTTTCAGGTTTGGGGCCACAGCTTTGTCCTCCTGACAGACAAGCTTCCAGGGACACCAGAGCCCTGGCCCCAATCCATCCAGATGCTTGGGCAGCTACGTCAGTAGGAGCCATCCCTCCCGCGTGAAGCTGACTCTGAATTCTCTCTGTCTGTGTTGGTTCGTCTATTGGGACAACACAGAGTTGATCTGTATAATTTGTTCTCCACAGTAAATATTATTTTAGTGCTGCCTACCAAAGCCAGTTCAAGAGAATTCCTTCCAATATCTGATCATCATGTTTCTCCTTTCCTTTACTGAGGCTGTTAATCATTTATTTGTAGGTTAACTTATTTTGATTAGTGTGGTATAATTAGAATTTGACTTTAAGTATTTGAAGTAGTCTATAATAAAAGACACATATAGGAAGAGACCATTAAAATAAACGTTAAAAAAAAGTTGATAAATTTACAGATAGGTAGAGAATGTAGAGAATTTAATGAATAGTACTAAATAAAGTATGTAAAAGTATCAAATTGTCAGTCATTATGCAAATACTGCTATGTATCAATATCTGCA
The DNA here is from genome assembly GCF_000001405.40 of Homo sapiens. Taxonomy (NCBI): domain Eukaryota; kingdom Metazoa; phylum Chordata; class Mammalia; order Primates; family Hominidae; genus Homo; species Homo sapiens. The sequence goes on along the minus strand of NC_000008.11, from coordinate 95,748,276 downwards.
ATTTTGGATTGTGGTTAGTGTACCATCACATAATTTTTCTTTTTTATTTTATTTTATTGTATTATTATTATACTTTAAGTTTTAGGGTACATGTGCACAATGTGCAGGTTAGTTACATATGTATACATGTGCCATGCTGGTGTGCTGCACCCATTAACTCGTCATTTAGCATTAGGTATATCTCTTAAAGCTATCCCTCCCCCCTCCCCCACCCCACAACAGTCCCTAGAGTGTGATGTTCCCCTTCCTGTGTCCATGTGTTCTCACTGTTCAATTCCCACCTATGAGTGAGACTATGCGGTGTTTGGTTTTTTGTTCTTGTGATAGTTTACTGAGAATGATGATTTCCAATTTCATCCATGTCCCTACAAAGGACATGAACTCATCATTTTTTATGGCTGCATAGTATTCCATGGTGTATATGTGCCACGTTTTCTTAATTCAGTCTATCATTGTTGGACATTTGGGTTGGTTCCAAGTCTTTGCTATTGTGAATAGTGCCACAATAAACATACGTGTGCATGTGTCTTTATAGCAGCATGATTTATAGTTCTTTGGGTATATACCCAGTAATGGGATGGCTGGGTCAAATGGTATTTCTAGTTCTAGATCCCTGAGGAATCGCCACACTGATTTCCACAATGGTTGAACTAGTTTACAGTCCCACCAACAGTGTAAAAGTGTTCCTATTTCTCCACATCCTCTCCAGCACCTGTTGTTTCCTGACTTTTTAATGATTGCCATTCTAACTGGTGTGAGATGGTATCTCATTGTGGTTTTGATTTGCATTTCTCTGATGGCCAGTGATGGTGAGCATTTTTTCATGTGTTTTTTGGCTGCATAAATGTCTTCTTTTGAGAAGTGTTTGTTCATGTTCTTTGCCCACTTTTTGATGGGGTTGTTTGTTTTTTTCTTGTAAATTTGTTTGAGTTCATTGTAGATTCTGGATATTAGCCCTTTGTCAGATGAGTAGGTTGCAAAAATTTTCTCCCATTTTGTAGGTTGGCTGTTCAATCTGATGGTAGTTTCTTTTGCTGTGCAGAAGCTCTTGAGTTTAATTAGATCCCATTTGTCAATTTTGGCTTTTGTTGCCATTGCTTTTGGTGTTTTAAACATGAAGTCCTTGCCCAAGGCAAAGTTCTTTCAATGACCAAAATGCTCATCCTGATCTGCTGACTCTGGACCTATATGACTTCATCTTCTTCCTCCTTTCTTTTCACTCACTGCCCTCCAGGCACTCTGGCCTTTCCCCTTTCCTCAAATGCTGCACTTGGAATCAAATCTTCTATCAGTTTACCCATGAGAGGGCATCTTTAAATGAAAGAATCCAGTCTCTAGCTGGAACTTCAAGAAGCAGTGAGTAGATATTGGGAATGATTTGGGGGACATGAGCAAAGCTGCTCCTCCTGAGACAATCTCTGATCATGTCTTTTCTCTTTTTCTGACTTCTTTCAGACAAGACATTGCTTAAAATTCCCCTATCTGTTAGAAGGCTAAAACAGTCACTCCTTTGGAGACCAACGCACCTGCAGTTGTCCTGTTTTCTTCTGCCACACCAGCCATTGTGCAACATCTGGATAAGTAGCTACAACACAGCGTCTTTTCCTGTCTTGGGGCTCAGCCTCCCGTGGACCAAAGGGTCAAGTGTTTTGCTTAATTCCATGGCCTCCTCTGCTGTCTCTTCCATCAGTGCTGTCATTTCCCCAGTTGGAGAGATGATGACTAGCCTGGACAATAGGTCTGCTATAAGAGAGTCTTTGCCTGGGGTATAGATTACTCATAAATCATATCTTTATAACAGTAATCATAAATCATATCTTTATAACAGTAATAACATTCCCTGTCGTCTAGCAGGTGCGTTGCCTGGTGGTTTGTGATCTGTCTGGACAATCAGGCTTCTGCCAAATGCATATTTGTGGAACTCTCGTAGTGCACATATCACTGCCAATATTTTTTTTTCTTGCTTGCTCAAGCAGACTTTTTTTTTTCCCAGCCAAAGCCAGCATTAGAGATGTGCACGTGACTACTGAACAATCCAGTTGCTTGCCAAGAATCTCACTATACATTCTCAATGGCCTTGTGCATTATTAAACAGTGATTTCATTCGTGCCAAAGAACTTTAAATAAAGGAGAAAAGAAACTCACATTCACTAAGCACCTATAAAGTGCCAACCACTGTGCTAGTCATCTCACCCATGATATTTTATTTAATCTTCCCAACAACCTCATGAGTTACTTTTTTTTTTTTTTTTTTTTAGACAATGTCTTGCTCTGTTGTCCAGGTTGGAGTACAGTGGTGCTAACATGGCTCACTGCAGCCTCAACCTTCCAGGTTCAAGCAATCTCCCACCTCAGCCTCCCGAGTAGCTGGGACTACAGGCATGCACTACCACACCCAGGTAATTTTTTATTTTTTATAGTGATAGGGTCTCACTATGTTGCCCTGACTGGTCTTGAACAACAATAGGACAATAGGTTTGCTGTAAGAGTGTTGGCGTGGGCTCAAGCAGTCTTCCCTCCTTAGCCTCCTGATGTGCTGGGATTACAGGTGTGAACAGCCAGGCCTCACTTTAGGTACTATTATATCTTTACGATCATTTTACAGATGAGGAAACTGAGACTAAAGTTTAATGGAAACACTAGTAGTTTTTGAGCCCTGATGCCAGGCACAGTGATAAAGGACATTATCTCATTTAGTTTATTTTTTTTCTTTTTCTATTTCTTTTTTTTTTTGAGACAGAGTTTTGCTCTTGTCACCCAAGCTGGAATGCAGCGGCACGATCTCAGCTCACTGCAACCTCTGCCTCCTGGGTTCAAGCGATTCTCCTGCCTCAGCCGCCTGAGTAGCTGGGATTACAGGCACCTGCCACCAGACCCAGCTAATTTTTGTATTTTTAGTAGAGGTGGGGGTTTCACCGTGTTGGCCAGGCTGGTCTCAAACTCCTGACCTCAAGTGATCCACCCGCCTCGGCCTCCCAAACTGCTGGGATTACAGGTGTGAGCCACCACACCTGGCCTCATTTAGTTTCTAGAGCTGTCCAATAAGATAGCCACTAATCACATGTGGCTAAGTTTAAATGGATTAGATTCAAATGAAATAAAATTTGAAAATTCAGTTTGTGAATCACATTAATCATGTTGCAAGTACTCAATAGCTACATGTGTCTAGTAGCTACTGTGTTGGACTATGCAGGTGTAGGACATTACTGTCATCTCCAAAAGTTCTATCAATCAGTGCTGCCCCAGAGCAATACTATAAGGTAGGTACAGGCATTACAATATCCACGTTAAGGATGAGAAGATGGAGGCTTTGGCTGGTTATGTAAACAGAGCTAGTGAATTGGATCCAGGCCTGAACCCAGTTCCAGAAGCCTTGCTGTTGAGCGCAAGCCTATTTTATACACTCAGTGACTTACTTAAGGTCACCCCACTGGTAAGTGATGGCGTGGGGCTTCGAGACAGTATCCTCCCTGAGAATTCAGGATAGCTGTTGTAGTCTCACTATAGACCCTTTCCCACAAGCTTCTTTCTAGTGCTGGGCATGCAGTCTACATTCCTGGCATTTCCTTGATCTGGTTTCACTGCTGGAGTCAGCAGATGCCCCAGGCTCCTTGCCTCCATGGTTATGTGCATGAGCTTCTCTGAGGGTTTCTTGCCCCTGCAGGAGCCCATCTTGCATTCACTCTCATGGTGTCATTTCTGTCCACATGGGGCTGTGCTTTCCTTCCCCATCTGCCTTGTTCACCTGTCAGGGCTGGTGCACTTACCCTGGAGACTCCCACAGGGTCTTTATTATTCTCTGAATGATCTTAGAGGCTGACTCAATCCCAAATAGTCTGAGTCTGTGACTCTGGCATGCTCTGGGGAGCACGAAGGGTACAGAGCAAAATGGTCTGTCGTCAGCTAGTGTGCAGTTCTTTTTCTGGCTCAGGACCCAGGACCTCCTCCATGCCCCAGAAGACAGCTGTGGCAGGTAGCCAGGTTTCCTCCTCTAATTCTGGCCTTGGGCCTCTCTTTCTTTCTCAGGACCATTGAACTTACTCCAGTCTCCGAATTTTTCTGAGATTTCTAAAAGTTGCAAAGGATGTACAGCAGGACCAATGCAGTCTGTTGAGTGACCCTGATATATCAAGGTTCTTTACTAGACACTTTGGGTAAAACAATAATGCTTCTTCAGCCCTTACAGTGTGTCAGGGACTCTGATAAATACTTCGTGTGCATTTTTTCAATGACTTCACAAAATCCTCAAGTGGCATATGCATTATGATCTCCACTGTACAACTAGAAAATCAAGGTGCAGAAACGTAATTTGCTTGAGGTCACACAGCAATTTGGGAGTTAATTGGGATTAATACTTTTTTTTTCTTTGAGACAAGGTCTCACTCTGTTGCCCAGGCTGGAGTGTGATGGCGCAATCTCAGCTCACTGCAACCTCCACCTCCCAGGCTCAAGCCGTCCTCCCACTTTAGCCTCCCAAGTAGCTGGGAATTACAGGTGCATGCCACCACACCCAGCTAACTTCTTTATATTTTGTAGAGATGGAGTTTCACCATGTTGCCCAGGCTGGTCTTGAATTCCTGGGCTCAAGTGATCCACCTACCTCAGCTTCCCAAAGTGCTGGGATTACAGGCATGAGCCACCGTGCCCAGCTGACATTCATATTTATCCTATCAGTGTGCTGTATTGCATTCTGTCATTTGCTGTAATTCTATATACATAAGAAATCATTATCCATGATTGACTTATGAAAAAAAACCAGTCTGTTAGAAATTAAGAACTGTTGTCTAGGACATAAACAATAAATAGCTAAGCTAGAAATCACCATGGTAACATGAATATATATTTTAGCTAATTTTTTTTAAGAGATTGGGTCTCCCTCTGTCATCCAGTCTGAAGTGCAGTGGCACAATCATAGCTCACTGCAGTTCAAACTCCTGGGCTTAAGTGACGCTCCTGTATCAGCCTTTCAAGTATCTAGGACTACAGGTGTGTGCCACCAAACTAAACTGATTTTTTTTTTTTTTTTTTTTTTTTTTTTTTTTTTTTTTTTGGAGAGATGGAGTCTTGTTATGTTGCCCAGACTATTCTCAAACTCCTGGCTTCAAGTGATCCTCACCTTGGTTTCCCAAAGTGCTAGGATTACAAGCATGAGCCACTGCACTTGGCCTATATTTTAGCCTTTTTTTTTTTTTTTTTTTTTTTTGAGTCAGAGTCTTATTCTGTTACCCAGGCTGGAGGCTGGAGTACAGTGGCACGACCTCGGCCCACTGCAACCTCTGCCTCCCGGGTTCAAGTAATTCTCCTGCCTCAGCCTCCTGAGTAGCTGGGATTACAGGAGTGTGCCACCACGCCCGGCTAATTTTTGTATTTTTAGTAGAGACAGACAGGGTCTCACCATGTTGGCCAGGCTGGTCTCGAACTCGTGACCTCATGATCCACCCGCCTCAGCCTCAAAGTGCTGGGATTACAGGTGTGAGTCATGGCGCCCAGCCTATTTTAGCAATTTTTAAAAGTCCTATTTTAAATAATTCAGCTTGAAAGTAAAGATGTATTTTAAGAATAAGGTAAGAAGTGCTTTGTGAAATTTAAATCACTCTGCAAATACAAGGTACTCCTTTTTATGTAACAAACTCATAATTAACTTTTTGATCATATTCTTTAAGTTACTATTATCGATGGCTTTTGCTGTAATACATGTTGAACACCCAACAAAAGAAAACAAGTTTATCAGTAAGGATTAAGTTGAGATGCATTAATAGAACAATGTGGCTGAAACTTAATAGAAGTTTACTTCTCTCTTGTGTAACAGAAGTTCAGAAGGGAGAAGTCCAGGGCTGATATGGGCATCTCCTCTTTGGCCCTCATTTTCATGGGCCAAGATGGCTACTAGAATTATGGCTACTAGAATTAGGGCCACCATGTCCATGTTGGATGCAGTTGGATGAAAAAAGATGAAAAATTTTTAAAAAAGCTTGAACCCGGGAGGCAGAGGTTGCAGTGAGCCGAGGTCATGCCACTGCACACCAGTCTGGGTGACAGAACGAGACTCTGTCTCAAAAAAAAAAAAAAAGAAAAGAAAAGAATGGATACTTTTCCTGTTAATAACACTGTATTTCCTGTTAATAGTACTACATTTCTATACCCATTATACCATTGGGAGCCTGGGAAATGGATTCTTTTGGCCATGTGGGAATATAGCCTGCTAAAAACCAGGCTTCTGCTTCTAAGGAGAAAAGCAAAAATAGGAGTGGGGTAGAAAACTACCCTCTCTGCCATAAGAACTAATTTCCAGACTAGAGTAAAAATAATGATGCCAATCTATTAGTTAATTTAGGCTATCACCTCTTTTTGGATCACCTCCCAGTCTGGTTTTTCTCAATAATTCAATATAAAGGTCTTCAATGCTTCATGGAACAATCTCCTTTGATTATTTGGATCTCAGAAGCAACAAAAATCACATGTTGTTTTTCCTTTTCCTTATTCAACATCCCATCCAGAGCCTTTGCAGGGCGATTTTCCTCTAAAAATGATCTTGGAAAATCATATTATCCTCTTTGTATTTCCTGTTCTGTGAGGTATTTCCCAATTTTGGCTTGAACAGTGTATTTGTTTGGAGGCAGACCTCGTCTCTCACCCACTCTTTGATTCTGAAGTCTGGATTACCACCATTAGATTTGGGTTTGGCAGGATTTGAGTACTAGTGAGATGTCACCTCCAACTCCAGCGCAGGCCTTCACCTTAGGCCATTACCACCTAATAAGGTAGAGCAGCAGTATTGCTGAGTAGAGATCTTGGGAAAGCATTTTAATTACAGTTAAAATATCAATTGTTTGAACATCTTGCCCTCTCTGAGGCTCGGTGTCCTGACCTTTCATATAAGGGAGGTGGGCATTCAATTAGATGATCCATGAGGTTGCTTTCAGCTCTGAGTACTACAGTTCCCTTGGCCCTATATGAATGGGACCCAGGAGAGCCAACAGCTTTCAACAGCCGACACCCTTCTCGTGTAGGGTCCAGAAGTAAAGGTCCTGGCACTAAAAGGGAGGTTGGAAGAGGCCAAACCTCTTTCTGATTTCTGCCAATCTGATGGAACATTTCCTACTATGAACTTTAATCAATCATATTTGAATGTAGCACAAAGGTGCAGATATCTCTTCCTTCCTCTAAGAAGAGGCAAGGGCTTGGAGGGCCAGTGTGTGTGAGCATCCCTTTGGGTGAGTGGGATGAGGAACCTGCCTCAGAGCTGCCCTTCTGGACCTCCCTCTATGTCTCTGCCTCGCTTCTTCTCAATCTACATCTCTAACACTTCCAGCTCCATCTCTACATCTCAGTGTTCCCCAGGGGTCTATAATCCTCTTTTTGGTCTTCTCACTCAATACACTCTCCCTTGTCTGTATGAGCTGTACATATCTGTATCTCCAGCCCAATTTTTTCTGCTGAGCTCCAGACCCATAAAGTAAGCTTCACAGATCTTACAAAATAATACATTGACAATGGACTCATCCCCTTCTCCACAAAACATGCTTATTTCCCAATGTTCCCAATTTCGAAAAAGTACTTTACCACCCTACCCGGCTGCCAAGTTCTGAAACCTGAGAGTCATTTGAGATTCCTCCCTTTCCTTCCTTCCTACCCCCATTCCTCCCTTGGCCTGTCGGTTAGCAAGCCCTCTCACTTCTGTCCTCCCCTCCCCACCACCAAGGGCTCACCATTTTTATCCACATTCATATAATGATTTATTATCCTTCCCCTATAAAAGAAACTTTTATAAATGTCCGTTAATTATAGTAGCAGAAATAATCACCGTCACTTTTTCTGCATTGGGTACAAATGTTCTACACTTACTATCTTCAATACTCACAACAACTTTGCCATGTATTTATTATTTTACCCATGATACAGATGTGGAAACTAAGGTCTAGAGAAGCTAAACAGTAGTCACCAATGTCATCACACCGTCCTCTGTAGCTTCAAGACATGTTCTGAAGGACTTCTTAGTCTACCGTGTATCCCTCTCCTGTTGCCTTTCAGGATAGAGTTTCAATCTTCCCGGTATGATGTTCACAGGTCTTGATGATCCAGATGCTTCTCAACTTCCACTCCTGCCATGTCCACTCCCTGTACCACTTTCATTCAGAACCACTGTCAGCTTCCAGATTTCTCCTGCCTCTTGTGTGTCTACCACTTTAATAAATGCCCCCCTTTGCCTGGGAAGGCTTTCTCCATGGATCACACTGCTCTAGATCCACATATCCAATTCAAATGTCCAAATGTCACCTCCTCATCAAAGCCTGGCTGGCCTGCAGAGTCTGTTGCTTCCACTGCCCCGAGTTAACCATGATCATAGCATTTATTATTCCAAGTTTTTATTGCCTCCCCCTCTCCTCCTTATAGCAAGAAATCCTCTTTTTATTAATATTTCTCTTGAGCCTAGAACAATTTTGCCCAGAACATTTTGTGCTCAATAAAAAATAATAGTGATAATGATGATTTTCATTATGATGAAGACAAAATTGATGGCAATATAGCCAGTATACCTGTGACTCTGTCTTGTCCTTCATAAGCTTTTCCTAAGTCAACCTATCCAATCCTATGGCTTTTCATACTGACTTTATATTGATGGCTCCAAAATGTTTGTCTCCAGATCTGACTTCTCCCTTGACTGCCAGATGACTATATCCACTGCTTCCTTAACGCCTTCGTTTGTTAATCTGATCTGCATCTGAACCTTAACATAGCCAGAATGGAACTTAGGGGTATCTCCTTCCCAAACTGTTACCCTTCCAGTCTTCTCCATGGCATTTGATGGCCCCATCTTTTACTCACTTGCTTTGGCCAACAACTGAAAAGGTAACCATTCTGTCTCTCATACCCTACATCCAATTGATTAGTTAGTCTGTTGGCTTTACTGCCTGCCAAAGTAATAATGAACTCTACATCCTCATCTCTTTCCTTATCACTGCTGCTATCCAAGTCTAAGCTGAAGTCATCTTTTGATAATCTGGTCTTCCTATTTCCATTTTTTTTTCTCCACGCTACCATCCATTCTCCACAGAGCAGCCAGAATAAACTTTCAATAACAGAATCAATCGGGTCATGTCATCACCCTTGCTTCAAATCCCCCCATGATCTCCCATTGCATTTGAAACTAAAAGATACTGTGTCCCTACCAGAATCAACAGGACATTGCTGCCTACTTCCCTGACCTAACCTTCACCACTGCCTCCGGCTACACTGACATACTTTCTCTCCCTTGAGCCAGATCAGCCAGTTCCTGCCTTGGGCCTGAGCACTTGTTATTTGTTGTCCAGAATGCTCTTGCCCCTAGATCATTGCATGATCAGCTCCTTCTCCCTATTTTCTGCTCAGATCTCACCTCTTCAGAGCGGCCTCCCCTGTGCACCCCACCCAAAATAGACCCAATCCCACCATTGCTTTTTATCCATAACCTTTTTTATTGGCTTCTTAGCAATAATCACCACCTGAAGTGATTGTTATTTGCTAATTTATGTAGTCATTCACTTTTTATTGTGTATTTCCAATTAGAATATAAACTCCACGAGAATAGGGACCTTAATCTGCCTTGTTTACTGGTAAATCCACAGTAACTAGAACAATTATCCAGTGGATCAATAAATGTCTGAGGAGTTAATGATTGAAATAATTCATGGGAACTCTAGTCTATGCTAGTTTTCCTTTTTTTATTCTTTTCCTTTTATTTATTTATTTATTTTTTGAGACAGAGTCTCACTCTGTTGCCTAGGCTGGAGTGCAGCAGCGCAATCTTGGCTTGTGGCAACCTCTACCTCCCGAGTTCAAGCGATTCTCCTGCCTTAGCCTCCCAAGTAGCTCGGATTACAGACATACACCACCATCCCTGGCTATTTTTTTGTATTTTTAAAGGAGATCACGTCTCACCACGTTGGCCAGGCTGGTCTCGAACTCCTGGCCTCAGGTGATCCATCGGGCCTCAGCCTCCCAAAGTGCTGGGATTACACGTGTGAGTCACTACGCCAGGCCAAATTTTTCAATTCCTGTGAAACTCAGGGTAATAAGACAGTGGTAAAGAGTTTGCAACAGCCTAGCTCACAATAAATGTACCCAGAGTAACTTCAAAATTTCATTCAGTATATGCTCCTTAGAAGGCTGGGCAGCTCAAGTCCTAATGTTTGATCCTTTCATCTTGATTAGGTCTGAGAGAGATTTTTTCCACATGTAGTCCTGTAAAATCTGCTGATTTGTCCTGAATTTGACTTTAGTGGAAAATTACTTGTCTGTGGATGATATTTCATGAAAATGTGAATATATTTTTGTATATGCATATGTACATGTATGTGTACATGTAAATAAATGTATTTTTATATTTTATGCATTAGATATGTAAATCCCCTGAACCTCTTTATGATATTACCACAGTAAGGTCAACAAGAAATACTGGAGTATAAGAAGTAAAATCTCTTTTGCTCCTTACTTTGCTGTTGCCTTGAACACCTCTCTTCAGGAAATCTACTGCACTTAACAATGATTCTACAAAATAGTGTGATATCTGAAAAGATGGTGGTATGATACACGCAACAACAGGGATAAAACTCAAAAACATCATTCTGAGTAAAAGAAGCCAGTCAGGAAAGAGTATGTAGAATATGATTCCATTGACATAAAATTCAAAAACAGACAAAACTGACCTATGGTGACAGAAATTAGAAGAGTGGTTACCTTTGAGGGCTTTGACTGAGAGATGCCGACTGAGAGACGCCTAAGAGAACCTTCTGAGCACTAAACTGTTCTTGTTCTAGGCAGTTACCACTGTAACTGTATGTAACTGTATAGTTACATACATGAGTATTACATATGTATATACATATACAAACATTTGTAAACCCCTACACTTAAGGTCTGTGAAATTTACTCTTTGCAAATTATGTCTCAGTCAATGAATAAAGCTAATAGTAGCAGCCATTTAGCCACACTGACATTAGAACCTTAAAGGTTTTTGTTATAAACGTTTTAGGCAAAATACAATTTTTAGGTTTCAGTGCAGGCTTCACTCTAGGCAAAAATCCCTTGAAAATATAAGATGATGGTTTCAGCACACCAAGCTGTACCCTTCCTGTTAAAAGGAAAACTCTACTTAAGCCTTTACATTTACTTGCTCCATTCCCTGTAGCTCTCAAGTACAATAGTGAATGTAAGCTACAATAAAAAGGTCATTTTCTTCTTTCAGCAACAGTAACACAAGTGGCTACATTTCCTGATTCTGGATTAAGTTCAAGATTTCAAATACAACTGGACTCGTTTCTGATTAGAAAGTTTGATATTTATCATAGACTTCCCTGTCTTCCATAATCAGTGTGAGAGAGATTGCAAAAAAAGTAAACTGAAAGGGCCCATTCTTTTATTTAACAATTAACCCCATCTGGGTAAATAATACGGTGTGGTGCACTTGAGCCATTGCTGTTAGGCTCTGAGTTCAGAACTCAACACGGCTTCAAAGCAGCGTCCATGAACCGATGACAAGATGCTACAGAAATGGCTTTTTATGTGGACTATAATGCGCATCTAGTGTTACATAGTACAGTAATGAGGAGAAGAGGGTTGTAAAGACAGAGAGGATAGAGTGTCTGGAAGTACTTACCTGAGGGAAACACAATCTTGGTTTAGTTCAGGCCCTTAGGCCTAGAAGCACAGTATATGGTCTAGAAACTTGAATATTCGAAAACAATTTCGCTAAGGTTGTAAGGTTTCCATCACAGGCAAATACAAACAAAATTCCCTGGCAGTCACCAAAGCAGTCAAGAGCTAAGATGCTTCAGAAAACCTGAGCTTCATTCCCTGTTTTATCAGATAATTTCATTATACAAAGGGGCATATGTCTTTTAAAAGTATCAAACAGCACATTAGAACCGTGAAAGCCCGTCAGTCAACAAATCCTTTTGATAAAGATCGATCGCTCCCTGAATAAGGGGTAAACACAGTCCAGGTCAATCTGTCAGCAAACGCATTCAAAAATCTATACTCTGAATTGAGACAAGAAACTCTAATAAACTGAGATTACTTCCCAAGAAAATATTTGGATATCCCTACAAGCCCAGGCCCCACACCTGACTGCATTTGCCGTCCTGGGAAGAATAGGCCGAGTGACACACAGAGGTGTGCAGGCATCTTTAGTTACTTCTGAGAAGCAGGCCTCACCTGATTTCCACCCACCTGTATCACTTTTAGTAAATGGTGCAGGGATGGAAATAAGCGGGGGAACCAGCTCAAGACTTGTCAGCTCCAATTTCCCAAGTGGGTTTTCTATTGTAATATGGGTAGTCTGAAGACCACATGAGAAACCCAGGGTCTGGGATTGGCTTGAGAGTAAACTGTTTGCAAAGCCCCCCTGGAACAAAAAGGATTTGTGCATCTAATTTCTGTTGGTTACAGATGTCTCGAGAGAGATCCATGTGGAAAATAAAACATGGAGAAAATAGATATGGATCATTTTTGTGACCTAGGGAAAATGGCTGTTTTTGTCAATTAGTTGAGGCATTGTCTCTGTCTGCCAGGGAGCACCAAGGGGGTGCTCCTACTTATTGAACTCCTACTGTGTGTGCTTTGCAGTTTGCAACCATTATATTACTTAGCCCTGGGACAAGTCTGAAAGGCAGTATGAGGCCCATGCTATAGGTGGTGTGGGAGGCATAGGGAATTAGTGTCTCTTACTCAAGACATTGAGCTAGCATCAACAGTGGCATTTGGATGCATGTGTCCTGTGTATCAGGCCCGTCCAACAGAGTGACTGGCTTTCCCTTAAACTTCATGGTCCAGGGCCACACCCCCGGCATTCCAACTGACCTCATTCTCAGGAGTTGAGCTAATCTCTGCGGTGGGGTCGGCGGGGAGTTGCCACACAGTAAGAGAGCCCGGCTCAAGATGTCAGCCAGGTAAAGAAGAACTGGAGGAAAAAGCTGCACACTTATAAAACCATAGATCAAAACCCAGATATACTGTTTAGAAGCAGAGGAGCATAATATTCTCCATCAAGGTAGCCAGAGCAGTCCACAGACTGGATGGATGATCCACAGTCAGGGATGAGGAGAGGGGTAGGAGGCAGGAACTCTGTGATGGGGTCAGGGAGACTGACCACGCCAGCTCGCCATCCAGCTTCCACCTGTCTTGACTCGAAGGAAAAAGGTGACTTCCATTTTGGAAGGACTGGTTTCAGATAAGAGCTCTCTGCCTTCAAATGCAACTGTGGGACTTGGGGCAAAGGAATTCACCCCAATGAGTGCCAGTTTCATTATTTGAGTATGCAGGATCATAGCACTACCTAATGGGGAAAAAAGGTGAAGATGAAAAGGAGTAACACATAGGAAAACACCTAGCCAAGCGCCTTTAACAATAAGCCCTCAGAGATCTTAGGCTTCCCCATTTCGCTTTCCATCCTCTTCAGAAAGAATCAATTCTACAGTGACATTGGCCCTAAGGCTTAGTATAAGGAAATAAGTGTCAGTCAGCTGGGCTGAGGAATTCAGACACGAGGTGTGATGCAGCCCACAGTGGAGGCAGTTCTGAGCAGCAGCCGCTTGAGGAAATACCCACCTCCCCCAGTCCCTGCAAAGCATGGGACGTTATTGCTTGGAAATATAATTGGGGCATTTTGCTTCCCTACCACCACTTTGTACAATAACACAGAGAAGTGCTCTGATATTCATCTTGGGCAAGAGTCCCACATGGCATCTCCCTGGGCCCAACCTTGAACCCAGCAGTGGTACCCAGTCACCTGCAGCCATCTCACCCTGAATGACAGCCACCATCCCTGCTCCTCATCCACCAGTCCCTCATCCCCATGCTCTGGGGCATCTCCTGTTGGTTTCAGCCTGCATTCCCATCTGGCTGTTCAATGACACGGTCATGTTTAAGTGCCTGGCTTGAGTCCATGAGTCTAAGCATAAAGAGTGAAGGAGAGGGTAGGGTATGTACACATGGAAGTGGAGGAGAGAACCTCATCTTATAAAGGAAAAACGAGATCATGTTACCCCTTTCTCCTCACCTTACCTTAAAAATTTTGTAGAAGAGTAATTAAATTTGGAGTCTGGGATCTACCTTTTTTTTTTCTTTTTTTGAGATGGAGTCTCACTCTGTCGCCAAAGTTGGAGTGCAGTGGCGTGATCTTGGCTCACTGCAACCTCCGCCTACCAGGTTCAAGCAATTCTCTTGCCTCAGCCTCCCGAGTAGCTGGACTACAGGCGCGTGCCACCATGCCCAATTAATTTTTTTTTTTTTTTGTATTTTTAGTAGAGACGGGGTTTTACCAAGCTGGCCAGGCTGGTCTCGAACTCCTGACTTCGTGATCTGCCCGCCTTGGCCTCCCAAAGTGCTGGGATTAAAGGTGTGAGCCACCACGCCTGGCCGGATCTACCTTTTTTAAGTGACTCAAGGTAAGGACTTCTGGTAAGTCAGAGACTTCAATTTTCTATTAGCAAAATACGGAGTTTCTTCTATTCAAGCATTCCATGAGTCTGTTATTCTGTTTCATCCATCCATTCTTAAAGAGAATGAAGGAGGCAAAAATAGGGTTAGGAGGCTGCATAGGATGTGGCACCAGACTTGGAGTCCTTGGTTCAAGATAAGAGTCTGCCTCTAACTCAATATCTTCTTAAGTGAGACACTTCCTCTTTAGTGAGCCTCCCTCTCCCCACCTATAATGGGAGGACTGTTACCAGGTGACTACTGAAGACTCTCCAAACTCTAATATTCTGCAGTCGATTCAATAAGCTCTCATTCTAGGGCATAACCCCTATCAGACCCTTTGCCAGATGGAAAAACTTCTGTGGGCAAAGAAGTGTATATTCTAGCAGGGATGAGTTTTCTGAAGCTTCTTAGTATTGCTGGTAGACAACAGAGGGCACTCTTGGCATGTGTGCACCTAAAGGGTCCCCAGAGACCCTTGGTGTAAGCTGCCACTGCAGACAGATTTTTTTTTTTGGAGCCACAGTTTTTAAGGTATGTTTCTGTAAAGTTCTGTCTGTTCCATCAGCCTGCCTCTTGCTTACTGAGCCATATTTAATCTCCATTTGCCCCTGGGTTCTCATTCATTAATTTACTAAACTCTGATAATTATCAGGAATTAATCTGGGGTCCAATTCCCCTATATTCAAATTCTCATGCAAATATCTACACAGGGCTGATGTCCATCTCTCTTCTTCTCCCTCTGCCCTAAGCATATTCTTACTCCCTCTCTTACTTTTACCAGATTTTTACCAGATTCAGCACTGTTTTACAAATTAAAAGAGAAAATTAAAATCCACAAACACAGTAGAAAATCCCAAGGTTTGTTTTGTTGCAAATTTTCTTCCTCATGTGTTTCTTTAAAGAATAAAATGTGATAATGTGCGTGAAAGAGTTTTTAGGAGAGACAAGTAAAGAAGCTTTATAGACTACTTAAAGTCAAGCAGATTACTACATGAATATCACATAAATCATCATGACCATGGCCATACTTTAAAGGAGAACTTTACGACAGACACTTTCTTTCCTCTCAAAAGCCTAATTTCTTAACTCTGAAGCCTTATGGAAATTCTTGTTGACTGTTAAGTTATCAAATGCATTCAGAAAGGAAATACCAATCCATATGTATATAAGGCAGTTGGGAAATTTCAGCAGTGACAAGATTCACGAAAGGGTGGTAAGTGAGCACATTTGGGGTTAGCAGGCACAATTCTTAAAACTGTGTTTGTCCTTAAGTGGCACTATCTGCTTAGCGACCAGCAAGGCCAGTTGCATCTGGTCTTAACTTGGCTTTCCTCAAGTGAGTCACTTAACCTCAGATTCCTCAGGTCTAAAATGATGGGCTCAGCTGGGTGTTATCTAGGCCCTCCTATTTGTGGGTGTCTACGGATGCTAAGAATTGAGTGGCTGCTTGGTTTAGGGAAAGGGTCTGTCTTTGAAGTGGGGCAGAGCTCAATGCAAATCCCTGCTTTGCCACTAACAGCAGGCCCGGGAAATCTTGCCTTCCGTTGCTAATCTCAGTTTTCACATCGTCAGCATGGGGATAGGCACACCTGCCTTTTGAGTGTTTTCTGAGGATATAATGAGATAGGCCATGCAGGGCCAAGCACACATAGAAAATGTCCAGTAGATGTTAGTTCTCTTCTCTTGCTCATCTGTTGTAAAGTATATCTAACCTTGGTTTGCACCCATCTGGATGTTCTAGCAGAGCTTACCAGTTATCCTATATTGGATTCATCTGTGTGTAGTCAAGGGTGAGTGTGTAAGTAAAGTAGGTGAGACTTTTAGTCCGAGGGTGCAAAACAACGTCCTGGATTTTTCTAGAGCAGAATCACGTGGGGTTTTGGCAATTTAATTCAGAACTTTGTGCCTCTGGTTAAACAGCCATGAGACAGCAGTGGAAGTAATTATTCTACAAGCAGCCTTCACTGTTCTGCTTGCCTTTTGGCCAGAGCAACTAAGGACTATCAACCGGTTGCTGTTTAGTCCCTGCTTGGGGTTACTTTGCTTTATGAATCCCTTTGGACTTAAAGGGGGACAGAGATTTGGGAAGTGAAACCTGAAGATGGATTCTAGCACAGTTGAGAGCATCCCAACTTGACGTGCAAATAGCCTTTATTTAGGACATTTCACTTGGTCTTTAAAATAATGTATTTAAATTGTGGGCATTAAACAGCAGAAGAAAAAACTAAGAAGGTAAGTCTTTTTTGAGTTGAGCAAGTGGAATCTGCCCAAGCTTCTAGGCCATTTGCTTTGAACTAGTGAAAAAGACAAGAATGTGTGGTGGAAAATAACCTACTACATTTTGAAATATTAGTCTCTGAAGCAGCAACCATGCCCCTTTTAAGTACAGATCATACGACCTAATATACATACCGTATGACATTCGAGGGTGCCTGTAATTGCCCGCGAAGATCTCATTTTGTAATGCATCTTGACCTTTCCCTAGAACTAGAATCAGCTGCCACTTACAGGTTAGAATGTACCTGACATACAAAATATAATGTTGCATTTTTTGACAGTTGCGGCTTTGGTTCTACTAGAGTGTTTCACTTTAAGAAAAAAACATTTGGACAAATTCAGCACTACTTTTAGCAAAATAGTGTGGCAACTTCAATCAGGGTTACAAATAATGTCAAAATGCAGCAGCATTGAAAGGAAGTGTGGCCATAGGCCCCAACCAGGTGCCTTAATATACCAGATAGAAATTCAGTGATTTTTTTTTGAGTTTGATATGGTCCCTGTATTTTTTTCTCTGTGATTCCAAGAGGAAATGCTTATAATTATTGACTATCCATGTAATGATTATCACATTTTTTTTTTATTTCAGCACAAACACCCCTGGAAACACATTCCTTGTGGTAACCTGAAACCTCCCATTTGGGCAAGATTCTGATTGATTTCAGCAGAACAAAGAGACAGTTGCATCTCATTTGAAACCCAGATGAGGAGCTCCATATTTCATTTTAAATTGGGAGTGATAATGGTTGGGTGGTCAATACTTCAAGAGAAGCGGGAAAAAAGCCCAACAATATTGAGTAGTGCTAGTGTACAGTGGCTATTTTTCTGGGCTGGAACTGGTTAACTAAGAATTGAAAAGTCACCCTCTGGTAGCCTGAACAGGAACCTGCAGTCTGCAAACACTTATTCCCATCAACACTGCTCCAAGGAGGTGCCGAAACGCTGGGTGCCTCATTCTGATCTTGCGTCTGTCCTGGTATGAATTAACAGAGGGGAACAGGAAGTGGATCGACACTGTTCATAAGTAAGGAGGCCGAGCAGGAGTGGGGGGTCCTTCTGCTTTCAATCAAGAGAGAGGGCACAATCTGAGGCGTCATCAGTGCATCTCAACCATCGGTAAACCCAGGCTTCTGCAGGGAGCTGGGATTCTTTATGGATGGAATTACACACTTTGTGAGTGAAAATTATTTCTTGTATAGAATACCTATTAGCTTACAGCAAAAATGTGGGTGGAGGGAAACAAATGGGACTGATAAATTTGGCATTGGCCCCAAAAGAGAAATCATTATCATCATCATCATCATTCTTATTATTTAATAGCAATTTTTTTTCCAATTGCCAATTTGGAAGACCCAGAGAAAGATACAAAATCTTTCTCTGGATACAAAACATCTCATGGAAAAAGATACAAAAACATCTCATGGAGATGTTTAGAATCCAGGAACTTAGAAGCAATTTACTCTGTGCCACTGGATTGTTTGTCTTGTAATAAGCGCTGCTAGCCTTGCTTCTAATATTATTGACACTGATCCTTGCTTTGTTGACATCTTGGGTAGCTACTATTAAGGGGTAGGAAATAATTTGCTTAATTTCAATTTACTAATTCAATAAGCTTCCCTGTTTACTTTGCTTGCACAACATGTCTTTGAAAACCAGATGGTTAAGCCACTTCCTACTCCAGGAAAGATTTGTATGTGGGCATTTTGTCTGAATCAGAGAAGATAGATTTGTCCCAGGGTGGATGTGGTTAGAGGCATTGCTGAATAGGAGCAGAAGTAGAAAACTAGAAAACTGCCAACTTCCTCCCGAGTCACATCCTCAAGCATGGCAACAGGATTCCATTGGAAATGAGTTTCATTGGTATCCCCCACCAAAAAACACTCATATATAAATGCAAGCACTAAAGCAGAAGACGTATTACTTCTTGTTATTTACCATTTTATTTAGACACATCTCAGTTTCTCTCCTCTCGTGCAAATCAATGGAAATTGCCTGTATTTTAAGGAGCATGTTGGAGATGAGTTGTATCTTGAAACCTCATGTTTGTTGAGCAGTTTGATATTTTAGCATTAGAGCCACAAAGACACTAAGCCACCTCATTGCTATAAATCAGGTGTATTTGAAACTGTATTACTATTTATTAAACTACGGCATTTATGAAAAAGACCTAGCTTCTTTCCTCTAAAAAACATAACACAGTCACTTATTTAAAAACACAATGTCCTTTGGGAGGCCGAGACGGGCGGATCACGAGATCAGGAGATCGATACCATCCTAGCTAACATGGTGAAACCCCGTCTCTACTAAAAATACAAAAAATTAGCTGGGCGTGGTGGCGGGCACCTTTAGTCCCAGCTACTAGGGAGGCTGAGGCAGGAGAATGGTGTGAACCCGGGAGGCGGAGCTTGCAGCGAGCCGAGATCGCGCCACTGCACTCCAGCCTGGGCGACAGAGCAAGACTCATCTCAAAAAAAAAAAAAAACCACAATGTCATTGCCCACCGAAATATAGAAGAGGTCTGACTTCATCAAGATAATTCTCCAAGGCCTACCATAATATCCATTTGATGCATATAGGAATTCAATAAATGTTTGACAAATAAATTATTTGTGTATACTGCTGCCACAACGTTCAACTGGCTCTGATACTTCATGTACTCACAAAATACCTAACTCCTATAGCTGTGTCTATATAGAGCCAAAACTGCATTTAAAAGTTATTCACACCAATTCTTATGCATTTGCTGTTGTTGTTGTTGTTTTCTGAGACAGGGTCTTGCTCTGTCGTCCAGGCTGGAGTGCAATGGCGCGATCTCAGAGCACTGCAACCTCCGCCTCCCAGATTCAAGCAATTCTCCTGTCTCAGCCTCCAGAGTAGCTGGGATTACAGGCGCTCGACACCACACGTGGCTAATTTTTGTATTTTTAGTAGAGACTGGGTTTCACCGTGTTGGCCAGGCTGGTCTCGAACTCCTGGCCTCATGATCCGCCCGCCTCGGCCTCCCAAAGTGCTGGGATTACAGGTGTGAGCCACAGCACCCAGCCTTCTTAGGCAATTTTTAAGCAAAACTGATGGACTGTTTGTTCTTCATCCAGCCCTCCGCCCCAGTTTTCAGGGTTTGTCTCTGTGTCTATAAACATAGGCCTGGGGCAGCATTTCCCATTATTCACTTTTACATTTTGTTTTAATTTTTTTTTTTTTAAAGGAGAATGTTTCTCTTGTAATCCAAATGAAGTCTGGTCATTTCCATTTCAAACTGATCATAACAGTATGATTGGAGAAGAATATCCAGGCAAATTTTATTTTACTTGCCAAAAGATAAGTGCAATGTAAAGAGGAATTTTCTTGATTCTGGGACCACAAAGATGTGGGGGAGCTCTTGGATGAAAGTCATAATCCAGCGGATAAGGATGAAGGAATTTAAAGGTGAATTTGGGGACTTTGGAAATTTAATACAGTGATTTTGTATCAGATTTAAATTCTTTCCAAAGCCACTGTGAAATCAAGGTGGGGGAGGGGCTACTTACAGAAAGTTGAATATTATTAAAACTATATATAAAAGTATTCACCAGCCCCTTTTGTTCTCTTAATCAATATAATTTTTTAAATTCTCCGTATTCATATTACATACATAAATTCTCCAAAACACATACTGCTATTGTATTTTATTGAGCTACACGTTCTAACAGATTAAAAAACAGTTGTGTCTGGTACTAAAGAAAAAAGTACAGGTAAGTGTGTAAATTGCAAGGGTAAAGAGAGATGTACTACAATTTTGTAAATCTACAGATCTTGCACAATTTGAGAAGCTAAAATACCAATAAAACTGAGAATTGAGCCAGTTCTTTCATGGCAAAGAAAAGCCAGATAGATGTACCAGGAAATAAATTCCTAAATGAGCAGCTGAATGGATGGCTTTCAACGTGCATGTTCTTCCATGGCCTGGAAAGTTCTGTGCTTGGGGGAGTTTTGAAGACATTCTTTTGCACTCCCAATGGGAGAACCCAGAGCCAGAGAAAATAAAGGAATATGGCTGCACAAAGTTACAGATGAAGAGTGCTTCATTTTCCAAGAGCTAAACAATATGGTAATATGTTTTTTCCCCAGCATGTCCAATTGGCAATGGTAATTTGTTCAGTGCTGGAAGACTGGTTGGTTTCCATGAAGAGACCCCTCAGGATGAAATATGGCCCTAAATAACAATCACGCTGGTTTTCCTATAGCTTCTACCTTCTGGAGTCATCTTTCTTAGCTGTAGCAACTCCAGTTGGAGAGCTAATACAATAATTACCTATTAATATATTAATTCTTATATAATTATAGCTATTAATCTACTAATAGTTACTGTGGTTAAAATTGCATAGACTTCAGAGTCAAATTGAGATTTGAATCCTGGCTCACACTCTCTCAAAGCCTTTATACCTTTATCTTAAAATAAAGATTATAACACTAAATTGACTTGCTTACTGCAAGGGACAAAAGAGAGAAGTGTGGAGAGCTGTTAGTATGGAAGTTGGTTTAAGTAAGCACTTAAACCAGCCCAGTATCATCATTTTAAATTATAAGGAATGATAAAAATTTGACCTTAATAGTGAAATTCATAATTTCCCAATCAAATGGGTATCCAGTTTATGATAAATTGTGGATGGGAAAGTCAAAAATAAAACAAGCAAACAACAAATGTTTATGTTTTCTATCTTTAAAAAGTTGTATTTGACATTTGCTGCGAGTCCTTTTTGTAAAGATTGAGTGAGTGATTGAGATTCACATAGTTGCTCAAATGCTTTAATAATTCCACCTTGACTGATTCATTTCATAGGATATTTGTGTATTAGCTCAACCCTTTACGAATATAAGAGGATCATAATTTTACACTAATCAACAGTAAAATTAGTAATTTTTTTCAAAGCAATATCCTTTGACCAGGAGCTTCAAATTATTTTCTTTCTTTTTCAACTTAAGAAGCTTCCCAGTTGTGAAATTTTGTTTAGCATGACTCTGTAATTATTCCAGTTCCTTCTCTAAGAACAACTGTAAATCTGAGCGCACCACTTTATTTTCTGTCCTCCATATATAGCATGTTCTTTTGAATAATTTCAATCTTTATTCTTTTCTACTTCAGGTTTCTCTCCACAGAATCACCAGTTCACCTTTTCCTTTGGAATAACCATCTTTTATTCCTGTTTTCCCCATTTATCCATGCTGCAAATCTACTTATCAATATATGTTTTCCTGAATTGAATTAATTCTAAATTGGAACAGAACACAGATTCAGAAGTATTTTTTGTTAAAGGGATAAGTCTGTGCAAAAAAAAAAAATGAATGAATAAATGAGTAAATAATAAAGCCTAATAAGAGTTTAGGATAAGTAGATACTTTTGTTTTATCTTAAGCGTTACTAAAACTGGAAACGTACCCAGGTTAGCAGTGTTCACGAGGAATGGCAAGTACAGAACACTCATACCAACATTCCCCATGCCTATGCCCATCCATGCAAGGTATTTTAAATGGGTCACAGCATTCTTTATCATGGATACAGTATCAGACCTCATAGCCCTTCATCATAGCTCTCCCAGCAGCTACTATCAACCAATTGTAATTAGCATATGTCAAGGAATCTATTTTCCATTGCAAACCTGTTAATGCATTTTTTGTTCAACAGTACCAAAATGTATGATAGAAAACTTTTTTTAAGCTTGCAGTGGAATGTTTGAGGACCTCTGTTCTGAAGCGACTCTATTTGCCAGAACCTAACTAACTCTTACTTTTAACATCTGTTGGGCAGTTTTCCTCGGTTTTATTTCTGAGAGTAGGCAGTAACACAGGGTTCTCCCAAATTACTATTCCTGATCGTGTCCCCTCAATTGGGATCAATTTATATGTGGCTGCTAATTCTATGCCTATAGAGGTTTTCTAGTTTCATCTTGGGTCTTTTTCCCCTAAATGATTATTCTGTGAAGCAACATACAAGAGAATTTGGACACACATAGTTTATTTAGCAACCGATATTAATATGCGGAAAGGTAAAAGACACAGTGGTATAGATAAACACTAGAAGAAAACATTGGATGTGTGAATTTGGCACTTGACAACTCACAAGAGCTATTTACTGAGTGTTTGTTAATTATGCATCAAACACTTTACCTACCTACCCCATTTTATTTAATATATATGACAACCTTATGAGTTAGATATAATTTTTTACATAGAGGATATTGAGGCTCAGAACAGCAAAGTAAATTTTCCGAGGTCACACAGCTGTTAGATATATGAGCCTACATTCAACCTAGATCTGTCTGATTTCAGAATCCATTTTATTAACCACTGTGTTTCCTGCCTAGCATATTAATAAAAATTCCTTTAAAAAATATCTGAAGATGTTCTTGTAAGGCATCAAGCAAATAATAATATCCTTTTATATAAAAGGTCAACTTCTGCGTGAAAACGAAGCATCAGAATGGTGTATATGATAAGACTTTGAAAAAAACCCACAGGAAAGGAGGCCCTGCCACTCACAGAACAGAAACATAAAAGATAACAAAGAAAGCCTAGAGCAGGGCGGTTTCATATTTTACATTGAAAACAGACTACAAACGTGTGTGGTCAGGTGACCTGTGTGGCTCCTACCCTTAACTCTTTTGCCTTTTCCACTGAACCAAGAGGGAATTTGGGGAATTCCCCCCCACCTCCACTAAATTCTCAGCCTCAGGAAGGTCAACTCTATGTTTTTTCTAGGTGTTCTCAAGACCTAGCACAATGGCTGGTACACAACAGGCATTAAATAAATGTTTGCTGAAGGCATGAATGCTTAGATGCAAAGGATGAAAGGGGTAAGGGGAAAAGGGAGAGAAAGAAGAGAAGGATGGAGAAAGGGAAGGAAGAGAAGGGAAAAGGAATAAATAGATATCCCTTAACATCCTACCCTAGTCCTGTTCCATAATGGACCCCTTCTCCCTGTTGTACTATGTCTCTGCTGCTGCAGATTTACCTGCTTGGACCTCCATCAATTATGGACTGCCACACTCCTCTGCGCTGACTACTCTGGGCTTTTCAGCTTCTTTCTTACCATCTTGTTTGCAGCTAAGACCTTCCAGTATTCATTGCCACTTTTTGGGGGAGGGAGCAATGTTGGATGCAGGGCAGTGCAGAAGATGGTAAGAAGCAGGGTATCCAGGTTCTGGTCTTTACTAGATTGGCCTCTCTCACCCTTGATCAAGCTGTTGCTAGAACAGTATCTAGAAGCCTGGATACTAAGGACCCTAACCAGGGGACTCTCTCTATCCAGATGCAATAGCCATTAGGGTCTAGTGGTCAATATTGGCTACCTTGGTCAGAGAAAGGTATCTGCTTCATAGTGACAGTATCCTACCCAAGATTCCTAGCCTGAATGTGGCTTTCTCCACCATTTCACCTCTGGCCCACATGAGACCTCCTTGATCCTCTATTCTCTATGAAATAGCTCTGCCTTGAAAGCAGGCATTCTCTTCTTCAGATGGACCCTGTAATTTATGCTTGAAACACAGTTTTGGATTTTCCCATCAGCCTCTGAAGCCCCCAAGCTAGCTGCTCCTCCATGGTTTTTCTTCCAGAATGTTCTCTCTGTGTAATGGCATCTACTTGCTTAAGTATCATTCTTGACTATCATTCTTTCACATATCCCATATTCAAACCATCCTCAGTCCTTTCACCTCTGTATTTGAAATGCATTCCAAATCAGACCACCTTTTTCTACTCATGGTATCACTACCCTAGGCCACATCACTATTACCCCTTACCTGTTCCAATGAAACAGACTCCTAACTAGTCCCATAGCTTCCCCTCTTGACCCTCTTTAATCCACTCTCTACAGGGAACCAGCTGGTCCTTTTTTCAGAAAAAGTCAAACCATAACATTTCTCTGATCAAAACAGTCCATTGGTTTTTCCCATCACGCTCAAAATGAAATCCAAAATGTTTAACTTGTCCTGTAGGCCCTGCTCACAGAGGACCCCGGTTATTTTCCCAACCTCAGCCCCTACCACTGTCCTCCTCACTCACTCTGTGCTACCCCATGAGACGGCGTGCTGTCTGTGAACATTCCAGACGCCTCCACCTCAGGGCCTTGGTGCATGTTCTTTCCTCTGCCTGGACTGCTCTTCCCCAGATATCTGCATGGTTCAGTCTTCCACTTCATCCACACTTCTACTCATTGTCACCTCGTTAGAGTTGACAGACTTTCTCCTTCCCTTATCCTGCTAAACTTTCCTTCACAGCACTTACTGTCTGATGTGTTGCATATTTATTTATTCGTTTATTGAACATGCATTATCTCTTCATTGAGTAGAAGATTCACAAGAGTGGAGAGTTGGTCCTAGAGCATCTTTGCACAGTGCCTTGAGCAGGGGAGATGTTTGACAAATATTTGTTGAGTGAGTGAAGGAATAACTGAAAGCTTTCCAGACAGCTTAGACAGAAAGCAGGAGGGGTTTCAGAGCATCAGGCCCAGAAGAGAGTGAGCCCAGTAGCCTTTTTTTTTTTTTTTTTTTTTTTTTGAGATGGAGTCATTCTGTCACCCAGGCTGGAGTGTAGTGGTGTGATCTCGGCTCACTGTGGCCTCCGCCACCTGGGTTCAAGCAATTCTCCTGCCTCAGCCTACCAAGTATCTGGGATTACAGACATCCGCCAACATGCCTGGCTAATTTTGGTATTTTCAGTAGAGACAGGGTTTCACTATGTTGGCCAGGCTGGTCTCAAATTCCTAATCTCAGGTGATCCACCCACCTCAACCTCGCAAAGTGCTGGGATAATAGGCATGAGCCACTGCACCCAGCCACTTTTTTTTTTATACCAAATATGCATCTCCACATTGCTGTTCTGCACCAGACTTCAGCACCTGCTAGTTACAATGAAGTTTTTGCTGCTGGGCAAAACCAAAGTTTGGAGATTGGAAAGATCTGGCCCCATCTATACCACTGCCCCATAACCCCATTTTTGGGTCCATGATTCCTGCCTGATTACCTAACAGCTCTGAGTAACAGCGAATAAATGAGTCCAATCCCCCAAACAATGAGGCCAGCAGATCCTTGTAAAGTTAAACTGAGGCATTGAGGCATCATGATGAGACAAGGTCACACGGGCAGTTGGGTAAGAAATTAGGATTAAGATCTAGACTGCATCCCTTCTTTTGGGTGTTGGCTCTCAAAAACATTGTGGTTGGAGCTGGTCCATGTTTCATGGACGTTTCGTTCAAACACAAATGAAAGAGAGTTCCTAAAAAAGAAACTGGTTTGTTAGCTTTCCAAAGCTGTGGTCATTGTGTATGATAGGACAGACGAGTTTAAGTGATCAGAACATTAGCAAGCCTCCCTTTGGGTTTCTCTGACTGCTTCCCTCTGTTTGCAGACATAATATTCAGTTTCTCCAAAACATCTCTGGTTACCGAAAGTAAATTTTGTGGGAAAAGTGTGACGACGGTCCAACAAAGAGTTAACGCAATCAAAACAAAAAATCCAGTTTGAAATATTTTTACAACGTTCTTTACACTAGAGAGCAGTGGAGAAAAAACAGCATTTTAAGTGCTGCTCTTTTTCCCATTAGGTTGTCTGCTTTTACAGGTGGCAAGTTTCAGCAAGATCTGAAGGCGAAAGGCTCATGCAGAGATGGTCTGGAGCAGAAAGGCCCGACCCGCCTGACCTCCTGCCCATGCATACAACATAATCACTCACAAAATAGATACTAAAATAATGTTAGCAGCCGCCTGGCCTAAACTAATAAAACCAAGCATGTTGAGAGTTAAGGCAGAAACCCTGTCCTTAACTCACCCCCTCGGGCCTCTGCATTACCTCTTCCCTGGCCTGAATTAACAGAGCTCGAACCAAATGGCTTTTTGCACCTCCTTCTTTTCCTTGTGTCATTCTGTCACAGCTGTTTTTTTTTGTTTTGTTTTGTTTTGTTTTTTCTAACAGGTCCTGACTCAGTTTAAATGCCCTTCTCTTTCTCACTCACCACATGCAAACTTTAATTAAGTCTGTCTCTACGTAACACCAGCATAACTTGTTGAGAAGTGAAACATTTAGTCAAATAGCTGAGTTTGGGGCCGTAAGAGGAGGGAGAAGGGAAGGTCACAGAGGGTCACACAGAACAGCAAAAAAATACCTCAAGTATTTAGACAGGTTCCTTTTCTCTACATGCCCTTCTTCTCTGGACTGCAAGCACCAAGCTGCTTGTTTTCATTCTAGAGAACAGATATTTCTTCACTAAAGTAGATCTACATGTCATCAGAGCCATCCTCTTCCCTTGGTCGCACATAAACTTCCTATACTTGACTATCTTGCCTATCCATGTTAGGAGGGAAATGGTTGGTCTTATCCTCTTTCATAAAAGAGAAATCTGAAGTTCAGAAGGTTAACACCTAGCCCACAGTCTCAATAAAGATTAATTTAGGCCGGGCGCGGTGGCTCACGCCTGTAATCCCAGCACTTTGGGAGGCCGAGGAGGGCGGATCAGGAGGTCAGGAGATCGAGACCATCCTGGCTAACATGGTAAAACCCCATCTCTACTAAAAATACAAAAAATTAGCCAGGCGTGGTGGCACGCGCCCGTAGTCCCAGCTACTCGGCAGGCTGAAGCGAGGGAATTGCTTTAACCTGGGAGGCAGAAGTTGCCATGAGTGCAGATCGTGCCACTGCACTTCAGCCTGGGCAACAGAGTGAGACTCTGCCAGGGCAACAGAGTGAGACTCTGCCAAAAAAAAATTAATTAAAAAAAAATGTAAAGATTAAAGAAATAAAAGACCAAACAGGGACCTCAATTTACAGTCCTTTTCTTTTTTTCTTTTTCTTTTTTTTTTTTTTTTTTTTTGAGACGGAGTCTCACCCTGTCAAACCAGGCTGGAGTGCAATGGCGCGATCTCAGCTCACTGCAACCTCTGCCTCCTGGGTTGAAGCGATTCTCCTGCCTCAGCCTCCTGAGTAGCTGGGACTATAGGCGCACACCACCACACCCAGCTAATTTTTGTATTTTTAGTAGAGACAGGGTTTCACCACGTTGGCCAGGATGGTCTCGATCTCCTGACCTTGTGATCTGCCCGCCTCAGCCTCCCAAAGTGCTGAGATTACAGGCGTGAGCCACCACGCCTGGCCAACTGAAACTTTTCAAAGGAATGAGGATATTGCTGGATATGCCACTGAGGTGCTAGTAACAAACTAGGTTGTGCACATGTTATAAAAGAACCCCAAGACTCCAATTTTTCTTCTAATCGTTTATGTAGCTTATAAAATAGGGATCATGGAATGGGTAAACAGGTGGTGATTCCTTAGCTTTGCAGACTTAAGGGATGTGTATTATAAGTTGGTGCAAAAGTAATTATGATTTTTGCCATTAAAAATAATGGCAAATAAAACCAAACTAACACCGAATTTAGTTTGAAGATGGGGGAAATCTTATAAAGTTAACTGAAGTCATGTCACATATACCACAGAGAAATACAGTGCACTGGTCTCTTTTCAAATTGATATTACTTGGCTTGTTGCTACAGGAGGCTAAATTAGAAGCTTCCTGAAGACAGGAATTCTGTGTATCCTTTTGCTCTTTCTACCCTAGTGCTAATTACAGAGAATGACACATTGTGAGCACTCAATTTATTTTTAAATAAACAAGTGCAAAAGTAATTGTGGTTTTTGCCATCAAAAGTAATTGCGGTTTTTGCCATTAAAGGCAATGGCATTTGGTTTTTACTCATTTTACTCATAAAAAGCAATGGTTTTTGCCTTTAATGGCAAAAATCGCAATTACTTTTGCACCAACCTAATAGCTTTACATGGGAAGGTTCACTGCCTCCATTATCGCTATCCAGTTACTCATTGCAAATTGCAGTTGCAAAATTCTCTTTAGGTTGCAATAGGGAAGAGACAAAACCCAGTGACAGTAATCAGGCAGAAAGCCTCACAGCTTTGAAAAGGGCAAGGTAAGTAATTTCCAGCTAATCTGTACTTGGACCAATCATTTTGCTGAATGTACTGGGCCAAGCAACCTCCTTCAGGAGTATGGTTGATGAACACTGGTTTAAAATCTGAGTTTCTGAAATAATTCAAATAGGAAGATTGACAATGGACGACGAAACCAAACAGTTATAATCCAAACTTACTCCGTTTTGTCTAGATGCAAAGTGTTCAGCCCTTGAAATATAAGGGGTATAATGAGAACAACAACTTTTGATTTGCTGTAATAATGATGATGATAATAAAATGATATTTAAGTGGGTTTGTGTATTTTACATGTCCAATTCATACTAATTGTTACATTCCAAATAAACATTTGTTGCTTAAAACGCATTTAGAAATTTTTGAGAATTGTTGCTTTGAGAAAGTTGCTGACAATATAAGCTCTCATGATTGTTGTTTTGAGACGGATGATTTGATAATATCTATAAAAATTACATGTATTTCCTTGAATTAAAAATTCCTAGTTTGGCTATTTTAGGGTATAAATATTCATACAAGTATAATGTAAATTACTGCATTATTTTCAAATGCAAAAACTAGAAGTATCGTAAGTGTTTATCAATAAGCTTCTTTATAAGTGACTTATGGAATATTTATAGTGGAGAAGTAAAAACTATAGGCTTTGGAGTCAGACTCAGTTTGGATTTTAGCTCTCCCTAGCTGTGGGAACTTGATCAAGATCCCTCACTTGCATAAACCCATTTTTTTTCACTTGTAAAATAGAGAAAATAATGTAACCTATTTATTGGTGGCTGTGAGTGACACTTTAGTTAGTGTAAAGTACATAATCATTTAGCATGGCATCTAGCAATGCAGTGAGCACTCAATAAGCATTACTATTCTTTTTATTATGATTATTATAACCACACTATGGACTACTATGCAGGTATTAAAAATGATAAAATAGCTTAACTTATGCTGGCATAGAGAGATGTCCATAACCATACAACACATCACCAATGAATGTTCTCTTTCTTTTTTTTTTTTTTTTGAGACGGAGTCTCGCTCTGTCGCCCAGGCCGGACTGCGGACTGCAGTGGCGCAATCTCGGCTCAGTGCAAGCTCCGCTTCCCGGGTTCACGCCATTCTCCTGCCTCAGCCTCCCGAGTAGCTGGGACTACAGGCGCCCGCCACCGCGCCCGGCTAATTTTTTTGTATTTTTAGTAGAGACGGGGTTTCACCTTGTTAGCCAGGATGGTCTCGATCTCCTGACCTCATGATCCACCCGCCTCGGCCTCCCAAAGTGCTGGGATTACAGGCGTGAGCCACCGCGCCCGGCCGAATGTTCTCTTTCTTAGGAATGCTCATTCTCATGCCCAACCCTGCTTGACTGCAAATTCTGTGAGGGTGTATGCACCAATCCTATCTTATTCTCCATGGTATCGCCGGCACCTAGAAAAATACCAAGCCATTCCATAATATTTTATTGAATGAGCAGATGTATACATGAGAGCATTACTTGTTTATCTGTATATTAAAAAGTCAGAAGCAATTACAACAACTGCTGACAGTACTTTCCTCTGAGGAGTAAAATTAGGAAAGTAGATTTTCATCCACTTTTATCTTTCTCTATTGTTTGGAATTCTTACATTAAGTAACGACAAAAGATATTCTCATGTCCAGATGATGAAAACGTAACTGAAGCTATAAGCACAACCATGTTTTTTTCTTGTAAATTTGTTTGAGTTCATTGTAGATTCTGGATATTAGCCCTTTGTCAGATGAGTAGGTTGTGAAAATTTTCTCCCATTTGGTAGGTTGCCTGTTCACTCTGATGGTAGTTTCTTTTGCTATGCAGAAGCTCTTTAGTTTCATTAGATCCCATTTGTCAATTTTGGCTTTTGTTGCCATTGCTTTTGGTATTTGAGACATGAAGTCCTTGCCCATGCCTATGTCTTGAATGGTAATGCCTAGGTTTTCTTCTAGGGTTTTTATGGTTTTAGGTCTAACGTTTAAGTCTTTAATCCAACTTGAATTAATTTTTGTATAAGGTGTAAGGAAGGGATCCAGTTTCAGCTTTCTACATATGGCTAGCCAGTTTTCCCAGCACCATTTATTGAACAGGGAATCCTTTCCCCATTGCTTGTTTTTCTCAGGTTTGTCAAAGATCAGATAGTTGTAGATATGCGGCGTTATTTCTGAGGGCTCTGTTCTGTTTCATTGATCTATATCTCTGTTTTGGTACCAGTATCATGCTGTTTTGGTTACTGTAGACTTGTAGTATAGTTTGAAGTCAGGTAGCGTGATTTACAAGAAAAAAACAAACTTTACAAGAAAAAAACAAACAACCCCATCAAAAAATGGGCAAAGGATATGAACAGACACTTCTCAAAAGAAGACATTTATGCAGCCAACAGACACATGAAAAAATGCTCATCATCACTGGCCATCAGAGAAATGCAAATCAAAACCACAATGAGATACCATCTCACACCAGTTAGAATGGCAATCATTAAAGTCAGGAAACAACAGGTGCTGGAGAGGATGTGGAGAAATAGGAACACTTTTACACTGTTGGTGGGACTGTAAACTAGTTCAACCATTGTGGAAGTCAGTGTGGCGATTCCTCAGGGATCTTGAACTAGAAATACCATTTGACCCAGCCATCCCATTACTGGGTATATACCGAAAGGACTATAAACCATGCTGCTATAAAGACACATGCACACATATGTTTATTGCGGCACTATTCACAATAGCAAAGACTTGGAAGCAACCCAAATGTCCAACAATGCTAGACTGGATTAAGAAAATGTGGCACATATACACCATGGAATACTATGCAGCCATAAAGAAGGATGAGTTCATGTCCTTTGTAGGGACATGGATGAAATTGGAAATCATCATTCTCAGTAAACTATCACAAGGACAAAAAACCAAACACCGCATGTTCTCACTCATAGATGGGAATTGAACAATGAGAACACATGGACACAGGAAGGGGAACATCACACTCTGGGGACTGTTGTGGGGTGGGGGGAGGGGGGAGGGATAGCATTAGGAGATATACCTAATGCTAAATGACGAGTTAATGGGTGCAGCACACCAGCATGGCACATGTATACATATGTAACTAACCGGCACATTGTGCACATGTACCCTAAAACTTAAAATATAATAATAATTAATAGAAAAGCAAAAAAAAAAGCACAACTATGTAAAAACGTGTATGCCTACAAACAGGAAATAGGAAGAAATGGGAGATGTAAAAATGAATGATGTTTTCAGCTAGCATTATTGTATTTTCTTTCTTCAATGCCTTTGTTTTTACCCTAATGGTGTAGTTTTAAAATATTTTAAGTAGATTATATTCAAATATTGTAAGAAATAAACACTCAAAGAGAGATGAATTCATTTTCTATTATTTTACTGTAAGAAAATTCACTATTGGGTTTAAAATCAGAAATAACTTTATTATAAAAGTTATAGAAGTTTCTTATATAAATTTTGGAAAATATAGAAAATTAATTTTTAAAAACATAGAAAATACATTAAACCTAGAAAATATCTTACCACTTAAAGATAATCTCTCAAAGAAAATGCTAACATAATGTTATCTAGACAAAGTCAAAATTGAAATGCAGAGAGCATGTAATCACAGAATTTAGTTCAAAGACTGGAGAAATCTTATAAAGTTAACTAAAATCATGTCAGATCTACCACAGAGAAATATAGTGCACTGATCTCTTTTCAAACTGATATTAATTGGCTTGTTGCTACAAGGGGGCTAAATTAGAAGCTTCCTGAATACAGGAACTCTGTGTATCCTTTTGCTCCTTTTTTTTTTAAACTCCAGTGCTAATTACAGAGACTGGCTCATTGTGTCAGTCAATAATAACTGTCAACTTATTTTTAAATAAATGAATCATCTTTTGAAATGTAAGAAATAAATTTAAAAGGAGGGACAGAGAGAGATTGGAGCAAAAAAGAAGGAAGGGGAGGGGAGGTAAGGGAAAGGAAGAAGGAAGGAGGGAGAGAGGGAAGGAGGGAGGTAGGGAAGGAGGGAAGGGAGAGAGGGAGGCAAGGGAGAGAATGGAGAAAAGAAGAATAAAAGGAAGAAAGGAACTATTAGAGAGTCTGAAAGAAAATGGAGAGATGGAATGAGTCAGAAGTTGCCCTTTCTATCTTTCTATTTCTCCCTTCTGTGCTTACAGCAGTTACACAAGTCATGCACACTGGGTCTTTTTTCAGAGGCTGACTTTGGTAGCAGCTATGGCAACACTTTCAGCATTTATTAGCTTCTGGAAAAAAAGGATGAGACTTGAGAGAGCCTATAACAACATTTATTCTGGACCTCAGTCTAATCTGAAGCTACACATCTGGGAAGGTAGGAAGTCAAAAGGCCCAATTCAGCCTTTCAGTTGTGGCAAAGGGCAGAAGCTTCTTTACAAATAATATGAGCAAAAAAGACAATAGCTAGTTCAACTTGACACCCTATTTGTTAGCAGTTAAGTAAAACACAGAGATAAATCATGCCCAGAGTGAAGAAGAATAAGCAGCAGGTTACTTGGCATAAATCTAATTATGCATTCTAAAAAGAGTCTTACTTTTTATTCTGTTTGGAAGATGGGAGCAGGAGGTGAAGGAGAAGAGGACAGGAAAATAACGAGCTATACTTCTTTGGGGCTTTTAGTTCTTTGTCCATTTTGATCTCTCTTGAAGATGCTTGTCAAATACATTTTGGAAGGGCAACAGCAAAATTATGAAGCATTTTTAAAGGAAGATTGGTTCTTAAATCCAGCAGGGATAGAAGAATACATACTTTCTTGTCAAGCTATACACTCATTCTTGAGAGGAAAGGCCTGAAAGAACAATAGGGGTGTGTGTGTGTGTGTGTGTGTGTGTGTGTGTGTCTATATGTATATCTGAGACATGAAGAGTAGGTGAGGTTTCTCAAAGGATTGGAATAAAATCAGGGTGTAGATTAGAGATTATCATGATAATTCTTCAGGATAAATTCAAATTCCTTCACAGTCTGTCTCTTGCTTGCTTATACAGGCTCATCCTCTATTTTCCATCTCTATGCATTTATACTGACCTTCTCACTTCCCTCCTAAGAAACCGTGTTCATTCCTGCTTTACATTTTTAAACATGCTGCTCCTTCTGTGTGACATGTTCTTCCAATTTCTGTGTATCTCTCTAAGCTCCATTTATAAAACACTTTTGTTATTGTCACCTTCCCCAAAACCCTCAAGTAGGGTGAACTGCCGACTTGGTTGCTTCCTCCTCTGTGATTTTACAGATCTTTGTTCAGGTGTCTACCACAGAGTTTTATCATCTGTCCCTCTCTATATATGGAGACTTTTTTTTTTTTTTTTGAGATGGTGTCTCACTCTGT